>NC_000004.12:108296381-108921381 GCF_000001405.40 Homo sapiens
GTTTATGTACTAGTAGGTAAATAGCACCAAGATGTATTGTTAATTTTTTTAACAGGAAAAATAACGCATTTATGTTTGTCTACATGTGCATAAAGTATCCTAGAAGGACACATAATAAATCCTAGAAGGACACATATAGGACAAATAATAGTAGCCATTTGGGAGAAAGGGCACTAAGTGATTAGGGACAGGAATGGGAGGGTGGCTTTCTTCTCTTTTTCCCTTTATATATTTTTGAGTTTTGAAATAATAAAATAATTAACATTTAAAAGTTGGTGATATGGTTTGACTGTGTCCTCACCCAAATCTCATCTTGAATTGTAGTTCGCATAATCCCCACATGTCGTGGGAGGGACCCAGTGAAAAGTAATTAAATCATGAGGGGAGGTTATCCCTACGCTGCTGTTCTTGCGAGACAGTGAGTGAGTTCACGTGAGATCTGATGGTTTTATAAGGGGCTTTTCCCTCTTTGCTTGGCACTTCTCCATCCTGCCATCATATGAAGAAGGACATGTTTGCTTCCCCTTCTCCCATGATTGTAAGTTTCCTGAGGGAACTTTCCTTTATAAATTACCCAGCCTCGGGCAGTTCTTTATAGCAGTGTGAGAACGGACTAATACAGTTGGTGATAGATTTTCTATGACTTAATTACCCAGGGAAACTTTTTCACTTTGGGCGCATTTCCCATTCATTCCCAGAATCTCTAGATCCTTTCTGTTACCCAGTTGGAAGTCCACTGCTGCCTGGTGGACTGTGTTTAGGGCCTGTTTAGTATCAGCTTGTGAAACGCAGTTTTCACTGTGTGTGTTTCAATGACTTTAAAATTATTTTTGCATTGTATGTAAATTACCAAACATAAACGATTTAGAAGAAATAAAAAGCTTATTTTTCTTAAGAAACAGTGGCTACTGTCACTTCTCGGCCTTTTGGCTAAGATCAAGTGTGTAAAAAGTGGCTACTTTAATAATAATGGTGTCTTACATTTATATAGCACTTTATTGCTTATAAAATCCTTTCACATGCATTAGGTCATTTATACCTCACAACAGCTCTGAGAGGTAGCTATTATAGTTCCCATTTAATAGATGAAGAAACTGAGGCTCACAGAGTTCCAGTAATTTGTCCAAGGTCACAAAGCTATTAAATAGTAGAGCCAGGACTGATACTCAACTATTCTGACTCTAAAGCCAGTGAAATTTTTCCTCTGCCTTTTTTTTATAATTGTAAAAAGAGAAAAATTAATATGCTTTAAAAAAAGAAAAAGTCTGAAACATCCATAATGTCATGATTCCAACAAAAACATTATTAAATTTACATATTATCTTCCAGGGTTTGTCCATGTGCCGACAACTGCTATCTAGTTACAATCATAATATATGTACAATTATGTATTCTGTTTTCCCTCACTTTGCTCTACTACCCTGAAGCATTTTCCAAGTTGCAACATAATTTTCATAATTAGCAAATTAATAGGTTCACATTTCATCAAGAACCATACTATGGCAATCTGGTACTGTTTAAGATGGATTCATTTGATTGATTCATTCATTCATTCAACAAATAATTATTAAGGCCCTACCATGTGGCAGGTCCTTGCCAGCAGTCGAGGACATGCCAGTGATAGGCACGCACAGGCGAGTAACACTGACGTGGCCTCAAGGTGAGGAAGCAACAGATCAGGGATTTGTTACTAAAAAATACAACAGTACTGTAAACACCTTTGTGCTTCCAGTTTTTTTTTTTTGAACTATTTTAACAAAAAGTGAATTACACTTTTATGGCTTAAAATATCTATATTCCTCTACACTGCTATCAGAAATACATGCCTGTACAGCTTCATTATAACCTCACCAGCACTGAGTATTTTTAGTGGAAAAGAATGTTTGTTAATTTTACAGCTGGAAAATGGTGCTCCATTGTTGCTTTAATTTGCATGTCTTTGATTAATAGTGATGTTAATGTTTTTCCATAGACCTGTTTATTAAATGCATTTCTTCTTGTTTGAATTGTCTGTGTTTTGTCCTTTGCCTAATTATCCATTAAGGTCTTATTATTTTCTTGTCTATGTGTGAGAGTTCTTTATATAATTTATTTCAGTAATATTTCAATATCATTTAAAAATTGACTTGAACTGACGTTTTATATTGTAAAGATAATATAAACATGACAATTTGTCGCTTTTACTGATTTTTTCTTAGTCTATTTGCCTTCTTATTTTAATATTTATAATTTTAAAAAAATTTTAAGAGAATTTCTTTCTTTCTTTCTTTCCTTTTCCTTTTCCTATTTTTTTTTTTTTTTTTTGAAACAGGATCTTGCTCCATCACCCAGGCTGGAGTGCAGTGGTGCAATCAAGGCTCACTGCAGCCTTGACCGCCCAGGCTCAAGTGATCCTCCCACCTCAGCCTCCCAAGTAGCTGAGATTCCGGGCACAGCCACCACACCTGGCTAATTTATTTTTATTTTTTTGCAGAGATGGATCTTGCTTTGTTGCCCAGGCTGGTCTCAAATTCCTGGCCTCAAATAATCTTCCCACCTTAGCCTGCAGGCTGGTCTGGAACTCCTGGGCTCAAGTGATCCTCCTGATTCCACCTCCCAAAGTGCTGGGGCTACAGGCATAAGCCACCAGACCTGGCCCCTTTAATTATTTATTGTTATTATTATTATTATGTATTTCCATAGGTTTTTGAGGAACACATGGTATTTGGCTACATGAATAAGTTCTTTAGTGGTGATCTGTGAGATTTTGGTGCACCCATCACCCGAGCAGTATACACTGAACCCAATTTGTAGCCTTTTATCATTCACCCCCCTTCCCATCCTTTCCCCCTGAGTCCCCAAAGTCCATTATATCATTCGTATGCCTTTGCATCCTCATAGCTTAGCTCTCACTTACTTATGAGTGAGAACATACGATGTTTGATTTTCCATTCCTGAGTTACTTCACTTAGAATAATAGTCTCCAATCCCATCCAGGTTGCTGCAAATGCCATTAATTCGTTCCTTTTTATGGCTGAGTAGTATTCCATTGTATACATATATACCACAGTGTCTTTATCCACTTACTGATTGATGGGCATTTGGGTTGGTTCCACATTTTTGCAATTGCAAATTTGCTCCTATAAATATGCATGTGCAAGTATCTCTTTTGTATAGTGACTTCTTTTCCTCTGGGCAGATACCTAGTAGTGGGATTACTGGATCAAACAGTAGTTTTACTCTTAGTTCTTTAAGGAATCTCCACACTGTTTTCCATAGTGGTTGTACTAGCTTACATTCCCACCAGCAGTGTAGAAGTGTTCCCTTTTTGCCACATCCACACCAACATCTATTGTTTTTTGATTTTTTAATTATGGCCATTCTTGCAGGAGTGTGGTGGTATCGCATTGTAATTTTGATATGCATTTCCCTGATCATTAGTGATGTTGAGCATTTTTTCATATGTTTGTTGGCCATTTGCATATCCTCTTTTGAGAACTGCCTATTCATGACCTTAGCTCACTTTTTGATGGGATTGTTTTTTTCTTACTAATTTGTTTGAGTGTGTTGTAGATTCTAGATATTAGTCCTTTGTCAGATGTATAGATTATGAAGATTTTCTCCCACTCTGTGGGTTGTCTGTTTACTCTGCTGACTGTTCCTTTTGCCATGCAAAAGCTCTTTAGTTTAATTAAGTCCCAGCTATTTATCTTTGTTTTTATTGCATTTGGTTTTGGGTTTTGGGTCATGAAATCCTTGCATAAGCCAATGTCTAGAAGGGTTTTTCTGATTTTATCTTCTAGAATTTTTATAGTTTCAGCTCTTAGATTTAAGTCCTTGATCCAGCTTGAGTTGATTTTTGCACAAGGTGAGAGATGAGGATCCAGTTTCATTCTCCTACATGTGGCTAGCCAACTATCCCAGCACTATTTGTTGAATAGGGTGTCCTTTCCCCTCTTTATGTTTTTGTTTGCTTTGTTGAAGGTCAGTTGGCTCTAAGTATTTGGATTTATTTCTGTGTTCTCTATTCTGTTCCATTCGTCTATGTGACAGAACTAGAAAAAACAATCCTAAAATTCATATGGAACCAAAAAAGAGCCTGCATAGCCAAAGTAAGACTAGGCAAAAAGAACAAATCTGGAGGCATCACACTACCTGATCTCAAACTATACTATAAGACCATAGTCACCAAAACAGCATGATACTGGTATAAAAACCGGCCCCTTTAATTCTTAACAGCATTTGGAACTCATTTGGGTTTTTGTGTAAGTAAAGTATGGACTGAAGTTTATCTCTCTCCCCCATTTTCTAACCAGATAGTACACCACCATTAATAAAATAGTTTAAGTTTCCATATAGTATTACATTCTTACATAACAAACTTTCTCGGCTGGGCACAGTGGCTCACACGTGTAATCCCAGCACTTTGGGAGGCCGAGGTGGGCAGACCACTTAGGTCAGGAGTTTGAGACAAGCCTGGCCAACATAGTGAAGCCTCATCTCTACTAAAAATACAAAAATTATCCAGGCATGGTGGCATGTGCCTGTAATCCTAGCTACTCAAAAGGCTGAGGCAGGAGAATCTTTGAACCCAAGAGGCAGAGGTTGCAGTGAACCAAGATTGTGCCACTGCACTCCAGCCTGGGTGACAGAGCGAGATTCTGTCTCAAAAAACAACAACAAGAACAAAAACCCAAACCATAACAAACTTTCTATATAGTTCTATTAGTGTGTCTCTACTTTTGTACTAGGATTAACACTTTTCTGATTTTGCTTTATATCATATTTTACTATCCACCAAAAATAGCCCTTTATCCTTGTGCACTTCTTTCAAAATATTGCTTATAGTTTTACTCATTTGTTTTTCCAGATGAATTTTATTTTAATTTTGTAGGATACTGTTATTAATCTTGTTGAGATTTTTATTGGGATTGCGTTTAAGACATACATTATTTTGGTAAAAAATCACACATAATTTATACATCTAATTTTTCCATTTAGGAGAAGAAACATTTCTCCTCCTACCAAGTCATTTGACTTCTTTCTTAGCATATAAGTAATGTATCCCTCTTGCTAAATTTGTAAGTATTTTATATTTTGGGTAGCCATTCAGGAAGAAATTAATTAAACATTATAACTGGTTATTATTGGTACATGGGAATGTGATGAATTTTTATATGTTTATTATGTATCTGGAGAGATAAAATATTATCTATGAAAGTAAATAGCTTTTTAGTGACTTTTTTTGGCTTTTCTAATTGTGCAATCATGCACTCTTTGCAAATAATGTTATTTGAATCTCTTTCTGATAGTAATGTCTGCTTAATTTCTTAAGATGACATATCTAGGAAATGGTGAAACTGGGCCTGGCACTGGAATCTGTTGGAGAGATGAGACCATGTTCAGATGTCCTGTTCATTCAGGAATGTTTCAGGCAAGCTCAGGGCAGGTCTGGCAGGCACAGCCTGGCCTGCTGCAATAGGCATTGACCCATTGTTTTAGGCTGAGCAAATCTCACTTCTCAGGGCCTCATGGGATCAAGGTAGTTGATTTCTAAGAGTTTGACCAACTTTAAGATACTTTGAAATGAAATTACGTTGAAAAAGTTATCTAGAAGGCATCAATTTGGGGCAGAGTTTTTAGATAAGAAGAATTGAGTGAGACTTGCTAGAGGAAGGAAGTGTGTGAGGTTGTAAAGAGCAGCAGTTATCACTGAGAACAAAGCATTGATATAAATATACTCTGTTCCTTTTGTTATGCTATGTACCAGGGCAAAATACTTGCTTCTTGTTTGGGAGTTCTTTGACACAAATCTGTTTAATTAACATTCTTGTCTAGATGGTTTTATTTGAGAAGATTGAAAAGTTCATGTATCATTGCAGTGCTGTTTTGTTTTGTTGTATTAATAGCTTATTGTAACACTCACTGACCTACTACTGGAATTCTGTGTAAGGAGTGTGAGCCAGGGATAATGGTAAAAAACAGAGAAGAGGGATAAACAGAGCAAGTTAATGGAAAAAGAGGAAGAGATTGTAAAAATTACTTATCAATAGATACATCCTGCCTGTTATCCCAGCACTTTAGGATGCCAAGGCGGCAGACCACTTGAGGTCAGGAGTTTGAGACCAGCCTGGCCAACATGGTGAAACCCATCTCTACTAAAAATACAAAAATTAGCCAGGTGTGGTGGTGCACACCTGTAGTACCAGCTACTCAGGAGGCTGAGGCAGGCGAATCACTTGAACCCAGCAGGCGGAGGCTGCAGTGAGCCGATATCGTGCCACTGCACTCCAGTCTGAGCAAGAGACTCCATCTCAAAACAAAACAAAACAAAACAAAAAAAGGTGCGTCCTAGTACATAACATTAGGCTTAAGACTGTATACTCTAGAGCCAGACTACATAGGTTCTTATTCTAGCTTGCTACTTGACAGTTATGTGAACTCAGTTTTTCAGTCTTCCCATCTTCATAATAAGGGATAATACGATTTACTTCATAGAATTGTGAAAATAAACGAGTTAAATAATGTAAAGGGCTTAGACACCATCTCAGGCACACAGTAACCAGTCAAATTTTATTACTATAATATTTCCTAAAAACATTAAACATATACACCAGATTAGCCACCTTTTCAAAAATGTTCCTTAGCCAGGCATGGTGGCTCGTGTCTGTAATTCCAGCACTTTGGGAGGCTGAGGTGGGTGGATCACCTGAGGTCAGGAGTTCGAGACCAGCTTGACCAACATGGTGAAAACCCATCTCTACTAAAAATACAAAAATTAGCCAGGCATGGTCATGCATGCCTGTAATCCCAGCTACTTGGGAGGCTGAGGCAGGAGAATCACTTGAACCTGGAAGGCGGAGGTTGGAGTGAGCCAAGATTGTGCCATTGCACTCCAGCCTGGGCAACACAGCAAAACTCCATCTAAAAAAAAAAAAAAAAGTTCCTTGTTATTTTCCTACCCCAGTGTTCTCAGAGGGTGCCTTTCTGAGGTGGCTCCTTGGATGCCTCTGTAACTTAAAATTTAGGTGAAACATTTTACTGTCAGAATTCAAAGAACCACATGCTTTGGGTTATTTTATATTTATGAGACTTAATTCCAGTTTATGTTCCAACCTGCACATTACATTCTTTACGTGATTTATTGCTACTTGTAATAATACTATTTATAACACTTTTCATCCTTAGTTCTCTCAAGTTTTACATACCTCAATTCATTCCAGGTAAGTAAGTGGGTGGTAAGTAGCAGAATCTCTCATTTTTCAAGCAAAAAAACTCTACAGGCACAATAGTGAAGTGACGCCCAACAAATTAGGGGTAGAGTTGGTAATATGATCAGGGGGTTGACTCATTACTCAGGCCTCCGAGCTCTCAGGCACTCTCACAAAATAGCTTATTTCTTTAATGGAGGTGAGTTGTAGGGCGCACAGGCTCTGTGGTCAGGTCAGACAGATTTGCTTTCAAATCCACTCTACCATATACAAACTGTAGAGTCTTGGGAAAGTTCCTTGAATGCTCTCAGGTTCTCTGTCTTCCTCTGTAAATTGGAAATGATAATTTTGCCTTCTTTGTAGGTTTGGGTTAAGGAACTAGGTAAGGAAGTGGTGGATCAAATAACACATAGGAGATGATCAATAATTGTGGTCTTTTCTTTTCTTTGAATTTGTGTCTTTCAGCCACCTTCCCTTGAGCTTATACCATTTTAAACAACCTCTTGTGTAAATATTTGAGTCTAACTTTTACAAAGGGAACTGCTAGCTTGGACCTTCAGTAAGGTGGCTTCTGTTTGAATTCTATTCTTCCTCTATCTGCCGTTGCATTTTGGATTATGTAGAGTTGCATGATCTGGTCCTGTGTTACAGGAGGTGGAAGAGGGGAAAATGTGGGGCATTGTAAAGAATATTGTGGTTGGAATTTTCTTAACTTTAGCACATCAGAATCCCCTGACATAGTACACAGATTCCTGGGCCCCACCCCAGAGTTTCTGGTTCAGTATGTCTGAGGTGGGACCTGAAGATTTTTGTTTCTAGCAATATTTAGGTGATGCTGATGAGGCTAGTCTGGGCCCCACACTGTGAGAATCACTGGATTAGGGTGTGCTGTGTGTAGGAGACCTGCAAAATCTCAATCACTTACAAAAACAGAGGTTTACTACTCACACAATATAACCACATGAGCCAGCTTTTTACATGAACTATTATGTTTTTGTATAGTCAGCCTCTCCAAGATGCTAAGCTCCTAAGTATCATGGTCACCGTTTCTGTTTTATGTTTTTCACAGCATTTAATTCAGAGCTCAACACAAATTCGATTCCCAATGAAGACTTCTTGAGCTATACCGAGAGAAGAAGATCAACAGAAGATTTCTGGCTTTTTATTTCGTGCTACTTTTTAAAATCGCTCCTTCCATATAGAAGTCTGAGGTCACATGGGCTTTTAGCAAGGCTAGGACAGATCCATTATTATTGTAAATGGAAAATGTAGAAATTAATACATATGCAATATGTATATATTTAGATACACCTCATATTGTTCAAACAAAACAAAACAAAAACCCTAAACCCTCTAAAGGGAGGTGAGAGCAGATAGTCTAGTGATGAAAGCCAATATAGTTACTATTTTTATATCATAAGTTTCACTCTGAGCTTCTGGCAACAATAAGAGAAGTGTGATGGATTGTATAATTATTTCCTCATCCCTCATCCATCCACGGTCTCGATCTGTTCCACCACCGTCTGGTCTCCTTCACTTTCCAGTTTCCTTTCCCTGTGCTGGCCCTCAATTGCTGCTTACAGTCTTCCTGAAATTCCTTTCATGGCTTTAAGAAGTTAACACTTCTTTTTATTCTTTTTATACTGTGTCCTTGAAATCTAAGTGAGATGTATGTGTTCTTATGGCTTTAACCCAATGACCTCTACTAAATCCCTCCTTCAGGGAGGCAGGGAGGCAGGGAGGGCAGTCTGTCTTCTCCAGTGATCCCAGGTGTGCAGGCTGTGCTCAGCATCAGAAAGTTCACTTGGCAGGCAGCAAGGCCCATGGTAGTACTCTAGTTCTTCAGGAGAAGAAAACCAGAATGACGCAAGTGCCAGACCCTAAGGAAATACAGCTGTGGCAAATCAGTTTCCTCTTGAGTGTAGTGGCTTCCTAGAGAAAGATCCTGAAGTCACTTCTGGAGTCTGCAGGAAAGAATGCTGTGATCAACTGGTGACATCTGCTGAGATGTTTTCTATTCCTGCATTTTGTAGTAAGCCAACTACTAAGATTGTATCTTAGGCCCAATAAAGAAAAAGACATGGTCCAGGATTGGGTTATGTGTGAAAGCTTGTTCTCAAAAACAAGAAAGAAGCCCAGTTCCTAGAACTAGGTTAGCAAAGGACTAGACATATATATTGGTTTAATACTCAGTCACCTGAATACTGAATTGGGACTTCTTAATAATAATATGTTCTGATTGTTGTGGGGCCTGGAATAGGGCTGAGGCTATACTTTGTGGTCTCCTGGCTCAAGCTTGAGGGAGGAAAAGGCTTGGGAGAACCAGGCAATTTGGTAGTAATAATGTCAGCTAGTAGACACTTTGTGGTTTGCCAACTGGTGCCCCTTAAGGGTATTTTGGATACAAAGGGACCTCCCTTGGAGTGTACCTCTTGAGTCTCCTCCAGCTCTCCTGTGACCAGGACAATTTTCCCACTCCCCTAATCATCAACATCCCATGACCAGAAAAAGAACAGTTTCAAGATAGAAGAGATGTAAGCATTTATTAAAGTAATCCCTTTATAATATTGATTATTTAGTATCTACTAATCTAGGCCTCCTGATTAGTAGAAGCCCCTTATTTTAAAGATGAGGACAACTGAAGCCCTGCAAAGGTAAGTGATTTGCCCAAAACCAGTAAGTTATTAGCAGGACTAGATTTTGACACAAGGTTTAAAGTCAAGCTGACCAGGTTTGTGTGACTTTTGAAATATTATATAACCTTCCTGGACCTCAGATTCTTTATCTGCGACCTGGGGAAGAGTCTAATATCATTAGAATTGTTGTGAATATTGGATAAAATTTACCAAGTCTTAGTATGATGCAGCATATGTTAAGCATTTAATAAACCACTGTTGAGATGGTGGAAAAGAGTGCCTGGCCCATGGCAGATACTTAATAAGTCTTAGCCAGTATTACTAAGCAAGCAATTATGATATAATAAGTGCTAGGTCCATAGACAGGAGACCATGCCTGAAGGGGTAGGAAACAAAAACCTTCTAGAAGAGATGTTAGTGAAGAGGCAGATGGACAAGACCAAGTGGGGTGGGGAAAGGGCACTCCAGATGGAGTGAGAACTGAACTCAAGGATGGGCAAGCCACTGGCTCCCAGGTGCCTCTCTAGAAAGGGTACAAAAATACCCCCTGGAGAAAGTTAGGAATATGGTGCCGTTTAGCTGTAGTTTTCTCACATTATTCCTTATGTAATTGGTGAAATGCAAAATGGTCTGGCTCCTGTTTTGGACATGTAATTTCTTGTTCTTTTTTTTTTTTTTTCTTGAGACAGAGTTTCGCTCTTGTTGCCCAGGCTGGAGTGCAGTGGCATGATCTCGGCCCACTACAGCCTCTGCCTCCCAGGTTCAAGTGATTCTCCTGCCTCAGCCTCCTGAATAGCTGGGATTACAGGCACCTGCCACCATGCCAGGCTAATTCTGTATTTTTAGTAGAGATGATGTTTTACCATGTTGGCCAGGCTGGTTTCAAACTCCTGACCTCAAGTGATCCACCAGCCTCGGCCTCCCAAAGTGCTGGGATTACAGGCTTGAGTCACCGCACACTGCCTAATCTCTGGTTCTTAATTTGAACATGTCACAGGGAAAAAATTACTGTGTATAATCCCCACTGTCTTCAAGAAGGGTGGATCTTGGTAACTAGATAATCTTTTGTTTGCAAATCACAAATTCCTCAATCTCAGTATAAAGTATTAAGTATGCAAGTTTAGAAAGAGAAACTGGGAAAAGTTAAATAGCTTTACATAAAAAGGGAGAGATGGGAGATGTACCAAGAAGATGAAGGAAAAAAGACAGTATGCTGGAAGGGAAAGAGAGAGGAGACTCCACCCCTGAGGATATGGGAGCTGGGGGAAGGAACACAGTGTCTTTAAACTTATTTCTGCCTTGGGCTCTTTTGGAGTCCAGTAAAGCCAATGGACTCCTTTTCAAAATTTTTAAACACATAAGAGATATAGGATTTTTGTTATAGTAAAGTTGTAATCAAAAAAAAATGTTAAACCACATTTGTTTGGGGGGAAGAAGTGATGAACAGGTAGAGCACTGGAAACTTTTAGGGCAGTGAAACTATTTGATATGATACTATAATGGTGTAACCACCCAGTGGGTTCACCTTGCCCACTGCGTAGACAGCTGATTTATCAAGACAGGGGAATTGCAATAGAGTAATTCGCACAGAGCTGGCTGTGCAGGAGACAGGAGTTTTATTATTATTCACATCAGTTTCCCAGAGCATTTGGGGATCAGAGTTTTTAAGGATAATTTGGTGGGTGGGGGGCCAGTGAGTTAGGAGTGCTGATTGGTTATGTCGGAGATGAAATCATGGGGAGGTGAGGCCATCCCCTCGCACTGAGTCAGTTCCTGGGTGGGGACCACAAGACCAGATGAGCTAGTTCATTGATCTGGGTGGTGCCAGCTGATCCATCAAGTGCAGGGTCTCCACAATATCTCAAGTACTGATCTTGGGTTTTACAATACTGATATTATCCCCAGGAGAGATTTGGGGAGGGTCGGAATCTTGTAGCCTCCAGCTGCCTGACTCCTTCACTGTAATTTCTAATCCTGTGGCTAATTTGTTAGTCTTAACGAAGGCAGTCAAGTCCCCAGGCAGGAAGGAGGTTTGTTTTGAAAAAGGGCTGTTATCATCTTTGTTTCAAAATTAAACTGTAAACTAAGTTCCTCCCAAAAGTTAGTTTGGCCTATGCCCAGGAATGAACAGGGACAACATGGAGGTTAGAAACAACATGGAGTTAGTTAGGTCAGGTCTCTTTCACTGTAGTAATTTTCTCAGTTATAATTTTGCAACAGCGGTTTCAGTGGTGGATAGATGACATTATACATGTCAAAATGCATAAAATGTACATCACCAAAAGTGAACCCTAGTGTACACTATGGACTTTGGGTGACAATGGTTTGTCAATGTTGGTTCATCAATTGTAACAAATGGTACCATTCTGGAGCAGGATATCCATAGTGGAGGAGGCTCCGCATGCATGTTGGGGGAAGGGACATGGGAACTCTGTATCTTCCACTCCATTTTGGTGTGAATCTAACACCACTTTAAAAAATAGTCTATATGTTTTAAAAATCCTACTTTTGTGCTAAACTAATATATACTTTTCTTTATTAACACTTAAGAAGATCTAGCACTGAGTCTACCATAATTCAAATTAGTGATGACTATAAACAATATTCCAGGATATCCAAAACTACTGCAATGTGACATGAAAATGACTCTGATTTCTCTCGCTGAAAAAAAATCACAAGTACTGCTAATATTATTGTGGTTGGTTTATTACATTCATAATTAAAGGAAACACTAAATTTCAATTACAGGTAATTGAAAATAAAGATGGAAATTATTTTCCACCCAAGCTCAGTGACTACCTCCTCAAATTTCATCCAAGGCACCCTTTGGGGAGGAGGGTATCCTATGGATCCCTGATTACAGATGCTTTGTCTAGACCTAGAATACAATTGTTCCAATTTCCCCATCTCAAAGACTCTATTGCTGTGTTCCATTATTGTCTTCTAAGGTTTCTAACAACTCATCTGTTTTTCTCTTTGTTGTTTTGGCAAGTAATGCCAGTGATTTCTAGAGCCAGGTGACCCTGCATATTCCTAGTGTCCTCTGATATTTAGGAAAAGCAGAGCTGCCTGTGACATGAACTGAGACAATGTCCTGAAACATTGTAGTAACTGAGAAGGAGGGAATACCACTTACAGTATCTTCAGACTTTTTTTTTTTTTTTTTTTTTTTTTGAGACAGAGTCTTGCTCTGTTACCTAGGCTGGAGTGTGATCTCGGCTCACTGTAACCTCCTGGGTTCAAGCCATTCTCCTGCCTCAGCCTCCCAAGTAGCTGAGACTACAGGCATGCACCAGAATGCCTGGCTAATTTTTGTATTTTTAGTAGACACGGAGTTTCACCATGTTGGCCAAGCTGGTCTTGAATTCCTGACCTCAAGTGATCCTCCCGCCTCGGCCTCCCCAACTGCTGGGATTACAGGCATGAGCCACCGTGCCCAGCCTGGGATCTTCAAACTTTCTAGTTGGCCTTTTATGTTGGATGCTAGAAAGATGTCTCTCTTTCATTGGTTACTAATAACAATTTGTAGTGTGTTTATGGTACTTTTGAACTTCAAAAGATTTGGCCAGTATTAATAGCTTAGTTCTGATGTTGAGTTGATGAGGGTAGAATTGCTTTCTCTTATGAGTATTGCTCCACTATTCCTGAGATCTTAGTCAGGTGAATATAAGGGAAATATTCCCAAAGACAAACCATTGTTGTCCCAGATGCTGTCTACTACTCACATAGAAGGTGTGCCCTGTAGGCTAGTGATGACACGTAACTGTGTGGATAAATGAATTCATTTCTTCCTCACTGAGCCCCAAATCCTTCTCAAGACAGTATTTCTGGTGATATGGACAGGGGGTAGGGAAATACTGGGTAGAAGAGGACAGTCCCTGGCGAGGGCCATACCCTCAAGCCTGGGACCATGGCCCAAAGTGAGAACATGCATTCCTGTTTTCCCACCCGAATATTGCCTTTTACAAAACCACCCTGGCCCACCCCACCCCTGATTCTGTACCCACAAAAACCCCAGGCTTCACTGACAGAGGCACAGCAGAGTGGCTGAGAGGCAGAGTGGAGCAGCAGCGAAGGAGAAAAGAGAAGTAGCAGCCAGACATCAGAGAGAAACAGCTTGATTTCAGAGGGACAGCTTGACGATGGGACTTCGGAGAAGAGTTCAGCCAAGGATGGCCGAACTCCAGGGTAAGACCACCTTCCCACTTCATCCCCTTCCCAGCTCCCCATCCTGCTGAGAGCCACTTCCACCGCTCAGTAAAAACCTCCACATTCACTGCCTTTCAATTCGTTCATGCAGCCTGATTCTTTCTGAATGTCAGACAAGGACTTGAGTACCAAGAAGGTGGGTGCAAAAGGCTATCATCCTGACCCCCCACTGAGCTGTTAAACACTTAAGCCATCAGTGGATGGCAAAGCTAAAAGAACACACTGTAACACACACCCTCTGGGGCTTTGGGGGTTGCAGGTACCCCCCTAGAAGCTGCTGTGGGGCTGCATGGAGTTCTACTCCTGCCAGTGCCCAGAAGTACTCATCCTGGCCACTGCCCCTGCTCACCTGCATGCTCCCCCTCCCGTGAGGGGTTGAGAGCTATGGGCTGAGTAAACAAGAGAACCCTTTGTGAGCCCCGCAAAGGGGTCAGGGAAGTGTCCAGTTTCACTGGCAGTAATGGCTATTAATAAATCAAAATAAGTACTTTCTAAAGATGAAATATATTTGCCTTGACTATGTGCTTGAAAAAATGTCACTGTTAAGTAGTCTTTTATTAATCTCCATTTTCTCCTGGATAAAGCCTAGGCTTCTTGCTATGGTATTCAAGGCCTTCCGTGAACTCATCCCAGCCCATCTTTCCACCATCATCTTCTACCTCAAAGCCTAACTTCTGTGCTCCACCTTTTTCTAAACACAAACGGATCTCTCACATCCTGTTTATTTTGCTCAGGACATTCCTTTTGCCTGGCATGCTCTTGCCTTGTTTTATGCCATTCTTTGTACCCCTAGACATATATTTCCCCCCAGCCAACCTTTCCTGAAGCCATTCCTTCTGGCATTCACTGCTCCCTCCTGTATGCTTGCTTTATAGGCTTCCTATTACCCCTTTGTCTCACATTGCCTTGAGTTGTCATTGGTTATGGAGCTCTCTATTCCTAGGTAGCTTGTAAGCCCCCAGTGGGCAGGGACCAGATTTTTTCTATTCCACCCTAACACCTACTTGCATGTAGAAGACACTCAAAAATGTTTATGTGAAAGAATGAATCATCCTACATTGTTCACCTTTAAATTCCCTTTGAACTGTGTTTATGATTTGTAAACACTAGAGATCACCTCTGTGTAACTGATCAACTTATTTCTCTATAAACATAAGGCTTTTCACACGCCACCCATCCCTCATCTCCATTTTCATCTTCCACTCCAGTCACACCTTCCTAAAATCCCTGTAACCCAATCATACCAGGATGTAGCAGGCTTCTCCAATCCCTGGTGTATTTTTGTATTTCCAGATTTTGATTATCCTGGACCTTCTGTGTGGCATGTCCTTTCTCCTTATCTATCTAGCAAACTTCTACTCATCCTTCAAAGCCCACTAAAATATCCTGTGAATCTCATAGGCTTTCTCATCCTACCAAGACAGAATTAATTGCTCTCATATTTGTTTTTTGTCAGTGCTTAAAACAATGCCAGTTGCATATTGGTTGCTTAATAACTAGTTGTTGAAACTGAACCAATTGCTCCAAGTTCTTTGTTTATGGTATAGTTTCAGTTAGAAGAAAACCCACTGGTCAGCAACTCAGGCTCTCAGATCAGTCTTGCTAAACCAGAGATCCATAAGTGAGTAAACAGAATGTGAGTAGGATTCAGGGAGGTGATGCCCCTGAAGTCTTAATTCTCTGTGCATAATTCTCCAATTGTGTGCAAATGCTTGAAACAGGAAGGAAGGAAGGAAGGAGGAAGGAGAACTTGTGAGGGTAAGAAGAAGGAAGGAAGGAAGGAAAGAAGGAAGGAGGGAAGGAAGGAAAGAAGGAAGGAAGGAAGAAGGAAAGAAGGAAGGAAGGGAGGGAGGGAGGAAGGAAGAAGGAAAGAAGGAAGGAAGGGAGGGAGGAAGGAAGGAAGGAAGGGGAACTTGTGAGGGTAAGAAGAGTGAAGGAAGGAAGGAGGGAGGGAGGGAGGGAAGGAAGAAAGGAAAAAAGGAAAGAAGGAAGGGAGGGTAGAAGGAAGGAGGGAAGGAAGGAAGGAAGGAAGGAAGGACGGGGAACTTGTGAAGGTAAGAAGAACCAAATTGTTCAAGCCTATAATGTGAGTATAGTTTAAGATATATGCCCTTACTATTAGAGCTTAAAGCCAGAATGTCATAGACCAAACTCATAATATAGTTTATGGCTGATCTTTATGGTAATAAAAAAATCTAGAAAGAAACTGCCTGGCACCATTTGCTGAAGATGTTTTTTAATACTGTCAAGTGATTCATAATTATAAAGGGTGAATGGACTATGTTTGCTCTGTAGTGGTTATGCTGAGACTCATTAAGTACTTTCTGCATCCAGGAGTTCTGTTTTATGTAAACAAGACCTCTGAGGAATATATAGATGGGTAATAAAGATGAAAGGAAATGAAGTATATTAACATGAGGACAAATTAATAACGGCCTTTCCATCTTCTAACAGGAAAATCAGTTGCTGTGGAATAATTGCACTTTTCAATGCAAAGGGGAGCAAAAATCCAGACAAAGCAATAGACAGAAGACAGACAAAATCAGACAGGGCTCTGGGGTCAAACTACTTTATGGAGATAGTCTGCACTTTGGAAAACTTACCTGCTTTCCTGGCCAGGCTTCTGATGGGACTTGCAGAGAGCTTTTACTTGGCCACAAATGAAATCATCTTTAATGTTTTGTAATGGACAGTGGGGCATGAAGAGGTTCTCTTCTTCATAAAGGGACAGGGAAAGGAGGGTAGGAGAATACAAGTACTGAAATGGCAGAAAAGGTAAGATTAACCAAATCACCATCTTATTTCTCTTCACATAAAAGAGTCGGAGCCTGTGTTTTGAGATTTGCTTGAAATAAATAACAGCATTGATAAGACAAGGCTGAGCTAACATGGATAGATCTGTTTTCCTATCAGCAATGCACTGTCTGAATTCCTAGACAAGTATGTCGGCTAAACTGAGTTTCCAACTGAGCAGACCCTATATAGGTCACTGTAATATACAAACTATAACACAGCAAAGATGCCCATTGGGTCACCCAGATCTTTACTTGGCTCAAGGCTGCTAGTACAGAGTTAGCAAGTAGATAGCTCCAAAGGGCCTACCCCATGTACTGAATTTCAGAAGGTATTTCCACCCCAAAGATGGCCTGCTTTCTCAACCTGCAGGCATTTCTCTACCCCTGGCATAGAGCTGACTTGCTGCCTGCTGGGCTTCCAAAACTCCAGATTTACACCTCTGGTGCTTTGCTCAGACCAGGGCTGGAACTAGGATGAGAGGCAAGCCAGACGTGGGGTGGGAGGGGTAAATTTAAGGAGGCACTACATCTCAGGTCCCGAACCGACACTTGTACTTCCTTGAAAGTAAGTGCTTCCTTAAATTTTGCACCCAGGAGCTTCCCTTGCCTCACCCTACTTTGGGCCTTGGACTCCAGAGTCTCTGGTGAGAGATCTGTGGATTGTGTTAGTGCAGGAAGCCTCACAGCCAGATCACTCTCACTCTGCTTGATAGCTCTTCTGTTTACCTCAACTAACTTCTCTCTCTATATTACTCAGTTTAAAGAATTTGAAGACTGGAAACCTTGCATGGCATCTTAAAATGCAGAGCAAGGGGCCCATGTTGCTTTCTTGTTGAGCTCAGAGCAGGCCTGACTATGCAAAGGCTGAGATCAGTCCTGGAGCCACGCCGACTAACCCAAGACCAAGACATCCCAGGGACTCAGGGATGCTCCTCCCAGGACTGGCTTAGAAGGGGCCTGCTTGGTTATAATGCTCTGCTGTTACAGCCTTGACATTTTAAATAATTTTTAAACAAAGGGCCCTGTGTTTTTATTTTGCTTTGAATCCTGAAAATTATGTATTATAGTTGATCTTGGCTCTACTTACAACAAATTAAAAATATCTAGTGTGTCAAATGCTCCCTGCCCCTTTAACACCCTTCTTGATTGTTATTGGAGTACACACAAGCCCTTACGGTGGTCCGTAAAACCCTGCTTTGTTGGGCCTCAATTCACTCTCCAGCCCTGCATTGTCCCTTCCTTCTTGTTACCTGCTTTCTGGCCTTCTTGCAGTCCTCAAGTGCACCACATTCCCTCTCACCTCAGGGCCTTTGTACAGGCTGTTTCCTCTGCCTGGAATCCTCTTCTCCAGCCCCACTCCCCAAATCTGGCTGCTACTGCTTGTCCTTCAGTTCTGAGCTCAGACATTAATTTCTCAGGAAAGCGCTGACCCACCAGGCTAGACTGAACCCCACGTCGTATATTCTCACGGTGCTTCTTCAGCGCCTGCCACAATGTATAATTAAATCTTTGTCTGATCATCTGATTAGTGTCTCTATTACCACGTGATTCCACATGAGACAGGGACTGTGTGTCTTTTGTTCACTTTCGTAGGTTCAAGGCCTAGCATAGTGCCAGGCACTTATTACAGCAAGCACTCAGTAAATAGTTGTGAAGGGAAGGGTAAGGGAGAAGCCCAGGGTATTCCTGTCTGGGGATGTTGTGTCGGGGGAGGCAGGGTGGGGAGATGTTGGAGGTGGGAGGTGGGCTGAGGGGAGGTAACCTCTGGAAGGATCTGAAGCAAAGCTGAATGCCCTTTGGCTGTTGACTTCCAGGCTCAGATACCCAATGCTCTCAATCTGAAGTCATCCTCAGAAGCCAGCTCAGCTCCACACTAGCCTCTGGTGAGGGGAGATGATGAATGAGCAAAGTTTAATCACATTGAATTCAATTTGCTGATGGTCAACCTAGGTATCTCAATAATTAGGGGAAAATATACTGTGTGTTAGTAATTTCTAACGAGCATGCAAGGTTTCAGTTTGCAGCGTGGTCTGCTAAGCATTTTAATAGTTTGAGTTTTCTTCTTATATTTGCCTTCCTTATTTAGCGGTATACTTCCCTTTGGGGATTTTATTCCCTTTGATAGACTTGTGAAAGTATAATTTTTTTCTAACTCTGTGGTGTATTTTGTCTCTTTGCTTCCTTTATCTTTTCTTTTGCAAGCCACCGAAAGTCATGTGTTAGTCTTTGATTTCCTTCTATGGTCCCACATACCTTTCTTGTAGATTTTTTCCTTGTGATCTTTGAAATATCCTCCACAAGTTCAAAGTGACCGCTACTTGTTGTAGGGAAAAAGAAAGTCAAAACTCCTTCTCGGTTGTAGGACCCTCGACTTTCTTTCAATATCCCCCTGCCCCACCCCTCACACTTCGTATTCACCCAGATCCTAAATGCTCCTTGTTTTGGTTCCAAAAACTAGAATAATCTTCTACTGCTTCTCTCTGTGGCAGAGACACAGATCGTTAAATTTTGTTGTTGTTATTCTTACAAGAGAAACAAGAGGCAAATGGTAACTTTTCTAAGCAGCTATTCACTTGTCTAAAGATGAAGTTTTATACTTGAAATGTGGAGGCTTCACTAAGGAACTATTTTCCATAACTTTGTCACCCATCAGCTGTTGGTGTCACTGAAATTCTCAGCAGCTGCAACAGGGGAAGGTTCTCCTTTTTTATTCCCACCATGCCCTCACCACTTTGGAACAGCTAGGAATACCGGCAGTGACATAACACATCTGATTATTCGTTATGATCCAAATCTTAGTTTAAATGAGGCTCCCAGTAACTGATGGTTTAGGAAAAAGTAAGAATTCAGTGGAAATACTTAATTTCAGATGGCTTTGGATCTAAATAAAGGGATAGATTAGGAAATGATTGATCTTTCTTAGAGTCCAGAGTATTTAGCCATTCACCAGGGTGGTGAAATGCTTCTTTTTGCTTTCTTGACTTTTTAAAAAATAAGCTTCACACCCTGGTACTTCCCAAGTTGTGATGCAGAAACCATGATTTGTCTCATTTCTCTCTTACCTCTGTCTCCCACCACTGTGTCCCTTTATTTGGCTTACTTCAAGTTCCCCTAGCACATTATGTGCAGCTCTTCCTGTCTACATTCTATTGAGACATGCCATATAAGTATTTCTATCCCCCTCACTGATCATTAGCTGTGTGACCTTGGGCGAGTTACTTAATCTTTCTGAATCTTGGTTTTCTCAACTGTAAAATGCCAACACCAATAACTTCCTAGTGGTGTTTGTTAATTTATTTGCCCACCTATTGATTCAACAAGTGTTCCTTGAGCTCTGCCTCCATGCCAGGTGCTACTCTAGGTCCTCTAGGTCCTCTAGGGATACAGCAACAAACAAAACAAGTCCTTGACTCCATGGAGTTCACCTACAGATGGTTAGAGAGACAATAAGCAAATAAATACATAATATATCCAGATGTGCTAAGTTATTTGAAGAACAATAGGCAGAGTAGGAATAAAAGAGAATGATGGGTGGTCCTGCAGGTTGGGTTCCCTGGGAAACAGGTTCTGCGATGGAGACACAGGATCATACCTGGTGGGAACAGAAAGGCAGGAGGAGGGGAAAGGCCTCAGTTGACTCCATGGGGAGTTCTGAAGCTGGGATGGCTTTTCTGAATTGACCCAAGTTGGGACAAAGGGTTTGGGTCTTTATATCCCTGCTTTGATCAGCCACTGGACATGGGCTGCCCCTAGAAAAATGGCTCTTTTCAGCTAAGGGCAATTTTTAGGGAAGGCTGAGAATTTAGAGTTGTCAACTGACATTACTCCCAGCACTTAGAAGAACAAGCCCTTCAGTCCTGAAGGGGATGGAGGTGGCATATAACCATCTCCACTATAGATGGGGTACATAGTGCTATTTACAACATGATTATAACACAGTTTTATACCACAATTTTATATTTTAAAACACAAATTTATAAGGGATGTGCTATTAATGTGGTAGTAAAAGAAGCTTTCTCTGATATGGTGACATTTGAGGTGAGGTTTGAAGGAAGAGAAGATTAAGCCTTGAAGATATCTTGGGAAAGAGCACACCAGGCAGAGGGAGCAGGCAATGTTAAGACCCTGAGAATGGAACATTCTTGATATGTTCAGGGAATCCAAGGAGACTGGTATGGTTGAAGAAGAATGACCAATCAGTGGGAAAAATGCTAGGAAATGAAGTCAGGATAGAGCCTTGAGCCAGATCATGGGGGGCTTCATAGGCTACTGCACAGAATGCTGTGAGAATTACTTGAATTGATTCACATAAACTGTTTAGGAATGTGCCTGCGATATAGTTCTCCATGAAATTGCTATCATCATCATCATCATCATCATCATCATCATCATCATCATCTCTCTTTGTATGAGGGTGGCTCTGTGTATATCTCACCACAATTGAAATAAATAAATAAAAATGAAATGAATTTGAACATTAAAGATGGGTCAACTCCTCTGGAGTAATTATTAAATATGTGTTAATTTGTTTTTAAAAAAAAATTAAATGATTTTTCTGGGTAACCACCAAAAACATCCAAAGTACATATTGGGCGAAGTCAGTTCAGGCTAATGTGTTTTTCCCCAAAATATTTTGTGGTTCAAAATAAAGTAATTATAGAGCTCCCGATAATACTAGAGGATTTGCAAGGACTTGAATAAACTCTTTTCAGAAGGATTTTTTTGAATAAATAAAAGCACCTTATATTATAATTGGATCTGTATAGTAAATAGAAAAATATATAGTTGAACTATATGAAATTGCCTCTACTCAACTTTTTTTGACCTATAAAAATGTCAAGTTCATATATTCAACCAAATTTACATATTTTTCTGTGACATCATTAACTAGAAAAAATGCATTTTTATAATAATAGTCTTAGGTCTTTATAATTCAAAATTTAAATTTCTATAGCCAGATCATAAGTTGCTTTTGATTATATTTTATGTATTTCCAAAGTCTTCTTGCATAGTCCTAAAGGAAGAAACTGAAGTTCAAATTTCTTCAAAATAAAAAAAATTATAGGAGAGTGTATCTGATAGGCAACATTTCATATAGATCAAAAAGTAGTTTGGAAAATATATTTCCTTTCACTAAATAGTGAAAATTAAAAGACTGGATTTATTGCTTTGAACATCAATTATTTGAAAAGGGGTCCAACCTGAGAATTAAGAGCCAGCACCTTTTCCTTTGGCCTGCCATCAAGGACGTAAAGCTCAGAGAGCAGGATATATACTTCCTTTAGTGTGTAGATCACTTCCATGGACAAATAATTGACTCCATTTTGAGTTCATTCTTTTTTTTTCTTTAACTTTTTATTTTGAAAAAAAGTCAAACCTGTAGAAAAGTTGAAAAAACAGTACATCATCTAGATTTACTAATTAACATTTATCATATTGTCATATTCTCTCTTTCTCTCTATATACACACATAAATATTTCTATATATGTACATATGTTTTATATGTATTTATAAACATGCAGATATGTGTATATATACCCATGTATAAACATTTCTCTTTATATGTATGAACATTCAGTTATTTCCTGACTTTTTTTTTTTTTGAGACAGAGTCTCCCTCACTCTGTTGCCCAGGCTTCAGTGCAGTGGCACGATCTTGGCTCACTGCAGCCTCTGTCTCCTGGGTTCAAGCAATTCTCCTGCCTCAGGTTCTTGAGTACCTGGGATTACAGGTGTGCACCACCACACCTGGCTAAGTTTTGTATTTTTAGTAGAGACAGGGTTTCACCATGTTGGCTAAGCTGGTCTTGAACTCTGATCTCAAATGATCCACCAACCTTGGCCTCCCAAAGTGCTGGAATTACAGGGTTGAGCCACCATGCTCAGTCATTTCTGACCATTTTTAAAGTAAGTTGCAGATATCATGACATTTCACCCCTAAAAAGATCAGCACCTATCCCCTAAGAACAAAGACATTCTCCTATATAACTAAAATGACATTATCACAGACAAGTAATAAACTATATTACAATAATATCATCTAACATATAGTCCATATTCAAGTTTACCCTATTGAAAATATTCTTTATCACTCTTTTTTTAAAAAAAAATCTAGAATTTTCTCAAATATCATTCCTTACATTTAGTTGTCATGTCTCTTTAGTCAACTTTAATCTAAAACAGAACCCCCAACTCCCACCTGTGAATTTTTCTCCTTTCATGGCAATGACATTGTGAGGATGCTGGCCAGTGTTCTGGGCTGGTCTTGCTAATAGGTCCAGGTAAAGCCTTCTAATAAGAAGACTACCCCGGTGAGAGTGTCTCCCTTTGCGTCGTCCCTTTAGGAGACTCTTAGTGTCAGTTGCACATTAAGCTTGGTCACTTGTTTAAGGTTTTTTGTGTTGATTCTTGTCAACTTTAGTTAAAGTGTTTTTTGTCCTCATCTACAAAATCTCTGGAATTTGTAGTGTCTATATAGAAAATGTTATAAGTCTTGAATATCTATGTAGGTCATATGTCAAACTATTATTAGCTTATATCAAACAGGTTTTTCTTAACTGATGACTATAATAATGTGTGACTCTCAGAAATATTGATAGCTCCTTGAAGAGGATGACAGAAACTGAAATGCTTGTCCAAACTGCCTGGCAAACTGAAAGAATGCTTAGAGATCACTCTGTCTCTCTCTTTCAGTCTCTCTCTCAGTTTCTCTCCCTCTCTCTCTCTCTCTCTGTCTCTCTGATTCCTTTTACCAAGATCATCTCATTCTATTTCCCTATAGGTTGCTTTTGCTTAAACTTATTCTATGCAGAACAGACATATAGAAGAAAGGACTTGTAGGGAAATATTTAAACTCAAATCTCTTTAAAAAAAAAATAGTTTTTATCTGGTGAATATTTGCTGTCGTTGACAGAATTTTCTGTCCACTTCATAAGAACTTTGTCAAAATAACTTTCTTGCCAATATAAGCCCCTGGAGCAATCCACTGTCCATTGCTTTGTGCTCTGGGGAACAGCTGACCTTGGTTAGAAATTAATTTATTACTTCCTGTTTCCTTTATATCTCCCACTTCCCTCTCCACCTCCTTGCTCTAATAATGACACATAAAGTTAATGAGCACTGGTAATTAAGAGGGCCATTTTAGAACTAGTGAGTTGGGTATTGAATGCCCTTGACCTTTTTAAACTTTACTTGGAGAAAGGATAGCTGAGTAATTAGAAAATGGAGTTCCAAATCAGAAGCTGAGAAGTCTTTTCTGCCAGTAATTTGTGTAGCTTGGGCTGGATCCCTTTACCTCTCTACATTTTATTTTGTCCATCAGTTAAGTAGGAATTACCATTCTCATTAAAAGTTTTTGGGTGCACGGATGAAAATCACAATATGATAGCAATATAACTTTTAATCTTAGAAGAACTAGGCAATGTGAATGTTTTTACTAGTTATACAATCCAACATATTTTCCTTAACTCACGTTTGTACTTTCACCTACTTAAATCAATAAAGGTCACAACTTAAATCTTTTAAGTTAAGGCCGAGTGTGGTGGCTCACGCCTGTAATCCCAGCAATTTGGGAGGCTGAGGTGGGCAGATCATCTGAGGTCAGGTGTTCGAGATCAGCCTGGCCAACATGGTGAAACCCTGTCTCTACTAAAAATACAAAAAATTAGCCAGGCGTAGTGGCGGGTGCCTGTAATTCCAGCTACTCCTGAGGCTGAGGCGGGAGAATCTCTTGAACCCAATGGGGGGAGGTTGTAGTGAGCTGAGATCACGTCACTGCACTCCAGCCTGGGCAACAGAGTAAGACTCCATCTCAAAAAAAAAAAAAAAAAAGAAAGAAACTTTTAAGTTAAATAGCTTAAAATATAAAGGGAAATAAAAAACACTTTATTTCTAATTTCTTATATAACGACCAATTTGATCCTCAGAAAATTTTAAAATTAAGAATTTTATTATAGAAGTAATCAATTGAAGGAATATCAGAAAATGTAGATATGTAGGAGGAAAAACAAATCAGAAAATCATGTGTTACAACAGGTTCATCATTTGTAACAAATGTACCCCTCTGCTGGGGGATGTTGATAACAGGGGGAGGCTCTGCATGTGTGGGGACAGGAGGTAGATAGGAAATCTTGGTATGTATGTAGCTCATATGCCAAACTATTATTAGCTTATATCAATATTAGATATATATCCCTTCTGCTATTCCAGAAGGGATCATCTAGTCATATGTTTTTATAACATGATTTTTTTTTCATTTATTAGTCTATTTTCAGTATCTTTCTGGTTCATTCAAAGTAATGATAAGCTGATGCTATAATGTCCCATCCAGATCTCCCTTCAGAACTAGAAGACTTAATTACCCATCTGTATGCTGCTGGCAGGCGCCCCTTAGCCCTCTACTCCATTTAGAACTGTTGGATGAAGGTATTTGCCTTGCCCAAGGGAAAACCCATATCCATCAGCTGCAGGCTTCCAGTGGCTGCAAGATGCAGGGATATAAAGGCTAGGCTCTCTTGCCCTGGCTTGGGATAATTCTTAAGGGTTATTCCAGCTTCAGAACCCCCTGTAGGGTAGACTGAGGCCTTCATTGGGACAGCACTATAGCCCCTCTTCTCCCTCTGCTCAGTCCTGCCAACCCATGACTTCCTTTCCAGAGACACGACCCTAGGAGTACTCCTTTGTCAACTTCCTATATGTTATTCTCGGTCTCAGAATTTTTTCTCTGGGGGGCCCAATCTATAACAGCTACATTGGGAGTGGTCTGAGAAAGCAGACTCTATGATACAAGTTTCTAGCTGGTTCACTTTCTCCCCAAGACCCTGTGAGTGGTGGTGGATGGAGTATAGACAACCCCTGGCCCAAGGAAGCAGAGCATTGTTAAAGCTTTCACTGAATGGGGAACTGGAATGGGATATTGGTAGAAGAGAAATGCACTAACTAGTGCTATGTCTTCATCAATAGCAATGGGGATCAGAGAATCCCAAACATTAGAGACTAAGTGGTGGCATTTGACCACAGAGGCCAAGTCAGTGCAATTAATGTATTGAGTAAGGTCAGAATGAAGTGCAGGGGGACCTGCCCCACAGAAAGTTATGTAGTTGGTTCAATGAGATTTCATCTCACTCCAGTTAAAATGGCTTGTATATAAAAAACAGGCAATAACAAATGCTGGTGAGGATGTAGAGAAAAGGGAGCCCTCCTACGCTATTGGTGGCAATGCAAATTAGTACAATCACTATGGAGAATAGTTTGGAGTTTTCTTAAAGTCTAAAAGTAGAGCTACCATATGATTCAGCAATCCCACTGCTGGGTATACGCCCAAAAGAAAGGAAATCAGCATATCGAAGAGATATCTGCTCTTCCATGTTTATTGCAGCACTGTTCACAATAGCTAGGAATTTGAAGCAACCCAAGTGTCCATGAACAGATGAGTGGATAAAGAAAATGTGGTATGTGTATGCAATGGAATACTATTCAGCTATAAAAAAGAATGAGGTCCTGTCATTTGCAACAACAGGATGGAACTGGAGATCATTATGTTAAGTGAAATAAGCCAGGCACAGTAAGACAAACATCACACGTCCTCACTTATTTGTGGGTGCTAAAAGTCAAAACAATAAAACTCGTGGAGATAGTAGAGGAATGGTTACCAGAGGCTGGGAAGGATAGTAGAGGGGGTGGGGAGGAGAAAGGGATGATTAATGTATACAAAAAAAAAATAGAAAGAATGAATAAGACCTACTATTTGATAGTACAATAGAGTGACTATAGTCAATAATAACTTAATTGTACATTTAAAAATAACTAAAAGAGTATAATTGGATTGTTTGTAATACAAAGGAAAAATGCTTGAGGGGATGGATACCCCATTCTCCATGATGTGATTATTACGTATTGCATGCCTGTATCAAAACAGCTCACATACCCCATAAATATATACACCTACTATGTACCCCAAAATTAAAAATAATAAAATTTTAAAAATAAAATGAAAAAAGAGAAAATTATATAATTGGCTAATAGAATATACTATCCCTGGGGGAAACTAGATAGGCAGCCAACAGGGTGCTACTCAAGCTGTTCGATCAAAAGAAATCACGGATGAATGCCATCAGGAGACTGAGGGTCATCACACTTATATATATAAAAAAAATCACAGTCTCTTGCTTACTTTCTGACCCTGAGACAGTTTTTATTCTTAGGAACCCCTGCCCGAAGGAGCTGCCATCCCCAGGATAAAGGATCCTACAATATCATGCATGACAAGAAGATGTGGTAATGGATCCCCAGTCCTCCTTCAAAGGGACCTATGGCCGTTTATTTGGGAGACCATATACTAGGGAAAGGGGAATACCTAACTAAACACAGGCTCGAAGTTAACATTGATATCCAAAGACCTGAAGCATCATGATGTGGTCATATAGAAGTCAAGTAATAAGTAGAATCCTGACCCAGGCCTGGCTCACAGTGGCTCCACTGGGTCCACGGATCCATTTGGTGGTCAGTTCTCTGTTCCCAAATGTGTAATGGGAGAAGGTATACAGACGGTCCCCAACTTACAGTGGTGTGACAGGATTTTTCAGCCATATGAGGGTATGAAAGTGATAAGCATTAAGTAGAAACTGTACTTCAAGTCCCATTGAGACATTCTATTTTTCACTTTCAGTACAGTATTTAATAAATTACATGAGATAGTCAACACTTTATTATAAAATAGACTTTGTGTTAGATAATTTTGCCCAATTATAGGTTAAGGTAAGTGTTCTGAGCAAATTTAAGGCAGGCTAGGCTAAACTGTGATGTGCAGTAGGTTAGGTGTATTAAATGCATTTTTGACTCAACAATATTTTCAAGTTATGGTGGGTTAATCAGGACGCAACCCCCTTGTAAAATAAGGAGCATGTGTACTTTGTATTTGACACAATCCTGTATTCCCTCAACTTTTGAATGAGATCTATCATAGTAGGAAGGCCAAGTGGAGCTCTGAATCCTGCAACTTGCTCCCCACTCCCAGCCAAAATAATCAATCAAAAATAATATCACACACCAGCCACCTTTAAAGATGAAAAGATGCTGAGGTTGTGGGCCCCATCATATCTCTGTTTAATTCGTCAGTCTGGCCCCGGCAAAAACCAGATACTGGAGGATGACAGTGGACTACTGCAAACTCAGACATGTAGTACTCACAATTGCAGCTGCTGTGTCAGGTGTGGTCTCTTTGCTACAGCAGATTAACTAGGTCTTAGGTCCATGATAGGTGGTCATTGATCTGGAAAGAGGATCAAAAACCATTCACATTCATTTGGAACGGACAAGAGATTACATTTACAATCTTGCCCTGGGACTATATTAACTCTCCTGTCCTCTATCATAATATTGTCTGAAGAGTCTTGAGTGGTTGAACAGCTTGCCAGACATCACATTGGTCCACTGTAGTGATGACATCCTGCTGGCTTGCCTGTTGGTGAGACAACATCCCCTCCAGAGAGTGAGAGATAAACTTGACAAAGATCCAGAGGCATTTTCACATTAGTGAAAATTGTGAGGATCCAGTGGTGTGGGCATGGGGAAAATCCCCAAACCCACTACAAAATAAAAAATAAATTATTTCATCTTGTATCTCCCATCATAAAAAAAGAAAGCATAACCCCTCATTGGGTTCTGGAAATAGCGTATTTCACACTTGCAAATACTGCTCTGATCCATATGTCAGATGACACAAAAAGCTACTGGATTTAAGTAGAAATCAGGATGTTTGCTGTAGCAGGTCCAGGCTGTGGTACAAGCAGCCCTTCCATTTGAGCCATATGATCCAGCAGAACCTATGATATTAGAGATGTCATGGTGGGAAAAGACACCATGTGGTTTTTGTGACAGGCCCCAGTGGAAGATTCACATGACAGAGCCCTGGGTTTTTGGAGCAGAAGTATGCCATCTGCCATGGAGAATTATACACCTTTTGAAAACAGCCCCCAGCCTTGTGCCCTAGTAGAGATGAAGTGCTGGATCATGGAACACCAAGTGATCAGGCCGCCAGAACAATTCATCTTGAGCTGGGTCCTGTCAGACCACCAAGTCGTGAGGGTAGATGAGCCCAGTTCAAATCATCATAGGATGCAAGTGGCATATCCAGGATCCAGCATGGCTGGAGAGCACAGGGAAGCTATACAAGGTAGCCCAGGACCCCACGCCACCCACCACTGTTGGGCTGGCCCTTCTCTCTCAGCTGGTATCTGTGGCCTCCTGTGAATCCTTCATGACAAACTGACAGAGGAGTAATAAGCCCTCTTTGGTTCATGGGTGTGTCAGCCCGGGTGTGCTGTGTGTGCAAACTGAAAAGAGATGGCAGTTGCACTGCTGCCATACTCAAGAGTAGGGGGAAATCTTCCCAATGATGGAGGTTTGGGTGGTGCACCTGGTTGCCCAGTTTGTGTGGAAAGAGAATGGCCTGAGGGTAGAATATGCACAGACTCTTACTTGGGCTGTGGCAAATAGCCACCTTTTGATGGTCCTGGGAGGAGGATTGGAAGATAGGAGACCAGGGGTAGAGGCCTGTGGATCAACATGGGAATGGCCATGCAGTGTGAAGGTCTTTCCCTTGCTTATTAATGCCCACAAGAAAGCATCCACCATGGGAGAGTAAGTACTTGGTTAGTAGGCACAATAACTTAGCCTGGTTGACACCAGCCAGCCTCTATCATCACCCTGGTCTTGGCACATTGAATGCTCGAACAGATTAGTCATGGAGGCTAAGAATGGAAATGAGGAGTGAGCAAGCCAGAATGAAGCTCTATGGAGAGAGGGCTGGATGAGAAAATCTTCTCTGGCCAGAAGAGTAACCTTAGAGGCTAGAAGAACTGAAATGTTGGGAAGAACTGAAATGTCTACTGAAATAAATATAAATGAATGGAAATTTATGAAGTGTTTTGCTGTGTGGCTGAGTTAGGGTTAGGAATCCTTATACAATTTCACCAACCAAATACGATATAGCTGCCATTGCCAAACATCCAAGCTGTGTATAACAGAGATCAGTTGTGAGACCCAGATACAGTGCCAGCTACCTGTGGCAAGTCGACCACATTGGGCTCCTTCTACCTGAAAAAAAGCAGCATTCACCTCGACTGGAAGAGATACATATTTCGAACCTATGTTTGCCTTTCCTGTCTTCAAGATCTCAGCCAGTATCACATTCCAAAAGCTTATGAAGTGTTTGGTCCATCTGCATGGGATTACACATAACATTACATCAGACCAAGACCCTCCTTTCCATACTCATGGGATCCACTGGTCATACTACATGTGACACATCCAGATATTGCCAGCCTGCTAGAATGATGGAACGGGAATATGAAGGCATAGCTGCAGTGCCAGCTTGCAGGATGGGGAACAACCCTTGCAAATGCAGTTGTCACTTTAAATAAAAAAACTTAAATGAAGACGTGTCCCAGTAAGTGGAATATGTGGATCTAGGAACCAATGGAAGTAGGAGTCATCCTACTTACCATCTCTCCTGGTAATCCACTGGGATTGTGTACCTCCTGTCTTCTCAATGCTGAGCTATTCAGCCACAGAGATCATGTTTCCCAAAGAGGAAACACCTCTGGCCAGGAGACACATGGCTTTGTGTGTAGCCAACCCTAGGTTCAATGAGACTTTCCTTGGGCACCCTTATAAAATAGCCGTTTCTTCTACATTTGAATTTATCTCCCTTTCTTCCTTCTTCTGCCTGGCACTTACCACTATCTGAATTATATTGTTTATTTATTTGTTTACTTGCATGTTGTTTTTCTCTCTCCTCCACTGAAGTGTAATTTCCAGCAGATTAGAAACATTTACTTGTTCTCAGCTGTGTCACTTGTGCCTAGAATAACACTGGCCACATTGCAGGCAATTGATAAACACTTGCCACATGAATGAATGACTCTATAATGTAATTTTTGCATGCAGATAGTCCTCAATTGTAAGGATTTATCACAATTTATTTAACCAATCATTTTCGGCAGTTTATATTCCTCACAAGTTTTCTCCATTGAAATAATGGCAGGCAAAATCATGACCTATTACTTCCATAAGATGAGGTCCAAGTACTACAATTGCTGGCACAAAAGGTATGACTCTCAGTTTTTTCAGGCTTTTGATATGTGATGCTTCATGGGTTTGCTCTGAAAGTATTCATATATTATAAATGTAATCCAGATTTAGCTGTCCTCTTGTCAAACAGGCTGTTGACCAAATGTAAAACCAGCATTCTGACCTAGCAAGCTTCAACATTTTATGTAAGAAACACAGCCATATTCAGAATGTTAAATTCTGTTTTTCATTGCCTTTGCTGAAGATCATACAGGAGTCTGTATCCCTAACTCTAACAACTCACAATAAAACACTTCGTAAATCCCAGTTAGACATTTTAGTTTTCTGTATCATCTCCCAGGGATGCTCTCTTGGCTGGGGGAATGTTTTTCCTCCAGCCTCTCTTTATAGAGCCACATTCTTGCCTACTTCCTTCTTCTTCTCCTTATTGCATTTTCTCCCCCCTAGAAACTTCAATTACTCCCGCTATTTTATCATGTAGAGCACCTGCTCACTTTCTTATGAAACTAGGGCCCCGCGCAGAGAGGCAGGTGGTTGCTACTAGCTTGTACTATTTTCTTTAGGTCTCAACATGTTTGTGTCTCTTCCTACAAAGAAATTCTCTGACCCTAACCACATAGAGGAAAACATTTGTTCTTCTCCTTTTTCCCTTAAGTTACTTCCTTAGAGCGCTGAAAGCCAAATTCTGACATTCTCATGCTATCTGTATCGTGGGATTCTACTGGGAGTCATGCATTACCTATATTTGATGGATGTACTTGGTACACTCAGGCTTCCTCCGTAAGTCATTCCTTCTTCCCCTCCCCTCAGTGCCTATTTGTCTCAGGTCTTGAGCTTCAGGTACTGAAAGATTTGAACTGGAGTCTTATCTCCACAACTTACTAAGTTTGTGAATTTAAACATATTTTACTACTCTGAGTCATTGTATCCACATCTATAAAATAGCACCTACCTATGAAGAGTAAATGTGTTAACACACACAAGTTAGCACAGTGGCCTGAGAAAATGCCCAACAAATGTTGACTGTTATTATGCCACTCTTCTTTTTGGCATTTCTGCCCTCTCGATACCTTCTTGGTATAGGCATTAATTTGTTAGTTTCCCTAATTTCTTCATCATTCATCTTTCCTCTGTAGAAACCTCAGATGAGGTTAAGTGAAACCCGCTACCGTGTCTTCACTTCTCAGAGGATACTTTGTTCCTCTTGTCTTCTTCTTGTACTTTCTTATTTATCCTTAGCTTCTGGAAATACCTTTCTTTGCCTATAGTGCCCTTGAACTCTATCTTCTTCATTTCCTGTGGTTTATTTAAGTTCCTGCTTACCACCTCTTCTGTCTCCTCCAGTCTCTGATGACTTTCCTTTGTGCCTTTGGACACTCAGATTTCTTTTCCCTTTTCATACTTGTCCTTCACATTTGGCTCAGTGACACTATTCTCTTATGCATACAAATTCTTTTCATCTTTGTAGAGATTACATGTAATTCTCTTTTACAGAGAGAAACAGCATTCATTTATTCATTCATTGAGTGAATGTTATTGAGAGCCTGCTATCTTCAAGGGACTGGATCGAGTCTTTGGGAGACAGAAATTAAAGGCACAGTTCCTGCTCTTGAAGAGCTCACAGTCTATTGGGGAAGAAGATGAATAAACAAATTCCACTTTGGTAACGTGTCTATGAAAGGGCCAATGCAAGGTGAATTGAGAAGGGGCAATTAGTAGAAATTGAGGTGGAAGGAAGAGGTGTGAAGGAAAGCATTCCAGAACTGTTGACATCAGAGTTGAGTTTCAAAGCATGAAAAGAAATAAGCCAGGAGGAGTGGGCTGTGAATATGTTGGGAGTGCAGATTCTAGTTAGGGGGGGCAATGTTTGCCTCTGCATTACGTCAAATCCTTCATAGTTGTGGAATATAAAGTAGTTCAGCCACTGTGGAAAGCCGTTTGGAGATTTCTCAAGGAACTAAAAACAGAACTATCATTTGACTCAGCAATCTCATGACTGAGTATATACCCAAAGGAAAAGAAATCACTCTACCAAAAAGACACATACAGCTATATGTTCATCACAACACTATTCATAGTAACAAAGACATGGAATCAACCTAGGTGGCCATCAACAGAGGATTAGATAAAGAAAATGTGGTACACATACAACATGGAATACTCTGCAGCCATAAAAAGAATGAAATCATGTCCTTTGCAGCAACATGGATGCAGCTGGAGGCCAATATCCTAAGTGAACTAATGTGAAACAGAAAACCAAACGCCGTATGTTTTCATTTGTAAATGAGAGCTAAACATTGGATACACGTGGTCAGAAAGATGGGAACAATAGATGCTGGAGACTACTAGAGGGAGGGAGGAGGGAGGGAGGAGGGAGGGAGGGAGGGGGACAAGGGCTGAAAAACTACCTGTTGGGTACTATGCTCAGTACCTGGGTGATGGGTTCAACTGGACCCTAAACCTCATCATCACACAATATACTCTTGTAACAAACCTGGACGTGTACCCCTGAATCTAAAATAAAAGATGGAGGAAAAATCTTTCATAGCTGAATTACTTGACTACTCATTGTATCAGATGATTTTTTGAAACCTAGCTACAGGATGTCCTGTAGCTGCATTCCTTATCAATGATAACCTTTCTTGACTAACAAATAAAAAGAATTGCTGCTTAGGTAATCCTGTGTTCTTTTTTGATAAAGCCCTATTTCATATTTACCTCCTTGCCAATCTAAACTAGTCTATAATTTTTAAACCTACTGTTTTATTCATGAAGATGATAAAAATGTTGTTTGCACTGATCTGTTAAATAAAATAGCCACACAGTTCTGACATCTTTTCTTCTGATGTATTTTCTAAACTTTGCATAAAAGTTCTCACTTCTAATGGTTTTAATTACTGCAAATAAATATGCCCCATGGGTTTATTCCAATGAATTGATAACCAGGTTCCCTCCCATCTTATGGTCTCTTGACTTCATAACAAAACTATCTTCAAAGGGGTCCAGTCTTCACAGGATCCATATTTGTTATTACTATTTTTGTAGTGCCCTCCTCCTTCCTGCTCTTCCCACTCCTCCTCCTTCCCCTTCCTTCCTCGTTTGCCCTTTCTTATCATCCCTCAACTCACAACAGAAGCTTGTAGCTCAGTAAATAACAAGGTGAGCCCAAGCACATAGGGTGGAGGCTTGGAAAAGAAATGTGGACACTGAGGTAAGATAGGCCCTTGATATCGACCCAGCCAAAGGCAACCTGAGGAACTCTAATGATAAAGGCATAGCATAGTATTTGAAGTTATTTGAAAGTATTCAGTATTTGTAGAACACAGGGATAGGCAATAATAAGCCATCAGGCAGATGGGAAACCTGGCTGGAATTTTTATTGTCTTTGTGTTGAAATTATACATTAATTGAGAAAGAATTAAAATATTTTAAATATCAAGTCAGCAACCATGACTGTGGTATATGTTTTCATTTATTCAGTCTTCTTTTATGTCTCTTAGTAGAATTTTAATATTTGTTTCCATAAATGTACATTTATTGTAAATTTGACTCTCAGATGCATTACAGTTCTCTTCTTATTGTGAATGGTACTTAATTTTCTGCTGGTTAGTGCTGGGATGGGGGAACACTATTGACTTTTGTAAGTTGAACTTGCCTTAAGGCAAATTTGCCAAACCCTGGCTACTTTTAATAGTCCGTTGGCTCTCTTGATTTTCTATGTAGATGATCATACTGTCAACAATGAATGACAATTTAATATCTTTTATTCCAGTGCTGGTGTACCAGTTATCAGTTGCTGCAAACAAATTATCCCAAAACTTAGCAGCTTAAAACAATAGACATATATGATCATACATACAGTCTCTGAGGTCAAGAATCCTGGAATCTGACCTAGTGTCATAAATGACACAGCATTACTTCACCTTATTCTATTTGTTAGAAGCAATTCACTAAATTCAGTCCAAACTAAGGGGAGAAAAATTAGTCTCCACTTTTTCAAGGAACTTTCAAAGACTCTGTGAGTATATTTCAAGCCACCGCATCCTGTAATCTTTTATCCTTCTTGTTTTCTATTTTTTAATTCTTGTTGGCAACAACATCCCATGACAGGTTATATAGCAGCAGAGACAAAGGAGAATTTGTTTTGTTCCAGATATTAAAGGAATAGAGCCTGAGGTTTATCCACCAGCTATCATGTTGATGTTACTTTTTTGGTATAGCATCTATAGCAAATGAAAGTCCTCTTCTATTCCTGGCGACTGAGATTGTTATTGTTTTATCACAAGGAAATATAAATTTCATGAAACTCTTTTGCATTCATAGATGTTTTTCTTTCTTTTCTCCTTTAACACTGGGGTTTCTGATATTAAACCATTGTATTTTTGGGAAAAACCACACTTGGCTTGTTGTTAAATACATTATTTGGTATTTACTTAGATCACATGTTATATAGAATTTTTCCACCTATACTCATAAGTTAAATAGACCTGCAATTTTTTTCTTGTGCTGTCCATACTGGTTTTAGAAATCAACGTTTTATTAGCCTCCTAAAATGAGTTAGGCTGCTTTCCTCCTTTTCTGTGTTCTTTAACTTGGAGGTTTTGTGGCATGCCTCTGTTACAGAGTGGCCTTCTTTTCCTTTCCACACTTCCATCTTCTCATGCCTGGTTTGGTTTACATGCACCCCTTCATGGTCTGTGCCTTCTTTTCTGACTCTGTGTTGCTTATATACAGCAGGCAGTGAAAATTTATACCGTTGGGCTCAGATGTGCATTTAATGGTAACAATTTTTTATGACTGACTCAAACTTCCTTATGATCCCTTCATGAGGTCAGTGATAGAGGCAGGGAAGGACAACATAAGGGTATGTGGTGGTACTGAAATTTGCAAAATATAAAGAAAGTATCTCAGTAACATGGTTTAACACAATTGCATTTTGAATAAATATTCTCTCCCCTCTCTCTCTCTCTTAGGTTCTAAGATGATTTCTTTGGTTCGAGGCACATTTTCTTGCATTTGTATTGATGACGGGAAGGGAAGCTGGCTATCTGCATATGTGTTTACTTGACAACAGACAAGCTGAAGAGGCATCGGAAGACCAGAGGGCAGCCCAAGCAGTCCCTCTAGTCACAACACAGGCACATAACATACGCAGATGCCTTCTTAGGAAAGTAGTCATGGGGATTGGGGAAGTTTTGAGACAAGACAAATGGCCATTGAACTTGAATGAAAATAAACCAACCTGAATGAAACTTTTAATACTGAGAGACACTGAACTTACTTTAATTAGGAAGTTTAAGTATTTTTTCCTTACTACTCAGTTATAGAAACATAAAGAATGCTCCAATGTTTACATATTTCAGTGTGGTGGATAAAAATCTGACCCTACTACAATGAGACTAACAATTTTGGCTTCCTTAATTTGGAACCTTACCCATTGGAGACCTTGTTTCCTGGTCTCCCCAGATCCTATCCCCTTCCTGGTTCTGCGCCAGAGAAACGGGTACTGGGTAGAAAGCTGCAGTCCATACTGGCTATACTGCTAGTGAGCTATATGACCACTCTGCCTCTTAATTTTCTAACCCATAAAATGGGAAGACTAAAATAAATGAACCTTGAAATCTTTCCAGCTTATGGATATTTTTTTCACAATCTTCCCCCATCCCAGCACTTTCTTCTCTTTCTCTTCAGGGTGTATTTCAAGTGAGAGGATAGTCAGATTTTCCTAATCAATGATTCAATTTTATTTGCTCCCTTCATTGATGTCTCTGTGGATTTGACTTAGGAACAGGTCACGCTGTGTCTATAAAATGATAACACTGGTTCAAGTCCAGTTAGATTCCATAGCTGCTCTATATGGCATATTGCTCCTCTCACCTCCCTCCTTCCCCACTTTCTTCTTCAGAATAGTTCATTGTGAAGAATTCCACTGGCATTTCATACCCTTCAAGTTCTACATCATACAGCTGGTGTGGCTCTAAACGTAGGTTTTAAAAATCAAAAGCACCAAAGCAGAGAGTCTGGCTGGATCAGGAAAGCAATAGTGCAATTTTCTGATAACACTGTTTCCCCAACAAAACATAAATCTGAACAAATGAATCTTACAGAATCACTGGTGCTGGGGAGAATTCTTTTTTTTTTTTTTTTTTTTTTTTTGGTGCCTGGTAGGGTTATTTCCCATCTTCCAAAGCCTAAGCCCTAATGAGCTCCAGGGGGACAGAAGTCTGTCAATCACAGGGTACTTTTCAAGTATAGTCATCTCTGCCCCATCAGAGAACCACGAGGCATGAAATAATTAGAAAGCCCAGAATAACTGCTCTGTTTTACAAGAGCAAAATCCGTATGTGGATCATTTACATAAACTTGTCACTTCCCATTACAGTTCTAATGTCGGCTGGGTAGTAATCGCAGGCATGCTGGGGGAGGGGAGGTCAAGGTAGGCTGCGCCTCCATACTGGAAGCCTAAGGTACGCATGTGCTGTGCCTGTCACCACCCCCACCTGCACTGCCTACTGAATTAATGGAAAGTATCTTTTCTTTTCCATTAAATAAGAACTATTCATGCTGCTATGGCAGCAGACCCTGTGCTTAAGAGAGAGAAAAAAAGCGCTTTTGCATCAAGCTATTGTTGGGGGAGAATTCACTTTGAGGAGTATTTCAAAGCTGATCCGATTGGGGAAAGAATCATGTTAAATATTTGCTATGAAATATTTATAAGAAGAGCACAGGAGCAATTGACAAAGTTGCCTGGGAAAATAATCATTTCTCCTCATTTGGACATTTTAGGTTGGGGGGTTTAAATGCCCTACGGAGAACTTATATAAGTGCAAATACATGTGTGATGTGTGTTCACAAATGCGCGTGTGCATACACACATACAAGCACACTCACACACATGGTTGAATGGATTGATAGGATTTAAGCCAATCTGCATCTGAATGCTATTTCCCAAATACGGCAGCAATAAGAGGTCACTGAGGACTCTCTTGATAATTGTGTTTGAAGAAGCCCTGTGCTGATGCCGGCAGAGCAGGGCGCCTTAGCTGTACCCAGGCAGCCATGGCCATGTGGCAGGCAGCCATCTTACAGGTGCTTTTTATATACCACACCCTAAGAAAGGGACTCTTGAAGGGGACAGACTCCCCTCAACCCTACCCTTTATTCCATCAGTTTGATACCCGGGTGTATGCATTGAGAAAGGAAAAGGATGATTTGTTTGAAGCCAGAATAAATGTTATCAGAGTACAGTGTTGCCATCTATGTGGCTTGTGGGTTAAAAAGAAATTAGCACCGAAACCCTGCCCACCTGAATATACAATTATGTAATAAAATGTGGCAGATGATTTATTGACTTATATGGTTAAAAGAAGGTCTGTATCAACTGTATATAATTTCAATATCTGTGGGGCTCTTCTCTGTATCAGGAAGAGAGAAATGAAAATATTCTGTTTTCATGCAATGTGTCCAATAAATAAATCACATATTTAACTCAGTATTTGCCACATAAGCCTTGCAATCATTTTATGTAGTATTTTATACTACTGTGAAACTAGTGTACTGTAGTGTGATTAGCATAAGCAACCAAAGAGCTAACTAGGTAGTGTATACCTTGTTACTGATGCTTATTTTAGCCTAGAAATTCTATAGAGGATTTTGCTCTATGCCAGTTTTATTAATCAACAAGCACATAGGCTTCTGGCCAAAAGGGTGAGTGCTCTGAAATGTCCAGCTGCAGTCATCTCTATAGTATCCGACTTTGTCTGAGAGGACCAAGATCACCTAGCAGTGACGCAGGCAGAAGGAAGATGCACGGGCGTGGTGGGGGTCTGAACCACAGCCAGGCTGTTTCTTATCTAAGAGTTCACCAAGTGGGAAAGCATTGTGGATGGATTTAAATCAGCTTTTTTCTCCAACCCCCCTCCCTTGCACACAACAAAAGTCTAAATCCCTTTTCAGGCCAGATTGCCCCATTTCCCTGCATGGGCCAGGCAGATTGGAAACATGTTTGTCATTCAGCTTTTCTCCGGGCTAATCAGGAGACACTGGGGTGGTGGGATTTCTGCCTTTCATCTATGGAGCCTGCCTCTAAAAACAGCCGTGCAGAGGCCTCTAGGCCTGCTCGAGAGCTGGGCTGCCTGTCATCTCTGCAGACAGATATAAAAATATTGTTAACCACGAGCCTAAGCAGAGGGTTTAACAGGGATTTGAATCTAAAATGTGATACTCCACATAGACCAACTTGATTTGGTCCAACAGAGCCGAACCCCTTATTCTGTTCTAACAAAGTGTGTCACATAATGGAGGAGATTTTGATGGGATTTACGACGTCTCTGTTTCAGGCCTGTTGCTGAATAGATGTAAACTGTGAATGAACGTAGCTGCCTCCTGAGCTATCATGACAAGAGGCCTTGGTCCATCTGACTGACGCATCAAGGTCTTATTGGAGGACAGCTTTCAAGTTCACGGGGGTGCTCTCCCGAGCATGCAGTGGCAGCTGTGCCAGGCAGGTGTGAAGCAGTGAGGTTCCTTGTGGAGCCACAGCCAGTGTCAGAGGGTTGCTACACACTGATTCCCATAACTCCTATATTGGGAACTTAAGTGACCTTTTGAACCTGACAATTCTGGACAATATTACTTGTAAAGACAATGGACACCAATCATGAGGAGGGAGTATAAAGTGGTGGCTAGAGTCTAAGAGGGCATAGTTTGACTCTTGGCTTCTCCACTCACCAGGAAACCTGGGCTAGATCACTCTCAACAACTCGGTTTCTTCATCTATAAAATGGGAATAACAATTGTATTTTCTCCCTTAAATTGTTTTGAGGAATATGGGAGGCTGTGCATGTTCAGGACTAAGTCTAGACCATAAATCCTTGATATACAACATTGCTAGCTACTGCTTGCAGCTCCATGGCAGTTAAGAAGAGCTTGGGACATTACCTGAACCACAGGCTGACTCACTCATAGCTCCACTGTCTGAAAAAGCAATGGACAACATTCCAGAAGCAGAAATGAGGCAATGACATCCAGTCATATCCATCTGCCAAGAGACTCTTTTGGAAAGTCCTACATTTCAGGCATAAGCAAAATCTAGAAAATAATATAATGAACACTCATAGATGTGTCACAGAACTTTGACAAATTTTAATGTTTTGCAGGGTTTATTCTGATGGTAGGAAATAAACCGCTCAGAATTGTGTTGAGTTACTCAGTGCCTCTCCTTGAGCCCATTCTTCTTCTTACCTTCCCCCTTCTGCCCCAAGATAATTACTGTCCTGAATTTGAGTTTTAACAATTCTCGACATGTTTTTTTGAAATTCAAATATGGTATAGCTATGATAATAGCTATAAATATTCATAAACAATACTGAGTTTTGTTTTATACAATTTGGTTTTTATATAAGTGGTATTATATTTAACATATAAGTCCACCATTGGCTTTTTCTCTTAATATTATGTTTTTATATTTAGTCATATTTATACATTTTTATAAACAAAGAGACATAGATTTGTACTGCAGTTTGAATGTCCATTTCATGAATTAATTTTTCCGTTCTCTCATTGGTAGACATTTAGACTATTTCTACTTTTTTCTACTTAAATAGTACCCCAGTAAACACATACCTGTGTGTGTTCTTCTGTGTATAGGTAAGTGCTTGTCTACATTTATACTGTTTGGCTCAGATCCTATTCCCTTAGAGATAATTCAGTATAAATATATATGAGTAGAATTGCTGGTCCTTAGGGACATATATCTTCCCCATTATTAGATGTTACCAAATTGCTTTTAACACCAGCAGAATATGAGAATTTAAGGGAAACATTTAAAGGGAGGGGAATATATTAAATGATGTTTACTCACCCAACTTTCTTTGAGTTTCCAGGAGCTGATTTAGGAGGCAATGCTGCTGCTTTCTTATCAGTAGCTATGGAGTGCAGGTTACTTTTTTCCTCCCAATGTTAATTATCCCCTCTGTACACTTCTGTGGTCTTGTATATCCTGCTGTTGATAATAGAATGTGCCTGGAGAAAACCAGACCCTTGACTTGGGTCAAAAGGTTAGGAAACAAATCGTCTCCTGTAGTCCTTAAATACCTTTCTTCCTGAAGAGCCCCACTAAAAGTGAAGCTCCTTAGAAATGAAACAACCAAACTGAAAACGGTTCATTAAAGAATTTCAGGTCTCTCCATTGACTCTCCTTTTGTAATAGGGCACATACACAGAAGGGAGTGGGTAGAGAGACGTAGCTGGACAACAGCATCCTGGACAGGATCTTTCAGCCCCAACCAGAATGGAGTTTGTGATTGTGCTGGAGGAAATACAGTTCACATTTTCAAGAAACCTGATGAGTCAAGTTAAGATTTAAAAGATGCTTGAATGTCTTTTAATAAAATACCAGTCCAGGAATGATTTCACATAATCACACTAGTAAGAAAGCAAATAATTTTATTTTAGTCCTGTGTAAAGTTAATCACAGGAATAGAAAATTAGCAACAGAAAAACAGAGATAGCCAATTGTTTTCAATTCTTTTGGGAGGGGGCATTTCCCTGTGTATATGATAAAGAGTAAATATACGTGTATGTGCTACATGCCGACAATTCCAAAGCCAAATAAAATTATTTTTGTATTACTTGCTATTTTAAATCATGAATGTCATTACTTCCCTTCATTATTATGTCTAATTGTAAGTTGACTGTACCAGGAAATGAACTACAGTTAATTTAACAGTCAACTAGTGACCAAACTGGAGCTATAAAGAGCAGATTGTTGGCATTAATTAGAGGCTTCTGTTTGGCTTTTAGATTCTTATCTATTTGACCTTGTGTCTTCTATAATCTGGCTGAAGGTTTTCTGGGTCAGCTGAGAGCTTCTGAGTCACAGCACTTGGAACTCTGCAGTAGCTTGGTTTCACTGCAGAAATGAACTAACATCAGGATGATAATGCAAAGAATCCCTAACTTTGCCCACAGGTTTTCTCAGCCAGATCCTGAATAAGAAGGAAACTTCTCATGTCGTTCTTTCCCTACTACAAAGCATCTCTCTGTTTAAACAGGTTTTTAAGAAACAGCCGGAATTTGAACACAGATTCTGGGTGCAAAGTTCCCCTGTTACCCCCTACACTATCTCTCACATGAATAGCTGATGCTTTGTTATATGAAGTGCCAGACACTGTGCTAAGAGCTCATGAATTACCTTTCTCAACCCTTGTAAGTATTTTATAATTTAGATACTATTATTATATAAATACGCCAAAATGTAATGACTCAAACTGGATAGAAGTCTGCTTTTCTCATAAGTCTCGTAAATATATGCCTCTGCTCCATCCAGGGACCCAGGATGCTGGGGTGGTTCCTCAGCATGTGTCTTCCATAATTGTTGCAGTTGTTACCATCTATAGGCAGGAGAAAGGGGAAAGAGAGCATGAGGAGTGCACCCCCAGGATCCCTGTGTCCTGACCTAATTCCCATTCCTACTCCCTTAGAGATAATTCAGTCATGGCTGCACCCGGCTGTAAGAGAGACAAGGAAATACAGTCTGGTAGAGCAGGCATGTACTCAGCCATTATTCTACTACTGTGAGAGAAAGGATTTCAGTGCTGGCACTGGTCGTTTATTTATAGACATTCAGGCTTCTTTGAAATCTTATCTAAACCCATTAGGTCTCTGGGCAACTTTCAGTCTCCACCAGTTATCATCTATATTTTACTAATGAGGTAAATTCAATTTAGCAAGTTTGAAAAACTAGCCCAATGTCACATACTTAGTAGAGGCAATGGGATTCAAACCCAGGCAATGTGAGGCTAAAAACTGAGCATTTAAATGCCATCTACACTGATCCTCTGAATAATTAATTCATTGGTGAGTCACTTTTCTCTAAATGGATATTTGTTGTGGGATTCTACTTAACTCTGCTGGAAGATTGCGGTAATCAGAAATTTTCCATTATAGTAACGGTGGAGATGAGTCCTGGCGTTCCACATTGTCTGAGTTCAGGAGGCTAAAAGCCTACAGTGATTATCATGTCTTTGGAAGTGAGGTTTCTGTGGTACAGGTAAAAACCTCAGGATTTTCGTGGTTAGAAGATATTAAGTGACAAAGGAAGGTATTACTTTAAGTCATCTCTAATTAGGTGCTTTGGTTTAACACACCCAGTCAAGGATATTTTGAGCTGAAGCTTAAAAAAACCCAAGCTGCCTCTTTATAAGTCACCATTAATGCGTAGATGAAAGGTATTTTGAACTTGGGGAACTATTGTCCATCAGCTCAACTATGTAGCTCATAATATGACATACAATTAGTGATTTTATTTACATTTCTATTAAGAGTGTTTTTTAGAGGAGGGGCAGTTTGGGTGTTACAAAGAGAGAAACAGGAAAAATTTATATGAAAGGTGAATATTAACTGTATCTAAATAAATGCTATTAATTAATTTTTAGCTCCAAAAATGAATGCTAATTTGTGTAACTCAATAGACGTGTAACCAAAACAAATAATTACCCTCCTTAATTTGAGCAAGGGCTGCTCTTCCTTAAATACCAGTGATCTGAAATCTGATTTTTCTCAGTGTGAACACTTGGGCAAGTTACTTAATCCCTTTAACCTCCTTCATCTGTACAATGGAGACACAAACATTTTTTACTTATAGATTTGCTATGAGAATTAAATGGGATAGTTCACGGAACAACATTAGTATAGTACATGATAAGCAATGAGTAAATGTTGGGGATTATGGCAACTGTCTTCATAGCACATTTGAATTGCTGGTGGAGGTAGGGGTGTGGATAACAAATTCTGTAAGATTGTGAAAACACAGTAATGTGGAGGGAAGGCTTATCCTCATTTAACAAATTCATTCAAAGGGTTAATCCAGAACTTTGCTAATGCCGGCTGTCAAAATCTTGTGATGAACTAAAGATTTCAGTTAATGTCTTTTTTAATCTTCCCAGGCAAAAATAATCATCACTTTCCTTTCTGCGACTTCTTTGCTCTTTCTCCATTCTTCTATCCTTCTACTTAGCACCTTGTGTCACAGGTATTTGTTTGCCTGTTTAGACTCTGCAAACTTCCCTGGTGACCAAGTGACATGTGGAACCCTCCAAGACAGGGACCATATTTCCTGTCTCCCTGCACAGTGCCTGGCATAAAGCAGGGTCTCCATAAATGTTTCTTTAACGAGTGCCTAAATGGCCTGGTGGAGGTTGCTGGCACACTGGAAGAGGAGCCTGGAAGTATGATGTTATATTTTTCTAGTCTGCTAATAATCAAACCTTTTCACACTCAGTTTCTTCATCTGAGAAATATTCCATCCAGTGTGCTTCCCTTGCAGAGATGCTGTGATAATTAATGAACTCATTGGAAAGGAACGATATTCTCTATCCCTTTGAAGTTTGGTTTTACAAGAAGATCTTTATATACAAGGCTGTAAAAATTCTGTTCTCCTTCCTGCCCTTTTTTTCCTCAAGCCCAAAGGTCCAGGAGAGATTATCTGCCTGTGAAACTTCCATTTCATAAATGCCAGTCTCCCCTGTAGTATAACCTGCAGTGTACTCAGCTGGTCAATCCAAGCCCTGAGGCCTTCTCTTTTCACAAATCAATCTGTAAGCCTGCAGACTGGAAGCCCCTGATAGCTTGAGAGCTGCCAACAAATGGGCTAGGGAAAGCCGTGGTTTATTCACAGATGCTCTTGACCTTCTGTGTTCTTTTCGAGGTTGCCCACATCTTCACTGAAGAAACCACTCGAGATGGCTTGGCAGGAGCCACGCTCTGTGCCAGGTGTTGGGCCTGGGTAGTGCACAGACAGGTGAGTTGTTACATTAGAGAGCCATAAGTCCAACGCAAAGAGGTGTGTGGGGGGTAGGTACAGATCAGGAGGTAGCTCAGGCAAGATGAACCTGGGGTACAGTTAAGAGGATTGGAAGCCATGTCAGGCAAGGAGATGGTACCTGGGCCAGGTGTGAGGGATGAAAAGGATAGATTAGCTTTGTGAACTTGCATTTAGCCTCACCGAGCCTCCATTTCCTCATCTGTAAAATAGGTATAATAACAACAAGGGGGTTAAAAAATAGATAAATAAAATGATTTTGTAAATTATAAAATGCTTTATAAATATCAATTATTATTTGTATCTTCTAGTTGTCTTCCATAAGCTAAGCAGCCGAAGACATGGCATTTAAGACCAGCCAAAGCTGAGCTGACATCAGTGCTACCAACATTATGCTCTTCCCTGGGTGTGGTGCACCGAGCCCTCCACAAGGTGAGGATCAGGTACTGGGGTGGGGAGTGGTAAGAAGGCAGGGGATGGAAGACTTTGGTACAGTCCTTTCATGCTGGCAGCAACCACCCACGGTAGTGTACAGTGGCATACAAACTGGGATGCAAAAGAAAGAATGCACTAAGTTTTAGGTAACTGCTAGTATCCATAAAATAACATAATTTAGAGAGCAACAAGATGCTTTTCTACATGTTTGATTGCGACCCCACCTGAGTTGAATTTCCATAAACTGTTTCATCTCTGCACTCATAAATTTAGGAACGTTACTCATTCCAGTACCAAAAATTCTAGCCTCTTGACCCTCCAGCCGCCTTTCAACTTTATCTAGTAATCATTCACTTGTCAATAGCTTCAACTGCTTTGTCTTTTTTTTTTTTTTTTTTTGAGAGTTTCTCTCTGTCACCCAGGCTAGAGTGCAGTGTCATGATATCAGCTCACCACAACCTCCGCCTTCCGGGTTCAAGCAATTCTCCTGCCTCAGCCTCCCAAGTAGCTGTATCTACAGGTGCCCGCCACCATGCCCAACGAATTTTTTTTTTTTTGTATTTTTAGTAGAGATTGGGGTTTCATCATGTTGGCCAGGCTGGTCTTAAACTCCTGACCTCAAGTGATCTGCCCGCCTCGGCCTTCCAAAGTGCTGGATTACAGGTGTGAGCCACTGCACCTGGCCCATCCATTGTCTTGTCAAATCATTTGCCTTTAAACACCCCACCCCAGATCAGTCCAGGCTTAAACTCAGTCTTCCGAGTGTTGTTAGGGAAAATCATGCAACTGTGAGATTAGCACTGCTACAAATTCAGGATTTCTAACCTCAGCAGCTATCTGATGTTCTTCTATAATGGGACAATATTTTAAAATATTATTGGATGTATTTTTCCTTTCTGGTCATTCCTCCTGCCACCCATTGAAGCCAAGAGCACCCCTTACTTCAGGGGGAAGGCAGTAGTAGCCAGCCAAGAACAAAGGAGTCAGTGTTGAGCTTCTGACTTCCAAAACAGGCCTCTGAAACTCATTTCAGGGAAAATAGATGTGAAAGCCAAGATTTTCATTTGCAAGATCCAGGCTTTGTTGAGAGAGGAGAGGATTTGTGGGTTCTAAGGAAATAAAATAGAAAACTAGAGCATAGTTTATAGTGATAACCATAGAGTGGGGAGGATGGATGATGAGCTGTGATGTATGGCGGTTTCCTGTCAAACCAGAGGGTAACAAGGCAAAGCAAAACAAAACAGAAACTCTTGCTGGGCTGGAGGACTGTAACTTGATGCGAGAGGCATAGGAACACCAGGACATTGAGAGGTGACTGCGGGTTGAAAACCTTACTGAAGTTGGGTACAAGTGAGGAGGCAGCATGGAGATCTCCTGGAAAGATCTGGGAATCCTGGAACTGAAAGAATTGTGTAATCCTTTTCAACTGGGACTCTGAAATAAGGCTGTTCCTTACAATGTTCCTGGTAACATGGAGTGACCACAGTCAAGAAAACAAAAGAAAAAAATGCCATGTTTAGGTAGAGGGAAGCTCTGATATGGGCTGTGTCCTCCCTAAATCCCTCCACTTGGCATAGAAGATCTCCAGATGTCCCACGTGCCCCTGCAGGGAAGATGGCGTGCAGAGGGACTCTGGGATGTAGAGAACACTCTTTGCCAATGCTCTTGTGTCCCTCGTGAGGACTCCTCCTCCTCTTTCTGTTCTTCCAATGCTGATGCTTTCTCCACACCAGCACTCTTCTGGCCTTACATGTAGCTCATATTTTACATGGATCATCCTCAAATTTGTGTCTTTGAGTCTAAAGAACAGATGCTGCTTCATACTTTTACCTCTAGAGCTTGGCTCATAATTGAATTTCAGAGTATATTTATCAGGTGAATGAATTAACTTTTGTGCATCCTGCACGGAATTGAAATCTTCCAGCATCTTTGCCACTTTAAGATGATATAGTGCCATATCTTTGGCCGGCAAATAAATATTTACAGGATACTTCCAAGTGGAATCTTAGTGCTTTGTTGAGATATTGACCCCTATAGGTAGTAAGTTTCATATTTTATTTTATTATTTATTTATTTGTTTGTTTTTGAGATGGAGTCTTGCTGTGTCACCCATGCTGGAGTGCAGTGGTACCATCTCAGCTCACTGCAACCTCCACCTCCCGGGTTCAAATGATTCTCTTGCCTCAGCCTCCTGAGTAGCTGGGACTACAGGCACGTGCCACCACACCCAGCTAATATTTTGTACTTTTAGTAGAGACGGGGTTTCACCATGTTGGCCAGGCCAGTCTTGAACTCCTGACCTCAAGTGATCCACCCACCTTGGCCTCCCAAAGTGCTGGGATTACAGGAGTGAACCCCCGTGCCCGGCCAGTTCCATATTTTAGATAATTAGTATATTTGCCACTTGGCAGAGAAAATTTAGAAATGAACAATCTAATACTTTGGAGTAATACAATGTAACCCAAAGGTCACTTAGCCTAAAGCCTCCACCCTGCGATAGCAGGTTTCTAAGCCCTTCCTCAAAGTGTCCATAGGTTGCTTGCAGAAATCCCTAGATGGATGCGTTACTTGTGTCCATGAATCAGACTGTCTGCTACTGTCATCATATGGTACCCACTCCACTCTTCTCTTGCTTTGGTTCCAAACTGTGATGTCTGCTGGCCATGAAGCCACTTTGAAAAATGTTGCTTCTGCCCATTATGTGAACAGTAATGCCCATGAAAAAAGCCGTGAAGCTTTCCGTCTTTGGCATATTAAAGTAATACTAGCTTCTATGCAGAAGCTGAGAAAATAACTTTCTCCATAATTTTGGGCCACATTTTATCACATAGCTCCTAAGCTCATGGTCTCATAGTTCTGTAAGCTTCTGTTTATCCCCTTTCATAAAAAAGAACTTCATGGAAAAAAGTTGGGAAACGAATACTGCACCATTCCCTTCAAACTCCTCTGGGAAAGCCCTCACCAAAACTCCTCTCTTTTTCCAGTTACCAGTCAACAGCAGCCACAAAACTCCAATGCATATTAACAGAAGCAAAAAATAAGTTTAATGGACCAGGGGAGAGAAGGAAGAAAGGATATTGTCTTCACTAGCAGAATTTAGGTAGCAGTTCTTCCTACCCAAAATGCTGTTTCAAAATACCTTGTATATGATGAAATATAGCATCATGACTGCTGGAAAAGGAGTTTATTCTTTCCCTAGTAAACATGGGGAAATGGGAGCCAAAAGAGTGAAGAAGATAAACTGATTAGTAATGACATCTTAAAAGATGCTTTTGTCTTTTAAAACAATATAAAGAATGCAGATCAGAAGGACTCCTGGACATTAATCCACTGAAGGTCTACCTGAAGAACTTCCCACTCCTGCTGTACCTTGTACGCTGATTTCTATCACCCCTCGGGAGTTTTGCCACTGACTTCACCTTTATTTTCCCATCATAGTGTGCTGTGTCCCTCAGACTTAAGATAGCCTGTTTGTCTTCTGAATAGAGACTTGTCTATGTTGAGCCATACAGCTGCCTCCTCCTTCTGCTTGACACAGACCTCCACCAGCTGGACTCAAACTTCAATCACCCCCGAACCAGACCTATCCCTGAAAAACTCTCCTATTCTTGTACTTGGATCCAGTAACTCCCAGTCTTATACTAAGATCCAGAATAATTCCTTTGGATTATAGTTTTAAACACTGATGCTCAAAAGAAAATAGAATCCTGGGCTGAGCATGATGGCTCATACATGTAATCCTAGCAGTTTGAGAGGCTGAGGTGAGAGGATCGCTGGGGGCCAGGAGTTTGAGTCCAGCCTGGGCAACATAGTGAGACTCCATCTCCACAGAAAATTCAAAAATTAGTTGGGCATAATGGCATGTGTCCATAGTTCTAGCTACTTACGAGTCTGAGGCAGGAGGATCACTTGAGCTCAGGGCTTTGAAGTTACAATGAGCTATGATCAGGCCACTGCACTCCAACTTAGGTGACAGAATGAGGTCCTGTGTCTAACAAAAAACAAATGAAAATAGCATTCTGAAGATGGATGGTGGTGATGGTTGCACAACACTGAGCTGTACACTTTAAAATGGTTAAAATGTTGTGTGTGTGTGTGTGTATGCGTGTATAATGGCAATGATTAAAATAGGTTCATTCTTTTGATTTGGGAAGTTTAAAATTAAAATTGTGAACATTTACATACTTTCAATGAATTTTTTCCCATAACTGTGTAAGTGATAAGGAAAGAGAAAGAGAAATAGAAAATAGAAAAGTTTTTGTAAAATTCTTCAAAAATATTAAATGAATTGGGTCAAATTTACATCAAGTACTTTTGCAGTGTGTGCTTGGATATGCATAGACAGCTTCTATTTTTCTCATTGTGGGTTTGAGTATTTCTTTCCCTGGTGGAGGTCTATTGCCTCTCAAGAGAGAGAAAAGTTGTGGAAACAAAACAAGGCTTTGTGTATCTTTCACAAGGGCTGGTTTGTTTTAGAAGGAATTTCAAGGAAGTTGGGAACCTTAAAACTGTGTTTTGTTTCATAGTAAGTTTTCTCCTATCACTGAGGTCCCACTTTTAGCAAATGCATATATAATTCTTATTAATGTTGATGAATCTATGAGAAAAGGAGAATTTCAGATTATTTAGAAAAATCACAGGGTCCACATGATTCTCAGCTTATTCAAAGGCCTTGTTTCCAGTAGGCCAAATACAAATTCTTCATTTACCACAAACCCCAAAATGTGGGAAGAAGATAGCTGAGTCAACAGGAAATAAAGGAGACAACTCTCAAACTCTGTGTAGAGAATTAAAATGCTACTGTTCCCACATACAGACATAGACAAGCCCTTGCTTTTAGGAACTAAGGAGTGCCTTGCTTATGACCAGCTTGGGCAGAGCACAAAGACACCATGGGGCTCACTATTAAAGAAGTTTACTTTTAGTGAAAGAAGAGTATTAAATGTTACTGCAGCATACTAAGTGCACCAACTTCTTTGAATTAAGAACACCACTGTTTGGTGTACAGCTTTGTCTTTTCAGAGATAAGAATTCCATTCAAACTAATGATAATCTCACCTACCAATCAAATAAATAGCCTAACGTTAAAGCTATATCCAAGGCACCAGAAGCCCTTTAACGGCAGCTCACTTATCATACCCATGTCTCTGTGAAGGGTTACAGAATTATTATTCTTATAGATTCAGACACCAAACCACAGAAGTTAAATGATTGACCCAAGATCAGCAAAGTTGGCTTCTCACAGGGCAAAGCAGAGTTGTTATAATTTTTTAAGAGATTTGAACCCATGCCTATGTCATTCCAGTAGACCTTTTTATGGATAATTTAATTCCCAATTTTGGGAATTAAATTCCATCACTGTTCCAGCAAGGTACTTTTCTGAATCAGACTCTTCTTTTGCTGAGACCCTGCCTGATGCATTTCAGACAGTTTTGCAAGATGGCAAGGACTCCCGCTTCCCCACCATGACTCACTGGATGTATGCAGCATTCATCCTTTCTTTCTTTAGCTTAACTTTTTAAAATCATGACAACCTTTTAGTAACCTAATATGAACTATAACACCTCATCAACAAAGTGTTTGACAGTGTAATCAAGAAGCATAGTGACTTCAGGCAAGGAAGAAGTATAAGACAAGGTGAATGCTAAAGAAAAATGACATTGGCCCAGGAATGGTGGCTCACGCTTGTGATCCCAGCACTTTGGGAGGCTGAGGCAGGAGGATCACAAGGTCAAGAGATCGAGACCATCCTGGCCAATATGGTGAAACCTTGTTTCTACTAAAAATACAAAAATTTGCTGGGTGTGGTGGTGCACGCCTGTGGTCCCAGATACTCGGGAGGCTGATGTAGGAGAATAGCTTGAACTCAGGAGGTGGAGGTTGCAGTGAGCTGAGATCACGCCACTGCACTCCAGCCTGGTGACAGAGTAAGACTTCGTCTCAAAAAAAAAAAAAAAAAAAGAAAAAGAGAAGAAAAATGACATTCATGCTATGTGTTATTACAGTAATGTTCTTAGCTGTGAGATGCGCACAAAGAGAAAAATCCTAGCTAGTAATCCATCAACAAACGTGTTAAGAAAACAGCACATTGTAGTTGGATAACCTGCCTCATGACTGCACTTAAACCAATTAATAAGAAGCAGAATCAGTTTAAGGACATTTTTTTCAAACCCATGTATTGAATTGTTTAAGGGGGAATACCCTAGAATGTCATTCAATGATATGGTAAGAGTTATGCTCCTGAAAAAATCTAGTACCTCGAAAGCTTGATTAGAAGCTATGTATGTTAGGTCTGTTGGACTCTAATATTTATCTCTTCCTGGACTCTAATATTTATCTCTTCATTCAACAATTATTCATTAAGCTCCTACAATATGTAATATGGATTTACATGGCTTTTGATGTTCCAAAGAGTAATTGATTTTTTAAAAGTGTTTTGAAAGGAATCCATGATCATCTATTCTATTCCCATGATCCTTTCAAATATTGGTGAAAATGAGCTTACTTCTGTTTCTGCTGGGGCAGGAAGACCTTTAACCCCAAGGGTAGAGCAGCATTCTGCCAGAAAATTCTAGCTGCCATCCCTAAAGTAAATTAAAATGTATATGTAGTAAATTTCTAGACCCTTCATATGTTCTTCCCATTATTCTTGTCAGTAGACACCTGTTGCCCTCCAAGAGCTAGCTGCGTGTGCAATACGCCCATGTGAGTGGGGATTGCTGGCTTAAGCAGGGATGGAGTCCCCTTAGCCTTCTTTGAAAGACATTAACCTCTGTAGAGCCTTGAGACCTCAGTAGTTGAGATAAACATTTTTCCTAATAAGAGCCCAGAGGGAATATGTCATATACTTTACTGTTTTCAGGGTTTAAACTCAGTTGCAGGCAGAACTTTTTCTAAAGGTTTCAAAAGAAAGGCAAGCCAACATGTGCAGGCATATCGCCAAGTTTCTATAACCTCTCTAGATTGTGGACATTGAGACAGAGAAAAGAAAGCCTGGGAAAGGAGGGATGGAGAGCTGAAAAGACCAGTTCTAAGCTGACTAGACTTTTCTCCCATGTCTGCATGGTCTGGTTTACCTTGTCACTCTATAGTCAAGTCAGTTAAAAGTTTAATACACAAATGGAAAGAAGTTGATGATATTCTAATTTCATTCAATTACCATAGGTGAGGATATTATCTATGCAAAATTGTAGCTCACATTAGGTTTATAAGATAGTGCACACATATAATCCATATCTTATTTAAATATCTTAGTCTATAATCACTAGAATCTTTATTTTTATTTTATTTTAGTTTTAGTTTTTCCAACTTTTATTTTAGGTTCAAGGGGTACATGCACAGGTTTGTTACATGGGTAAATTGTGTGTTGTGGGGGTTTAATGTACAGATAATTTTGTCACCCAGGTAATCAGCATAGTACCCCAATAGGTAGTTTTCAATCCTCACCTTCCTCCCAAATGCCACCCTCAGGTAGGCCCCAGTGTCTATTACTCCCTTCTTTGTGTCCCTATATACTCAATGTTTAGCTCTCACTTATAAGTGAGGACATTTGGTTTTCTGTGATAGTTCACTTAGGATAATGGTCTCCATGTCCATCCATGTTGTTTCAAAGGATATAATTTTGTTATTTGTTATGGCAGCATAGTATTCCATGATGTATATGTACCACATTTTCTTTATCCAGCCTACCACTGATGGGCATGGGAGGTTTAACTGGGCATGGTTTCCTGCCTTCAAAATCTTACCTTGACTAAGTGTTCCACCAGAAAAAGTGAGGAGTTCGGCAGAGGTAGGAAATAAAAAAGGCACCCCATAAAAGAGAGAAGACCATAGCATGAGGCAACATGTATGTTTGTAACATCTCAAGAAACATGCGGAAAACAACTTCACATTGATCTGAAATCATGTGCCATGTGTCATAATCTCTCTTTGTTTCTATAAAATTGCATCGTTAAGGAGTATATTTTGCTTGATTACTCTCTATCAAAGAATGTGGGTTCCATGAAAGGTTGGGTAGACGAATCTCTCTTACTTTTCCTCCCACACTTTCCCCTCAAATGTTGGATGAAAGGGAGAAAAGAGCTACCAGTCCCTGGTGGAGGCCTAAATTCTGGGAGTGTCCCAGCCCCAATCTACTCCCTCTGCCTGCCCTCTGGGAGGCTGAGGTGAGGGAGGTGGGTGTACCCACTAGCAAAACGTGATCCCAGGCCTGGGTCCGTTCCTCTGTTTTGCCTTTGCTTAAAACGTGCGGGAGGGCTCCTTTGAAGGCCAGAGAAAGGCAAGTCCATCATCTGGGAGGAGGAGACACACACATAGGATGTCACCATGCCATATCCTTAGTCCCTCGCTGGACTGGGTCAGATTTGGAGGTAAGGCTGTGAAAACATCCAGTCACCCAGTCACTGCCTGGCCTCCGCCAATGTGTCCTGACTCCAACCCAGTCTAGTAAGCCCCTTTTGGACTCTCACTGCTCTGTCACTCCTGTGTTCACTTCCTATATTTTCACACAGATGTGGCTTAGTGTTTTCTTTCTAAGGCATATTTTGCATGGAAGAATGCTTCCAGTGAGCTGAGGCCCTAATTGCCAAATAATGGTTGCCAAAACATGTTATTTTGGCTTCAAGCTGGTACAGAGCTGAGGCATTTTCCCCTCTTAAAAAAAAAAAAAAAAATCCATCCTCAGCAGCCCAAGGGCCATTTGCAAACACACAGGACTGAGCCCTCCATGGCTCTTCCTTCAGCTGGTGAGGGTGACTCCTTGTCACTTGAGGCAGCCTCAGTGGACCTCGTCCTTGCACGGGGGAAGCTCCACGGTGGGGCCGCCTCTGGGCTGTGGGCGCCAGGCTAAACGAAGGTGCTGAGACTTGCCTCCCACCAAGCCCCGCCAAGGGCTGCCTGCTCTGCCACGAGGGGTGTTCCTGCCGCCCCGCGCTGCAGTGGGAAGTGTCTGCCAGCTAACTGCAAACACAAGCCTACCAGCAAGCACGGGAATTCCAGATAGAGACAAATCTAGGGCCTCAGGGGAAGCTGGATGGAACTGATCAGTGTGAGAGATATCACCGCTAATTAAGTCCTGATCCCCTGGCTCCACTTGAAACAAACCAAGGAGGGATCAAGTTTTGCGAGCAGGTGCTAACTGGTTGCAAAAGAGGAGTCCATCACTTCAGCAAAAGGTTTCACTGTACCTTGGGGAGGACACAGCTTTTCTGAGGAAAGTCATTACTGGACAGAGCCATAGGCTCTTATTTTGTCTTAGGACACGGAGGAGCTTGTAAAAAACAAAAAAACACAAAAAACAATCCTCCGCTGTGACAAACAACTGTTTTCCTTTCCTGTGTTTTCCCCTTGATGGCTGATTTACTTTCTCCTCAGATGGACAATGGAGTAATTTACAGGTCAGTAAACACTTTCCTGGAGATGCCGGAGCAGTTTCATTTTGGTACAGATAATATGGGATTTGTTGTGACTCAGAATATCAGTCCAGAGTGGGACTGACACAGCCACCTACCCTGACTGTTTAAGAAAAAACAATTCTAAGTACAATGCATAAATAAACCTAACAGCAAATACTTACCTGCAGAAAGAAAATCTGAGAGCTCCATGAGTATTGTGTATGTGTGTGTGAAGAGGGAAAGTGATGTGTTAAGGAGCTGGACAAATATCCTGTCAAACATCCATGATTTTTTTTATTCTCGGAAATGTTGCCTTGATTCTAGAAATTATGACTTTGAATACCTACTAACATGTACTGGGCACTTCTATGTGCCCGGAGCTCTGCCAAGTGTTTTACATTCATTATCTCATTTGACCTTTATGAGGGCCATAGGAAGTAGATGTGACTTAGAGATGTTAAATAACACCTCTAGTAAGTGACCCGCCAAAGTTTGGAATGCCACCAGAGTGTGTATTTCTAAACGTGATGCTATCCTGCCTCCCAACTTTGGATTCTGCACAGAAATAGCAAAATACTTTGCACATTAAGTGCCCAAGAAATGCATTAAGTGAATGATTGAACAATGATTGAATGGTGATATTAAGGACTCACTGTTTTTGCAATATTGTAAGCATCTTTTCAAATTATTCCCATACGTTCGTACTAAAACAGTAACTTGGGAAATTGTTCTACTATACGTTAAGTCTGACAGTCTAGAGATCTCTGATTTTGGGGACAATATTTGTATTGAGTAAAAAAAATTATTCTGAGGGTCTTCCTTTGATCTGAGTGAAGAATGTTTTGAATCTTGACAGGGCTGGACCTACATTTGGCACATTTTGATAACCTGCAGGCAAGTTGGCTGAAGTTGCTGGCAGTGACTCCAGAAATCATTATCAACATAATTTCCTTTTTCTTATGACATGTAATCCTTCCCCTATCCTCACAACCCAATCTTTCGACCACTCTTGATAGTGGGAGGCTGCTGCTTTGAGTCATGTACCCAGCCACTGAGCACAGGCTTTCTCTGGAATGTGTCCTGTGTTGATTGCACTATTTATTAGTTTTATAGCAACAGAGCTGAGTGCTTCTTTGGTGTCTTTCTTGGGATTGTGTACATCATTCAGCCAGAAACAAAGAGTAGTTTGGATCCTTGCTGGCACCTGAACTGACTTGAAAGGGAATTTAGAGTTAAATCCTTATAACGCATAGATGTTTATGAGAAACATTGTTTTATACATGTTTATGGAAATAAAATTATTTCAAATGATGGTGCTTGAGGGTACTATGAGATGAGACAGGGCTGAGCTCAATAGTGAAGGCACAGAAATGGAAATGCTAAAGGGAGTTTTAATGGTTGGCTTTAGCTCTGATGGGGGCAACGAGGCCTTAACCTTGTTTTCTTTACCAGCTCTTCCACTGTCCTTTTGGCTTGCTGAGAATCTAACAGTATCTCACTCCATTTCGCTGTTGCTGTAATGAAGAAGCAGTGCTGTTGGTCAGTGGATTTTTCCAGAAGGTTGAGTTAAAGGGTATAACAAGCAGAGGGTGATAGTTTGAGAAAGCTCCAGATATGCACACTTCTACCCTCCCCTCTAACCATCATTTTCTGGAGTGTGATTTTGCCCCCGCAGCTTGCTTTACTGTCCACTAAACCACTTTCTTGTTTTCAGCCATGTGGATTCTTGTCCTTGCAAAAAGATTTCCCCAACTCTTTAGAACTTTGACCTTTAAAGTCTGCCTGAGGAATGTAAGAGAACTGCACATTTTACACAACTGATGTAAGATTTGTTTAGAACTTCAGAAAAACACGGGGTGGGGGGCAGTGTGCACAATGCATTTTTACAAGAGGCCCATTCAACAACACAGGATATGGCGAAAATAAAACAGGATTGGGTGGGATGCATGTTTGGGTTCTCAGGGGGCTGAAATCAAAGAGGTGTGCAAACTATTCTGCATAAATCCTTGCCATCCGCTTTGATAAATGAGATTACAGACTTGAAAGGTCAATTATATATTCGTAAGGAGAAATGCCAGGTTTGTGTTAATGTTTGTGCCTGACAGGATCTTAAAATAGACTTGAGTGAGCTAATCACATTGATGACCGTGTACAGTAGTGGAGAAGAGCTTAATACAATTTTATTACCTCCTATGGGCAAATATTTGCCTCACGAGACACACCCAATCCCTCCAGAATAGACTATTGTAAACAACTGGCTCCCCTTTTACAAGAGCTGAAATCTTTATGATGTTTGGGAATGCTGAAACTAAGGGCTAAAGAGCTTATTTGAATCTTGTCTTTCAGCCAGGAAAGCTCACCAATTGATTTTTTCTCCCTCTTTCTTTCTCACTAACTATGCCCAAGGCATGTTCTAGAAAACTAACATTGGCGAGAGTTCTGTTCACCCTTCCCAGTTTTATTCCTGGGAATGACAAATGGTGGGTGTTTTCGAATTTCCCATGTAGTTCCAGCAGACAAATATGTTTCCTTCATGTTTCTTTGCCTGCATGCAGCAAGGAGCATGACTTCAAAGTCTCAGATCTCGCATAGAAAAAGGTGAGAGTCACTTCTAATATTTTTGCTGGCAGGATTCTACAAGATTTAAACCTGACTGCTTGCACAACTCGTGGAAATGTAATGAGTCTTTACCCCAAAATGCCTTACCTATAATTGAGTATACACAGGGTTAATATCATTGCTCCTAGCCTGTGCAGTTAGGCCATGTGATGTACTCAATTTCAGTTACCTTCACTTGGTTTATTTAACAGAGATAAATGTATTACAAGTGTGAAATGAAAAAAAAAATGAAGAGAAGCGAGACAGTATCTTTCTCCTCATTAATATGTGGATATATGTGTTTATGAATGTATTTGTATTAATGCTGACTTATAGAGTTACATTTTGGAATTACTTAGGACTATGTAACACCATTCACATTATCGAAACTGATTTAGTCTAGCCAGATTAAAACAATTCTGGCCTAAACAGGAATAATCTGTATTTCAGGTACCTTTTAATATTAAGAAGGTCTAGTGATTCATATGTAACTTCTAAAAAATTTTTTGGATTGTTAACTATGCTCAAATTCTATCAAAGGAAACACTGTGCTTTTGCAATATTGTAAGCATCCTTTCAAATTATTCCCATACGTTTGGAGCCATGTAAATTACCATTGCAGCATGTTGACTATGGATTTGAAATCATGCAGGTTTAAGAAGCAATAAGGTCTTCTTCCTCATTCAGTACCCTTAGAGCCCATGTAAATAAATAAGTATAATAACATGTGGTGAGTATCTTACTGGATGTATGTACAAGGCTAAGTGGGTCACAAAAGAACAGACAGTTAGCTCTAACTGGAGTGGAAGTGGCCAGGAAAGTCTGCAGCAGGTGAAGCTTGAGCCGAGCTTTAATAAGCTGTGTCAATGTTCATCAATGCACAGGAGGAAAGACCTTCCCAGAGAAATGGATCTGGGTCTATGCCCTCCTTAAAACTCTTCCATTTGCTGGCTATGTGACTTTGGGAGAGCCGCTTTCCTATTTGAGCCAAATTGTTTCACCTGTAGACTGAAACACCTGCCTTACAAAATTGTTAGATTATATGAGAGAATATACATGAAAATGCTTTGAGAATTGGAAAATACTCTTCAGATGTAACATATTCTTAGCGCACTAAAGGTTTTTCCAGCTTTCAAAAGAACTTGACCTTTGAAGATAACTATGCTTGTATGATGTGTGTGTGTGTGTTTTCATGTCAAATGTGACTGTGGGGGTATTGTTAAGTTAGGCTAAACTGCTGTCACAAATAGAACCAAAAGTGTATTATGGTTTAAATATAGCAGGAGCTAATTGCTTGCTCATGTAAGTGTTTACAGTGAGTGTTCCTGGTCAACAAGTAGTTTTCTTCCACAGTGTTCCTAGCTGGGTGTGCAGAAAGAAAGAGACTTGGGGACTAAATGCATAGCAGTCTTTACCACCATGGTAGTAGTTTGTGTCTAATATATGTGCACACGCCTTTATACTTCAGGCAGCATGTGGACATCGACCCAGCCAGAACAGAAATCAGTATAAACTAATCATACACATGAAAATGGAAACCCACAAATAATACTAGCTTCTCTTTTGAAAAAGCAGTAATGTGTGTTTGTTTTTGAGAAGATTTAAAAAAAAAACAATGAAAATGGCCCCAGCAGAGAATGCCCTTTCCTTATGTTGTCAGTGATGGGGCTAACTGAGCCTGGAAAAGAAACAGATGCCGTGAGGGAGAAATTGGTAGGTGGGAGAACTGGAGGGAGAGGCTTCCCGCAACCTTGTCTTCCAGAGCTTTATAACCATCCTCCCTACTCTGTCATGTTTCCTCCTAATATCTATTTCTCTTTGTTCATTGCTACTTGAGTAAGTCTCTACTGCCTCCCCCTGCAAGCAGCCCTGGCCACCCAGGGCTTTAATGACAAGAAAAAATCATATCTTTTCCTCCCTACAAGATGAATATGCCAGATTCCCAGGAATATCAGCTGTTTAAAAACATCACTAGATTATTAGATCTAAGGCAAAGGAAATAGAGTTTTTGTACCTGCTCAAATTGTGGCCATTTGATAAACCTGCTACCTTTAGAGTACAGATGTCTTTGAAAGAGACTCCAGCTTCTTATGTTGCTCAACACTTCACCCCATATCGAGAGCGGGAAAGAAGACAACAGCTACACTTTGTAGAAGGAAGGGGAAAACCCACAAAGAAGCCAACCTGCCTTTTATCAGTGTGAGCTCTTTGTTTTGGTGACATAACACACCATGTCAGTTCCTGGCATGCTTAATTTCTGGCTTGCCTAAAGTAACAACAATGCCAGTTACTAGAAATACAGCTGCTATAAATGGTAACTGATAATATTATGCATATTTTTAATGACTTGAAAAAATGTTTTCGGAAAATTGCCTTGGAGGCTCTAGTTTCAATTCTGTAAGTCAAAGGGTGATAAGATTAAGCCAGGTAAATCTACGTTTTCTTGGGCTGAGGCGCCTCCAGCATCTGCCCAAGCTTCTGGCTGAGTGCTAGGCAGTCTCTAGCCTTGTCTTTGAAACAGAAGTCTGGAGAAGCCCCAGGGAGTGGGGGAGGCAAAGTGGGCTAGATTCATCTTGAACTGCAGCCAAGATTCAGCTGCTCCTGGTCTTGGTCTCCACTGACTGAATCTGTTTGGAGGCCCATCTGGCACTGTGAGCTGGGATGAATTCAGCTCTGAAATGTAATTGTTGACCCCTGACTATATAGGAAGAAGAGAAGTAATCAAGACATTACTTATTTCCAAATATCACACCTAAGAGCCTGATTTTGAAAACTGTTGCTAGTGGTGGCATCAGTAACTTCATTTAATCATTGGGTTTTCTTCAGAATGCAGAAATACGTATTTCCTTAGTAAACATTTTCTTTTTTTTTTTTTTTGTGACAGAGTCTCATTCTGTCACCCAGGCTGGAGTGCAGTGGTGTGATCTCGGCTCACTGCAACTTCCATCTCCCGAGTTCAAGCGATTCTCATGCCTCAGCTTCCCAAGTAGCTGGGGCTAAAAGGCGCACACCACCATGCCCGGCTAATTTTTGTATTTTTAGTAGAGACAGAGTTTCACCATATTGGCCAGGGTGGTCTCGAACTTCTGACTTCAAGTGACCCACCTGCCTCGGCCTCCCAAAGTGCTGGGATTACAGGCATGAGCCACCATGCACGGTCCTTAGTAAACTTTTTGATGTGGAGGGCCTTCTCCAAGTGTTTGAAAGCCTGAATCACTGTTTTGTAAGTTAGTGGGAAGTATCAGAATGTTCTGGCCTTGACTAAAGAAGCCTCTGATTTTCTTGAAAGTGAATTTCTAGCCTAAATGTTACCTTTGATTAAGTTGATGTAGTAGGTTGTGTTAGGTAAGTCTTCTAAACAACCTGCATTTTTGTCTGCTTCTGTGTGACTACCTCAGACACCACTGATACCCACAATTTCTTCTTTTTAAAGGACGATTAGAATACCATTCCTCTTTCTTAGAACCCTTCCTTCATGTGTCACAAAGGAATAGCCAACTATTTGGATTTGCCATAGTTCGAGATTGTCAATTTTTCCATTAGCAAGTAGAAGGGAAAATCTAGTAACTTTGAACCCAGATAAAATTTCCATCAAAGTAAAACTGTTGTGTTTTTTTTTATTTCTATATGATAAAGTTTGGATATATTGACAATAAATTCCACTAAGATTCTTTGCAAAGATTATTGACATTTTCAACTAGAACAAGGGGAGGATTAAATTACTTATATTAGCTTTGAGAAAATCAGATACATTTACTATTCAGAAACAATGCAGGAAGAGCTTAATTTCCATAAAATTTACCTAGAATTGAGAATATTTTAGCATTAAAAAAATCAAATTTTACTATCACACTGGTTTTTAAGTAAAATTAAAACATAATTTTAAAAGAAAAAATCAAATTTTATAGCTCTAGTAGTCTCTGGGGGAAAGTCTGGTTGAGAATATTTTGTCCTGCTTCTCTTTTTCTTTCAGCTGTTTGCTTTTTTGTCATTTCTCTACAGGTCAACCGAAAGTTGATGGAATTTTCACTCAAACTATTTCGCTACTTACTAGCAAAACTGGGGAAAAAGCATGGAAATGATTTGACATCAGTGATTTAAAGTAAAATGTTAGATGTGTGGATTTAATTTAATTGTTTCATTCCTGACTTCCTTGATTGTATAATAATTTAATTGCCACAGAGCCCGTTCTTCCATCAAAGAGTCCTTGAGATGGCCTCTTTGTGAAGCCCATTCGCCAGCATGGTGGACACATCAGGAGGAGCACAGGCAGCCTTTGCTGTTCAGGTCGCTCATCTTTTCTCTTCCTCTACTGCTTTTTCTGCATTATTACTCCCATCTGTCTGTATCATCTCCTCAACTAAATATTAAGTTTTTTGAGGTCAGGATCTATCTTAAGTCTATTTTCTCTGATAGTATTTATCACATCCTCATTCTTATAGTAGTTGTTCTAAAAATGTTAGTTGGATGAACAGATAAAGTTGGAAACTCATGAAATTCTCCCTAACACCTTGCTTTTTTATTTGTCCTCATTTAACAATTTGCCTTTTTTTTTTTTTTTTTTTTTTTTTTTGAGACAGGGTCTCACTCTGTCACCCAGGCTGGAGTGCAGTGGTGTACTCATGGCTTACTGCAGCCTTGACCTCACAGGCTCAGGCAATCTTTCTGCCTTGGCCTCCAGAGTAACTGGGACAACAGGCACATGCCACCACACCTGGATGATTTTTAAATTATTTGTAGAGATAAGGTCTCATTATGTTGCACAGACTGGTCTTGAACTCCTGAGATCAAGCAATCCTCCTGCCTCAGACTCTCAAAGTGCTGGGATTACAGGCATAAACCATCACACCCAGACACAATTTGCCTTCTTAATAAAAGCATATTACTTTTTGTTTTCCTGATGAGTAGAAATAGAAAAATTCCAGAAAATATGAAGATAGGCAATGCAAACATCAACTATAATCTTATGCCCAAATATTACTATTATTATTGGGCATATTTTTCAGCAGTGTTTTTTCTATGCATGTTAATGTATACATGTGTAATTTTTTGGTTCTGTTTTATTGCTTGCGAATGTATTATATTAACAGTTTTCTATGCAACTTTTCTCACCAAAGCATAATTAACATTTTCCCCATGACTTAAGACATTTTTGGTTATATTGTATTCCATCATATGAATAGACCATAATTTATTAATTAGATAGGCTCTCTTTTAAGTTGCAGAGCCAACTCAACCTAACTGAAGCAGAACAAGAAGGACGGATATTTATTACAAGGTGAGATAGAACATGACATGAATTAGTATGATCCCAAGTCTACAGTGAGAAATGGCAAAGGCAGAGTGACTAGATAGAGTTGTAAGGAGAGATTACCTCTGGCTGGGACATAGGGCTTCATAAGGGAGATGGTATTGATCTGGGCACAAAGGAGAAGTAACAGTGGTAAAGACTTACATGTTTTAAGTGCTGCCCGTGTGATGCCCTATTCTCATCATTTTACATGGATTATTTCATTCAAAACTTTTGCTCTTTTTACTTAACAGTTACAATGAAACATTTCCCCCATGCTTATCAATTAAGACATTTTTGGTTATATTATATTCCACAATAAGAATACATTATAATTTATTTATTAATTAGGCTCCTTTTAAGTTGCGGAACCAACTCAACCTACCTGAGGCAAAACAAGGGTTTTTTAAATCATCTTTATTATAAGATACTTTCATTCCCATTTCACAGATGACAAAACTAAGGAGAGTTACCCATGTTCAATTAGGATTTTGACATCCAGACAGGAGAAATGGGGGCTGAGCTGGGTGATGTAAGCAGAAAGAGGCAATTCACCAAAACCAATAGCCTCACCAAAAGCATCATGAACCACATACATCTACACAATATCACAGTGAGTCTGTTCCTTGGGGTGCGTTTCGTTAGGACCTGCCAGATGGAGAAGACAGGAAATAACTACCTTTCACAGTGGCTCTTTAATGTGGTTCCCCAAACAGCCACCTGCGCTACCCATTGCAAGGAACTGAGGATTTCAAGTCATCTCTTGAAACTTCTGTGTGACAGTTTCTCCCATAACGGCTCCTTAGTTGAAGATCAAAAGCCACCAGACATTATAACATACAGCCAAATTTTAATAAATGATTTCTGCAAAGATGGGTAATTGAGGTAACACCAGAGAAATATACACACCTACAAAATAAAAGCTAAAAAATCTTACCTTATTTCTGGGTCTTTAAATGTGGTGTATAACCTGTTAGAAACATGAGTATTGGTCAAACATGCTATGATGAGCTGGTTCTTCTCACTATCTGCCTAAGACCAAAACATAACTCTGGGCTTTGCAGAAATCCCTAAATGCCTCTCTAGGCTCATTCTTGCCTCTTTGCATCATAATTCACAATGCATGTGAGAAAGTTCTAATTTCTTAGTTTCCCTTGGCTCACTTGTTGCATGGAGGGAGCCACCAACTGGAGGCAGCAGCCCTAGGCTGTTGGAATGGCTGCAGTGGGTCTGTCTTTGAAGTCTTACCCTGCAGTTATCTCTCATTGCACCAGGCAGGCTGTAAGCAAGCCCGTTGCATGCAGCTGTCACCATTTAAGCCAGCATGCGTTTGAAGATGTGCCGCCCCTCACCCCTTGTGAGGGAAGCCAGAATAGAACAAAGTGTGGTGTTCCCATGAAATCATCTGAGTGCTTGATAAGAGTGTGAGTCTGCACCTTTTCCCCTTGACGGAAGGAGGTTGGGAGAAGGGGTCAGGGAGGAGACAAAGCTCATATTACCTCCTCTTTGCAAATGTCCTACACAGGTAGCTGTAACTGCCACACTTTAAGGCAGTTCTTGATGGTTCTTGATGACAAAAGTGTGCATATGGTAGAGATGGTGATGATGGCAGTGGGAGGGAGGTGTGAGGGGAAGACAGGTCTCAGGATTTCTGGTGGACTCGTCATGTGGGCCCTTACCAAGCAATTTTTCTCGCCTCTTCCCTTCCTTGTTCAGAGCACAGTTGAGACCCCAAATCTTCACGCTGCTGTCGAACATATGTTCTAGAGGAGTGGTGAGATAATGTCGCAGCCGTTGAGGCAGTAAGCATTGGCTGTGGTTTTTGATTTCCTCACCATGTCTTTATCACTTGATGAATGTATTAGTCTGTTTTACCCCTGGAGTAGGAGCTAGGACATTTTTGCCATCTCTTTTTCCCCACTCCCATGCTTCATCTCTTAAAAGAAAGTGGCTGCTCAGAAGAGCACTGAATTTACCCAGACCTCCCAAACATCCCGTCAAAAGCTTCTTCCTTCTGGGTTGATTTATCTGTTGCTGCAAATATGATACCACACATGGAGAACTGGCGCTTGGCCTCTGAGAGCAGCTCCTTGTAACAAAACTATTTACAGGATCCAGGCAGGGGCGAGGCGCGGGCAATGCGCTGGAGGGTCCGACGTTTGCTTTCACTGACCAGCTGTCCTGCTTGGTGAGCTGCCCTTGCGGCTGACTTCACAGAGAAGCCAAGCAACCAAGAGCAAATTGCTCATTTTACAAACAAAAATGCAGACAGTAGGAGAGCCTGTATAAGCTGAGTTACAAATTGCTGTCAGGCCTGCGTGGGCAGTTGGCAGTCAAGAATGGAGCCTCAGGTTCTCTGCCTGAGGGGAAGGAAGGGAAGATTCCTGTTATTCACACTGGAAGGACAGTGGAGGAATTCCTGGTATGAGAATTGTCCGCCTCTCTCTGCATCTGCAGACACCATGTGGCTGGCCTGTTGGTGGCCGGGGAGATTACATAAAGGGTTGGAAAGCTCACAGTCTTTGTGAAGGATAAACATCTTCCCTCTGCCACCAAAGCAGTAGCAATTGTGGTTCCAGGATGGGAGGTTTCAAAACAAAAATAGGCCAGTGCTATTGGCATTGCATTGCCTTCAACAAGATACCATCAGCTCTCATCAGAGAGCAGTTTACTAGTTTCTGGATAACCCGGGCCTTTATTCTTCCCTCCCTACTCAGGCAGAATCCTAGAAAGGAAGTGAAATTTGATCTGGGCAATTTTTCTATTTGTAAGTACTTTATAGAAAAGGGTTGGCTACAGAAATGACTCGAGCTACTGACCAGAATTCAGTTTATACATGATGTGTGTCTCTAAGTGGCATTGTCCTCTTGGAGAGAATTCTGAGAGCAATCAAAAGGCTTGGCCAAGCAGGTCCTGGGTCTCTCCATCCACTCCTTTCAGCTTGAGTCCAGTGAAACCTAGAGCAGGGTTGGCTCATTCCTACTTTAGCATTTTTGGTTCTCAGAGACATCCTGTGTTCCCTCTCAAAGCTCTGGGCAATCTGAGGAACTTCTGGGACCCTCTTGCTACAAGGTGTGTCATAGTCTTGGTAAAAGTAGCCCCCAGAGTCAAGAAGTTCTCTGAGGATTAGGAACACCCAGGATGAATGGTTGTCTGAACTTGCTGATTCCAATCAGTATATAAGAGGTTGGGTGGGTACAAGGCTATTTCTGGGGAGAAATGACAGGAAGACCATGAGTCACTCATAGAACTCATACTCTTCATCGACTCTGAAACGCATCACAGAGGGAGTGTGGCACACTTCGCTGGGCTGTACTCTCCAAATCTCTCAATTCACATACTTCTGTTCAATCTGTGGTGTCAGAATGAGGCCAGGAGAGTTCAGGCTGCAAAAAACCTGGGTTTGAATTCTAAATTTTCCACTTAATGGATGTTGTTTATCCTTTCTGAGAGACACGCTTGTGTGATCTCTAAAATGGGGACAGTCATATCTATCTTAGAGAACTGGTGAGTACAATAAATTAGGTAAAGCTTATAAGGTCTAGCACCATGCCAGGCATATAATAAACACCCAACAAATGTAATCTCCTTTTTATCTCCTATTCTCCCATGTCCAAGATCAATTAAGAATAGGCAATGAAATATGGCTTTTTATTAGTTATTTGAGACATTAATCTTAAAGTCAAGCTAAACTAGATCAGTCTGAGAGGAAAAGAATGGGTGACATGCATAAAGCCACCCAGTAATCTCCTAGGTCTCACATCCAGCATGTGTATTTAAAGCAGAGGCTGAACAAGTGAATCAAGGGCAGCCGTGCACGCAGGTGGTTTTCATTAGGCATGGGTGGCTGTATAATTTGGAGAAGGTTCAGGGCAGGCTATCCAGTCCCATGAGGGGGATGTGGATAAAGGGTAAGGGGTAGGCCAGAGACTAACCCCTGGGGAAACGGGGTGTAGAGTAAGACTCATTCATAGGAGAAAAAGGGCAGGAACCTAATTATTGGGGAATTCGAAATCCCCTAAGACAGAGCAGTTCTGACCTTATTAACGACCTAGGAGTTTCAAATTAAAACACACACACAACTATGAAATGAGGGTGATATAGCTTTCCTATAATATGTAGAAAAAGAACTTAAGATTTTATTTGACTCAGTATGAGTCAATAGTGTGATATGGCCATACATTCTGGGTAGCACTTACCAAAAGTATCATCTCTAGCTCTAGAAAGAGGACAGCCCTGCTTTGTTGGAGTGCCCAGAGACACTGAGCACATCGGTAGGTGAGCAATGAGATGAGGGGGTCGGAAGCTGACCCATGTGGTGAAGGAACTTGGGAGGTTTAGTCTAAAAAAAAAAATCAAGAGCACATAATACTTATCTTCGACTATCTGAAAGAAAGTGTATCAGTCAGGGCTTGTGGCTGCTAACAACAGAAATGGATTCTGTCTAACATAGTCAAAAAAGAAAGTTGTGGGAAGGTTATTGGGTGACTTGTGGGATCATTGGAAAACTAGGGAACCTGGAGGGGAAATCACACAAGAGCCAAGGGAGGCTGGCAGCAGAAGATAGAACTGTGGTTACTTTCTAGCCCGGTTGCTGCCCCCGGGACCACCTCTACCACACGCTTGGGGCCACTGTTGCTAGGCCTTTCTCTGCTTCCACAGATAGTCTTGGACTGTCTCCCCCTGCCCCATATTACAAATCCTACTCAGAGCTTTCAAATGGCTAATGGCCATGCACTTGCTATCTAAGAGTGAGCAGAAGGAATACCCAGCCCCCTTTGGCTTCCATGGTGAGAAGTAGGGCCCTGCCTCCCTCTAAGATGTATATAATTGAGACTAATTCCAAGAGAAGGAGAGGGTTAGGGGCCTGGGCAGACATGAACAAACAAAAATGAGAAAGCAAAACCAGCAAATGTACACTACAAGGTAGCAATGTGCAATTATTTGTGTAAGACCCTAAGACGTAGGAAAAAGAACAAGGGACATATGCATTTGGGAAGCAGATATTCATTTGATTTCAAAATGTATTTCTTTCTTTCTTTCTTTCTTTTTTTTTTGACGCAACATCTTGCTTTGTCACCCAGGCTGGAGTGCAGTGGGGTAATCTCGGCTCACTGCAGCCTCCACCTCCAGGGTTCCAGGGATTCTCCTGCCTCAGCCTCCCATGTAGCTGGGACTACAGGCACGTGCCACCATGCCTGGCTAATTTTTTTGTATTTTTAGTAGAGACGGGGTTTCACCATGTTGGCCAGGCTGGTCTCTAACTCCTGACCTCAAGTGATCCACCTGCCTTGGCCTCCCAAAGTGTTGGGAATACGGGTGTGAGCCACCACGCCTGGCCCTCAAAATGTTTTTCTAATGAACACAATGAGGCTAACATAACTGAGCTGCTTTTGGTGGTGGTGAGTGTCTCATTCCTGGCAGAATGCAGGAGAGGGCTGGTGACTACTTGGTGAAAATTTTCCTCTGTAATAATACATTTATAGTCATAAACCATCTAATAAAAGACCAATGCATTTATCTCTAAGTTTTTGTGTCTAAATTACAACAGAGGAAGAGAATATTCTAGAAATTATCCTATGGATTTTAAACCCTGGACCTTAAAACAACTCACATATGCCTAGGTGCAAGTGCAGAAAAAGCAATGACTCTCTTAAGGATGAGGGGTGGGTAAGCGAGCGGGTGGTGAGCATGTGTTTTCTTCTTCCCCAGTAGTGTATGACACTACCTAAGCCAGGCATAGGCATATCTGAGGTGTGGAAAGTTTCAGACTATAAAATCGGTCCCTAAAACCTCCAAAAGACTGGTAGATAGAAATGGGCTGGGGTTAGAGGAAAGGGAGAGAGAATACTTCTATTGCTCCTGATGCCAAAGACAGATTTTCCACCCTCCTCCTGCTTCCCCATCTTCCCACCTCAAAGGGCGACACTGGCAGCTAATTGCACCTGGCACCCATGGAGTGACACTTGGGGTCATTGATGTTTGGCCATGCCTCTGCCCAGTCTCTTTACTTTGTTTGCTTGGGCCAATTTCTTCTCTGTTGCCCATAAATATTTACAGCTCCTACATGCCCTTGCAAATTGGATTAATCTTAGCATATTTCTGGGACAGTGATGCCCCTGTCCAACCTTAGTTCTAAGGAATAGGCAGAAGCTTTTTTTTTTCTTTTTACTGAGTGAAAAGCAAAAGGGGAGAAAGAGAGAGAGAGAGAGAATGAGAGGGGAGAAATATGGGGGTGGGGTTGGAGGAAAGGGTGAAAAGAAGGGAAGAAGAAACAGAAGAAGGCAGGGAGAAAGGGAGAACAAATATGAAAATATTTTAAATGTTGGCCAAATGTCAAAGGAAATATGTGTTCAATGTTTGGGGAGCAAATCAGGAAAATGGGACTTGCTCAGGGATAGTATCAGTGCTCAGGTCACGGTTGAGATTAGGATGGGTGTAGAAATAGATAGTACCGTAATCTCAGTTCTAGAGAATGATGTCAATTACCTGAATCTTCCTCCATAGGTAAGAGAAGGAAAGAAATGTCTCACAATCCTTAGGATATTCTGGAAGTAAAAGCACTGATAAAGAAGTTTCAGAGCAAGGTTATTAGTGTGAATAATTACCATAATCATTCAGGTTTTATTTAGATTCATATGGTATCTTCGGAAGTGGAATTTTAAAGCAGTTGAACTGCCAGGCACTCCTTCCTTGCAAATTTCAAACTGCCTGAGGTTTCTATATTTTCAGATATTTACCATTTTCTGTTAAAAAAAAATGCCTTCCCTGAAATGTTGACTGTTAGCGAAATTTATCTTTTCCTTCAGTCTTCACAGGAATGTAGGCGATTAGCCACGGAGCCCTTCTCTGTCTAGCATCAGGCATCAGACGCCCAACTATACAGAGGCCATTTGAATGGAACTGCAGAATAATCTTCAGAAGAAAAAGCAAGCTCACATGAGTGGCAGCAGCCCATTGTGCTGAGTTAAAGACGCTGGAGAGAGTCTGGTTGGCGGTGGGGAGGTGTGGTGTTGATGACAATGATGGGGCCGTGGCTGGAGAGGTTAATGTCAGTCTCACAGACCCTGTGTAATTAGTATTCCTTATTACATCCTAATTAAAGACCCTTAACATCTTAAAATTTTAAGTATTTTTGTTTTGTTAGAAGCAGAAGACATTTAAATCCTTTAAACCCAAACACTATTGGGAACTCCAATATATAAAACCAATAATATCCAAAATTTATATAGCATTTTCTGTGTATGAGGTTTTATTTATACTAATGTATTTAATCTCCATAACCCTATAAAAAGTATTATTGTCATCTCTACTTACAGGTGTGGAAATTGAGTAACAGAAAAATTAACTTGCCAAGATAACACAGCTAGTAAATAGTAGAGCTGTGATTTGAAGCCAGGCAGTGAACTTCAGAAATCCTTTCTGTTGATGTGGGGAGTGGAGGACTCCAGACCCTGCCCATTTGGCCTTGCCTCGTCTCTTTTTACTCTAGAAAATGCTGTGGCTCTATCAAATACAGCTCAAAAAGCTACTCATCCAGTTCAACTCTCTCCTTTGAAAGATGAAGATATTGAGACCCAGAGAGGTAAAGTGACTTCTCTAAAATCTCACAATTAGCAAAACAAGGTTATTTACATCTTGTTCCTTAGGTTAAAGACTCACCTGATTTTTCTCTCTCTACAAGCAGATTGTGCATATTTTCTGTTGAAAAAAAAATTCCTTAAGGGTGTATAACAGCATCCTAAAGAGAGCTTAGATGGATGCAGGAATCTGATGAATGTCCAAAAGATCAAAGAGGAGCTTGGGGGAAAACCCAAAATTAACTCAATTATCTCTTGCACTTCCTCCTACTTGTTGTATGAAGCATAGAATAAGACTAGTGCAAAGGAGACCCGTCATAAATTCTCATCATTCACTTATCCAGCAAATAATTATTCAGAGCCCACTATGTGTCATGAGTTGTACACACACAGGTACATACTGTGTGTCACATACTAGACACTGGGACACAGCAGAGAGTAAGTCAAGTCCCTGCCCTCATAGAGCTGTTGGATGACATAAATGAAAAAGTCCAGGGTGATTTCAGTCTTCAGGAATGGTCTGATCAGGGCTCTGCTTTTTTCTCTCAGCCCTGGCTCTCCTCTGAGTACTAGCACCTGTGGAAGGACTAACTGACTCTACCTGGAGATGGTCTTTAGAGGGCTTTGAGCCAGTCTGTAGCCTGGCCAGCTACCTCACAGCTGTGTGTCATTGGCCACTGTAGACCAAGTGAGAGGATGGAGGACCTAGAACAAATCCATTGCTGTTTTGGAGACGTTCTTGTCTTCCTCACGATGAATTAGAGGATTAATTTTTTTTTAACTGTAACAATTTTAAGCTCTGTGTCTCACTTCATGTTTATGTAGTGAGTACATGTTATATCTTTCATTTCTATGGAAGCATATAGGAAATTTTCAGGGACTGATAGCCTATGTTTCTGTTCATAAACTCACTAAGCGATGGTCTGTTGGATGAAAACTCCAATACTTGATGATTTTTTTTCTTTTTTTTTTTTTATTTTTGAGACAGGGTTTCACTTTGTCACCCAGGCTGGAGTTCAGTGGCATGATCAGATCTCACTTCAGTCTCAACCTCCTGGGCTCAAGCAATCCTCCTGCCTCAGCCTCCCAAGTAGCTGCTTAGGCATGCACCACCACGCCTGGCTAATATTTTTGTATTTTTAGTAAAGACAGCGTTTCACCGTGTTTCCCAGGTTGGTCTCAAACTCCTGAGCTCAGGTGATCTGCCCACCTTGGCGTCCCAAAGTGTGAGCTACTGCACCTGGCCTGGGATTTTCAGATTCAGTTCTAGAGCATGCTGATGACACAAACTTTAGTAACAGAAATGTGGTGATTAATAATGTTATATTTTAATGTGGACTAAATTATATGTAATGATGTAATCATTTTAAAAATATTTATTGAACCATTTTTTGTGTTCGTTTGGAAGCTTTTGATTGCAAATAACTGAAACTGAGTTCATGGTGGCTGAAGATAGTCTGTTAAAGATAATCTGTTGGGAGGCGTAAATGGGAAAGTCCAGGGTGATTTCAATCTTCAGGAATGGTCTGATCAGGACTCTGATTTTTTACAGTTCTCTCATCTCTGGCTCTCCTCTGGGTGTTACCTTTATTTTCAGGCTGGCTTTTCTCCTGGTAGAAGAATGGCTGTCTTACTTTGCAGCTCATATTCACTCTCAGAAATTCTTCCTCCCTCTGGAAGAATTTATCCTCAAATCAGCAAACAAAGGTCTGTGCTTCACTCCTGTTGAACCAGCTTAGGTCATGTGCCTTCTTTTTCAAACCAGTCACTGTGGATAGGAAATCAGGATCATACTCCTTGGAGTTGGAGGAGAGGTAGGCAAACCCATACAAACCACAAAGCTGCTCTGCAATGGAGGGGAGGTGCGCAATGCTGGGAAGCAACACAATTCCACTTCAAAAAATACACTGTGCTAGGCTTTGAGGTTACCACAGTGGACAATCCAGTCTAGACAAACACGCATAAACAGATCTTTAAAACATTCATGGCTGAGCACGGCAGCTCACACCTATAATCCCAGCACCTTGGGAGGCTGAGGCAGGCAGATCACGAGGTCAAGAGATGGAGACCATCCTGGCCAACATGGTGAAACCCCATCTCTACTAAAAATACAAAAATTAGCTGGGCGTGGTGGTACACACCTGTAGTCCCAGCTACTCAGGAGGCTGAGACAGGAGAATCGTTGAACCCAGGAGGTGGAGGTTGCAGTGAGTAGAGATCGCGCAACTGCACTGCAGCCTGGTGACAAAGAGGGACTCTGTTCAAAACAACAACAACAACAACAACAAATTCATAGCACAAGTTTGAGAGGGAGGGGGCACATGAGGTGGGGCAAAACTCCAAACTGTTGCTCTGATATTTCTAGAATGATTTCCTAGTTCACAGTACACCATGAAGGAATTGCACTGGGAGTCAGAGGGCTTGTTTATTTACACCTCCAACAAATAGACTGTGTATGAGACAGAATTAGAGGAGGTTCACTATGAGAATTTATAAGCTTTCTATTTGATTCTGCTTTAGATTTTCAGTAGGAAGCAATTAAGCATCAATAATAGAATATATTTACATATTTGGGAAAATTGATCCAGGCGATTGCTTTGTGTCTTAAACCTAAGTCTTAAGCAGGCTGCTTTTGCCTGGGCATGGCAAAGGGAAGGAGAGTGTGAGAGTGTGCCACGGAGCTATTTCTCTTGTTGTCTGGAAATGTTCTCTGCAGCACACTGTGTCTGTAGAGTTTACCAACTTGGCAGCAGGCAGGGGAGACAGGACAATCACTAGTGAGTCCACCGCAACAGTAGGGCTGGAAGTGGGATGAGAACTAAAGGGGGAATCCTGAAAATTCAGTTTCTCACGAGTATGCCTGGGGGTATGCAGGCCCTGTCTATTCAGTAGGTACATGTTGTATATTTCATGGAAGCGTGCTCTCTTCCTGAAAATCTTTAAATTGCTGTCTGAGTAACACTTGTGAGCTGCATTTTGTAGATTTCTAAATTATATGCTGCTGTAGCATAAACAGTGATCTTTGTCTTATTCACAGTCTTAACAAAGACTCATAGAAAGACAGCACAAGAATTTTGATGCTCTAGGGTGATAATACCAAATCTTATTCAACGAGGCCTCATAGAAGTCAGTGCCCTGTCTCTAGTCCATCATTACTACTGCTATGGCTGTTACTGCCAAGGCAGGCACACCAATTATTTATCAGCTCATTTTGAGATTCTTGGTCAACTCTGAGAGAACTATAAAGATGTGAAAAATTAGGTATTGAGGTTGAGAGGGAAAAAAAGAAGAGTTATGCCAAATGTCCATTTTATAAAATTCCATTTAGAACAAATTGTGCATTTTTCCAATGAATCATCATTATAAAATTGGTAATTTGGTACAATGTTTCCATTTTACTAAGGGAAATAAGTACTAGTGGATCTCAGACGACTTGACAAAGGAGAAATCTTTTCAGAGAGGGGAACAGGGTTCCTTTCACTGCCTAGTGTCAGATCTTATAATCCCCCTAGTTAATAGAACTACGGATGTCCTCAAAGAAACAAAGGGATAGCATTCTGCCCTATTAAATGTGTTTCTGCATTAATCTAGGAATTGTTTGTTGATAACCAAATGCATAGCAACTATATTTAAATTTCAGAAAATTACAATTAGGTGTCTTTGAATAAAGACGAAGAAGAAAGAAAGGAACCGAAAGCTATTAAGTGGAGCTTCTAAAGTCGTGGCTAGGTGCTATTTCAAAACAAACATGTCAGCACCATCCCAGTTAAAGTAGATCAAACCTTCCAGTTTCTTCAGGAGTTGTACTTGGAATATGAAATGGGAATTTTGTTTAGGGTTTTTCAGGTGCGATGTTTTTTAAAAATTTTGCAAGTAATATTTTGAATGCAGTTGCTTTTGAACAGGGCAGCGGGGGAAGCCAAGTTAGGTTAACAGATCAACCATAGAAAATTCAATAGGGTCTTTTGCTAGGCGAGAGGGAGCCTGTGGCTTTGCCATGTGGTCGTGCGGCTCCACCGAGTTGCTTTGCCTGTTTTGCAGGGGTTTGTGGTGTGTGGATTCACTGACACTTTGGTGGCGGGAGGCTGACGATGGCTCTTCGGCGGGCTCAGCCGGCTTGGCACAGTCTCAGCTCTGGGAAGTCCACGCTGCTTTACAAAGAGCAGGTGGGCGAGAAAGCTCAACACTGCAGGGCAGATTGTGCAGCTGTGAGAGGTGGAATTCCCCTCAAAAGGATCGGCACTGCTTTGAAAATAAATTCATCATTAAATAGAAGGATTTCTGAAGCAGTAGACGAACACAGGGCTTGATTGGTTTCAAATTAACTCTTTGTACTCATCTTTCATTCATCCTTTAAGAGAATGTCTCTGCTTTTTCCAGAGAGGTAGCACAAATAATCCTTGACATCTTTTCGAGGAGGAGAGTGGTTCGCTGGAGCACTTATGCCCCTGCATCTGCTTTCCATTCCCCCTGCATCTTGCTGCGCTCAAGCGTGGCAGGGAGGGACCCTCACTGCAATTCAGGCGCTCTGTTGTGCTTCATGTTCAGTATTTTTTTAAAAGTGGGATTTGCTTTTCCCTGGAAGGAGAGTCTAGGCTTACGCTGAAGGTTAGAGGGAAGGGTGGCATTTTCCTCTCCCCTTTCCGTGTCATCCCCTCTTTCTAGGTCAGGGTCTGCACTCCTCCCTTGGCCTCCCTCTCCCTCCTCCCTAGGAGCTAAGAATGGCCTTGCTTCTGTTCTTGCTGCTAATTTACAGCCTTTTCTCTCCCCGTGGAAAATATCTGCTAACACTGTCTTCTCTGGGGGAGACTATTTATATATCTGTTAAAAGTGTCTTTCCTCCATAAATCCCATAAACAATTAAATGCGTAGCATGATAGCCTGTGGAAACCTTTCTGGCTACTTAAGCGAAGTTTCCTAATCCTTTTCTACAGCAACCCAGACCCAAGCGCCGTGGCCCATTCATCTGCTGTTGCTCCTCAAGCACTTTGATCTCGGGGCTTCATTACAGCTCATTTCAGCATTAAGGATGATCTGAATTCATGAGCTCTTCCCTTCCTAATAAGTGCCATTCATATCCATCCTCAGGAGCGACCACAGCTCACGGGAAACTGGTTCAAACCACACGTGAAAGAATAATGGACTAGCTTCAAACACAAGTGAAAAATGGGGTTTTTATTAACCAAATGAACCTTTGAATAAAATGCTTCATTAAATAGAGGATTCTCATTTTCAGGGCACTGTTAAATCTACCAGTTGCCATGCTGAGATTGGTAAGTGTGATTATTTCATTTTTTTTTTTCCAGGTGGATACCCTGAGGTGGAGAAGAGACTGAATATGCCCACTGCATCCAAAGCAAGGCTGGAGCTGACTTGAGCTTACTTGGCTTCATAAAGCTTGAACACCATAGATGCTTTTATATGTCTTTCCTGTTCGATTACTCTGGATAGAGTGTGCTACTCCTAACACAAAGCAAAACCAAACCAAAAAACAAACCTCTCTTTTTCATTTCCTTAAAGAAAAAAGAAATTTAATTTGGATTCAGATAATACCCTTATAACTTCTAAGGCAGTCAAGCAAGGAGGGGAACAGATAATTAGGAGATGATGGGAGCCAGCACAAAGCCAAATGGAAGAAAACAGGCACACAGTAAGGCGGCAAAAGCCACCACCTAATCCATTAACAGCCTGCACTATAATTACGCTTGGCTCTGGCATTAAACTGGTGAAAGCACAAAGGAGACACTATTAAAGTCTTAATTCCCACAAAAGGAAGCTCATCCTGTGTAACAGCAAGTACTGTGCACCAAAGCGGCACCTAAATGAATATTATGGCAAATTCTAATTTAGCACTTAGTAGGAGCATTCCACAAAATTGCAAAAATAAAGAGGAAGAAAGCTGAACGTGGTAATTCATGCCTGTAGTCCCAGCTACTCAGGAGGCTGAGGCAGGAGGATTGCCTGAGCCCAAGAGTTTGAGGCTAGCCTGGACAACATAGCAAGACTTTCATCTCTACACAAAATTATTAGCTGGATGTGGTGGCATGTACCTGTAGTACCAGCTGGTCGAGAGGCTGAGACAAGAAGATTGCTTGAGCCCAGGAGTTCAAAGTCAGCCTGGGCAACATAGCGAGACCCTGTTTCTCAAAAATAATTAGAAAAATAAATAAAGGAGAAGAAAAGACTAGGTGGTGTTTCTTTAAAGGCAGTTCTTGCTGTTGCTCTATGGGTTCACTTTCTCCCCAACCCCCAACCTTCTCAACCTTTCTCCAACCTCTCCAGCCCTCCCCAGCCCTCCCCAGCCTGTGTCTCTGCCCTCCCCAACCCCTCATCGTCAGATGGTTTTAAGCATGTGGCTTCCTGAAAGCTGTGGGTCAGGAGGTAGCAGCAGGCCAAGTCTTCCTCCTTCGGCAGAAGGAGGAGCAGTGTGAGGTGCAAGTGGGCAGAGGCAGAGACTGAAAGTTCTTGAGGAGAACAGGTGTGAGGCCACAGGAAGCTCCACCAGGCACCTGGCTGCACAGTGACTTTTGCAGTGACAGTGCTTCAGCCTCCTTCCACGGGACCGCAGGATTCAAAATGGCATCACCTCCACTTCTGTCAATACATCCGCAAGAGGGCTAGCATTCAAATTAATGGCAGGGAGAAGATCTGCAGGATCCCCCTCACTGAGCCTTTCAATTAAGCATACTGATTAGATCTTAGATTTCCTTACCACATAAAAAGACGAAGAGTTTGCTAATGCGAGTGGTTTTTTTTCCCCCATTTTGACCCAGCCCGATGTTTTTAATTTTGCTGTACCCGGTAACCAAGTACGGATGCCGCACTGCTGCTGGAGCAGATGCAGGACACACGGGATGCTCCTTCTACCCGAGCCCTTCTCCAGGGTCAGGCCTGAGAAGTAGCACGACCTCTGCATGTTGTATTTGTCTCTGCCCATGAGGCAGTTTCAAAGGGATTACCATCAGTCCCCCTGAGAAGGGGCCATCATCTCTCTACAGTTGGCTCTTACTTCCCGCCCTGTGGACTGAAGCAGCCAGGTGGGTCAGGATTTGTACATCGTTTTTCTAGTCGTAAGTTAAGGTGCAAACAATTCCCCTTTCTACAACAGGTAAAAGAAAGAATATCAAGACGTTTATGTGTCTTTCATGACAATCACTGGAACAAACTTACTTCTCTTTCTCTCTGTGTAAGTCTTACAATGAGACTGCTTGCCAGGACATTTTCGGGCTAAATTCAAGTCCCTGGGGGGCAGATGTCTTAGAAACAGAGTTGCTGTGCCAAATATCAGCACAATGCCTTAGAGTACAAACAAATGACTTCGATCCTGAATAGAAAATCAATGTTAATAGTCTAGCTTCTTAACAGTCACTCCAAGGCCTAAATGGTTTGGTTTGATTCTACACAATTTATATGTAAAACTAATTACCAGAACTCTCTTATTTTTGCTATGTTGACTTGGCATAGGACACCTAAATAATTAGTCATTTAAATTGGCCACAACAGGCTCAGAAAGTCTTGGGAGTGATGGGACGAATATACCCATGTCTTTGGAACTCATGATGTTGTAGGTATGCTACAAAAAACTGGAAGGACCATTTTTATCCAGTTGCTTCTGATTCCATCACAGAGAAACCATCGCAATTTGCCACGTATTTCTCCATCTTCTTTTGACTTTTGCATAATAAATGTACTGAGCGCAAGAGGTGAGGTGGGTCGGTATTATTATTAGCATTTTAGAGATGAGGAAGCTGCAACACAGAGTAGATCAACTTAGCCATGGCTATGGAAATGAACTCATATCCGAAACCTCCTAACTGCCAGCCCTAAGAAAATAGTGGTTAGGAATGGAAGTTCTGCAGTCAGGCTGCTTTACGTAAAATGCTGGCCTTTATGTACTTAAAAAGGACAAGCTAGTCATTGTACCTCTTTGATCCTCAGTTTCCTCCTCCACAAAATGAGAGTATACTAGAACTATCTCATCAGACTGTTGTAAGGGTTAAAGGAGATAAGGATGTGAACCTCTTAGCACAGTCAGTTTAATACATAGTGAAGAGAATATCCAATAACTTTATTATTGTTGTTGTTACTCTGAGTACTACTACTACTGCTACTACTGATGAGGAAACTGAAGGTCAGACATTTGAGGGACTTCCATAAGGAAAGCCACACAGAAACAGACCACAGCAAGGCCATTTTTCTCCTAGCTTTTGAACTCATTCCCTCGTAAGAACTCTTATTTCTTTTCCAAACACAAGTATGAATTCCCTCTGAACATCGTTGTTATTCAATTTAGTCTGTTTTCTAAGAATATACATATTTTAAAGCAGGATTAGCTGGCAGAAGCAGTCAAAAGGAGAGCTGGTTGGAGGATTCATTCTAATACTGATTCTAACATAAAATTTAATACAGCTGAATGCATCAAAGTACAAGGGCTCTGTTTAGTTGGGTACCAAATAGTTCCAGCAAGATATTTTTACAAAGGGACACTCAAGCTGAAGCAACTTCAATCGCCCTAAAATATTATACCATTTGAGAATGAGTAGTCAGATTTGCCAGCAAACATGTCTGTAATCCTAAATCCATCACTTTAGTGGTGCTCATAGAACAAGGTCCAGATTTACTTTCCACTTGGTGTTCGTTCTGTTCATTAATTATATTCATATCTGCTTCTTTGAAGTTATTGAGACTATTGGAAAATGTAAAAGAAAGCTGTATTGATTTCAGTCTTATTATCATTCCATCTTTATTTCCTTCATCTATGAACTCTCAGGCATGTTGAGTGACATGTGGTGGTGGGTATAGTATGTCAGGCATGGTGTAGGGCATTATCAACAGAGCCCAGGCGTCTCCAGATCTGGAGGGTTTAGATTTAGAGTGTCTGGATTGTATTCTACTAAAATCTCCACAGCCTTTCCTTTCAAAATCAATTTCAGTTGTCAAAAAAAAGGGGTGGGGGTGAGTCACTTTGAAATCATATAGCTTATGATTATCATCTTTTTTTAAAGCTTATTACTATAATTTTTCTCCCAAGGGAGCTGAGTTGATTTATAACCCCACCCTTCTTATCTCAACATGTGGCGGAGTTCAGAAGAGAATTAAAATTGGGGGATTTTTTCCCTCCAGGGAAAACTGATAGGCCATACCCCAACCTCATTTTCAAGTTCACTAGGAACTTTTTAGCCCCTCGAATTTAGTTTAAAAATGCACATACAGCAAATAAACTCATATCTCTCCCCAAATTCACATATTTGCCCTGGGTACTTTAGAAATAAGGCCTATGAAGAGTCTTCACAACCGTGGACTGCAAACTCCACAACATTGCAAAATACACTTGGTAGAATACAACCTCATTGACAGCAAAGACTCTTTTTTCTTTTAACAATTTCAACTTTCATTTTAGATTGAGGAGGTACACGTGGAGGTTTGTGACTTGGGTATATTGCATGATGCTGAGAATTGGGGTGTGATTGAACCTATCACACAGGTGGTAAGCATAGTACCTAACAGGTAGTAAGCATAGCACCTAATAGGTAGTGAGCATAGTACCTAATAGGTAGTGAGCATTGTACCTAATAGTGAGCATAGTACCTAATAGGTAGTGAGCATAGTACCTAATAGGTAGTGAGCATAGTGCCTAATAGGTAGTGAGCATTGTGCCTAATAGGTAGTGAGCATAGTACCTAATAGGTAGTGAGCATTGTACCTAATAGGTAGTGAGCATAGTACCTAAGAGGTAGTAAGCACAGCACCTAATAGGTAGTGAACATAGTACATAATAGGTAGTGAGCATTGTGCCTAATAGGTAGTGAGCATAGTACCTAATCAGTAGTGAGCATTGTACCTAATAGGTAGCCACCAGTGTCTAATGTTCCCATTTTTATGTCCATGTGTACCCGATGTTTAGCTCCCACTTATTAGTGAGAACGTGCAGTATTTGATTTTTTGTTTGTTTGTTCCTGAAAGCAGGGATTCTTACCTGAGTTGCTCACTGTTGTATCCCAAGCACCTAGAACAGTGTCTGGCTTATAGCAGGTAATCAATACATATTTGGAAAATAAGTGAACGAATGGGGGAAATAAGAGAAAGTTGTAGTTAAGAGCCAGGGCTCCGGGATCAGAGACAGACAGACCCGAGTTCAAATGATAACCTGCCACTCATAAGCTTCGTGACCTTGCTCAGTCTGCGTAGCTGCAGCACCCTCATCTGGAAAATGGGCCTAAGAAGGGGGCCCACTGTTTCAGATTGCATGAGTCCACACAAGGAGAAGACTTATGGGCTTTTGAGAACATAAATTCTCAATAACTGGCTCATGTTCTTCTTCTTCTTGTGATTCTTCCAGATTGGTTTTGAAGGTCCCCTTAAATCCAAATATTAGCAGTTCATGAAGCATAACCTGTCTTCCAAAACTGTGCTTCACATCAACACCTAGGAAGTGACCCTCACCCTCAGTGAGGGATGAGTCCCCTGTCTCACTCAGCGTGTTGGCAGTGGTGGGAGCAGCCTGTTCTGAGTCTCTGGGCCAGGTTTCATATCACTCCTGAACTAAGGTCTGTGTCACGTCATCTCAGGCACAGTAAAGAGAGAGGAAGAAACTATTTTCAGCTTGAATGACTGATGACCTGGGATTATTATTCTTTGGGTTCCAGGACACAGTGCTCTTATTATTTACAGAGAGCTTTCATTTATTTTTTCAATGTTGAAAGCTCATGCCAGTACGGTCGTCTGAAACCTCATGGCAGCATATATAGGAGATGATCATATTCCATTCTTGGTTCCTTTAAACAGGGTGCTACTGTTGCAGAAAGGAAGTTCCAGAGGTAACTATTCCCCTGTGACTCTAATGTGGTCAGCGGAACTGTCTTATGCAAAGTAGGCTTTGAAAAGGCTTTTGCTGGCTGAAATATAGGAGCTGCCATTCCCAGCTGCTTGTTTGTCCATCCTGGCCAGCATCCTGCTTCTCACCAGTGCCAACAGCTGATATGCCAGAAGAAGACAGATCTTTCCTTGAGCTCCCTTCCCATGAACCAAAAGAAGCATCCTTCTCCTACCTCTTAGGCCTTTTAAGAATAGACTCAGGAGTGAGATGTGGGCATGGTGAAAATTGAACGACAGAAAACCACTGTAGCACACATGTGCTGGGAATGGCAATCAAAGTTTCCAGGAGGGTCTGACGATCTGGTTTGATGGGTTCAGGGGATGAAAAATCAATTGCTTAACAGGGGTGAAGTGGGTTTCATAAGGAGGGAAGAGGGCAGTTGTAAGGCAAAAATACCTGGGGAGGGGTAGAGACCGAAGCAAATCTCCAAGTGAATGTTTTGTCCAGAGGGGACAGCCACTACTCAATTCTAACTGATGTTAGGTGTGATTCAAGCCCAGTGTGGCCAGATTTTTTTTTTCTTTCTAGAGAAGACAACAACCTTTTTTTTCTGTGAAATCTCTGAAACTGTAAATATTTGCAACATATTTATTATTTTTAAGCCATTTGTAGACCAAAGAAAACATATCTCTGGGCCTTCAGATTTCCCTGCAATAAACATTCACTCTACAATTATTTGCTGAGTACCTACGATGTGCCTGGCACTGTTTTGGGAGCCAGCAGATATAAAAATGCAAAAGACATGGATCGTGTTTTCAAATCCTTCGTTAAGCAAAGGAGAGAGACAGAAGCAGAAGCAGATGTAATAATAAGTGCTGGAATGGAACTAAAGGCTATACATCCACAGTAAAGGAAAGGGCAATCTCAGTTTCTGAGATTGGAGGTCTGGAATCACAAGAAGCGTTTTATCTCCTAGAGAGGTGGTTGCGGGGAAGGCATCAGGGAGAGAGGAAACAGCATTGCCAAAGGCATGCAGGGGAACACTGCACAGCACATGCGAAAACCAGGAGTGACCTTGTGGGGCTGCTGTGCAGGGCAAGTGGCAGGTGGGGAGGCTGGCTCTGAAAAGCCCCCACCTCCAGGCACCTTGCATTCTCCAGATCTTCGTTTTAACTGGTGGTGCCTGACTTTTCTGGGTCTCAGGTTGATCCAAGAATGGCAGAATACACTTCCATTTACCTCCGACACTCTCTGTGGAGTGTGACAGCTGAGGATCCAGGCACCATGGCAGTCTAAAAGTCTGCTGGGGACCCCCGCATGGATATGCTCTCCTTTATCCATGGCCGGCACACATCTGCAGCCGCTCTGTCTTGATTCACTGTCTGCACCTCTCATCCCATTGTAACTGTATCCGTTCAGCATCTGGGTGCTTCAATACCTATCCCTACTCAGCATCTGTTTACAGTTGAATACGTTGAATGGCAGCAGCACTGATTTCACCAACAGCTAAATTTTTAACATTAGGTAATTGGTTATCTTTCCTCAAACTTACACATCTGCCAAATCCATATGGGCGTCCTTAGTAATCTGTGAATATAATTCAGTTTTGCTGGCACTACCTAATATGGTGCCTGTCTTTTGTTTTTTAAAGACTTGCCTTTATCCTCCTAGTCTGAGTTGTACAGGTCATCAGACAACTATCCTGATTGACAGAGAGAAATATTGCCTTTTTTCTACATGAGCTGTAACTATGGGGCAGCATAGCATGGTGGTTAAACTTCTGAGTCTGGTGATAGGATTCAAATCCCAGCTCCATATCTGAACCATTGTGGTCACTTTACCTCTCCATGTTTGTTTACCATGCAGTACCTCATAGACTAAATGAGTTAATATAAGCAAAACACTTAGCACCTGACACACAGATGTATATGAGCATTAGCTATTATTATTAGTGATATTATTATTTCCAATGGTCCCAAATTGATAGAGGAGAACAGCTTTTTTAAAAAAAATTATATCTTCGACTGGGCCATATCCTTCTCCAGCTCTATATTTGAATTGTGCAATTTTTGTAGGGGAACAGAGTAGATTAGATAAGGTTTAAAAACCTTTTCTTTTAAGCAGACAGACATTCATGGGTATAGAATATTTTTTTCTTCTTTGTATTAACTGCTATGTGTAATTCTAGAATTTATCATCAAATTGGCTAGAATACGTTTTCCCTAGATTGAAGTAATAATAATCTCATTTGCCCCAACTCCAAAGCCCTTTGAAGTTAAACATTGAGAGGAAGAATGGTGGGGCCACTCAGCAGAGATTAGATCTTGTTTTAAACACTAGCTGCTCTGAGAATAATTTCCTTAATTAATATTCACAAGATATCATACACTTGAGACTATATTTTCATGTAACCTACTTGCATGTAATTGTTCGCTAAGGCTCTTCACTTCATTTGTATCTTCCTTTTGTGTCAGTATTCAACAAAATCATTTCCATCTAAAAGCAGTGCTGAAGGGGGTGGAGGTTCATTGGGTCTCCCCTTCCGTGTGAAAGCCAGCACACATGGGCTTTCATCTCATTTCTAAAGTTAATATTGTTTTGTGCTTATTCCTGTTCTTAACTAGATGCACATAGCTCCCAGACTTGCTCTCCTTTGTGGACTCAAGCCCTGAACATGTTCAGGTGTTGCCTTCTTGTCAGTCTCTTGTTACAGGGTGAGGAGCTTATCAAAGCACCCTGGAGTGTCAACTGGCCAAAGAGTCTTAAAACCCTGAAGTAGCCACATTTGCCATCAGTAACAGCATCTGAGGGGATCAGTCTGGGTCAGGAAACCAAAGATTGTCAACTTAAAGGACTTTAGGTTATTCAGGAGTCAGCTTGCCCAAAGGTCAGTGAAAGGAGCTAAGATAACTTGGAAGGAAATCTTTCTATATGAAGCCTTGTCAGTTTTGCATATTTCTCAGAAGAAATTTAAAAATTAAAAAGTTATCTTTTACACACTTTTGTTTAAGTTTAAATAAATTTGCTAACTGTTTAAGGTCTATCTGTTAGTCTATTTTTTGCTGCTATAACAAAATGCGACCGGCTGAGTAAATTATAAAGAACAAAAGTTTATTTGGCTCACAGTTCTGGAGGCTGGGTAGTTCAAGAGCATGGCACCAGCATCTGGTGAGGATCACCCCATGGCAGAAAGCAGAAAAGCAAGTGAGTGTGTGAGACAGAGAGAGAACAGGGGCCAAAATCATCCTTTTAGGAGGAGCCCACTCCCATGACGATGGCATTAATTCATTCATGAGGGCAGAACCCTCCTGATCTAATCATCTCGTAAGAGTCCCAACTTATCATACTGCCATAATGACAATTAAATTTCAACATGAGTTTTGGAGGAGACATTCAAACCACAGCAGTCTCCAACCAGTGACTTTCCTACATTTGCAAATGCTTTTAAAGCAAAACAACATCCTCACCTCCCTCCATATACAACAAGCAGAAATACTTTTTGCTCGCTTGTTTTGTTTTAGTAACAAGTTGGGTGCAATTTTTAAAATAGCTGACTACAGGCTGGGCATGGTGGCTCACACCTGTAATCCCAGCACTTTGGGAGGCCGAGGTGAGTGGGTCACCTGAGGCCAGGAGTTTGAGACCAGCCTAGCCAACATGGTGAAACCTCATCTCTACTAAAATTAGAAAAATTACCCAGGTGTGGTGACAGGTGCTTGTAATCCCAGCTACTTGGGTGGCTGAGGCAGGAGAATCAGTTGAAGCCAGGAGGCAGAGGTTGCAGTGAGCTGAGATCTCACCGCTATACTCCAGCCTGGGCAATAGAGCCAGGCTCTGTCTCAAAAAAAAAAAAAAAAAAAAAAAAAAAAAGGTGACTACAGTTCTACCATCAAACAATCAATAATTGAGTACTTAATAGCTCTTAGAACAAATTACATTAACAATTATAATGCTACAAAATACTTGAAAAGTATATATGGATACTATATATGTTATTGTATATGTTGAAAATGGTATATACTATATGTTTATAAAAATATACTATACATACATACACACACATCAATGTATTCATACATATCTTTTTTTCTCCATAGATTCAGTAATTGCAAGACCAAATTTCTTTACTGCTGATAGATTGTTTATAAAGTCTTACCATGGGAGGGTGCCAAATATTTTCAAGATTATTTTGCTTTTTTTTTTTGTAACTTCCTGATTGCTATGTATAACTGAAGAAGCAGAGTATCTGCTAATAATTCTTTTTTTTTTTGAACCATTATCAATCCAGCAATCCGGAATTTGCCTGCCTGGTGGACATGATCTACACCCAGCTGACATTCATCACTGTCCAAGTTGGTATCATGCTCTGGCAAAGAGTCTGTGCTTCTTGTTGCAGGTCTCCTGAAGCTTCCCGTGTTAGACCCTGGTCTCTTTTCTGTGACAGGATCTCCTACCATTCGCCTCCATGCCTGTTGAGATAGTCCTTCCGTCATTGCAGACCTGTCCAGATAAACGTTCAAATATAAAGTGCAAGATAGTTCACAAAATAAGAAAATAAGTACTGAAACTTATGCAACATTATCTGTTCAGCCTCACTCAACTGAGATACATTTCACCAACCAGATTGTCAAAGATTAAAATGTTTGATAGCGCAAAACAGGGGAAAGTGTGGGGAAACAGGCAGTCTTCTATGTTGCTGGGGAGAGCATAATTGGTACAACCCCAGTGAAAAGCAATTTGGCAACATAATTAGAATAATAACTGCATACGTGTTTTGACTAGTGATTCCATTTCTAAGAATGTATCCCGTAAATACATTCTCACATGAACTAGATGATGTAGCTACTAGATTATTCAATAAAGCATTATTTGTGATAGAGATTGGAAGCCACTTGGATGTTCTAGAATAAAGGGCTGGTTAAACAAACAGTGAGGTATCTGACCAAAGGACTACCATGCAGCTACAGAAAGAGAATGGGACGTTCTTTTCTGTTACGGAGGATCTCAAAGATTTCCTCATAAAGGGGGAACAAGGAAGGGTAAAAGTATCCACTATTTAAGTGAAAAGGGTGAAAGTGTGAGTGTGAGTTGGGATATAAATACACAGTTTCCTGTATGTATACACAGCATGGTTGGAAGGATTCTGAAGGAACTAGTATACTCATTCCTAGGGTGGGGAAATAGTGTTAGGTGGCTTTGAGACAAGAAGGGAAAAGAAACTGTCACTGTATACCCTTTTTGTTATTTCAGAATTGTGAAATCTATAAAAGTATGAGCTACACAAAATAATAAATGAAATAAAATAAAAATAAAACCATAAACACCATATATACCTCTTGAAAGCTCATTTGTCTGATGTACACATTATTTGAAGCATAGCAAAACTAGAGAAATTAGAGTACAGAAATAAAAGTTATTAAAGAACTTGGGAAAAATGGCTGTAAGAATTGGAATCAGCTTCTGAAATAATAGGTCAGGGAAAGGTTTAATAACAGTCTTGAAATATCAACAAGTCAGTTGGGATGGACAATGAGTTACTGTTCTCCTTTGCTAGGTGTTAATACTAAAGTTTTGACTGAGAAAAATGTAGATGTGAAATTCCAAAGAAGTGAGGTACTAGATTATCACTTGCATATTTTCTAAAGGCAAAAAAATTTAAGAATTGCTCTACAATCAGTCAGAGGTCCTGGAGATGGAAGACAGGGTTAGCTTGGCTCTGTTCTCTGGGGAAATGACGAAGACAGGAGAAGGCCGGTGAATGGCTTTGATGGTAGATTCAGGAATGTGATGCTGAATTGGAAATAAACTGCACATTAATTTCTCAGAGTAAAGGGTGCCTGAGTGTTTCTCAGGGACTAGATTAGGGCCACATAGGAGAAGAGGAGCGCACTGAAGCCTTCCCAAATCCTGCAGAAGAAGACTCCCGCTGCGGGCTCCTGAGGGGAAGGCTGCCAGAGTGGTGTGGAGGGAGGGCCCCAGGGATGGAAATCTTGGAAAGGGTGAACGTCAATCTTCTGTAAGTGCCAGACAGCACAAAGCCATCTAACCAAAGAAGGACTGTTCCACCCACTTTCCTGTCCTATCTTGCCCCTCTGTCACCTGGCTGGGGTCTGTACCAGACTAGAAGTAGGGGAGGAGGTGAGCAGAAGCTGGCCACATCCTCCTTTGCCCCCAAGGCAGGAGCCACCAACTGCAGGCCCCAGCAAGAAGGAAAGAAAGGTGAGGTCTGGTCTTCAATTGAAAATTGAAGAGTTGATTATTATCTTCGAACACATTCTCTCTGCTGATTTGAGACTTTAAGACAGCTTGTTATCTAAGAGTGAGCAGAAAAATCATGGGGCCTGTTGAATTTTCCTCAAGTGGCAGGGGAATAAATTTTAAAAGAGACAAGATTAAAGGAAACAAAAATGTTAAAGGAGACAATTTTAATTAAGAAATAAGAATAAAGTCAAGTTTTGGTCCTCTACCACAGATCATGTGTCCAATGCTGTAGGAGATTTTTTTTCACAAAACCAAAATAGCTTAGTTTAAAGTGCATTCAGGAATAGGAAGGCAGATTGGACATCACAGAGAACTTCATCGCTCTAAATTTGCAAAATGTGAATTTGCTTACTATGTGAGATTGTGGTACCTTTTTTGTTTTTTAAAGACAAAACTTTACCAATACTATTTTCTTTTCCTTTCTTTATAAATTTTTAAAGGACATTAAAAGGTTAAAAAGAGTTGATTTAAGAAAAATTTAAAATAAAGAATAAAACAAGTAAAGAGTTGGCATAATTTGTGAAGATGGGATGTAAATTAACTTAGGAAAACACTTTTCTAAACAGGGTTGTGGAAAAGTCAGAAAATAAAATGCTATGCAATGATATTCCAAGTTACCATTTGGAAGAATTCTGTAGAATTATCTTTAGCTAAAGTGGTTTTTTTTATGATTGGTCCAGAATAATCCATAGATTTGTAACATTCTTCAAAATGATAATTCAAATCAGTTGGATCTAAAGACAAACTCAAAATAAAGGCAGGAGGCAGCAGTGTAGAACTCAAAGTGAAAAAGGCAAAGTCTTAAAAATAAAAAGAGAAAAGTTGAAAGAACAAAAGGAAGCAAGGAAGAGAAAGAAAGAAAGTCACAAAGAAAGAGAAAGAAAGGAAGAGAAAGGAAGAAAGAAAAAAGGAGAAAGAAAGGGTTACATACAATAAGATATAGTTTGTGAGCACTCTGGGTCCTTAATTTTACTTTGATGGTTCTGTTAGCTCAGAAAACACTTCGATTTGCAATCTTGGTTTAAAATATTAATTAAGCTCTTCTGACTCCATAATTCTGGGCCTCTAATACACAGGCATTATTCAGTTTTCCCTGTTATGCATTAGAAGGTACAGACACTATGATTTTATTTAGCTAATTTCAAGATTAAAGATTTCCTTAATTGTAGTCTTCCGCTAGTTCTTTGTAGTTGTTGAAACTGCATGCTTGATTGCTCAAGGGAAAACTTGTACTATTTAAGGCCCTGTTAAGTGAAGTAAACCATGGGCTTCCACTTCTAGGAAGATAGAGTAGATGCACTTCTCCCTGTTCCTCCCACTAAGTACAGCTAAAGGCCCTGGGCTTAGATATATGTTTGTTATATATGTAACAAACATGAGGAGACTCTGAAAGGTGGAGACAAGAAGGTAAAACTGCTAAGGGGTTCAGTACCCTAGAAACAACACAGTGGTGATGTTCCTGCCTCATACATTCTAGACTTGGAGCTGAAGAAGTTGGTAACTGGAAACATCAATGAGTACAGAAAAAAAAAAAGCCTCAACAAAAGTTAACTCTTTCTAACCAATGGACCAGGAGTAGGGCAGTGTAGCAAAGCACTAAACTTTTAGACAATGGCTGCTGTGCTCCAGCCAAAAAAAAAAAAAAAACACAGAAAAAATTATGGCCCCTGCCCAATCCCCAACAGCAAGGGCTGAATGGAGAGCCTAGATTTCCACCTTTGCCAGGCTGGAATGTAATGAGATGCCCTGACTTCCAGGCAGGATATCAGAGAAGGTCAAGCAGTGAGTCACATCTTCACCACTGCCCAGACATAATGAGACCACTACCCCCAGCGGTGTCAGTGGAGGCCACAAGGGAAGCAGTAAGGACATATCCCTTTCCCTCCCAGCCTCTCGAGGCCTAGTGGGGTGGGGGTAGCAAAATTCCCACCTGTGTCCAACATAAATGAGATGCACTCCCATCTCAGGTGTCAACAGAAGCTATGAGGGGAACCTGGCTATGCTGTCCCACCTGGCAGTAATAAGAGTGCTCCCTCTTCCTCTGCCAAAGCAGTGTCACTGGAAGCTGAAACAGAAGGTTTAATAAGATTCAGAGCCTTAGCCGGGTGCAGTGGCTCATGCCTGTAATCCCAGCACTTTGGGAGGCCAAGGCAGGTGGATCACTTGAGGTCAGGAGTTCGAGATCAGCCTGGCCAACATGGTGAAACTCATCTCTACTAAAAATGCAAAAATTAGCTGGGTGTGATGGCGGATGCCTGTAGTCCCAGCTACTGGGGAGGCTGAGGTAGGAGAATCACTTGAACTCGGGGGGTGGAGGTTGCAGTGAGCTGAGATTGTGCCACTACACTCCAGCCTGAGTGACAGAGTGACCCATCTCAATAAATAAATAAATAAATAAACATAAAACATAAAAAACTCAAAAAAAAAAAAAAGATCCAGAGCCTTATAAGACCGTAGATGTCTAGCTTTTAATTAAAAAGAAAAAAATCACTAATTGTACCAAGGACCAGGAAGATCTCAAATTGGACACCTGAAGACAGTCAATAGATGCCAACATTGAGAGGATAGGAATGTTAGAATTATCATCTGAATAAGATTTTTAAAGCAGCTATCATAAGAATGCTTCCATGAGCAATTATGAGCATGCTCAAAACAAATAAAAAATAGAAAGTCTCGGTAAAGAAATAGAACATACAAAGAACCAAATGGAAATTTAGAACTGAAAAACACAGTAGCCAACAACAACAACAACAACAAACAACGTGCCCAATGGGTAGGCTTAACAGCAGAATAGACGGGACAGAGGAAAGAATCAGTGAACTTAAAGATCCAACAATAGAAACTATTCAATCTGAAAAATAGAGGGGAAATAAAACAAAAAAAAAAAAAATGATGAGGGTCTCAAAGACCTATAGAACTATAAATGAAGGTCTAACATTCCTGTTGTTAGTGTTTCAGGAGAGGAGAAAGAGGACAGGGCTGAAAAAGACTCAGAAAAATAATGGCTGAAAGTTTCCCAAATTTGGTAAAAGATATAAATCTATAGATTTCAAGAAACTGAGTAAACCTCAAGTAGGACCCCCAAAGAAATGTATACTAAGACACATAAAACTCAAATTTCTGAAAGCAAAGCAAAGAAGCTGTGAAAAACCTTGAAAGCAACAAGAGAAAAACAGCACCTTGCCTATAAGGAAGAACACATTTCAATGAACAGCAGGTTTCTCATCAGAAACCATGGAAAACAGAAGGAATAAAAGGAAAATCATTTCACAGATTAGGAGAAACTAACAGAATTTGTCACCAGTAGACCTACCTTAAAAGAACTTCATATAGGAAGTTCTTTAAACAGAAAAATAAGTGATGAAAGAAGGAATCTTGGAACATCAGGAAAGAAGAAAAGCAAAGGTAAAACAAAATATAGGTAATATAATGAAGTTTTCTTCTTTTGAACTTTCTAAATTATGTTTGACAGTTAAAGCAAAAAGGATAACACTCTGACTTGCCTTGAATTGCATGTAAAGGAAATATTTCAGATAAATCTATTATACATGTTGGACAGCAAAGGAACATAAAAGGAGGTAATGGTTTCATACTTCACTCAAACTGGTGAACCCAGATATGTAATATAAAGTATATAACCTCTAGAATACATTTAAATTAATAGAATTAATATGACAATCAATAACACAAAGATACAAGGAAAATCACCAAACACTTGGAAACCAAAACATAATTTCAGGAATATAAAATGAGATGATCACAACAAACCCTGTAGGCTACTATGAATACCTCTACGCATAAAAATTTTAAAACTTAAATAAAAAGGACGAATTCCTTAAAAAAAAAAAACTACTAGAACTCACTCAATATGAAATAGACCCCTTGAATAGCCTCTGTTAAGGAAATTGAGTTTGTAATTTTAAAACTTCCAAGAAATAAATCTCCAAATCCAGATGGTTTCACTGGAAAATTCTACCAAGTGTTTAAAGAAGAATGAAGACCAGTTCTAAGCAATTGCTTCCAGAAAATAGAAGAGGAGGGAACAGTTCCAAATTCATTTTATGAAGCTAGTATTACCCTAATATTACAACCAGACAGAGTAAAAGCAAAAAAAGAGAAAACTGTAGACCAATATCACTCATAACTGTAGACGCAAAAGCCCTTAACAAAATATTAGCAAATAGAAGTCAGCAATATATTAAAAGAATTACACACAATGACTAAGTGAGGTTTATTCCAAGATGCAAGGCATTTGAAATGCAATAATTAAAAAATAAATCATAATCTACCACACTAACAAACTGAAGAAAAGAAATCCCAATTATATCAATCAATGCAGAAAAAGCATTTAATAAAATTTAATACCGTTTCATGATAAAGGCTCTTGGACAAATAAGAATAAAGGGGAACTTCCTCAGCTTGATAGAGAATCTATAGAAAGCCTACAGCTAACATTATAGTTAATGGTGAAAGGCTCAATGCTCTTGCCCTAAGATTAGAAACAAGGTAAGGATATATACTCATCACTCTTATTCAATATAGTACTGGAATTTCTAACCAGTGAAATAAAGCAAGAAAAGGAAATGAAAGCATATGGATCAGCAAAACTGTCCCTATTTGTAGATGATATGATTGTCACTGTAGAAAATCCAAGCAATCTACGAACTATGTAGAACTAATAAATGAGTTAAGCAAGATTGCAGGATAAAGATAAACACACAAAAAAATCATTGTATTTCTCTATACTAGTCATCAACACATAGACACCAAAATTTAAAATACAATACCATTTACAGTTACACAAAAATGTGAAATACTTGGAGGTTGAATCTAAAAAAAATGTACAGGTCTTCATGTTGAAAATTACAATATGCTGATGAAAAAATTAATGGTTTAAATAAATTGCAAGACATACTGTATTAATGGTTCACTGGAAGACTCAACATAGTAAAGGCACCAATTTTTCTTAAATTAATATACAGGTTAATGCAATTTCTATTAAAATCCCAGCAAGATGTTTTGTAAGTATAAACAAAATTATTCTAAAATGTATACGATAAGGCAAAGGAAACAGAAGAACTAAAACAATTTTGAAGAAGAATATGAGAGGACTCAGTCCAACCTCTTTCAAGACATTGTATAGCTACGATAAGTGGAACTGGTGTAGAGATAATCACATAGATAAATATAACAGAACAGAAAATCCAGAGATAGTGCATATCAAATTGATTTTTGACAAAGGTGCAAAAGCAATTCAATGGAGGAACGGTAATCTTTTCAACAAATGAAGCTGGGGCAATTGGACATTCATAGGCAAAGAATAAAAAAGCCTCAGCCTGTCTCACACCTTAGACAAAAATTAATAACTCAAATGGATCACAGACATAGGTAAAACAAAAAATTATAAAACTTTTAGAACAAAATAGGAGAAAATCTTTAGGATCTAGCTTCAGGCAGAGTTCTTAAACTTGACACTGAAAGCATGACACAGAAAATGAAAAATTGATAAATTGGACTTCATTAAAATTCAAAACTTTGTGCAGCCATAAAAAATAATGAGATCATGTCCTTTGCAGGGACATAGAAGAAGCTGGAAGCCATCATCCTCAGCAAACTAACACGGGAACAAAAAGCCAGACACTGCATGTTCTCACTCATAAGTGGGAGTTGAACAATGAGAACACATGGACACAGGGAGGGGGATATCACACACCAGGGCCTGCGGGGGGGTAGGGGGGTAAGGGGAGGGAGAGCATTAGGACAAATACCCAATGCATGCGGGGCTTAAAACCTAGATGACGAGTTGATAGGTGCAGCAAACCACCACGGCACATGTGTACTTATGTAACAAAACTGCACTTTCTGTACATGTATCCCGGAACTTAAAGTTAAAAAAAAAAAATTCAAAATTTTGCTCTGCAAAAAAATTCTGTTAAGAGAGTGAAAAGACAAACTAGAGACTGGGAGAAAATATTTGCAAACTAGAAAACCAACAAAAGATTACTATCTAAAACATAAAATGAACTCTCAAATCCAATAAAAAAATAGTCAAAAGGCATGAGGAGATATTTCACTGAGGAGGATATAAATAGATTTTTATGATAAATAAGCACATAAAAAGATGTTCAACATCATATGCCATTAGGAAAATGCAAATTATGACCACAATGAGATTTCACTACATACCTATTAGAATGTAGAAAATAAAAAATAGTGACAACACGAAATGCCAAAGAGGATGTGGAGTAATTGGATCACTCACACTGCTGGTGAGAATGAAAATAGTGCAGCCACTCTGAAAAATGGTCTAGTAGTTTCCTAAAAACCTAAACATGCAATTACCATATGACCCAGCAATTGTACTTCTGGGCATTTATCCCAGAGAAATGAAAATGTGTTCACCTAAAAACCTTTTTGAATGTGTATAGCAGCTTTGTTTGTAAAACCCCCAAACTGTAAGTTACTCAGATGTCCTTCAACAGGTAAATGGTTTAACAAATTGTGGTACATGCATACCATGGAACGCCACTTAGGAATAAAAAGGAGCAAACTACTAACAGATACAACCAGCTGTAAAAATCTCCAGGGAACTATGCTGAATAAAAACAGCCAACGGCGGCCGGGCGCAGTGGCTGACGTCTGTAATCCCAGCACTTTGGGAGGCCGAGGTGGGCGGATCACGAGGTCAGGAGATCGAGACCGTCCTGGCTAACACGGTGAAACCCCGTCTCTACTAAAAATACAAAAAATTAGCCGGGCGTGGTGGCGGGCGCCTGTAGTCCCAGCTACTCGGGAGGCTGAGGCAGGAGAATGGCGTGAACCCGGGAGGCGGAGCTTGCAGTGAGCCGAGATCCCCGCCACTGCACTCCAGCCTGGGTGACAGGAGGAGACTCCGTCTCAAAACAACAACAATAAAAAGCAAAAACAAACAAACAAAACAAACAAACAGAACAGCCAACGCCAAAATGTTACATATTGTACGGTTCTACACAGACGACATGCTTGAAATGATGAAATTATATAAACGGAGAACACAGTGGTTGCTAGGGGTTAATGAGAGGGTGGTTGTGGAAGAGAAGTAGATGTATCTATAAAAAGGGGCACATGATGGATCCTTGTGCATGTGAAAATATTCTGCCTCTTATCTGTATTAATGTCAATATCCTGGCTATGATATTATACTGTAGTTTGGCAATACGTTACCATTGGGGGAAACTGGGTAAAAGGTACACAGGATCTCTCTGTATTATTTTGTACAATTGCACATGAATCTACAAACACCTCAAAGTTTAGTTTAAAAAAAACGTAAATATCATATATGCATGCAATGTAAGCAGCAAAAATTCTGCAGGGCCACATAGCCAGCTTCAACACAGATTACCTCTGCAGAGGTAGACAAGTAGCTCTGAAGATTAGGTGGGGTTGATGAGAGGATTCTTTCTTTTCATTTTATTCCCTTACGAATCTTGTCTAAATAAATTTCTTAACATGAGTATGTATTACTATTATAATAAAAAGGAAACAAGTTAATAGGATTTAAACATAAACCATATTAATTTCTCATTATTTAAACAGGATCTTTTCTGCAATTTCCCGTGTACAAAAAAGTTTCTTGGCAAAACAGCCCTAGTATTTAGTAAATATATTAAGTCTTTTACAGGAGGAAAATCCTTAACTTAGTCTTTCTAAGGAGAAACTCACTCCAAAACCTTTAGCTCACAGGATCTACCCATTATAAAATACACTTTTATTCTACAAAGTGCTTCTCAGATATTTCAACCAATCTCTGACACAAAGTACCAAAGGTGATTTAATATATGTCAGGGTCCCTTCTCTTGTTCACTAATGGGAGGGGAGGGTATAATATACACACCAAGATTCCCACACTCTTCAGCGGCAAAGAACAGGTGCCCAGCTGTCCCTGCAAAAACCCTGGCCATTAAGAACACCCCAGTTAAGGAACAGCAAAGGAAGCTGGTGCTATCATCCTGGTCCCAGGTAACCAAGAGACTGACTGTTCTTCTCATAAGAAACATTGTACCTGCTCCTGCCCTATGCGAGGCCAAGCCCTGTTGGGTATAGGTGATGTGGCCAAATGCATACAACTTCATTTATCAAGGGAAGCTGCATCATATTCTGTCTTTACACATTAGATCACTAAGTACAACTTTCTGTCATGATTCTCCATTCAAGTCACAGCTTTGGGACAAAATGTGAGGGCAGAATTTGATTCATTGTTCATGTTCACAGCAATAGGTTTGGAGTTTCCACATCTTCTGAATATTTGTAGGAAAGCTCAAGTACAAATATTGTTGGGATGCTCAAGAAAACATCTTTAAGTGAACAGAAACAGACTGTCTCCTATTGAAATTCCTTAAAGCCACAAGTATTTTATTTTAATATGCTTCTTCCCCACAGATTTGGAATTTGGTAGCTGAATACCCAAGTGTAGGCAATGACTAAAAAGCTGACCCTGGAAAACTTGGGCATCATTAAATTATAGGGCATCATTAAACGATACTTTGAATCATGACAATGACATGTCTTAGGCTGTGATGTCATCCTCTTTACCCAGGAGAAATGAGGAACTAGATTAAATCAAGAATATTCTCTGATTGCTTTATTCCAACTAATCTCAAATAGTCAAAGTTACCAGTTACTGAGTATCAACTCTGTCCTGGCACTTTACTAGTTCCTAATTTCCCGAACCATGTAAGGCAAGTGTCATGGGAGGTCTAAAGAGGAAGAAACGGTGACTCAGAAAATTGAAATAACTTGTCCAAGATTATGCAAAGGGTAAGGCAAAGTCAGGTTTGAGCTCAGGTCAGCTGATGCCAGAGCCCACCTTCCTCATGTTCTCTGATGCCACCCCTCTTACCAACATAGTAAGCTTTAAGAGATTTGTGATGATGTCAATGATATAATATGTCACCTAGATCCTTCACTCTTTCCTCAGCTAGGAATGTAACCAACCCAAAAATTTCCTGAAAGTGGAAAACCCTGACTCCTATTTTTCACCATTTTGGTGGACAGCCTTTGGCTATGCTTTACCCACGAAAACACACATAGAGCATTTGACAAGTCTTAGAGCATTTGATCTGAAAAAAGCTCTGTAGAGAATCAGTTTCTTGGCAGAAACAGGCCTGGTAAAAAAAAAACTTGTAAACCTAATACGATGCTTATCTTGCAAGGTTTTGGTAAGAAACTAAAGTTGGAAAGGTAAATGCTACACTAAAGACCCTGCAGCCAGCTAATGGTAAAAAAGATATACACTCAGACACAGCAACCCCAAACACCAAGTGGGATGGTAATTAAATATACTGCTGAGGAGGAATCCCTGCACAGAATAATGTTCAATGACAACTTCAACCACCAGGTCCTTCCTGATACCTCTGTGCAATATACCTTCTTCAATTTGAATACTCTGTTACTCATGCTTTACAATTTAGCAAACCCTCTCGTACACACAGTCTTCCTTGTTACAGTAGACACTGCTATTAACTAGACAGAGTGAATGGTATTTCCTTTTACACAAAAGGAAACTGAGGTTCATGAAATTCAGTGATTTGCCTGAGGTAACAGAGCTAGCAAACAGAACTACGCCCCAAATTTATCTCTTTCTGTAATGCTAAGCTGCAAAGTAGTAATTATTGAGGTTGCCTGTTCTTCCTAATATTTGATTATGAAAACTTCCTAAAATTTATTTAAAATTAACATGTTCCTTGTCATAGAAATAATACATGTTTACGGTAGAAAATCTAAAAGGTATAATAAGGCAAAATAAAAGGCGCATCTGATCTCACTACCCGAAGATATCATCATTGTTAAAATTTTGTGTAAATTCTTCCAGTCTTTTATCCATGCCTATATATGCTAAAATAACAGAGCAAAGACAAAATGCGGTCATGATGTATATGCTCTTTTAAGGTCATTTTCTCTCCTTAGCATTATACGGCAAACACTTTTCCGTGTACTTCAATATTCTTTTATGACATATTCAAGGAGGGCATCATATTCTATTGCATTAATGTATCATAGCTTTATGCAGCCAATATCCTATTGTAAGGCAATATGTTGTTTTCAGTTTTTGTTCAATTGTAAGCATTGCTGTGGTTAACATCCTTATAGCTAAATTTTTGCATACATCCATGATAATTTTCTTCAAATAAATTCCCAGAACTGGAATTTCTTGGTCAAAGATCTTGCAAAATATTAAAGCATTTAAGATATATTTGTGTAGTCCAAATTAAAATTTAAGTTTGCATTTGGCATGGGATTTGCTTTAGCAAATTTTTATACCATCTCTGAACTTTCACTAATTGCAATGTCTGTGGACTTTAATGGTAATCTTCTGAGCCAGATGATAAAACATTCACAAGATTGTTCCTATCGTTTTACTCTGTAGTGAGTACTTTAAAGAATTCACATTTACAGAAGAAGAAAATCAGAACTGAGGTGCACAAAGCTACATTGTGAGATGTGTGAGATGTACTGTTGTGGACAGACCCTAGGTGGCCCCCCTTCCCCCATGATCCCTGCCCTCTACTGTTTATGCCTTTGTGTAATCTCCTCCCCTTGAGTGCAGGTGGATCCTGGGACTTGATCCTAACCAATAGAACAGGGCAAAGGTGATGGGATGTCAAGCGTGTGATTAAGTTATGTTATAGAAGACTCCCTTTTAGCTGACTGGAGCTAGAGACTGTCCTTGTGGGCTTAATGAAGTAAGTGACTATATTGGAGAAGCCTACATGGCTAAGAAATGCAGGCAGCTCTAAGCCCTAAAGGTAGCCTCCAGCTGACAACCAGCAAGAGCTGTGCCCTGAGTCACACAGCTCACAGAACACAAGGAAATGTGTTCTACCAACAGCTTGAGTGAGTCTTGAGGTGGATTTTTCCCCAGTCAAGTCTCTAGATAAAAATGCAGCTTGGCCAAAACCTTGATTGCATCCTTTTGATATCCTGAACAAGAACCCAGTTAGGTAGTATCCAGACTCCTGACCCATGGAAACTGCAGGTAAATGTATATTGTTTAAATTGGCTAAATTTGTGGTTATTTGTTATGCACCAACAGATAATGAATCCACCTACCTGCCCTGAAACCAGTGAGCTTGCATGACTTTGACTTTTACCTCTTCAGCCTATTATCACCCCGGTCTTGCATCCCCTTCAAAGTAGCCCTCCACCCACAAAGTGCAGTATTATCTATATGGGCTGATCCTTGGTGAGTTAACCCTTAGATCCATGCCCCATCCTTCCCAGCTGCTCTCCTATACTGGAGGGGGCTGACTCCTGCAGGAGGCATTTCCAGGCTCCTGCTTCCAGCTGAGGGTGGAAGATGAAACCTCTCTCTCCCTAAGCTCTCTGCCTTTGGTTGTGGCTGTGTATTCTTGATGGCTCCTGCCCCCACAGGACAGGCCTTCTGTGGTTCCACCCTTTGTCAGGTTGCCTCAGCTCTTGGGAGAAACTTCCACCTCCTCTCTTTGTCTCTCCAGTCTAGGCGTGGTCGTGGCTCCCATTTGTGGCTAATTTCTGGTTTACCTCTCTTTTCTTCTATTTGGCTTCTTCGGTCCTCTGACACCTATGGAACCAACTCTCTGCATTAAATTCCCTTTGCTGTAAGCACTTAAAGCGGTTTCTACTTTCTATCAAGACTCCGGGTGACGCACACCCCACGTTCTAGAGCCTGCACCTCATTCTGCTCTGTACCGGGAGCAGCAGCATAGTACCTGGGTAATGTCAGTGCCAAACGGCACTGAGTGTGTTATATAAACAAATGATGGCTCTAGCAGTGCTTTCTGTTTAGGGGTTCTGCCAGGTGTCAGGGAAACAACAGTGAGTGGAACTGGGCCCCCATCCTTGGGGGTGCACAATCCAGGGGCAGGGAACAGACATATAAACAAATAATTAGATCAATGTGATAACAATTACAAGAGAAGTATATTCAAAGTGGAATGGAAGAAGAGTTGGAAGAAGCCCCAGGGTGGTGGAGGTGGTAATTGGTAGGGCAGAGAAAGAGTGTTCCTAATTAGCTAGGCATGGTGGGGTGAGCCTGTGGTCCCAGCTACTCAGGAGGCTGAGGTGGGAAGATCACTTGAGCCTGGGAAGTCAAGACTGAAGTGAGCCATGACTGCACCACTTCACTCCAGCTTGGGTGACAGAGCAAGACCCCATGTGAAAAAAAAAAGTGTTCCTATCAGAGGAAACAGCCTGAGCAAAAGCATGATGTCCTGGAAGAGCATAGTAGGTTCTCTTATAAGTGGGAGTAGTCACAGTGAGGTTTGCTTTTACTCAGCAACAAATTCATTTCAAAAATATCATGTAGAATTCTACCAGTCTACATGTACAGGTCAGGGCACTTTTCAGCTGCTACAGAAGGAAGTAATCTCATTTTGCCAGCCCATGGCTTTTTCTCCTTTCTTCATACCCTTCTTGCTAAAATATCTTCAGGACTAAAGCTCAATTGAATGACAGCCCCTCTGGCACTCAGCAGCCTCTCCTGGAGAGGTCTCTAAAGGCTGCAAGGGCAGGCAGTATGATAGGGTAGAAATAGAGCAGAGAGTATGGCCAAGCTATGGGCTAACAAGATGAATTTGGGTAGACAGCCAGGTCCATCACTTATTAGCTGTGTGATTTTGGGCAAATTTCTTTACCTGTCTAGCCTCCTTTTGTGTGGATATAAAACCTACCCAGGGGAGCAGGGAAATTATCTTGTAAAGCATATTTTTACCACTGACTAAGTGCTAAGCACTGTGCTAGAGTTTATTATGCATTATCTCACTTAATCCTTAAATAAGTCTATGAATGGGTGACTACTATTATTTCCAATTTAGAGATTTTAAACATTGAGGCTCAGAGGGGTTAAACAATGTGTCCAAAGTCACACAGCAATTGATGGGCAGAAACTTGAAAGTCCCTGCCCCTATTGTTACTTGAATACTGCCCCATGGCAAAGCATCAGGCCCGGTGTGAGGCTTGAATTAGCAGCTCAATAAATTTATGTTCTCTCCCTTCCCACTTTCAGAGACAAGGAAGCTGAGTTACTTTCTCCAGGCCTGATAGCACTATCCACAAGCACTAGAAACAAAATAAGAATGACAAAGAGCAAGCTACCAACTATATTATTTGCCAACAAGTTCTGAGCTTTGGAGATGAGGGTTTTTAGGGTACGAGGTACCAAAACTTCTGAAGCCAAAAGAAAGCCAAAGAATCCCAATTCCTGAGCAAACTCACATCCCCATTAAAGACAAAGGTGAGAAACAGTAACTCACTGTGCAACACCATTCTATGAAATTCTCATCCCAGGAGAAAGAAGTTATTGTGTATATTTTATAGATGTTGACCTGAGGGCTCAACTAACTTGTTCATGTCACTGGGAAGTGTCAGAACTGAGCATGGGGACCCAGAATGAGGAAAGGCGGGGCCCTGGGCTCCTCTGCAGTTGCCATTATCATCTTCTGCTCCCCTCACTCTCTGAGCTCCTGCAAGTAAGACCTGTGTTCAGCAGTGCAGCCTGAGGGACTGGCAGGCCTGAGTAGAATCCCAGTGAAGTGTCCTCAACTTCAAACCCTTCCCTGAGGGCTCAGGGTGTGGTGCTTTGGCAGCCTTTCTTTCTTCCTGCACTAGGATTTAGCTCTCAGAGAAAGGGGTGGGGGGAGGGGACACAGCCAGCTGCATGGGGATCAAAGACGTAAGGGCCTGGCCTGTCTGCACAAGTGCTTGTCAGCCAAGCATGCACACACACTACACACACACTCTACATGCATACATATCACATTTAACATACACTCAAGCATGCCACATGTAACACACCACACACATTCACACACCACATATAACACACACACTGTGCATATATTCACATATGCCACATATGACACTTGCCTTCATACACACCATATGTGACACACACACCACACACACACCCCACACTCATACATATCCCATATAGCACACACTCAAACATGCCACATATAACATACACACCACACACTCATGCACACCACATATAACTCACACAACACGCCTCATACCCTCACATTATACATGTACACCCCCACACATAAATATACCACACATACACCAAATATCACACAGAGCAAACACACTACAGCATACACACAATACCTCACACCACTTATTGAATATGCACATACAACACACATATATGCACCACATACACCGCGTTTTACATGGCTACATGTAACACACACTACAGAGCATTCATATCACTTTACAACCTTGTATCTCACATGCCACACACATACATGCTCAGTGCACCTATATACAGCACATACACACCACACATCCACATACCACATATTACCTCACACTGTCACATAGTACGCACAGAGCCCATTCACATTTATGTACCACATACACACCACACGTAAACATACAGGCTCCACAAATGTGATAGTACACATATACCACACCTCATGCTCTTGTATGACACATATTTGCATACCACACCATTTCACACATCACAGATAGACACACATACCACAACACCCCACACAGACACACGCTACAGACACCACACCTCACACTCTTGCATTACACACACACATACACCTTCCCACGGTCACACACCACAGATGGACACTCATACCATACACACTCCTTCATCACATCACATACAGCATACATAGACCATACACACACACGGCTTTCAATTCATTCACATCTAGGCTGCAGCTCCAACCCAAGAGTACCCAGTCATTGTGAGGAAAAGCCACAGACAGCCCCCCGAGGGGTTCTTTCTCTCTTCCTGGCATCATTATAGCCTCGTTGCTGGATAAATTAATTACAGAGTTGGAGAGACAGAAATCCAACTCCCACCCACCATCCCCCTGAAGTATCAACATTGTGGATCTATTTATGAACTTCCAAATCTGGAAGGTGTGACGCGCTTTGTCACTGTGCGGCCAGCACTCTGGCAGCAGCCGGAGTCTGGCTCTTTTATGTGGTGAGAAGTTATGCCTCTCTGCTCTACCCTTCTCCCCAGCATTCACCTGGAGTGTGTCACGATGGAGGGAACAAACGTGTGTAATGCCTGAGTCTGGAACGCGCCCAGCTATGGGGCTGCTGGAGACCTCGGTGTGGGAAGGGAAGTGGAGTTCACTCAGGCGGACAGAGAAGAATTCTTCTTGTGGCCTTAGCTTGCTCTTTGGTTAGAGGAGGGGATTTTGCCTGCCCACGAACCAGGGGATCCAGAGATGATTGTAACCCTGTTGTCCAGTCTTCCTTGATGATTATCAGAATTGTTTAGTCTTTGCAATTATGTGGAATGGAGAAGGCCATCCCGACAGTGGCGTTGTCTTATTTGATTAATATTGTCTATGTATTCAAGATACGTGCCTTATTCAATTTGGAGGGCTCCTTCATTCAGCAAGGCTGTGCCTGGAGGTATTTCATCTTCACTGGAAGGCCATGTATAAACTATATAAACTGGTGCTCTAGTAAACCTAACTGTCTCCGCAGCAGGTTAGATGTGAATGAAGTGGGTGGGGCAGAGAGGCTGTCATCCCAAGCCACAGCCAGGAAGGTGCCTCAGGAGGTGCGAGACAAGGGCCTCTCCCGGGGAGACGCCCCTGGGTTGTGGCTGATGCTGACAGTTTCCATCCAGTGTTTTCCTGGGTGCCGTTACTATGTTTTTTTAGCCAAAACGTTTCTGAGACCTTCCAAATTTCCCTGAGTCTGATCTCCTGGGAAAGTCAGGAGGGGCAGCAGAGGGAAAGTTCCCCTTTCTCTGTAGCTCTGCAGGCCACACGCTGCCAAAGGCGGCACGATGTCAGCCAAGGTGGGAGAATGGAGCTGAATGGTGTAGCTATTTGTTGTGTGTGGTTCAGAGCTTCAAAGCCTATTAGCTTTCATTAGGAGCCAAGTCATGACACCAACATGATCTACATAATGCTTAATGCAGCAGCTTCCAGATTTGCCCCAAATGTGAAGTGGGTGGTCAGGGCAACCTGTGGGCTGTTGAGGGAAATGTGAGGTGTGGAAAGAGAGATGCAGGATAGTGAACAGGTAGGAGCATTTTTTTGGCAGGTGGGAGGAAATCAAAAGGAGTGTTTGATAAATTCTTGGGGCCTCTTACGATTGCTGTCTAGCAGGGTGGTCTGGGTAACATTCAGGTCTGTAGTGGGGTAGCAGTTTGGTCAGCGACTCCCCTGAGACTAGGTTCCTTGATAAGCCATGTTCATTTCATTTCAATTCACGTTTTCTCCTAGGCCGCCTCCGCCAGCAGTAATATAAGGTTTCAATCTAATTGCCGGCTACTTGAGATGTGTCCGTCTTAGACACGGGGAGTTGGGAGGCCCACAGTGAGAAGGCAACTAGATAAGTGTTCCAGTGTGGAGCCAGCCAGATGGCTATTAAATGTCTTGTGAAGGAGCTGGGCCAGGAACCCGTAGGAGAAGGTTCCTGCCGCACAGCCGGGTCTGTGGTCACATTGCTGAATGTAGCCTCCCAAGAATTGTAGGGTGGGCTGAATGCTCCTGCTTCCTGAGGGCGTATATGTACTATGCATCCCCTGATTTCAAGGAAAAACTCAGGAAATACGTGGTCCAAGGAGAAAGGGGCCTCAATGGGCTTTTTTGTTGTTGTGATTTTGCAAGCAATCCTGAAGTGAATGCCCACAAACTGCCCACACAATATGAATAGCAGCATTCATTTCCCAGGGCAGTGAGGCCAGAGCCAGGCCTGTTGGGAGATCCTGCCCTCCCTCAGCCTCTGGGTATCTTCAGCTCTGTGGCCACTTTCCCCTGACGCAGGTTTGGGATGGTGCAAGCCGGAGGGGATTAGCAGATACCAGGAGCTTCTTCCCTCTGATCCCTGCTCTTGGACTGTCTCCTTTCGGTCTTGGACCTTTTGCTTGGCTTCTTCACCTCAGTTTCTCTATCTATAAAATGGGGATAATGGTGTTTACTTACTTACCTCATGAGTGTTATAGGAATTAATTACTGTTTGTAAAGTACTTTGAAGATGAAAAGTGTGATGTGACATCATCATTATGATGATGAAATATCTTCCATCGTTACCGGCCAGATTCTGCCAGATTCAAGCAAACATTTCATTTTGGGTTCCAAATGAGACCTTCACAGCCACACATGCGTGAGTCAGTGCACACACACATGGTCTCACGGAATATCGAGAGGTGGAGAACAACAGAAGCCATTTTCACCTAAGAAAGCCTTCTTCCTGTAATCCCAGCACTTTTGGAGGCCTAGGAGGGCAGATCACGAGGTCAGGAGATCGAGACCATCCTGGCTAACACGGTGAAACCCCATCTCTACTAAAAATACAACAAAAAATTAGCCGGGTGTGGTGGTGGGCGCCTGTAGTCCCAGCTACTCGGGAGGCTGAGGCAGGAGAATGGCGTGAACCTGGGAGCTTGCAGTGAGCCAAGATCGCCCCACTGCACTCCAGCCTGGGAGACAGAGTGGGACTCCATTTCATAAAAAATAAATAAATAAAAATAAATTTAAAAAAATTAAAATTAAAATAAAAGAAAGGCTTCTTCCTATTTATGGGGCAATGGTAGTCAGGAGATTCGGGGGGTGACAAGTGGCAGTGATCAGTGGCTCCAAGATACAAAATAGTCTATCATGTATATGGTTCAGCAGGAGCAGAGCCAACCATTTCCACTTCAACCATGTGCTCACGGTACACAGCATAGATGCTAATGATGCCTTCTTATGGATAATTTTTGTCCTTACTTTTGTGGTAGGAGAGCCATAACAGGTTGGGCATATAAAACCCATCTGCCACCTTGACTTTCACAAAGATGAAGTGCCTCTGCAAAGTTTCCTTCCATAAAAGGCCACAGAAACAAAAACATTCTCAGGATTTCAGTATCTTAAAGTATTAGATCATCCCTCTTCTCCAATGAGTATAATCTAACTTTTTGGAATGTTTAGAGGCAAAAAGTGAAATTTTGTCAAACTACCTTTTATTTGCATTCTGGTGTTGTCCTATGGCTGACTGTGGGAATGTTTTCTCATTCTTTGTCCTCATCTGGTTAAAAAACAGTGTGTGTGGCAGATTGTGTTTGTTAGTGGGGCTGAATATGTGGGGATGCTAGGGCGAGATTATTAAAGAAAGAAGGGTCTGTACTGGGGGAAGAAATCGGTTAAGTTAGAGTTTATATCTGGCCCCTGTGGTTGATTTATTTGAAAGTGTTAAGCTTCTAATGTAGCATAGGCAAAATTTACTTAAATCTAATTTTGCTATGAAAGAAAAATCGGCAACAACCCAAATTCCAGAAGAAACCATTTATGATTATGCTGTTTGTTTATATAATAATCTAGATACTTCTTTTCCTAGTAGAGTAATTACATCTAGGAAGCCAGGAGGTAACTATGCGAATTACCCTGAAGGGCAGGAACACCAGGTAGGGAACAAGCCAACTCAAATTATGTATTCAAATGGAGCGCACAAAGCTTTCCCGTTTATGGCAGATTGTGTTCTTGACATGGAGTTTGAAAATCCAAATACTGTAAGTCAAATGTGATTTCTAAATAGAAACCGTTGTGTAATAGGAAGTTAGGCCCTGGTTACAGGTATAATGGCCAATTGGTTTCTTTATTACAAAAGTAATTCATGTTCATGATTTTTAAAACTAAATAAGAAAAAAGTATTCATAATCCTTCTGCCTAGAGATAACCACTGTTTATGTTTCAGTGACACTGTTCTTTCAGAACTTAGATGTATGTGTTTTTTTTAAAAAATGAATAATACTGAACATAAGGTTTTATAACCTTTTAAATACATTTATTATAAAATTTTGCCACATTAATAAAATAAATTTTAGTGTGGGTTGATACAATTATAAATAAGGGTGGTACAGATTGCCATATGCATACTGGCTATGTATTTCTTAAAACTGGAATTTCTTGTTCGTATTCCAAGCCTATGTTTTTTATTTTCATTTTTATTTTATTTTTTATAATTTCAACTTTTACTTTCAATGCAGGGGGTACATATACAGGTTTGTTACATGGGTATATTGCATGATGCTGAGGTTTGGGATGCAAATGATCTGTCACAGGTAGTGAGCATAGTACCCAATGGGTAGTTTTTCAGCCCTTGTCCCTCTCCCTCTCTCCCACTTCTTGCAGTCACTAGTTTCTATTTTTCCCATCTTTACGTCCATTTGTACCCAATGCTTAGCTCCCATTTATAATTGAGAACATGCAGCATTTGGTTTTCTGTTCCCGTGTTAATTCACCAAACCTGTTTTTTAAAATGGAAAGTTGATTTTATTGTCATCATAATCATCATCATTAGTTCATTAGAGATGTTAAAAATGAAGACATTAACCTCTCATGAGACATGTTTTCCGAATATTTGTACAATTTTTTCTTTTAACTTTTATAGCATTTTCTTTTGAAATTTTATAGCATTTTATTTTGATTTAAGAAAAAAATGTTTAAATTTTGTATAATTGTATCTATATATTCTTTATAATTTTTGCATTGGTGTCATGCTTAGAAAACTTCTTATATCCTCAAATTATGTAAATATTCACCATTAACTTAGCCTATAACTGTATATGCACACACACACACACACACAGACACACATTTAGTTCTGAAATTATTTGTGTATGTCTTGTGGGGAGATTAGAAATACTTGGTAATTTTTGGTAGACAGAGTCCCAGGAATGAGGAACTAATTTTTCCTCATTTCTATTTTTTTTATTTTTTTTTCTGAGTAGGCAAAAGTAGACTTCACGTTATTTGGTTATCTGTGACCTTTCTAAGGCTTTCTTGGACTTCCATTTTATTAGCACGTACTCCTTCCCCTTTTTAGCAATGATGTTATAAAAATTACCTGTCTTGAAACTGTATAGCCAGTTTCCTATTTGCAGAGAATTTTCACCTTCTGATCCCTCTACATGTTGCTGCTCCATGTCAACATGCCTTCAAAATCTGTTTCAGTCCTGAACCTGTTGAGACCTTGGTTTGAATCCTGAATCCATAAAATGAAAATTTTGTCTCTTTGGCCATACTTGGTGTTTCAACAGTCCCTCGCAGAGCACTACTCTGTCTCAAATGCCAGATTCTACTTTTAGCTCCTATTATCTAGCTGAGTGATCTTGAGCAACTTATTTAATCTCTCTGAGCCTCAGTTTCCTCAATTGTAAAATGGGATTAATAATAACCTTCCTTAGCTACTTCACAACCTTATTGTGAAGATCAAGTGAGATCGTGGTTGTAAAAGTGCTCAGTAAGCTGTAAAACAATATACAAACATAAGGTGTTATTATTTCCCTTTTATTTGACATTATAAAGGATTGAATATGGTATTATGTGTGAGTATAAAGTAATAAGGATCATTTTTAAAGTAACATGCCAGGCTATAAACATCCAAATAAGTGCAATCCTTTCAGTAGGCCTCAAAAGAAGCCTCAAATTAACTTTTACATTGTTATGCTTGCCCAAAACCTATTTTTAACTTCCTTTGGGATAGTTGTCTTTGGGATAGTTGCACACATTCTCCCTTGGTGGAATATTTTCTTTCTTATTTACATACTTCACCTTTTCCTCCCACCCTCCTTTTTGCCTTGAACCTCCTGCTCAGAGGAGCTGAAGGGGATAGAGGCAGTGGTAGGCAGAAAGATCTCAGGCAATGGGGCTACATGGAAGGCAGGACTAGTCTGCATGACCAGATTGAAATTGGCTGCTGGAGAGTGTCTTTTTGAGGTCCAAATCAAGAACAAGACTGGTTTTAACACAGTTTTAATCTGATGTTTGCTGTAGACCTACCTTTAGAGTACTGGTAAATCCATGACAAACAGGAATACTCAGAAAGCAGACCTTACCCTTTGCTGAGGTCTGTCTGTTCAGTCTCATCAAGAAATATCTGTAGAATTATAGAAGGCGCAATGGAATAAAAGTAAATAAACCTGAATTCTGGTTCTGGCTCTGCAATAAAGAACTAAGTGACTGAGTGATATTAGGTCCTGAGGTTTAGTTCCCTCATTCTCCAAACAAGGAAATTGAAGGAGATGGTCTTTAAAATTATTTTATTTTACCTTGAAAATGCTAGGATTCCAAAAGCCTTCCTTGTCATGATTTTATAGAGGTACAAAACATTTCCTAGTTCTGCAACTTTGGGCAAGTTAGTTAATATATTAGTCCATTTGTGTTACTATAAAGGAATACCTGGGATTGAGTAATTTATCAAGAAAAGAGGTTTATTTTGGCTCATATTTCTGCAGACTGTACAAACAAGCATGGCACCAACATTTGCTTTACTTCTGGTGAGAGCCTCAAGAAGCTTACAATAATGGCAGAAGGTGAAGGGGGAGCCAGGGCATCACATGGTGAGAGAAAGAGAGAGAGCAAGAGAGAGAAGGGGGAGGTCCCAGACTCTTTTAAACAACCAGATTTCCTGTGACGTTACAGAGTAAGAACGCAGCCATTACCACAAGGATGGCACCGAAACATTCATGAGGGGTCCACCCTCATGACTCAAACACCTTCTACTAAGCCCCACCTCCAACACTGGGGAAATCATATTTTAACGTGAGACTTAGAGGGGACAAACATCCAAACCATGTAATTCTGACCCTGGGCCCCAAATAGCATGTTCTTCTCACATTGCAAAATACAATTATCCCCTCCCAATAGTCCCCCCCAAATCTTAACTTGTTCCAGCATCAACTCAAAAGTCCAAAGTCTCATTTAAGATTCAAGGCATGTTCTTTCCAACTATGAGCCTGTAAAATCAAAACAAGTTGTTTACTTCCAAGATACAATGGTGGTACAGGCATTAGGTAAATATTCCCATTCCATAAGGGAGAAACTAGCCAAAAGAAAGAGGCAATGGGCCCCATACAAGTCTGATACCCAAGAGGGCAGTTATTACATCTTAAAGTTTCAAAACAATCTTTGGGTCCATGTCCCACATCCTGGGCACATTAGTGTCCTGGACAGGTTCCCAAGGCCTTGGGCAGCTCTGCCCCCATGGCTTTTCCATGCTGAGGTTACAAGCTGCTGGTGGCTGTGCCATTCTAGGATCTGTAGCTAGTGGCCCCATTTCTACAGCTCTACTAGGGGCTGCCCCAGTGGGGACTCTGTTTGGGGGCTCCAACTCCACATTTCCCCTTAGCACTGCCCTGGTAGAGTGTCTCTGTGGGGGCTTCATCCCCCCAGCAGGGTTTTGCCTAAGCACCTAGGCTTTTCCATGCATCTTCTGAAATTTAGGCAGACACTGCCAAGCCTCCTTCACTCTTGCATTCTGTGCACCTGCAGGCTTAACACTACATAGCAACCACCAAGGCATATGGAGGCTTGCACTTTCGGAAGTGGCAGCGTGAGCTATATCTGGGGCCCTTTAAGCCACAGCTGGAGTTGGAGCAACTGGATGCAGGGAGCAGTGTCCTGAGGCTGAGCATGGTAGCAGTGCCTTGAGCCTGGCCCTTGAAACCATTCTTCCATCCTAGGTCTCTGGGTCTGTGATAGGAGGAGCTGTCCTGAAGACTTCTGAAATGCCTTCAAGGCTTTTTCACATTGCCTTGGCTATTAGTACCTGGCTCCCTTTTAGTCATGCAAATCTCTCTAGCAAATGGATACTTTACAGCCTGCTTCAGTTCTGCTCCTGAAAATACTCTTTTCTCTCTACCAAAGGGCCAGGCTGCAAATTTTCCAATTTTTTACACTGTGCTTCCCTTTTAATTAAAAGTTCCAATTTAAATCATTCCTTTGCTCCTGTGTCTGATTGCAGGGTGTTAGAAGCAGCCACACTGCTTCTTGAATGCTTCAGTGCTTAGAATTTTCTTCCACTAAATTTCCTAAGTCATCACTCTTAAGTTCAACCTTCCACAAAGCCCTAAGACATGGACACAATGTAGCCAAATTATTTGCTAGGGCATAACAAACCTTTACTTCACTTCCCAATAAATTCTTCTTTTCCATCTGAGACCTCATAGGACTAGACGTTACTGTCCATATTGTTACCAGCATTCTGTGGTCACAACTACTCTAAGAAGTTCCAAACTTTCCTTTGTCTTTCTGTCTTCTTCTGAGATCTCCCAACTCTTCCAGCCTCTGCTCTTTACCCAGTTCCAAAGCCACTTCCACATTTTTAGTTCACTTTATAGCAATGCCCCACTCCTTCATAGCAATTTTCTGTGTCAGTCCATTGCTGTTACTATAAAGGAATACTTGAGACTGGGTAACTTATAAAGAAAAGAGGTTTATTTTGGCTTATGGTTCTGCAGGCTGTATAAGCATGGCACCAACATCTGCTCGGCTTCTGGTGAGGGCCTCAGGAAGCTTACACTCATGGTGGAAGGAAAAGGGGAGTCAACACATCACATGTTGTATTAGTCCATTTTCACACTGCTGATAAAGACATACCCAAGACTGGGCAATTTACAAAAGAAAGAGGTTTATTTGACTCACTGTTCCATGTGGCTGGGGAGGCCTCATAATCATGGCAGAAGGTGAAAGGAACATCTCACATGGTTGCAGACAAGAGAAGAGAGTTTTTGCAGGGAAACTCCCCTTTTTAAAACCATTAGATCTCATGAGACTTACTCAGTATCACAAGAACAGCATGGGAAAGACCTGCCACCATGGTAATTGAATAATTACCTCTCACCAGGTCCCTCCCACAACATGTGGGAATTCAAAATGAGATTTGGGTTGGAGACACAGGAAAACCATATCACATGCTGAGACAGAGCCAGAGAGAAGGGGGAGGTTTCAGACCCTTTTAAACAACCAGATCTTCTGTGAATTCATAGAGCAAGAACTCACTCATTACTGTGAGGATGGCACCAAGATAGATATTCATGAAGGATCCACCTCCACGACCAGAATACCTCCTACCAGGCCCCAGCTCCAACATTTGGATCACATTTCAACATGAGATTTGGAGGGGACACACTTCTAAACCATGTCAGCTAACCTGTCTGAATCTCAGTTTCATCATCTATAAACTGGGGAAAGTATCTATTTTATATATATATATATATATATGTATGTATCTATTATATATATTTATATATTATTAGACTTTTTGTAAAAACTAACTGATAAAATGTATGTGAAAACATTTGGCTCAATGCTCAATGCTCAATTTCAACAGAGTAAATGCTCAATAAACATTAGACATACTTTGTTCTTTTCATTTTATTATTCTCATGGAGGAGAATTTACTCTAAATTTTAAGTTTATTTCATAAATATTGTCAGTATTACTATTGCTATTATTGTTATAATATCTCAAACTGAGACTTCTTTTCTATTCACCCTAGTTCTGTACTCCAGGGTCAGTTGGCAGCTATAGATCTGTCTTCAGCAAAAGTCTGAGCACTTCATTCTTCATCAATACTGAATAGATGCAGACTCTTTCAGATGAATCTGTGAGCTCAGATTGAGTTGCAGTAAATCTGCCAACATAAGTAATGCATTCTCTCCAAAACTTCTCTTTGTTCTGCCTTTTCAGCAGCAATCTGTTCTTCCTTTTCAATCTCTCTAGTATCACTGTAGAAGCAGAGATCAGGTATGACTTCCCACAGGTGCTCAGGGGAAATAGTGCCACACCCAAGCAGGACCTCATAGGCCAGCAACCATTATGTCAGATGTCAGACCCTTTTAGTGAGTACCCTCATTTTTGCACAAGATGTCAATATCCTATGCAAAACAGAGTTGAGGAATCTCTGTTACGTAGCGCAGTAGTGAGCAGGTTAGTAGCAGATGCCTTTGGAAGATATTAATATTCAGTTCACTAAAGGAGGAGGATCCTAGAAAGCTGCCTAAATGTTCTGGGAATAAAGTGTCCAACAAAACAGATGGATCCTAGGGCAGGAGCAAGCTCCAGTACAGCAGGCTGGTTAGTATACCTGGAGAATAATGGCTGCTGGGTTTTCAATTGTTACAATGGCCTGAGATTCATAAAGAACCTTCTCCAGATCCATTTTAGGTTTAATGTATAGATATCACCACTTTTCTTTTTGTGGATATACTTATCCATCTGAAAGCAAATATTGATGCCACCCAAGTAGGCTCCTGAAGAAAGGAATTTAAGGATATTCTTTTCTTTCATCTGTAGGAATCAGAAGTATTAGATACTGAAAAATTTCCCTTTAAGTTAAGCCAGTAACCAAAGACAAATCTATATGGACCTCTCTGTGAGTAATACAGAGTGTCTTAATTGTTATTCAAAAAAGTTATTTTTTGTTTCTGTTGAAGGATCTAAACAGCTGGGACTCCAGCCTGGACAACAGCATGAGACTCCATCTTTAAAAAAAAATTAGCCTGGCCTCTCCCTCTCTCCCTCTCCCCTCTCCCCTCTCCCCTCTCCCCTCTCCCCTCTCCCCCTTCCCACGGTCTCCTTCCACGGTCTCCCTCTGATGCCGAGCCAAAGCTGGACGGTACTGCTGCCATCTCGGCTCACTGCAACCTCCCTGCCTGATTCTCCTGCCTCAGCCTGCCGAGTGCCTGCGATTGCAGGCGCGCGCCGTCACGCCTGACTGGTTTTCGTTTTTTTTTTTTGGTGGAGACGGGGTTTTGCTGTGTTGGCCGGGCTGGTCTCCAGCTCCTAACCGCGAGTGATCCGCCAGCCTCGGCCTCCCGAGGTGCCGGGATTGCAGACGGAGTCTTGTTCACTCAGTGCTCAATGGTGCCCAGGCTGGAGTGCAGTGGCGTGATCTTGGCTCGCTACAACCTCCACCTCCCAGCTGCCTGCCTTGGCCCCCCAAAGTGCCGAGATTGCAGCCTCTGCCCAGCCGCCACCCCGTCTGGGAAGTGAGGAGCGTCTCTGCCTGGCCCCCCATCGTCTGGGATATGAGGAGCCTCTCTGCCTGGCTGCCCAGTCTGGAAAGTGAGGAGCGTCTCTGCCCGGCCGCCATCCCATCTAGGAAGCGAGGAGCGCCTCTTCCCCGCCGCCATCCCATCTAGGAAGTGAGGAGCGTCTCTGCCCGGCCGCCCATCGTCTGAGATGTGGGGAGCACCTCTGCCCCGCCGCCCTGTCTGGGATGTGAGGAGCGCCTCTGCTGGGCCGCAACCCTGTCTGGGAGGTGAGGAGAGTCTCTGCCCGGCCGCCCCGTCTGAGAAGTGAGGAAACCCTCTGCCTGGCAACCGCCCCGTCTGAGAAGTGAGGAGCCCCTCCGTCCGGCAGCCACCCCGTCTGGGAAGTGAGGAGCGTCTCCGCCCGGCAGCCACCCCGACCGGGAGGGAGGTGGGGGGGGGTCAGCCCCCCGCCCGGCCAGCCGCCCCGTCCGGGAGGTGAGGGGCGCCTCTGCCCGGCCGCCCCTACTGGGAAGTGAGGACCCCTCTGCCTGGCCAGCCGCCCCGTCCGGGAGGGAGGTGGGGGGGTCAGCCCCCCGCCCGGCCGGCCGCCCCGTCCGGGAGGTGAGGGACGCCTCTGCCCGGCCGCCCCTACTGGGAAGTGAGGACCCCTCTGCCTGGCCAGCCGCCCCGTCCGGGAGGGAGGTGGGGGGGTCAGCCCCCCGCCCGGCCGGCCGCCCCGTCCGGGAGGTGAGGGGCGCTTCTGCCCGGCCGCCCCTACTGGGAAATGAGGAGCCCCTCTGCCCGGCCACGACCCCGTCTGGGAGGTGTGCCCAGCGGCTCATTGGGGATGGGCCATGATGACAATGGCGGTTTTGTGGAATAGAAAGGCGGGAAGAGTGGGGAAAAAATTGAGAAATCGGATGGTTGCCGGGTCTGTGTGGATAGAAGTAGACATGGGAGACTTTTCATTTTGTTCTGTACTAAGAAAAATTCTTCTGCCTTGGGATCCTGTTGATCTGTGACCTTATCCCCAACCCTGTGCTCTCTGAAACATGTGCTGTGTCCACTCAGGGTTAAATGGATTAAGGGCGGTGCAAGATGTGCTTTGTTAAACAGATGCTTGAAGGCAGCATGCTCGTTAAGAGTCATCACCACTCCCTAATCTTAAGTACCCAGGGACACAAACACTGCGGAAGGCCGCAGGGTCCTCTGCCTAGGAAAACCAGAGACCTTTGTTCACTTGTTTATCTACTGACCTTCCCTCCACTATTGTCCTATGACCCTGCCAAATCCCCCTCTGCGAGAAACACCCAAGAATGATCAATAAAAAAAATAAAAAATAAAAAAAAAAAACAAACAAAAAAAAAAATAAAAAAAAAATAAATAAATAAACAGCTGGAAAGAATTTTGCTCTTATTCTTACCAAACCAGACAAACTGCAAATTTATGCATTTCCTTGAACCCATCAAGGAACTAAGGTTGCAGGGCAACCAGCTGGCTCCTAGTCTAAGGAGAAACAGGTGCCCCAGGAAGAGAAATGCATATACTGGCATACACAGGTGGATTCGACTGAACACAAGTAAAAGGAGTTCAATGGGGTGGTTGGGGATGTGGTAGAGGCCAATGGGGAGCTGGTGTAAGAATGGGAAGCTCCTTGGGGCATTGAAATTGCCTTTTTCAGGTTTTTCTCCACAAATGTCACCAGGTACTCCCAGAAAAAGAATGAAGAAAGTTAAGTTTAACAAGTTGTCCTTTGGGTGCAGCATGGAGGATGAGAAGCAACTGCTGTTGGAGGGGCAATTAACTCCACTCAGATGCTTTTCTCTCCCTTACTACTTATGGAACAGAAGCCTGATTCTGCGGAAGGATGGGCTATAAACACTGCTGTGCTTGGGGCACTGGTGAAAACACAATAAAACTATGGGAAGGGAATAGTTAAAAAAAACGGTGGGGAGCAGCCTCTGGGCCCATAACAATAGCCTGAGATGACAAGAGCACAGAGGAGGACCTCTAAGATCAGAAATAAGGCAAGGCTGTTCTCTATCCCCAGTCCTATTCAATATTATGCTGTACGTTCTAGCCAGTGCAATCAATACAAAAAGAAAGAAAGGAAAGGAAAGGAAAGAAAGAAAGAAAGAAAGAAAGAAAGAAAGAAAGAAAGAAAGAAAGAAAGAAAATAGAAAAATAAGATTGTCTCTATTTACTCGTGTCTGTGTAGAAAATCTCAAAGAATTTACAAAACAGTTCCTAAAACTAGTAAGTTTAGTAAAGGTTGCAGAATACAAGATCACTATAAAAAAATTAAATTGTACTTCTATATACTGACAAAGAAAAAGTGAACTCCCAAGTTGAAAACATATATGCTGGAGTGACATCAGCAAGATGGTTGAGTACAACTCCCCCGTGCTCTTCAAAGACAGCCAGAACAATGAATAAACAATTATGTTTTAACGAAAATAACTGAGAGGGACCTCTGGAGTGCATCATGGGAGTGACAGAAACCTGTTGAGCACAGAAACTAAGGAGGACCACATAGAGAATGTAAGAAAATGCCTGGCTTCTACCACTTCATCCCCCAACTGGGATCAGCTGGGAACCAGGAGGAACTTCTCCCTATGGTGAGGAGGTAAGCAAAAGGATCCTAGCAATCCCCATCAGCGCCCTGGACACCTATAAACCTCACCACTGCAGTCCTCTGCAGTTCTCACAGGCACCAAGCCCAGCTGAGGGAGCTGCCTGGAGTCCACATAGCTGTGCTTTCCACAGGGAAGGAGCTGACACTGTGCCCTCTCCCCTGTGACCCACACAGCTACTGTGCTACACTATCTTTGAACTGGAACTATGGCTGAAATGTGTCTTGCTTCAGGGGCAAGTAGCCACAGCTCCCCTTCATCCCTGAGGCTAAGCCATCACTGAACCACCCCAGCCCGGTGGCCTGACATCCACAAGTTGAGCTGCAAATAGCTATTACACCCTTCCCTGTGGAGCCAAGCAGAGGTGGAAGTGATTTGCTTACCCGTCCCTGTGCTGTCCTGGGCAGAAGCTGAAGAAAATAGTACCTTAGCTACTCAGAGAAGCCATATCTCTCTGGTACCTAAGCTGAAGCAGTGCCCTGCGTCCCTTGGAAACAGTTCCTTGACCACCCAGAATGGTCATGCACCCCAATACCTAAGTTGAAGTGGCACGCTGCATTCCAGGGAAATGATGTCTGGGCTTCCTGGAAAAGTCATGTCCCCCAGGCCTGAGCTGAAGCAGCACATCTTCCTCTGGGAAAGGAAAAAGAGAAAAAGAAGCTCATTTTATAATGACAAAGGGATCAATTCAGAAAGCGAATATAAGAATTGTAAATACATAGGTACCAAATATAGAGGTATCCAGATATGTAAGGCAAATGTTATTAGATTTAAAGGAAGAGATAGACTCCAATACAGTAACAGTTGAGGACGTCAATACCCCACTCTCAGCATTGGACAGATTATCCAGACAGACAGAAAATCAGCAAAGAAACATTGGATTTAAAATGCATTTTAAACCAAACGGACCTAACAGACATTTATAGAACATTTCATTCAATAGTTGCAGAATGTACATTCTTTTCACCAGCACATGGAACATTCTCCAGGATAGAACACATATTAGGCCACAAAATAAGTCTCAACAAATGTAAAAGAATTGAAATCATATCAAGTATCTTTTCTGACCACAATGGAATAAAACTAGAAATCAACAACAAAAGGAAATTTGGAAACTGTACAAACACATGGAAATTAAACAGCATGCTCCTGAAAGACCAATGGGGCAATGAGGAAATTAAGAAGAAACATTTAAAATTTATTGAAACAAATGAAAATACACACACAACACCAAAACAAATGGGGTACAGCAAAAGCAGCATTAAGAGGTAAGTTTATAGAAATCAACTCTTACATCAAAAGAGTAGAAAGATTTCAAATAAACAACTTAATGATGCATTTTGAGGAACTGGAAAAGCAAGAACAAACCAAACCCAAAATTAGTAGAAGAAATAATAAAGATCAGAGCAGAAATAAATAAAATTGAGACTAAAAAAATGCAAAAAATCAACAAAAGTTTTTTTTTAATGTAAACAAATCCACACACTATTAGCTAGGCTAACCAAGAAACAAGAGAAAAGACCCAATAAATAAAATAGAAATGAAAAAGGAGATATTACAACTGATACCACAGAAATACAAAGGATCACTAGAGATTATAAGAGCAGCTGTATGATAGTAAATTAGAAAATCTAGCAGAAATGATTAAAATGGATAAATTTCTCTATACATATTATCTGAAAAGATTAAACCAAGAAGAAATAGAAAACATGAGCAGATAAATTATAAGCAACAAGATGAATCTATAATAAAGTCTCCCATCGAAGAGAAGCCCAGGACCTGATGGCTTTACTGTGAAATTCTATCCAACTTTTAAAGAAGAAATAATACCAATTCTTCTAAAACTATTCCAGAAAATTAAAGAGGAGGGAGTTCTTCCAAACTTATTCTACAAGACCAGCATTACCCTGATACCAAAACCAGACAAAGACAAAACAACAACAAAAAACTACAGGCCAATATCCCTGTTGAACATAAGTGCAAAAATCCTCAACAAAATCCAAGCAAACCAAATCTAGCAGCATTATTAAAAGATTATTCACCATAATCAAGTGGTATTTATCCCAGAGATTCAAGAATGATTCAACATATGCAAATCAATAAACATGATACATCACATTAACAGAATGAAGAACAAAAACTGTGTGTGTCTCAATAAATGCAGAAAAGCATTTGATAAAACTCAATGATTTTTCATGATAAAAATTATCAACAAGTTAGGTATAGAAGGAATGTATTCCAATGCAATAAAGTCTATATATGACAAACTTATAGTCAGCATCATACTGAAAGGGGAAAATGTTGAAAGCTTTTCCTCTGCAACCTGGAACAAGACAAGGAAGCCCACTTTCATCATTTGTATTCAACAGGGTACTGGAAGCCCTAGCCAGAACAATTAGGCCAAAGAAAGAAACAAAAGGCATCCAAATTGGAAAAAAAGAAGTTAAATTATCCCTGTTTGCAGATGACATGATCTCATATGTAGAAAACCCTAAGTTCCACCAAAAAAAATCTCTTAGGACTGATAAACAAATTCAGCAAAGTTGCAAGATAAAAAATCAAGGAAAAAAATCAACAGGGTTTCTATACACCAACAATAAACTATCTGAAAAAGAAACCAAGACAACAACCTCACTTACAATAGCGATAAAAATAAATAAATAAATAAAATACCCAGGAATATGTTTAACCAAAGAGGTGAAAGATCTCTACAGAGAAAACTATAAAACAATGCTGAAAAAAGTTGAAGACACACACAAAAAAGGAAAGATATCCCATGTTCATAGATTAGAAGAATTAATATTATGAAAATGACCATACCACCAAAGCAATCTACAAATTCAATGCAATCCTCTATCAAAATACCAATGACATTTTTCACAGAAGTAGAAAAAATATTCCTAAAATTCATATGGAACAAGAAAAGACTGAATAACCAAAGCAATCCTGAGCAAAAACAGCAATAACAAAAATAAAAACAAAGCTGAAGGAATCACACTATCAAACTACAAAGCTGTAGTAACCAAAGCAATACGTTACTGGCAATGGAACAAAATACAGACCCCAGAAATAAGTCCACTTATTTTCAGCCAAATGATGTTCTTTTTCTTTTTTGGTGGGAAGTTCATTGATTTTTACAATCAAAATTCGTCTATGAATCTGATAAAGACCTTCAGACAATTTGAAGTTTTGCAAATAAGGTTTGGGAAGCCCTCTTGTAGACCAGTTTTGTCCTCAAGTCTGTCCCCCAGAAGCCATCAGAAGTCTCCATCACCCCTGGGCTCCAGATTGCTTTTGGCCCTACTCCCAGGAGATTTGGGGGCAGGGATCTCCCTTTCCTATTCATCGTTCTCACCCCCACCCTTTTCAGCGATGGAGCTGGAGTTCCAGGCCCACGTGGTGAATGAGATCGTGAGTGTCAAGAGGGAGTATGTAGTTCAGCTGGTGCCCTGCTTCCAGGTGCCAGTGAGTCAAGTCAGGAAGAGGATGACAGGAGGGCTAATGGAGGCAGGAAGGTGGGGGATGCAGGGCCAGAGGCATGAACCCACACCCCTGCTGCCCACTCCCCATCTCCCGCTGGAAAACCCCAGTTTTTCCCCTTCCAGTTGAGCCTGAATAACACAGCGCTAAAGTCCATCATAGCTCTATTGGCGCCTGAGGGGCACTTATATTGGCCGTCATGTGTAGGGGGGCTGCTGCCCCTCCAGGCCATCAAGCGCATTGTTTCCAAGATGACACTGCTGCTGGGCTACCTCTCTTACGCTCCTCCCTGGTGCAGGCCCTGCCCAGCATCTCCTGCAACCCGCTCCTCAGTAAGTTCTACTTCCTTACCTGGCCTTCCTGGTTTCTCCCACCTGCTGTCACCCATACCAGGGTGTTTCAGCTCAGCTCCCTGGACATCAGAGGCACAGGACCTGGCCCCTAACCATCCCACCTGCCCTCCCACCTCCAGTTTACTACATCAGCGTCCTGCTGCTGCTGCTCTTCCTCAGTGCCACAGAGATTGTGCTGCTGGCTGGGCTGCTGGCCTGGGGCAACTTTGGGGCTATGAGCAGCCCCAGACTAGTCCTGAGAGAGGAAAAGCAAGATTATGAGGATCCAGGGTCTAATCCTGAAAGTGGATGGAGGTTGAGGCACCTTCCTGGGGGTGAGGGGTAAGGAATGAGGCCTAAGTCCAGGTTGGAACAGAGAAAAACTGGCAGGTTGCCTGCCTAGGGCTGGGTGAGGTTGCTAGGTGGGTATGGCTCCTTGCACCAACCCTGCTGGCTCTCCTGTCCCTGGACTCCACCATATCCTTTCTTGTTAGAGGCAGATCTGCATCAGGGGCAAGCTTGGCCTCCCTAAAGGCCCAGGTGACCTCAGCTCTCCAAGATAACATGTTGCCTTGTGGAGCCTCTCTAAGATGGTGTTTTTTTCCATCGAAGATGGCCCGCAATGGACCAGACCCAAACGTTCATTAACTGAGACTTTCCAGAAGGGATAGAGTCTGATGACCCCTGGGGTTCATCCTTCTGCTCATGTTGGTTGGTGGGGGGAGCCTGAAGAATGACTCCTTTCTCTGCATCTTTGCCTCATGGAAGCACCCAGAAGAATAAAGTGGTCAAAGAGAAGCTGGGCTGAGACTGTTGACCGTGACTTCTTTCTCATGTATGTGGCCTGGGTGCTGTGCAGCCAATTCATCTTCATGGGAATTTGGATGTGAGCAGCATGCAAGTCCAACTCAGCCCCTAGAGAGGCTGTACCCCATGACAAGCAGCCAAGGCTGTAACTGCATTGGGCCTGGGTTGCAGACTTGAGGATGCAGTTTCGGTTTCCCATGGCTGGGGGTAGAGCCAAGACAGGGTCTCTGGAGAGCTGAGGAGGAAAGTCAGATCTCGTCTCTATCTCCGGAAGACCCTAAACCACCCTGAGCTCTCCCTCTGTTAGCATATAAGCAAAGAGCTTGAAATAAACCCATCCCCAAGTGCGAGTACACCTCAAGGGTCTGTCTTCATTGAACTCAGCTATTCATTCTGATCCTAAGTAGGTAGGCCCTTACTTTTCATCCCCACTTTTCTCCTGAATTTCTCTCCACTGTCCACCAGTCTCCCAGTCCATAGGCATGCAGCCTCACTTCTCCTTCTGCAACCATTGCTGTTTGGCCCTGGGCCAGGAGGCACTAATGCTGGGAAGTGGGAGACGGGGGCCTGGGAAGCAGGCCACAGAGGGTGGGTCAGGGCTCCTTTTCTGAATGCCTCCTAGAGAGTACTGGACCCCAGAGGGAATGGCGAGCAGGCAGGCACTCCTGCCCCCAGTCACCTAGGGGACTCCTAGGAGATGGAACAGCCCCAGACCTCAGGTCTGTGGGCAATGGGGAATGTGTTTTCTGCACAAAATCCAAGAGAACCTGATTGCTTTTCCCCAGGCCTTCTGACTACTCCTCTGAGAACTACCCACATTTCTGGACTGAAAAGGAAGTGCTAGTACCCATTTTTGACTGAGGCCAGAGGTAGGGCTGTTCTGCCCTCCTGCTTTTGGTACACATGAGGCAGCTGTGGGCACAGGCCTCTGTCTTCTTTCTCTCCTATCCTATTTCACAAGCTATCAGCGTCACAAAACCCAAGATGAGAAGGAACCCAGCTTTCTTGGTGAATGCTGGTTTGGTTGGAAACATGGGCTACGGGGAAAAAGCAGAAACCAAGACTAGAGGGCTCAGGGAGGGGGGCTCCTGGATGGGGCAGTGAAGACAAGTCTCTTTCCTAAAGGACTTCAAACTCACCCAGCCCAGAGGCAAGTTATCTGTCCAGTGACCTGGCTAGTCTGGCACAACCAGGCAGGGCTAGCGGAAGACTCAGGCAGAGGTGTTGAAAAGGTGATTGGTCATGTCATCCACCTGCTCCATGTGTATATGTACTTCTCCAGGCTCTTGGTGAAGGACATGCTGCTGAACTTGTGCCGAGAGGCCCCATAGGTTTCCTTGACAATGTTTTTTTGGGCCTGGAAAATCCTGTCCTTCTTCTCTGTGTCTGAAATAGCCCAGGCCTTTTGGATCTTGCACAGTTCTTCAAGGCCATCATTGAAGCCCTTGAAACACTCCTTGATCATCTGCTGCTCCTTTTTCTAGAGTTTGACTCCTGGTTGGAACACAAGTATATTGTTCTCTGTGAAATATTCAGTCACCTTTAGCCAGCTGCACTGGTAAGTCGGGATCTACTGCTCAATATGCTCCCAGTGGGGGTGCTCAGCAGTCTGCTGAGTCACAGCCACCAGCTAGATCAGCTCAGACTTCAGGAACTTGAGGATGTAGTTGTAGTTTTTATGCAGGAAGATGGTGCTCAGAGTTGGGTCCTCATATACCTTGGACTTGCTCAGCAAGTTCAACTGCAGGCTGCCCAGAATTTTACAGATATAGATGCTTAGCAGTCACTTGCTGAACTTGGAACCATGGCTGTGGCTGAAGAACTGGCCTCCTGGGAAGCCAGCATGTTACCCACCATCTCCTGGAAGTCCAGAAGCTGCTGCAGGAAGAGGATGACGTTGCTTGTGAGCATGGTGCCATTCTTGGGCATGTTGCATTCATTGTCGAGGTCATTTTTGATGTTATCCACAAAGTCCTCCAGTGCTTTGGCTCCAATAGACTCTAGGGAGATGATGAGGCCAGGTGATTTGTTCTTGCTGATGGCGGCCATGCCCTAGAGCACCTGGTCAAACTCAGGCTTGCTGTGCTTAGGCCCTGCGGGATGGAGAAGACAGTAAGCACCATGGAAAAGTTGTGTCAAATGATGGCCTCTGAGCAGGAGACAATACTCTCCCCTTCAGGTATCAGCCCATCCAGCACATCCTGTATCAGAGTCAAAGGTCTTCTCCTGATGGTGCTCAGCGATGATGTCAGCCAGCAACTGACACTCACTCTAGGTCAGCTTGACAAAGGTACTGACACAGTGAACGTAGGCATCAGTCTTCATGTCCACCATCTCTCCTGGCCAGCAGCCTATGCTTGTCATTCAAGGCCTCGGACAGGTGCTTAACTTTGAAATTATTCTCTTGACCTTCCAAAGGAAGGAGGTTAGAGCATCCCTTTTCTGCAACTAAGCCATGCTTGGAATGAATACTGTTTTCAGAAGGTTTTGAGCCTTATGACATCCCTGGCCACTTGACTGGCTTTTTGGCAGGTGTCTTTTTCCTCTTGTTGGGGATAGAAGGGCAGTAGGGAATTCCAGAAAAAGAACTGTTCTTCCAGAAATACTTCTCCAGGCCTTGATGAAGCGGTCCAGCTGGCTGGAGCAAATCTTGTAGTAGACATTCATAAATTCTTGGTTGCAGCTGTATTCCACCAGCCAGCAGGCGATGCAGATTACATCCTGGATCACACTCTTGGGCAGGTGCTCCAGGGACATAATCTCCTGTACCTCCAGATCATCATCACCACCGATCAGATCCAGGATGAGCACAGGTGATACAAACTTATTGTGCCTGGTCATCAGGCTGCAGAGCTCAGATGTGTGTTCTGGGCTGTCTGGGCTATTGTCCTGGAAATACTCCACAGCCTTCTGAATCTTAGCCATGCTTCCCAGATACTCTTCCGGCCTACCTGTGGGGCCCTCTCTGATGATCTGCTAAGTGTCACTGGCAACATGGTAAGAGTTGATGATGTGGTCCAGGATGGATAGCGTCTTCTCAAAATTGTCTTGCAGCTGCTGCAGATTATCTGTCTGCTTGTGCACCAGGATGATGGAATTCTCCAGCTTTATATGGTAGCTCTCATATGATGACAGGATAGACATCATGTTCTTGGTGAGCTGGTCACTTTTCTCCAGGCTGTCTTGAATATAGGACAGCACCTCCTCCTCCTGATTCAGCTTCTCTTCAATCTCTGGCAGCCAGGTGAATGCCTCCAGTGGAAGGATCATATCTGCAAACCCTATGGCTCCCACTTCCTAGTTTCACTCCTCAGCGCTCCCCACCCTGCAACTGACTATAAATAAAGGCACTAAGAGCATTCATTGGTGGGAGGGACAGTTTCTTCAATAAATGGTGCTGGGAAAACTGGATAGCCACGTGCAGAAAAATGAAACTAGAACCCTATCTCTTACCATATAAAACAATAAACTCAAAATGGGTTAAAGATTTAAATATAAGACCCAAAACTATGAAACTAGTAGGAGAAAATATAGGGTAAACACTTAAGGACATTGGTCTGGGCAAAGAGTTTATGGAGAAGACCTTAAAAGCACATGTAATGAAAGCAAAAATAGATAAGTGGGATTATATGAAACTAAAAACTTCTGTGCAGCAAAGAAAGCAACCAACAGAGTGAAGCGACAACCTGCAGAATGGGAGAAGATATTTGCAAACTATCCATCTGACAAGGGATTAAATCCAGAATATATAAGGAACTCAAACAAGTCAACAGCAAAATAATAATCATAATTCATTAAAACATGGGCAAATGAGCTGAATAGACATCCCTTGTAAGAAGAGATACAAATGGCCAACAGGTACATTAAAAATGCTCAATGTCATTAATCATCAGGAAAATGCAAATCAAAGCCACAAAGAGATACTATCTTACCACAGTTAGAAAGGCTTTTATCAAAAAGATAAAAAGTAACAAATGCTGGGGAGGATGTGGAGAAAAGGGAACTCTTACATGCTATTGGTGGGAATGTGAACTAGTACAGCCATTATGGAAAACAGTATGGAGGTTCCTTAAAAAACTAAAAGTAGAGCTAACACATGATCCAGCAATCCCACCACTGGGTATATATCCAAAGAAATATGGAGCATGTTAAAGAGATGTCTACTCTTTCATGTTTACTGCCCCAGTATTAACAATAGCTAGGATATGGACTCAGATTAATCTAAGTGTCCATCATCAGATGAATGAATTAAAAAAAGTTACATATAGACAATTGAATACTATTTAGCCATAAAAATAACAAAGTTCTGTCATTTGTGAGAACATGGATGAGCTTCGAGGATATTATATTAAGTGAAATACACCACACAAAGATAAATATTGCACACTATCACTCATGTGAGGAAGCTAACGAAGTTATCTTGTAGAAGTAGAGAGCAATTACTAGAGACCAGGAATGGTAGAGGAAGGAGGGGATTGCCTAAGGTTGGTTAATGAACACAAAAGTAATGCTAGTTAGAAGGAATAAGGTCTAGTGAGGTCTAGTGTTCTATAGCATGATAGGTGGCTATAATTAACAACAATCTGTTGCATATGTTCAAGTAGTTAAAAGCACAGATTTTGAATGTCCCCAATACAAGTAATGATAAATGTTTGAGGTGATAGATATTCTAATTATTCTGATTTAATCATTAGACATCGTATACATGTGTTGGAATATCACACTGTTCCCCATGATATGTACAATTATTATGTGTCAATTAAAAATAATATAAAAGCAAAAAATATATATACCATTTAAAATAGCAGCAAAAGTTGTTAGATATGATTCTATTAAAATATGTATAAGATCCGTATGTTGAAACTACAAAACTATAATGAAAGAAATCAATGAAGACCTACATAAATGGAGTGCTATGTCATGCTCAAGGATTGTTAAGATGCCAATTTCCCCCAATTTGACCTACAGATTTAAAACAAAAATTCAAGCAGTTTTCTGTGGGTATCAAAAATGTGATTTTTAATATTGCCCCCTCCCAACCACAGAAAAGCAAAGAACTAAGATTAGCCAAACAATTCTGAAAAAAATAACAAAGTTGGAAGACTCCTATTACTGAATTCCAAGACTTACTGTAACGCCTCAGTAATCAAGACAATGTGGAAATAGGAAAATGATAGACACATACATCAATGAAAAGTGTAGAGAGCCCAGAAATAGTTGATCCACATAAATATAGTCAACTTATTTTTAACAAAGGTGCAAAGACAATTCAATAGAGAAATGATAGTCTTTTCAACAAATAGTACTGGAACAATTAGGGATTCATGCACAGCAAAATGAATCTCAATGTATACCTCACACATTATACAAAAATTAACTCAAAATGTATCAGACCTGAAGATGAAATGTAAAACTATAAAACTTCTGAAAAAAAAAAACATGGGAGAAAATCTGTATAATCTTGGGTTAAGCAAAGAGTTTTTAGCTACAACACCAAAAGCATAATTCCCAAGAAAAAAACAGGTAAATTGGACTTAATCAAAATTTAAAACTCTTACTCCATGAAAGACACTACTAAGGGAATGAAAAGACAAGCAACACACTGGGAGAAAATATTTGCAAGTAATATTTCTGACAAGAATTTTATCTAGAAAATATAAAGAACTCTAAAACTCAATGATAAGAAAACAAACAACCCAATTAAAAATGGGCAAAATATCTGAAAAGACACTACACTTAAAAAGACATACAGATGGCAAATAAGCATATGAAAAGATGCTGAATATCATTTGTTACTAGGGAAATGCAAATTAAAACAATCATGAGATACCACTACACATCTATTAGAATGGCTAAAATAAAAAAAATGCAATATCAAATGCTGGTGAGAAATGCAGAGCTCTCATTCATTGCTACTGGGAATGCAAAATGCTATACGACTTTGGAAGACAGTTTGGCAGTTTCTTATAGAGTTAGACATAGGCTTACCGTATACCCAGCAATCATTCTCTTAGGCATTACCTAACTGTTTTTAAATCTTATGTTCACACAAAAACTGCATGCAAATGTTTATAGCAGTTTTATTCATAATTACTCAAAACTGGAATTAACCAAGATTTCCTTCAGTAGGTGAATGGATGAACAAACTGTGGTATATCCATACAATGAAATACTATTCAGCAATGAATAGTATTTATTAGCCATTCCTTCACTCACCTGCATGGATGAGTCACAAATGCATTTTACAAGTGAAAGAAGCCAGGGCAAGAATACACAATATAATTCACATACAATATTACATACACAATATAATTCAAACCATATGATATTCTGGAAAAGGTCAAAGTTATACGGATAGAAAACATATCAGTGGTGCCAAGAGTTTAGGGGGAAAGAGGTATTTGACTAGGGGAAGCATTGGGCATCTTTAAAGTGTGATGGAACTAATCTGTGGTACTGTGGTGGCAAATACATGATCCTATGTATTGGTCAAAACACAGAGAACTTTGCAGCACAAAGAATGAACCTTAATGTATGCAAATAAAAAATCGACGAAGAGGTCAACAGATCTCAGGATAGACTGTAGACTCTGACAAAAGAATATAATTGTATTACAAATATATGACATAACCCCACTGAAGGGTTTGGGGAGAATTAGACGCTCACCTAAGTAACTTTGGAAAATGGTGGGTGTATTAGCCTGTTTTCACACTGCTATAAAGAACTACCTGAGACTGGGTAATTTATGAAGTAAGTAGGTTTAATTGACTCGCAGTTCTGCAGGCTTAACAGGAAGCATGGCTAGGAGGCCTCAGGAAACTTACAATCGTGACAGAAGGTGAAGGGTAAGCAAGCATGTCTTACCATGGTGGAGCAGGAGAGAGCGAGCAAGGGGGGAAATGCCACACACACTTTCAAACAACCAGATCTCTTGAGAACTCACTATCAGGAGAACAAGGGGAAGCTCACCCCCATGATTCAATCACCTCCCACCAGGACCCTCCCCCAACATCTGGGGATTACAATTAGAGATGAGATTTGTTGGGACACAGAGACAAACCATATCAGTGGGGGTTTTTTTGTTGTTGTTTTTGTTTTTTGAGACAGAGTCTCACTCTGTCGCCCAGGCTGGAGTGCGGTGGTGTGATTTTGGCTTACTGCAGCCTTAACCTCCCTGGACTCAGGTGATCCTCCTGCCTCAGCCTCCTGACTAGCTGGGACTACAGGCACATGACACCATGCCTGGCTAATTTTTGTATGTTTGTAGAGACAGGGTTTTGCCATGTTGCCCAGGCTGGTCTTGAACTCCTGGCCTCAAGTGATCCACCCTCCTTGGGCTCCCAAAATGCTGGGATTATGGGTGTCAGCCACCATGTCCACTTTATACAAAAATGGTGTTTTAACTGGACACTACAAAACAAAAGACAAAAAGAACTGAAGATTGAACATAAGCACTGTTTTCTAGTTGGTAAATTTGTTTCTCCTGAGGATATGGTTTAACAATTCTGAAACTGCTGAATATGTTTACTGGAATTGAACAAGTAAATAAGTTGACAGCAGCTGGTTGGAGCCACATTTCTTATGATTAAAGAGGGATGTAACAGAGAAGCAAGGTTAGAATGAACCATGTGGTAATAGATTAGAGTTGGAGACACCAGTATGAACTCATGTTTATCTTAATACAGATTCAGAAGAATAGGCACAGAAGTAGTCATAGACATATGCAATACATGGTTTGGTACACATACATAGGTTTCGTAGATCTTTCTACTGAAAGGGCCTATCACGATGACATCATGATAGGAATAAACACACCAATTGCTCATACCTTGGTTTTTAATACTCTTCTCCAATAAAAGGAACCAGGACTCCCTGGAGAAAAGACACGTTGTAGAGCTGGGACAGAGAATATACAAGTTGAGCCTGGAACAATTTTTGTTGTGCCGGGAAATTAGGAAGTGCTCAAAAAGTAAAAGGATGAAGGCATGTGAGAAGGGCCCAGGAGCCGGCCTGAAAGAGCTTTTAATACCCAAACAATCTGAACAACAAAATAAACGGTATGTTGGGGTTGGTGCAAAAGTAATTGCGGTTGTTGCCCTTACTTTTAATTGCAAAAACTGCAATTAATTTTGTGCCAGCCTAATAAAATAGTAACATAACACAGAATTATAATCTAAAGTTTAAAATAAATAGCATGAGCCCATACTGATATAAGTAAATGACTGAACACGTACATAAAGAAGAGACAGATCTCCTAAACAGAAAAATTCCCAGTAGTTCATGTAGACTCTCCTCCCTCAAGGTGACGTAGCTTAACACCACAGCCCTTGAATGGGTTGTGCTTAGCGGCTTGCTTCCAAAGAGTAGAATACGAAAAGGTGGAAAAGTTACTTTATAATGAAGAAACCTGGTAAACGCTACTCAACCAGGTGATCAAAGTTACCTTCATCAGTGATAATTCAAGCTGATACACATACTCCTGATAGAATGTGATGAAAATGAACTTCAACTCTATGTATTCCCTTCCAAAAACTCACAATGTTTACAAAACAGTGAAAAAATATCAGACAAATCCAAACTGAGGAGCATGCTACAAAATATTTAACCAGTAACCTTTTGATATTAAGTCCATAAAAATCAAGAAAAATCTGAGAAACTGTCGCAGCCAAGAGGAGAATTAGAGACATGATTACTAAATGTAATGTGGTATCCTGATTGGAATCCTGAGACAGAGAAAAGGACATTAGGGGAAAATTTGTGAAATCTGAATAAAGTGTGTAGTTTAGTTGATAAAAATGTATCCATGCTGGTTCCTTGGTTGTGACAAAAATTCCACAGTAATGTAAGATGTAAACAATAGAGAAAACGGTATTGGGTATACGGTAACTCTGCACTATCCTTGCAACTTTTCTGTAAACTATTCTAAAAAGATACATTGATTTAAATCTTAAAAACAACATAGGTATATTTTAAAAGAGCATACATAGAATGATCCCAATTCCGTGTAACTAATATGTGAATGTGTACCAGAGGAAAAACCAAATATGTATGTGACATCATACATATTGTCAGAGATATGACCATAGGTAAATTTTATTTCTCTTTTCTGTTTTTCTGTATTTTTCTTTTCTTTTTTTTGAGACGGAGTCTCGCTCTGTCGCCCAGGCTGGAGTGCAGGGGCGCGATCTCGGCTCACTGCAAGCTCCACCTCCTGGGTTTACGCCTTTCTCCTGCCTCAGCCTCCTGAGTAGCTGGGACTACAGGCACCTGCCACCGTGCCCGGCTAATTTTTTGTATTTTTAGTAGAGACGGGGTTTCACTGTGTTAGCCAGGATGGTCTCGATCTCCTGACCTCGTGATCCTCCCGCCTCGGCCTCCCAAGGTGCTGGGATTACAGGCGTGAGCCGCCGTGCCCGGCCGTATTTTTCAATGCTATAATTTAAAACAAACATTTATTCCCTTAAGTAATTTTAAAAAGCAATACTCAAATAAATAGAGACCATGCAATAGAGCAGTGGGAAGAGGGGAATCGAGCTGCTTCTGCGGAAACAGGCTGTTTTTCAGACCACCATCTTTAGCTGACTCAGGAGACAATAATTTCTGGGGTTAAAAGAAAAGACTGAACAAGAGCTGAATCTCTGAGTTTCTGTGATCGTCATTCTTGAGTCACTGTAAGAAAATGATCCTTTCACTTTTCTAGATTAAAAAAACTGAAATTACATGACTCAAACAAGGCCACAAAGTTGATTAGTGTGCTAAGGCATACAAATGTGTTTTATTTGGTCTATGCAGTGTTTCAAAACCATTTGAATATGAATAGCTTTAGGTAATGCTGCTTCTTTCTTTTGATTATAGCAAGCTTAGTGCACACAATACTTTTTCAACTCCTGGCCCACGGAGATATTTATTTGGAATCATTGATTTAGGTAAAGTAGCAGAAGTGAAAAACTGTGTACAGAGGTTAAGAAGTCTAAGATTAAATGAAGAAAAACCACTCTTTGTGAATTCCGAGAGGGAAGAAAAGTTCTTTTCCATGTGGGTTAATTTCTTTTTCTAGCCAGGACCATTGCATTGCATAAATACTGCAGGCTCTGTGCATGTCACCATATCTGTAAATGGAGCCCTGGAATTATTCAGTGCACAGACTCGCAGCCAAATGCAGCAGCTCTGACTCTCCATCAGTGTCATATTGTAAAAGTCTTGTAATTTATAATGCTGTTTAATGTTCTGTTTTCATAAAGTGTGGTTTTGAGTCACATCTCAATTCAAAACCACTTTCAGGCATCATCACTTCAATATCTATTGAACATACGTACCAGACTCTGTTCTCTCATTGATTCCTTACACTGGCCTTAACCAAAAGTTCTAATGGTATTTCTCATTTGTAAAATGAGAAAGTTGAGACTTAGAGAAGTCAAATAATTTGCCCAAGGTTATGCTATGGAGCAAGGATTTGAATCTACATAGTAAGGAACCTTTTGTGAGGGGGAGTATATTTATGAAGACATTGGAGCTAATTACTTTGTTTCATTTAGAAAAAACAATCTATTTTAATCTATAATACTCATTGATTTTTTACACCAATTAATTACTACATATAATTTTGAATATTATCACTAATGTTTGATATCTTTATTCACTTACCTAGGTGAAAGTAACTATATGTAATCTCTCATTTTTACGGTATGCCAAATTTTACTTTTCAAATTACATTATTTTCTTAGTATTTTGCAATGTAGACAATGTTTCAGTATTTGTCATGCATACACAATGTTTCAATATTTGTCATGAGAACGTTTTTGTGTAATGGTTTATAGACAGAAGTCAGTGTTTAAAATTTCATATTATCCTAGTTGTCTGTTTTGTCACAAGAGTAGATGTAGATTTTTTTTCTTTTTGAGAAGGTGTCTCGCTCTGTCGCCCAGGCTGGAGTGCAGTGGCACAATCTCAGCTTACTGCAACCTCCAAATCCCGGGTTCAAGCAATTCTCCTGCCTCAGCCTCCCAAGTAGCTGGGACTACAGGCGCCTGCCACCACACCCGGCTAATTTTTTGTATTTTTAGTAGAGACGGGGTTTCACCATGTTAGCCAGGATGGTCTCAATCTCCTGACCTCGTGATCCACCCGCCTCAGCCTCCCAAAGTGCTGGGATTACAGGCGTGAGCCACCATGCCCGGCCAGATGTAGATATTTTAAGCTGTCAAGAGTCTGGCAAAATTTTGGCTACTTGGATACTAATTATATTAAAATCTATTAGCTAATCTTCCTATTTAATCTCCTCCTGCAATGGGCAGCATAATCAAACGGATTTCCAAAGAGGACATATTGAAGCACAGAGGGTTTTAGGGTCTCTCTCAGGGAAGTCAAGTGCTTAGGGAAAACTGGAGAATTATAGCATTTGAAAGGCGAAAAAGGAGTTGCATCCAAGAAAACAGTGTCAAAGCTGTTGAATTTAGTCCCTAAAGCAGCAAGCATGCAAAGGTTTTCTCAGATTAATACTATGGATTTTGCTGATGGCTGCTTTTAAATCATCTTTTGAATGTGCAACTGAAAATACAGCTTTCTTTCTCAAGTTTTCAAAAATAAAGACCTTTCCTCTTCTCAGTAAACACATCTTCCATGAGTAAGCTGGACATATTTCACAATCTTTAATAATTCTCAGATCTGCATCTCCAGTGAGACCTCTCTCCTGAAACTCAGAGCTGTGTCCAACTATTTACAGTATACTTTCATTTGAGTGCCTTAATGGAACCTCAAATTTTTCCAGCGCTAAGCTGGCTGTCACCATCTCTCCCACCACACATGGCAATAGCAACCACAATAATGACAACCACAACAAATCAATTTTACCTCATGTATTTTCCATTTAAGGCCTGGAAAAACCAACCACTCAAATTAGCTCCTTCCTTCAATCTACACATAGAGTTGATTACTAACTCGTAAAGATTCTATTTCCTTAATTTCCTTAATCTTTCTCTCATCTATCTCTGTCTCTTGCTCCCAGGGCCATCTTGTATGCTTGTCCTCCTCCCTGCAATGATTATGAGAGCCTTGACAACAGACATTGTCTAACTTACAGCTAAAACCTTTTTTTTTTTAATTTTTTTTTTGTGTGTGTGGAGACAGGGTCTTGCTCTGCCATTCTGGATGGAGTGCAGTGGCACAATCATGGATCACTGCAGCCTTGAACTCCTGGGCTCAAGTGATCCTTCTGCCTCTGCCTTCTGAGTAGCTGAGACTACAGGCATGCACAATCCTGCCCAGCTAATTTTAAAAAAAATTGTAGAGATGGGGTCTTGTGATGTTGGCCAGGCTGGTCTTGAACTCCTGGCCTCAGGTGATTCTCCCCCATCAGCCTCCCAAAGTGCTAGGATTACAGGTGAGAGCCACTGCACCCAGCTATAACTGAAACATTTAGTCGGCCCTTAATGCACATCATTTTTTTCTTAACCCCGTCATCGAAAGGTTTAAAAGACTTTTGGAACTTTTAGATTTATCAGAAAGAATTTTCCCTAAACTTTGTGACTACATGAAAGTTATCTTTCAAGTATGTACATACATTTATTTTTGAACCACTTTAGTCATCTGTGCTTCTTGGAAAGGCAATTTGTATTTGGTCTGTCTCCAGGCATGGGCCTTGGGTGTGGTGTTTTTCTAATGGTTTTCCTCAACCATTTCAGGGATAGAACTAAGCCCTAATTGTTGTAAGATATCCATTGTACACAACGAATTACCTTCTCTTCTATGCATATTCCAGGATAGTACTAGCTCTGTGCCATCTTGGGAGAACTGAGAAAATAGTCACTTAAATCATTGTCTGTTTTGTGGTTCACATGAGAAACTCCAATTGAGAAAAGCTGCAAGGTCTCAAAAAAGGTCCTTAGGAAATATTTCTCATAGATTACCAGAGATTGTGATTTTCTTACCAATGGGCTAATGGCCCAGTCTCACTTTTTCCTTGCTAGTTTATCCATTCATTGCCTCCTGTCCCAGAAATCAAAACACACACACATGCGCACACACACGCACGCACACACACCCCAAAACAATCCCACTAGCCATGGATATGATGTTAGCAAAACACCTTGCTTTTATCTTTCAAGTCCTCTTTAAGCATTCTCTTTACCAATATTTAGACTCAGAGTTGGAAATTTAAAAAAAACATCTGAAATCTCTACTTGATTTGGAAAATCTTTTTCCTTGGAACTAGGCTGGCATGAAAGGAACAGGTGTCATGGAAAGCTGTGTTTTCTTTTGCTTCTCTTTGGGGAGCAATAGTTAAGAGCTGTGATGGCAGACATGAAAGTAAGCCCAGCTCTTTACAGTTGGCCTCCTTTGAAAGGCCTTTCCTTGACCCCTATTCCCCAGGAAAAAAAAAAAGTTGCTAACAGGAACATCACAAGATTCCATTGATGAAATGTGTTGAACCAAACCATGTATGATGACAACTAGTGGGTGGAAAACATTTCCCCAAATCAGAACTGGGTATCTACCCTCCACGTTACTTCACTGGATGCCAAAAGGTTATCTGTGAGGAACTAGGAAAGGAAGTATATTTGAAAACATCACTGGAACTTGTATACAACATCTTAAGGTGTTTGATCCTTTTATGAACTGTTGACAGCTTTTCGCCATTGAAGTCTATATGAGATTTGCCAGCCAAGTGAAAGGAGGAAGCAGGGCCAGAGTGCTTGACCAAGGAACCCCTAAGAGCTGGTTAGATCACAAGACATGAGATGACCAGGGAGAGGAAATGGCCCAGAATTCCATGAAATGCTCAGGCATCTGTATCAGCAGTTTCATCAGACCTATTTCGGCCATCCAAATGATTCTCTTTGAGTTTCACTTCCAGTATCATCTTCATTCAAGGATCCAGGCAAATGTGAATTCCCAGAGCACTCAGAGAAGCATGAAGTAGCTGAGGATTATTAATAATCATTACAGTGCACTAAATCAGTAACGGCACTGAATCAGGCCATCGTGCAACACACCCTTTTGTGTTTATTAATGGTCATGACAGTTGCTTAATTGGGATAGTAGTTCTGTTTAATTGGGACATATTTAGTGCTACTCAGGCCAGGTATCTTCCTCTTGCTCCTGCCAGGTCTGTTTGTTCTTCACAAGTTTCTCAGTATTTCTGTGGAATGTGCCTGATGCCAGCTGGTCTCCTAAGCCTTCCCACGCTGGGAAGTCTTCTGGGCTGTGGCTTCTGCCTGGGACGTTATCGTCGGTGTTAGATTAACAAGCCATGACTTAGAAGTCCTTTGCTTAAAAATGAGTATGTCAGGCTGAGTGTGGTGGCTCATGCCTATAATTCCAGTGTTATGGGATTCCAAGGCAAGGGAATTGCTTGAGGCCAGGAGTTCGAGACTAGTTTGGGCAACATAGTAAGACGCCATCTCTGTAAAAAAATAAAAAAAAAAATTAGCCAGGCATGGTGACATGTGCCTGTAGTCTTACCTGCTCGGGAGGCTGAGGTGGGAGGATCACTTGAACCTAGGAGGTCAAGACTACAGTGAGCTAGAATCATGCGACTGCACTCCAGCCTGGATGACAGAGTGAGACCCTGTCTCAAAAATAAATAAATAAATAAAATGAGTGTGTCATGTGCATGTTTAATGCTGACTCTAGCATATAATGGATACTTATAAATCAATAATTATGCAACGTTATCTTCATTAGTATGGAGAAAGGAATCTTTTCTCAAACCCTCTCCATCCATTGCCACTACTGTTAATCTTGGGTTCTGTCTCATTTCTCACCTCATTGCTCCATTTTTATAGCCAGCTCACCTTTCTGACCCAGGCTTTGGATTTTCCCACAGCTCAGCATATAGCTCAGACTCTCTATAAATACGTACCTCCCTCCTTAGCTCCTTCCAAAAACTGACCTTGTGCCTTCCTCGTTGTCTGGGCTCCATGTCCATTCGTGACCCATTATATGTTAAGTTCCCACAGACACTGATGTAAACACAGACCTCTTTTTCACTGATGTCTCCTGATCACTCTTTTCATCACATGGTGCCCTTCTGCCCGTCAGACTGTATCATGGCAGGATGATTCCACTTGCGTTGTAAGTTCCTACAATCTTATGAGAGTCATTAGTTAAAAAATGATATTGTAAAAGTAATGCTGATGTTATAGACAGCCAAACAACAGCATAGAGTTTGTAAACAAGTTTTCTGAAAGCTTATAGTACATCAGACATTCACGATTTGGAGAAGGAGGCCATGAATTCTACATTTCCATACCCATGTTGCAACCACCTGACCACACTCAACAACCATAGGAATTCTTACAAAAGCCTGATTTCCTTCCAAAATAATCTGCTTCAAAAAAAAAACTTAATTATTTATTTTGCTTCATTCAATAGGACTCAAATTATGTTTGTTTTTTAAAATAAGTTTGACTTATTTTCATATTAAATTGCTTGATCATTTCTTTTAAGTTAGTGAGGACTTTCTGTGCTTTGAAGTAGTTTTTGGCTTTTTTGTTTTCCTTTAGGGTATGACAAACTATTACATTGTCTGGAGAATTGGGGACTGGATCAGAGAGGCAAAACAAGTGGAGCTCAGGGACATGATTTCTAAATAACAATTCTCATGTGAATGCTCCTACAATATTTCCCTTTTACTCATGTTTTTGTGTTGGTGTTTTTGTTGTGGTCTGGACTGGGGCAAAAAATGAAATAGTAGATCCAGATGTGAAATACATCTTTTGAAACTGATGTAGGGGTGTGTGTGGTGTGTGTGTGTGTAAAATCAAAGGGTACTTCTGTAGTTAAAAGCTCTGAGATAAGAAAAGAAAAGGTGAGGTGGAGGGAAAATATTTTACTACTGAACCCCATCCTTATGGATCTAACCGTCAAACAGCTTCTTTCTGAAAGTATATCTTCTCTATTACACAAATGATGACTTTGGCAGGTTTTCAGTTTTAAGATATTACATTGCAGATCTTAATTTCTCTGGTTTAAGAGTGTGTGATCATCCCCTGAAAGCAAGAACTTTGGAGTCAACAGATCTGAGCTCAGACCTGACATTAGCTATTGATCTTGAACAAGTCACTTTCCTTCCTGACTTTCAGTTTCTCCATAAAGCAGAAACAACAAAACCTACTTCCAGGGTAATTATGAGTATTCAATGAGACTATGTACATAGCACAGAGTGTGGGCCCTCTTGGAATGTTCCATGCCGTGTAAGTAGGTGAAAAGTGTCCTCTAGCCCATGCTGTGCCTAGAGAGCACCCAAAAGGCTGACTTGGCTACTGTCTCTGCCCTAGTGCGCAGTGGGGCCTGCTGCTGGGGAGGCTGCTGACCCTAAGCCGGACTTTATTGCAGCTTCCAGATTTAGCAGGACTTATTACTAAAGATCTCAACACCAAATCATCTATATCCTTATATAATACCCTGTATTCCATGGATATTTAACTTTTTAACATGTCAACTGACTGACTTGACCTAGTTGAGCAAGGTAGGCAGCCAATGCATAGTCTTCTACTAGACTGTAATCTCCATGGTGGCAGGCATTGCATGTGTTTTGCTCACTCCTCTATCTCCAGAACCTAGCACAGTTCCCCAAACCTGGTAGTGAGTCAATAAATATTTTGTTGAATGACTTAATTACAAAGTCCAGCCACAACCTAAGAAGATGGCTTGACTTGATGTTTTAAGGAGTTGCACTATGAAAGAATGGGGAGTTCTCTGGAAAATTCACTTCCGCTTTCTTTAACAGGATTCGAGAATAAGTCTCTTTTTTTAATTTTTTTTAATTTTTATATATATATATTTTTCATTATATTTTAAGTTCTAGGGTACATGTGCACAACGTGCAGGTTTGTTACATATGTGTACATGTGACATGTTGGTGTGCTGCAACCATTAACTCATCATTTACATTAGGTATATCTCCTAATGCTATCCCTCCTCCCTCCCCCCACCCCACAACAGGCCCCGGTGTGTGATGTTCCCCATCCTGTGTCCATGTGTTCTCATTGTTCAATTCCCACCTATGAGTGAGAACATGCAGTGTTGGCTTTACTGCTCCCAATATGACTGTTGCATTTTTTCCACCTAATGTAATTGGGTAGAATGGGGTTTCTATTTTCATTTTTGAGGCAAGATACAGATTGCAGCCTCATTAAATTTGTACCTTTCTTGCAAACCCAAACAACACTTCTTACTGCCTCCTGTTTACTAAGGATAAGAACAGTACAAGCAGACTTCAGATGAAACAAACTCTACAGTGGTCACCATCAGAGAACATTTAGTGAAATACTTAGTATGAAGGGATCAGTAGTGAGGAACACTGGGGACTCTTGGAACTTTTCTATGCTGCACAAGAGAACCACATCAGAGGGCACTGGCAAGAATTGATACGTTAAAAAAAAGTTCTCTACCTGCCAGGATGGGTGTAACTGAGTCAGAGGCCAGAAAAGCCGGAGGAAAAGGAAGGAAGCAGGGTGTGTTAGCCACATGACTAAAGTGATAGGGCATATGGTTCTTAAGCAGGAAAAGACGCGTAGGCTGGACAAAAATGTAAACATTGGTGGCGTGTGGAGTATTCAGGAGGGCTGGAAATAAAAAGCTTTGTGAGTCTGCTGAAAAGAAAGTGTGGCTTTGATGTGGAGCACATTTTCAACTGCAGCAGGGTTGCCATCTCTTGTGGTTGCCAAAATAATACTTAAACGAAAAATAGGAGGTTGTTCTTTGCTTAGGGGTGGCCTGTAGGAGGAAGAATCACAAGCATTTTCAAGTTGAAGAAGGCACCATTAAGACACTTCAATGGAACCAATAAGTCCAGTCAGTAGCCACCAAATTCTGCCAGGCCATTTTAGCAACTACCAGACCTCCAGTTTGATGACTGGCAGCCTCTGCAGCAGCAGATGCAGTTGAAGAGTCTGGGAGATGCCACTGTCCAGTTGAAACAAGGACTGCTGGGTGGACTTCCTTAAGCCACCCTTCCTTATCCTCAACCTGGATCTCATACTGGGTCTTCAAGCCTCAGAGGAAGGATGGATAGTCAGCCCTCTTAGAGCCAATTATCCCTTGGGGGAATATGGGAAGAAGCATGATTCTGCAGTTAGAAAGTACCTTGGCCAGTGGGAAGTTCTTTTAGGGCTCACTTCACATCTGCCTGAGCAGAAACACAGTCAGCCCTCCATCAGCCCTCCCAGTCCCTGGATCTGCATCTGGATTCAACCAACTGTGGATTGAAAATATTTGGGGGAATAAAAGCAATAAAAATTAACAATACACCAATAAAAAGTAATAGAAATAAAAAACAATACAGTATAACAACTATTTATGGAACATTTGTGTTGTATTAGGTATTATAAGTAATCTAGAGATGATTTAAAGTATGCAGGAGGAGGTATGTGCAAATACTATGCCATTTTATATGAGGTACTTGAGCATCTGCAGTTCTGAGTATTGGCAGGAGGTCCTGGAACCAATCCCCTACCAATACCAAGGGATACTGTATATTCAGGCCATATGAACAAGGGAAGAAAACCCAGCAGTGGGATTCACGGAGCATGATTGTTACTGCAGCTCACTTACTAACTAGCTTTGTGACCTTGGACCAGTCATTAGACCCTCCTGCACCGCAGCCTCTACACTCAGAGGGTAGAACCAGATAATCATCCAGACCCTTTCATTTCAGAACACCATGGTTCTGTGATTTACAGGAAGATCATAAGCTAGGTTCCATTCTTGCTTCTCTGTATAAACTTGGGCAAGTTTTTATTCCACCCTGTCCCTCAGCTTTCCCATATGTAAAATTGAGTTACTCATACTAATTTTACAATATTTTGAAAACTCACAGATGAAAGATATTAGGCAAATGCTGGTTATCATCAAAGCCTTAAAGGCAATTTTAATAACTTAACTTTTCAATATTTCATTGGAGATTAGATATGAATCCCTGGTAATTTTCTTTTTTAATTATACTTTAAGTTTTAGGGTACATGTGCACAACGTGCAGGTTTGTTACATATGTATACATGTGCCATGTTGGTGGGCTGCACCCATTAACTCATCATTTAACATTAGATATATCTCCTAATGCCATCCCTCCCCCGTCCCCCCACCCCACAACAGGCCCCGGTGTGTGATGTTCCCCTTCCTGTGTCCATGTGTTCTCATTGTTCAATTCCCACCTATGAGTGAGAACATACGGTGTTTGGTTTTTTTGTCCTTGCAATAGTTTACTGAGAATGATGATTTCCAATTTCATCCATGTCCCTACAGAGGACATGAACTCATCCTTTTTTATGGCTGCATAGTATTCCATGGTGTATATGTGCCACATTTTCTTAATCCAGTCTATCATTGTTAGACATTTGGGTTGGTTCCAAGTCTTTGCTATTGTGAATAGTGCCGCAATAAACATACGTGTGCATGTGTCTTTATAGCAGCATGATTTATAATCCTTTGGGTATATACCCCGTAATGGGATGGCTGGGTCAAATGGTATTTCTAGTTCTAGATCCCTGAGGAATCGCCACACTGACTTCCACAATGGTTGAACTAGTTTACAGTCCCACCAACAGTGTAAAAGTGTTCCTATTTCTCCACATCCTCTCCAGCACCTGTTGTTTCCTGACTTTTTAATGATCACCATTCTAACTGGTGTGAGATGGTATCTCATTGTGGTTTTGATTTGCATTTCTCTGATGGCCAGTGATGATGAGCATTTTTTCATGTGTCTTTTGGCTGCATAAATGTCTTCTTTTGAGAAGTGTCTGTTCATATCCTTCGCCCATTTGTTCATGGGGTTGTTCGTTTTTTTCTTGTAAATTTGTTTGAGTTCTTTGTAGATTCTGGATATTAGCCCTTTGTCAGATGAGTAGGTTGTGAAAATTTTCTCCCATTTTGTGGGTTGCCTGTTCACTCTGATGGTAGTTTCTTTTGCTGTGCAGAAGCTCTTTAGTTTAATTAGATCCCAGTTGTCAATTTTGGCTTTTGTTGCCATTGCTTTTGGTGTTTTAGACATGAAGTCCTTGCCCATGCCTATGTCCAGAATGGTATTGCCTAGGTTTTCTTCTAGGGTTTTTATGGTTTTAGGTCTAACATTTAAGTCTTTAATCCATCTTGAATTAATTTTTGTATAAGGTGTAAGAAAGGGATCCAGTTTCAGCTTTCTCCATATGTCTAGCCAGTTTTCCCAACACCATTTATTAAACAGGGAATCCTTACCCCATTGCTCATCTTTGTCAGGTTTGTCAAAGATCAGATAGTTGTAGATATGCAGCATTATTTCTGAGGGCTCTGTTCTGTTCCATTGATCTATATCTCTGTTTTGGTACCAGTACCATGCTGTTTTGGTTACTGTAGCCTTGTAGTATAGTTTGAAGTCAGGTAGCATGATGACTCCAGCTTTGTTCTTTTGGCTTAGGATTGACTTCGCAATGTAGGCCCGTTTTTGGTCCCATATGAACTTTAAAGTAGTTTTTTCCAATTCTGTGAAGAAAGCCACTGGTAGCTTGATGGGGATGGCATTGAATCTATAAATTACCTTGGGCAGTATGGCCATTTTCATGATATTGATTCTTCCTACCCATGAGCATGGAATGTTCTCCCATTTGTTTGTATCCTCTTTTATTTCATTAAGCAGTGGTTTGTAGTTCTCCTTGAAGAGGTCCTTCACATCCCTTGTAAGTTGGATTCCTAGGTATTTTATTTTCTTTGAAGCAATTGTGAATGGGAGTTCACTCATGATTTGGCTCTCTGTTTGTCTATTATTGGTGTATAAGAATGCTTGTGATTTTTGTACATTGATTTTGTATCCTGAGACTTTGCTGAAGTTGCTTATCAGCTTAAGGAGATTTTGGGCTGAGATGATTGGGTTTTCTAGATATACAATCATGTCATCTGCAAACAGGGACAATTTGACTTCCTCTTTTCCTAATTGAATACACGTTATTTCCTTCTCTTGCCTGATTGCCCTGTCCAGAACTTCCAACACTATGTTGAATAGGAGTGGTGAGAGAGGGCATCCCTGTCTTGTGCCAGTTTTCAAAGGGAATGCTTCCAGTTTTTGCCCATTCAGTATGATATTGGCTGTGGGTTTGTCACAGATAGCTCTTATTATTTTGCGATACGTCCCATCAATAACTAATTTATTGAGAGTTTTTAGGGTGAAGGCTTGTTGAATTTTGTCAAAGGCCTTTTCTGCATGAATTGAGATAATCATGTGGTTTTTGTCTTTGGTTCTGTTTATATGCTGGATTACATTTATTGATTTGTGTATGTTGAACCAGCCTTGCATCCCAGGGATGAAGCCCACTTGATCACGGTGGATAAGCTTTTTGATGTGCTGCTGGATTCAGTTTGCCAGTATTTTATTGAGGATTTTTGCATTAATGTTCATCAGGGATATTGGTCTAAAATTCTCTTTTTTTGTTGCGTCTCTGCCAGGCTTTGGTATCAGTATGATGCTGGCCTCATAAAATGAGTTAGGGAGGATTCCCTCTTTTTCTATTTATTGGAATAGTTTCAGAAGGAATGGTACCAGCTCCTGCTTGTACCTTTGGTAGAATTCGGCTGTGAATTCATCTGGTCCTGGACTTTTTTGGTTGGTAAGCTATTAATTATTGCCTCAATTTCAGAGCCTCTTACTGGTCTATTCAGAGATTCAACTTCTTCCTGGTTTAGTCTTGGAAGGGTATATGTGTCGAGGAATTTATCCATTTCTTCTAGATTTTCTAGTTTATTTGCATAGAGGTGTTTATAGTATTCTCTGATGGTAGTTTGTATTTCTGTGGGATCGGTGGTGATATCCCCTTTATCATTTTTTATTGTGTCCATTTGATTCTTCTCTCTTTTCTTCTTTATTAGTCTTGCTAGTGGTCTATCAATTTTGTTGATCTTTTCAAAAAACCAGCTCCTGGATTCATTGATTTTTTGAAGGGTTTTTTTGTGTCTCTATTTCCTACAGTTCTGCTCTGATCTTCGTTATTTCTTGCCTTCTGCTAGCTTTTGAATGTGTTTGCTCTTGCTTTTCTAGTTCTTTTAATTGTGATGTTAGAGTGTCAATTTTAGATCTTTCCCGCTTTCTCTTGTGGGCATTTAGTGCTATAAATTTCCCTCTACACACGCTTTGAATGTGTCCCAGAGATTCTGGTATGTTGTGTCTCTGTTCTCGTTGGTTTCAAGGAACATCTTTATTTCTGTCTTCATTTCGTTATGTACCCAGTAGTCGTTCAGGAGCAGGTGGTTCAGTTTCCATGTAGTTGAGCGGTTTTGAGTGAGTTTCTTAATGCTGAGTTCTAGTTTGCACTGTGGTCTGAGAGACAGTTTGTTATAATTTCTGTTCTTTTACATTTGCTGAGGAGTGCTTTACTTCCAACTATGTGGTCAATTTTGGAATAAGTGCAATGTGGTGCTGAGAAGAATGTATGTTCTGTTGATTTGGGGTGGAGAGTTGTGCAGATGTCTATTAGGTCTGCTTGGTGCAGAGCTGAGTTCAATTCCTGGATATCCTTGTTAACTTTCTGTCTCATTGATCTGTCTAATGTTGACAGTGGGTTGTTAAAGTCTCCCATTATTATTGTGTGGGGGTCTAAGTCTCTTTGTAGGTCTCTAAGACTTGCTTTATGAAACTCGGTGCTCCTATATTGGGTGCATATATATTCAGGATAGTTAGCTCTTCTTGTTGAATTGATCCCTTTACCCTTATGTAATGTCCTTCTTTGTCTCTTTTGATCTTTGTTGGTTTAAAGTCTGTTTTATCAGAGACTAGGATTGCAACCCCTGCCTTTTTTTGTTTTCCATTTGCTTGGTAGGTCTTCCTCCATCCCTTTATTTTGAGCCTATGTGTGTCTCTGCACATGAGATGGGTTTCCTGAATACAGCACACTGATGGGTCTTGACTCTTTATCCAATTTGCCAGTCTGTGTCTTTTAATGGGAGCATTTAGCCCATTTACATTCAAGATTAATATTGTTATGTGTGAATTTGATCCTGTCATTATGATGTTAGCTGGTTATTTTGTTCATTAGTTGATGCAGTTTCTTCCTAGCTTCAGTGGTCTTTACAATTTGGCATGTTTTTGCAGTGGCTGGTACTGGTTGTTCCTTTCCATGTTTAGTGCTTCCTTCAGGAGCTCTTTTAGGGCAGGCCTGGTGGTGACAAAATCTCTCAGCATTTGCTTGTCTGTAAAGTATTTTATTTCTCCTTCACTTATGAAGCTTAGTTTGGCTGGATATGAAATTCTGGGTTAAAAATTCTTTTCTTTAAGAATGTTGAATATTGGCCCCCACTCTCTTCTGGCTTGTAGAGTTTCTGCCAAGAGATCTGCTGTTAGTCTGATGGGCTTCCCTTTGTGGGTAACCCGACCTTTCTCTCTGGCTGCCCTTAACATTTTTTCCTTCATTTCAACTTTGGTGAATCTGACAATTAAGTGTCTTGGAGTTGCTCTTCTCGAGGAGTATTTTTGTGGCATTCTCTGTATTTCCTGAATCTGAATGTTGGCCTGCCTTGCTAGATTGGGGGAGTTCCCCTGGATAATATCCTGCAGAGTGTTTTCCAATTTGGTTCCATTCTCCCCGTCACTTTCAGGTACACCAATGAGACGTAGATTTGGTCTTTTCACATAGTCCCATATATCTTGGAGGCTTTGTTCGTTTCTTTTTATTCTTTTTTCTCTAAACTTCTCTTCTCCTTCATTTCATTCATTTGATCTTCCATCACTGATACCCTTTCTTCCAGTTGATTGAATTGGCTACTGAGGCTTGTGCATTCATCACATGGTTCTCGTGCCATGGTTTTCAGCTCCATCAGGCCCTTTAAGGACTTCTCTGCATTGGTTATTCTAGCTAGCCATTCATCTAATCTTTTTTCAAGGTTTTTAACTTCTTTGCCATGGGTTTGAACTTCCTCCTTTAGCTCCGAGTAGTTTGACCGTCTGAAGCCTTCTTCTTGCAACTCGTCAAAGTCATTCTCCGTCCAGCTTTGTTCCATTGCTGGTGAGGAGGTGCATTCCTTTGGAGGAGGAGAGGTGCTCTGATTTTTAGAATTTTCAGTTTTCCTGCTCTGTTTTCTCCCCATCTTTGTGGTTTTATCTACTTTTGGTCTTTGATGATGGTGACTTACAGATGTGGTTTTGGTGTGGATGTCCTTTCTGTTTGTTAGTTTTCCTTCTAACAGTCAGGACTCTCAGCTGCAGGTCTGTTGAATTTTGCTGGAGGTCCACTCCAGACCCTGTTTGCCTGGGTATCAGCAGCAGAGGCTGCAGAACAACGGATATTGGTGAACAGCAAATGTTGCTGCCTGATTGTTCCTCTGGAAGTTTTGTCTCAGAGGAGTACCCGGCTGTGTGAGGTGTCAGTCTGCCCCTACTGGGGGGTGCCTCCCAGTTAGGCTACTCGGGGGTTGGGGACCTACTTGAGGAGGCAGTCTGTCCGTTCTCAGATCTCAAGCTGTGTGCTGGGAGAACTACTACTCTCTTCAAAGCTGTCAGACAGGGACATTTAAGTCTGCAGAGGTTTCTGCTGCCTTTTGTTTGGCTATGCCCTGCCCACAGAGGTGGAGTCTACAGAGGCAGGCAGGCCTCCTTGAGCTGCGGTGGGCTCCACCCAGTTTGAGCTTCCCGGCTGCTTTGTTTACCTACTCAAGCCTTGGCAATGGCAGGTGCCCCTCCCCCAGCCTCGCTGCCATCTTGTAGTTTGATCTGAGACTGCTGATCAGATTGCTAGCATTGATCAGTGCTAGCAATGAGCGAGGCTCCATGGGCGTAGGACCCTCTGAGCCAGGCGCAGGATACAATCTCCTGGTGTGCCATTTGCTAAGACCATTGGAAAAGCACAGTATTAGGGTGGGAGTGACCTGATTTTTGAGGTGCCTTCTGTCACCCCTTTCCTTGGCAAGGAAAGGGAATTCCCTGACCCCTTGCACTTCCCAGGTGAGGTGCTGCCTTGCCCTGCTTCGGCTCATGCTCAGTGTGCTGCACCCACTGTCCTGCACCCACTGTCTGACACTCCCCAGTGAGATGAACCTGGTACCTCAGTTGGAAATGCAGAAATCATTTGTCTTCTGCATCATTCACACTGGGAGCTGTAGACTGGAGCTGTTCCTTTTCAGCCATCTTGGCTCCACCCCCCCAATCCCTGGTAATTTTCACTCAAATAATCGTTATTTGTTTTTATCTTGCCACAATTTTGACCTGCTCACTCAACTCTATTCTGGTCAATTTGGGTTAGGGTGATTGTCCTTTTCACCTCCTCTTGTAAACCCCTCTTACGATGGCCATTTTCTGCATAGAAGCTCGAAGAGCAGGAGTTTGAGTCAGAAGCTGGCATTCTAGAGACACAGCTTCTAGCACTGGCTCTGCCATTAATAGCTTGTATGCTGGGAGGCTGAGGCAGGTGGATCACCTGAGGTCAGGAGTTGAAGACCATCCTGACCAACATAGTGAAACCCCATCACTACTAAAAATACAAAAATTAGCCAGGCGTGGTGGCACACACCTGTAGTCCCAGCTACTCAGGAAGCTGAGACAGGAGAATCACTTGAACCCAGGAGGTGGAGATTGCAGTGAGCTGAGATCGCACCACTGCACTCCAGCCTAGGCAACAGAGTGAGACTCCATCCCAAAAAAAAAAAAAAAAAAAAAAAAAGCCTGTATGACCCAGAGCAAGTCATATCATCTGTTTGAGCCTTTGTATCTTGGTCTTCAAAAGACAAGGTTAGGCCAGATCATTTCAATGGTACCACTTGGCATCAAAGTATGACTTTAGAAAAGTGTCCAAATGCTTGAGGCAATGGGGAAAAGAATGAGGCACAAATAATGTATATGGAGTGCTCAATCCTATAAACCCGTCAGAGTTGAATTTACAATGACCAAAATTGTGGTGCTTAGAATAACTTACCATGCAATCTTTTGTATGGCAGTGTTAAAGCTTTAATTCTCAAAATACTAGTGTGCTGCAGTGATAATTATATTTGTGTAAATCAAATCCCAACTACGAGACTACAAACTGTTCTGACTGTGGAAATGGTAAAAGAAGGAATAGGATTTATACATATCATCTTGCAGTTTGGATTCAGGTGTACCTATATTTAAAGCAAATAAGTTGCACTTAAAAGGAAAACAATCTTGTTTATCTTTGTATGTCTGTGGTGGAGAGCAGCTGTAGTTGCTTTTCTCTCCCAGGAGCCAACCGTCTCTCCCCATCTGAGGAGTCGGTCAGTGCTTTCAGCCACTCACTGGCTTTTGTGTCTTTCACAAGTTCTGCCATGCTCCAAACACGGGCTTGGCAGTTGCCTTTGGGCTTTCTAGAGTTGTTCTTACTAGTAAGGCAGAAAGACCTCTCTTCCCAGCCTACATTTTCAGCTGTAGATTGAAGTTTTTGTATGGGGTTTCCTTCCCTTGCCATTAAACAAAATGTCTCAATCTATATGTTTTCTCTACTTGCTGAACTACTCCCCCAAAACATGCACCCCGAGTTTCCCCACAATAGGGAGCCAGGGTGCTCTGGGCTGTATCTGTGCTTTCACTCAGAGTGCGCTACTCAGGAATCTCTCCAGGGTTGGCCAGAAAATCTCCATGATGCCAGATCAGGGCTTCTAGAGCTGTCAACCACTGTTGCTCCCTCCTCTCTTCCCGCTCCCTTGCAAATGACACCAGAAAAAGGGTCTGTTACCACTAGTAGTAGATCCTAGTGTCAAATCCTACATGACAGAAGACATTCCCAATCCCTGGATTTCACTCTAGAAGTTCTGTACAGAGACTTCATAACTTATCTGATATTTTCTTCTTCTTTAATTTGTCTTTTGGAAAATCAAGACACTGAAGAAGGTCTGAGACACTCTTGTAGAAGAAGAAGTGTATTTGGTTCATGATTTAAAGTATCCATCTCTTAAAACTCAGTCCTCAGAAGTTGAAATCACCATGTTTTACAGCACTGATGTAAGTCTATCATTTGTTTGTACTACCTCAAAAGTAAAAGGCCTAAGGATCTGGTGACTTTTTAAACTGCTGGAGCCATAAAAACTATTTTTTGTTAAATTGACTGAATTGAAATATAGAATATTAGCAGTTTAGAGGAAGGTGGAGAATTATATTGGTTAGGACAGTTATACTGGTTACAACAACTTTTGGTTGTAAGTGACAGAGACTCCAAACAAAAAGGACTTAAGCAAAGAAGTGGTTTACCCACATCACAGAAAGGCAACCACAGAGCTCACTTCAGCATCATCAGGATCCAGGAACGTGAACACCGTCAGGAATCCATCTGCTCCTTCCCTCCTCTCATCTTGGCCTCTGCCTCAGGCCAGGCTTCTTGCTTACCAGCTCTTGCTCATTTTGGGTAACATGAGGACACATCTTTATGGTTAGAGTCCCAAAGGAAAAAGATAAACATCCCCGCCACCTTCTGGATGAAAAACCCCAGATCTGGCCCCACTTGGGCTACATGCCCACCACTGGCTTGTCCCTGTGGTCAAGTAGATGGAATACTTGGAGTGGCTGCCTTACCAGAATGACATGTGCATAGTGGTTGTTGGGATGATGGGGAAAGAAGAGTAGTTTGGCAAAACAAGAGTGAGGGCAGGTGCTGTTACCAGCAAAGGAGGAAAGGGTTCTGGGCAGCCCTAAACAGGAGTTATACCGAGAAACAAGATTGGAACTTAGCTCTGATCTTGCTGTGAATTATAGAATCATGGAAGTTTGAAATATAAGGGTGTGTAGTAGTTATCTAGTTCCACCCTTTACATGTGGAAACTGAGGTACAGAAAGTTCTAATGATCCTCTTGAGATTACAAACCACAGATATCCCATAGATATAAGTCAAGGACTGTTTGCAGTGATCCTTTACAGCTTGAATTTAACTTCCAGCTCAATTTTTCATCAGAAACTCATACTGCGTAGATTTCAGTTTCTGTCCATTTCCAGTGTGGCACAAGGGTAAAGGAGACAATATGACAATTAGCATCTACCGGACATTTGTCCACTTACCTCATCTGCAGAAAGATTGCTATTGTCTGGCAGTGGAAATGAATTAGCTAATAAAACTCTCAGGACCTTGAATTCGAAAACAGAATAGAAAGATGGGCTGGGCTCTGTGGCTTATGCCTGTAATCCTAGCACTTTGGGAGGCCGAGGCAGGATTGCCTGGGGTCAGGAGTTCAAGACCAGCCTGGGCAACATACAAACACCTTGTCTTTACTTAATTAAAAAAAAAAAAGATGGGCATAGTAGTGCACACCTGTAGTCCCAGTTACTAGGGAGGCTGAGGCAGAAAGATCACTTGAGCGTGGAAGGTTGAGGCTGCAGTGAGCCAAGATCATGCCTGGGTGACAGATTGAGACCCTGTCTCAATCAATCAATCAATCAATGTAGGTTAATCATATAGAGGACATAAGCTGAAGTATTTAAATTATGTAATAATAAAAAACACTTTATTAACCCTGTCATTACTTCAGTAATTTCAGATTTGCTTCTAAGTTATCCTTTGTGAGAGAATCGAAAATCAAATGTCCCTAGTAAATAAGTAAGCTTACAAGTTGTTACAAGATTAGTTCTAGCCTATGGAATCTGTCTTCATGACTTGGTTCTATATCATTTATTTGATTTTTTCAAATAAGTTGAAATGCTGAATACTCTGGCTTGGAGATCCCAGATGTCTCACATGGTACACCAGAAATTCAGGCTTGTTATTGGAATATTTTGAGACAAACAGAACTGAGTTTAAATTCTGGATCTCTCGCGTATTAATTCTGTGACCTTGGGGGATATTGCCATGTTCTCATCTATAATATGGACATAAGAGCTATCTGTTAGGATCAATGGAGAACTCAATTAGATTAGACATGAAAAAGTAACTTCCAAGCATTACACCTTAATAAATGTTAGTTTCTTCCTCCTTTCTCCTAATCAGGACAAAAAAAGCCATTAGTTAAGTAAAGAATATGTTTGGGAAAAACTATTCTCTCAAATCAGGTATCAGCTGAAATTTGAGCTAATGCATGGAGGCAACACCTAATATCTTTTGTATGAAGACAGCAAATTACAATCTTAAAATGTATTTGATACTCTTTAATAGTGTGCTGTATTTGCTCCAAATAGATCAACTATAAAGTTATTGTGAAATAATAATAGTGGGATAATATGCAATATCTAAAAACACATAGAGAAAGTAAGAAGTATGGGCAAATGTAGTTGATGGTGATTATTATTGAAGATGTTAGTACTGGTAAAAGGCAAAACAGTCAAGAAGGAATGAGGTAAAGCAGGTTTCAAGCTGTAAATTATCCTGACTCCATAGGCAGGAAAACAGCAGGTGAAACGTACATAATGTGGTGACTTGGAATGGGTAATCATCCTACTCATAACCATTGGTCGGGGTAACCTCCTGAGTCTGTCTTTGCTGAAGTGATTCTGATGATAATAAAATGTTCCTTGAGGTACCTGAGGGGCACTCTGGTAAGGCTGTTGGGTTGGCAGATAGAAACAGGCCTGCAGAGTGCAGAAGAGCCTGGTCTAGGCCAAAGATCAAGGTTCAGACATATCAGCTACAGTCATGAATGGACACCATCCTTGAAGACAGTCACTGCACACACCTCTCTTGGGATTGCAGTCAGTATCATAAAGCTGAAAACAACTGCTATTGATTACTGTGCAGAGCCCCAGGCTGGAGAAGGTCTCCATATCTGCAGAATGGATTGTAAGCACATCGTTCTACATCCTGAAAGACAGGAACAAATAGGGGGCAATGCTAGACCCCTTGCCATCTAGTCTGAAGTCAAACAATTGTTCACGAAAAAGGAAAGCTTTACATCTTAGGTCCGGGTGGCAGGAAAAGAAAAGATTGTCTTGAAAACTAAATGGATATCAAATATAGGAAGGCTGTTTATAATAGTCACAGAGATTATGTTGGGGAAATGAGGAAGGAGAGAAGTATAGAGAGTGAGGAATGTGTGGCTTCTTCCAGAGAGAGGTGTTGCCCCCACTTCACTTATTTATTCTGCTTTCTTGTCACTTGTATTTGATCACTCAGAGAGCAGAGATTTCATCTAAATTGAGCTGCTCTCACCTTTTAGGGCCATGTTACTTGAAGTAGTTAATATGTTTATGAATAATGTCTTGTGACAGCCTTTTAAGTCACATTCCAGGCCCCCTGTATCACCTCGATAATCACACACCTGTTGGTGTGACTCACGCAGCATGCACCCTCTCCGAGGCTGTCGCAGGCTTCTCTTTAAACAGCCTCCATGGCCATCTGCCTCTGTGCTGATATGATGGTGCCATAAAACACGGTGGTGTCTGGAGCTCCTGCTCCCCTCCCCACCTACCATCCAGCCCAGTCTCTGCAGCTTCCAGGACTGTCTGGCAGGTGCTCCACCTTCACACAGTTGGCCCAACCTGTGGCTGAGGAGGGCAAGGGCTCGGCTGGAGTCAGTGAAGTCAGTGCCCCCTGCCTTGGCTTCAGTGCCTGGTTTAGAAGTTTTATTACGCAGCAATGGTGTGGCTCAGGGGTTTGGGAAAGGGATGGTAAAGGATGCCTCAGGGTCTCATGCTGAGCCTGGGTGTCTGCCCACTTCGGCCAAAGTCCAGCCCTGCTGGGTAATAGCTGGATATTATTAGCAGTTGCAGGAGGCTGTGTAAAGAAGGAATAGTGAAATAAAACTGAAGGCTCCATGCACATCCTGGTGAACAAGTGTCTTCCTATATCTAATAATATTCTCACACATGTCAGGCACAACAGAGAAGCCAAAAATAAAATTGCTTTGGGAACCATAGTTTCTTTTTCCCGGGGTGGAGGCCACGTTATAGGAAGAAAATGTGATGGCTCTAGAGAAACAAACAAACTTACTTAATGCAAGTTCACATTGATTACAGTTAGATGACTCCTGTAAATCACTAAGTAAATTTTAATAAACTACTGCTGGAATATAAATTGCCTGATGAGATTCCTAGTTTCGAAGTACTACTTTGGTATTTTTGCCAAACTTGATAAATCTCTAATTTGCTCATGTTAAATCACAGACGGTTCTGAGAACTACACTTTCCCTGATGCTCTTTGGTCTTGGATCTACGTATACCTGTCCTGGACACAGCGGGTTATCCGAGAGGTTTTCTTTCACCATGTCCACTGTATCAATGATGTCCATTTCTGATTTACTTTTATGAAAGACGGAATGCTGCATCTGATCCATTATGTACTATTCGCAGGCAAATTCTAATGATAACGACCTAAAATGTGTATATGTATATTTCTTGTAATTCTAGGCTAAGTCTATTAAAGTATTGATATTATTGTTGTTTTAGTGCTTTTCATGATATATTGGAAATTTCACTGTTTTCATAATCTTGTTTGCTCTGCAAGTACCCCTTTTACTCAGAGGTAGTTACAATGTAGGAAAAAGAATATATTTAAAATACCAATAGTAGTTATTTCTGGATTAAGCTGGAGACTACAGGTGACTTTTATTTTCTTTTGTCTTTCTGTATGTGCTAAAAATTTCCACAATAAGAATAGTTTATATTTGCTAAGTGTTTTCTCTAGGCCAAGCTCAGTGCTAAGTTTTTAATGTTCTTTATTACATAATATCTTCACAATAGCCCCATAAGAGAGGTCCTATTATTATCTTCACTTTACACTTTTTTAAAAAAATCTTCCTTTTTTTCCTTTTTGTGGAGAGTGGGGTCTCACTATGTTGCCCAGGCATGTCTGGGACTCCTGGGCTCAAGTGATCCTCCTGCCTGTGTCTCCAGAAGTGCTGGGAATATAGGTTTGAGCCACCATGCTCAGTCATCCTCACTTTCCACATGAAGCTGAAAGAATTTAAATAAATTACTCATAAGTGGTGGGTCCAGAATTCAAACCCATGTATATCTGATTCAAAACTTAGGTTATTGGCTGGGTGTGGTGGTGCACACTTGTAGTCCTAGCTATTTGGAAGGTTAAGGCAAGAGGATCCCTTGAGCCTAAGAGTTTGAGTTCAGCCTGGGCAACATAGTGAGAATCCGTCTCTTAAAAAAAGAACTTAAGCTACTAACCTCTGTGCCAAACTTTATTTCTTTGGTAATCAGATACACACACACACACACACACACACACACACACACAATTTTGTTCTAAAAATAATAAACATAAATATTTAGCATATAACTTGCATTACAAATATTAAATGTGCACTTGCATGTCTAGGCATATATGCCAAGGTTAACCTAACAGCAGGTTAAGAAAGAAAAAGGCCAGGCACGGTGGTTTATGCCAACACTTTGGAGGCCAAGGCCAGAAGATTGCTTGAGCCCAGGAGTTTGAGATCAGCCTGGGCAACATGGTAAAACCCCATCTCTAATAAAAATACAAAAAATTAGCTGGGTGCAGTGGCACACATCTGTAGTCCCAGCTTCTCGGGAGGCTGTGGCAGGAGGATCACTTGAACCCTGGAGGTGGAGGTTGCAGTGAGTGGAGATAGCGCCACTGCACTCCAGCCTGGGAGACACAGCAAGACTCTGTCTCAAAAAAAAAAAAAAAAAAAAAAAAAGAAAGAAAGAAAGAAAGAAAGAAAGAAAGAAAAAGGAAAAGAAAAAAAGATTTAATTGAATTGAGGCTCATCATTTTAAATCAGCTTTAAAATATTATTTGATCATGATGTTCACTTCTATGAAATTTAGAATACATTAGAAAAAGAGAATTAGGAAACAGAAATTATTCAAATAATGAAAAATAAATCTTTAATGACAATGTCAATTGGGTTGTTTTTGCTTTTTTTGTTTTGTTTTGTTGCCTGAAGAAGTCTGCAGGAAGATTAAACCACAGTTTTGAAATAAAGGAAGAACTCTGGTGTGGTTAGTGGGAGCAGCTGTTCTCCAATCTCAAACCACATCTGGAATATTATGTTTAATGCTGGGTACCACATTTTAAAGAGAGACTTGATCAACTGCAGTGTATTAGATATGGGTGAACATGATGGGGTGTACCCAGAAACAGCAACATATGAGTTACAGTTGCAGAAATTGGTTGCTCCAGGGAAAAGGCATAAGGGCGAGGAAAGATCTGGGTCCAAAGCTGTGAAGATCTGTAATACTGGAGAGAGCTTGGCCTTGTCCTGTATCACGCCAGAAGCCAAGAAGCCAGAACTAAGACCAGTGAGGTCAGATGTGAGTTTAATATAAAAAGAAATTTAGAGCTTCATAGAATAGGCTGCAAGTAGACTAATGAAGTTCCCTGGGATTAGTCAAGCAGAAACAAAAATGTCTAGTTCTTCTTATTATGGTGGAGCTTATTGATAGCTTAGATGGTGGAGGTTTCTTAGTTAATTTTAAAGAAATGGCAGGCAACTTATTTCAGGGAATGCTTTTAGGTTTTTTTTTTTTCTTAAATCAGAAACTAGATACAGTTTATATAATCTTTTTGCCCTCTTCTGCCACAAGTATTTATTCTTTTGTTCAATAAATATGTCTTCAAAATTCTATGCCATTGTTCTGCCTTCTGGAAACGTACTATCAAGCATAAAATTTCCCCCTTTTCATACTTGTTTATTTAACACAGTTCACTAGGCGAAAATAGAGGAGGGGAGGAAAAAAATCCCACACATCTTTGAAAATGACTAGATAATTTTTTAGACAATTTTGAACAGATAATATGAGAACTGGACCTCTTTTTAGTAAAATTTTAATGTCCTATATGACGTTGAGTAAGTTAAGTTACTTAAGTTCTCTGTGCCTCAGTTTCTTCATCAGTAAAATGGATATAAAAACTCTTGCCTCATGGCTCTTACGGGAATTAACAAGTTAATGTTTGCTTGGTTCTTTGAGGTCCTTGGATGAAAGGTGTTATATAAATACTAGGTATCATTATTAACATTTAATTACTGTATCTATACTTATGATACTAAGTGTCCCAAGTAACAAAAGCTGTTACAGGCCACAGAAAAGCTTTCACAGGCTGCTTCCCAAGTATCTATGAAGACGTAAGCTAGAATTACCAAGAGATCTTTGTGTCAGCTGAAATAAGAGATCTCATTGTCAGCTTAAAAACTGCAGTCTTATGAGTTCAAATTGATATTTAGCTATAGATTCAAAAGATGCCTTTTAAAGCATTTTTGCTGTCTTCAAACTAGTTTTTATTACTACTTTTAAACTAGGTAATTTTGGAAACTTCAAATTATTTCATTTGAATAAATTCTCAGTAGAACCTTCTTAATATTTGCATATGCTAAATGTGGTAGTTTTTGTAGTAGTTTTGTGGTAGTCTTGTGAACAGCAGTTTTGATTGTTGTTGTTGTTTTTGAGACAGAGTCTCGCTCTGTCTCCCAGGCTGGAGTGCAGTGGTGTGATCTCGGCTCACTACAACGTTGCTCTGCCTCCTGGGTTCAAGGGATTCTTCTGCCTCAGCCTCCCAAGTAGCTGGGATTACAGGTGCCCACTACCATGCCCGGCTACTTTTTGTATTTTTAGTAGAGATGGGGTTTCACCATGTTGGCCAGGCTGGTCTCGAATTCCTGACCTCCAGTATGATCCGCCTGCCTTGGCCTCCCAAAGTGCTGAGATTACAGGCGTGGGCCACTGTGCCCACCCGGCTGTGAACAGCAGTTTTTATCCTTAACATAGGAAGAACACATAACATTGGCCATTGATCATGGTGAAGAAATCAAGATTGCTTTGTTTCTTCCTTTCTTCTACTATTCATAGCTCATGGCTTTAACATCCTGCCTGACTCTTCTCACTCCATTCCTTGTAATTATCAAAAAATGCAGAAGTTAGCAGGGAATTGGAAAGACAGGGGTCCTTTTTTGATCTCAGATGACATATATAAAAGACAAACTTTTAGACAAAAGAAAAAAACAAATTCAGAAAAAGGAGCAATGCTGAGCTCTTGTGCAGCCCAGCATTATTATTATTTTTTTAAATTACACTTTAAGTTTTAGGGTACATGTGCACAAAGTGCAGGTTTGTTACATATGTATACACGTGCCATGTTGGTGTGCTGCACCCATTAACTCGTCATTTACATTAGGTATATCTCCTAATGCTATCCCTCCCCCCTCCCCCCACCCCACAACAGGCCCCGGTGTGTGATGTTCCCCTTCCTGTGTCCAAGTGTTCTCATTGTTCAATTCCCACCTGTGAGTGAGAACATGTGGTGTTTGGTTTTTTGTCCTTGCGATAGTTTGCTGAGAATGATGGTTTCCAGCTTCATCCATGTCCATACAAAGGACATGAACTCATCCTTTTTTATGGCTGCATAGTATTCCATGGTGTATATGTGCCACATTTTCTTAATCCAGTCTATCACTGATGGACATTTGGGTTGGTTCCAAGTCTTTGCTATTGTGAATAGTGCCACAATAAACATACGTGTGCATGTGTCTTTATAGCAGCATGATTTATAGTCCTTTGGGTATATACCCAGTAATGCGATGCAGCCCAGCATTATTACCTACATATCGGTTTCCAGATGAGTGATAGAAGAGCTCTTCAGAAGAAAAAGCCAGCTACCCAATAGAAAAAATGGCAATAGTTACGGACAGGAACGTCACAAAATAAACCTAAATGACCAATAAATATAAAAAAGATGCCTAAAGAAACAGTAGAGACACTGTTTCACACTTTAGTTGCCTGGGATTTTTATTTAGAGATTGTCACACATGGAGAGAAAAGTAAAGCGACACTGTCAGAATACACATTTATACAACCCCTGGAGGCAATTTAACGCTGTCTAGTAGAGTTGAAGATATGTATCCACTAAAGGTCAACATTTCATTTCTGGACTTACACGCTACAGAAACTCTTGCACATGTGCATATTGACGTTCCTAGCACCATTTGTCTGTAATGAGGAGAAAGTATCTAAGTGATGGACACAATCTAAATGTTCATCAAAAGGAGGCCAGTGAATAAACTATGGTGTGTTCATGTAATGAAATACCACACACTATACAGCAGTGAAACTGAACTCACTAGAGCTACAAATATCACTCTGGATCATTATGGATAACTCTCAGGAAAACATAATGTTCAGGACAAAAAAAAAAAAGTCCCGTGGAAGCATACCGTAAAAATGTTGCCTGTATGAAGTTTAAAAATACTCAAAAGAAGGCAACTAGTGGTTACCAGAGAAAAATTCAGACTCTTAATCTGCATGTAGAGGCTGAATTTCTAGTCTTGGCAGTTTCTCTCAAGTTAGTATTTCAGCACTTTCTTGAAACTTTTGCCTCACTGGTGCCAAATTATTGCTACGATAGAAATTTACATATAATTTAGTAGAAATGGGCCCGAGTCCCCACACTGCTCCAAGAAGAATTTGTTTTATAGTAGCACAGAGCTGTCCAATAGAAACAGAATGTGAGCCTCATATGTAATTTGAATTTTTCTTTTAACCACATTTTTTAATGAACAGTTGAAATTAATGGTAATAATAGATATTAACTAAATATATTAAAAAGATTCAATATGTAATTCATCAAAATTGAGATTTTAAAATCTTTTTTATACTAAATCTTTAAAATTTGATGTGCATCTTACATGTAGAGTGCATCTCTATTTGGATGTTAAATTTTTGCTAGAATTACTTGATATGTATTTAGATCTCCTAAAATTTACAGGTGTAAATGCAGATTTACATACTCAACTTATTTCAAATATACTTAGAAGCCTTCTAATAACTAAATGAGGTATTAGTTTGTAAATTTAAATTTTAAATTGTAATTTTAAACTTTTAAGTTAATTAAAATTAAATAAAATTACAAATTCAGTTTCTCAGTCTTCCTCACCACATTTTAAGTTCCACTAGCCACATGCATAGCTATATTGGACAGACTAGCTCTAACCTGTAGGACTAAGAAATTGTCCAAATCCACCCATCTTTCCTCTCTGAGATTCCTATGGTCATCTGATTGAAATCAAACTAAAAATGTGTAGAATGGCTTTGCCAGACAAAGGTAGCCCCACAGAGGTACCTCCAGCAAAAAATGTGGGTTGACCAGCAAGGTCAAGGCCATCTGACGACAAGACTCTCATCTGATTTATACACTCAGCCACCTACTTCTTAAACCTCTCAACTGCCTGTTATAGCTCTGGTCCAACAATACACAAAGCTGGGGAGAATGCCTCAAGGCTCCGTACCTTTGGGTTGACTTTGTGTGTCTGGAATGTCTGTTTTAAATGAGATTTCCAAGGGATGCATTGTGAGCCGTTCAACTTTATAAAACACCAGCTCCTTTCCAAGTGTGGTGCTTGGGTGTCCTCTGGGACTCCTTGGTAACTTCTACATCGGATAATTAAACCCAAGAATCTGAAGGAACTAGCCTGAGAAGAAATATGCAGAGACTTGCGGAGGCGAGAAAGTAGGAACTCAGATATGTTGATGATAAAACAATGCTAAAGGCAGGTATAGAAAAAAAGGACACTGGAGTTTTCAAATGGAAAAAGAGCCTGTAAAACTTAATCAAATGTCAACAGGGCAATTTGGCAGAAAAAGGTGGGAATCAATGGGATAGAGCCTTACAACCAAAAGTTGATCAGAACTGAAATGAAACAGATCTGTACTCTCCTCCTGACTTTGCCACTTGAAGTCCAAAGCAGTAAGCAGGGTGCCTTGTTAGGAAAAAGCAACCAGAATGCCAGTGGTTAAAACAGGGGGAATATTTGATTTTTAAATGAAAGGCTATCAGACACTACAATGTTCTAAAGTATCCTCACATTTTTATTATGCCTAATGCCAGCTCATGCACACAATACATCATTCACATGAACACTCACAGAACCACAGAAATGGCATAGAATGGTTCCTTAAGAAAATGACCGTAAAAAAGCCTTTGAAACTATTGATAATTAATAAGCCAGGGAGTAGCAATTAATATGTGTAGAGATGGGGCACCTACTGTTCTCTGAGCCATAGCTCATTTAAAATACTCACCCTGTAATTTATGAGCGATATTTAATACCTCAGTGACCATAAACCTCAATGTTTTATTACCACTGCTTAGCATACCTTTGATGTGCTGCCCAGCACTACACAATCCAAAACAAATTACTTTCAGGAAGCTGGATATTATATAAATGCAGGAAAGTCATAAATAATGCACAGGAGGAACATTTTCTGTGGGTTCTGACATGCCACAGTGGGTCTCTGTGAGTCTCTGTGAGTCTGACTTCTCAAGCATCTCACTGGGCTTGGATGAGGGGCAGGAGGGCGGCCCATCTGAGGAATGGTTGGTTGTCAGACAGGGTGGGAGTGCAGAGGGCCAGGCACTGACTGACACCATATTTTAAACCAATAACAGAGGGAAATGGAAAACAAATGAGGACTCTTTAGGAAGCTATGATCTACTTAGTGAGCTACAGATGTGTAAGGAACAAACCCTTCATTCATATTTTTGGTGGGCTCTTCATATTCCTCTTCCTTGCTATTATATGGGCATGCACTGGCTTCTCAACAGCTGTTCAAAACTCTCTATTCTCTTCAAGGTTTGGGATTCAAGACCCAGATTACCCACACCTGCTTACATGAGACAATCTCCTACCTCACTGAAGAAATCGAGGTCATCCGGTGAGAATTCCTCCAACTTTCCTCCAACATAATCATCCTTGTCAAACCTCATTCTTACTGAGGTTGCTCTGTTGTGAAAGGGACAATCCTTTCGCAAGGTGAAACCCCTGTGTCCTTAATCACATTCCCTTGCCCTCTCCTCCAACACCATAAATCATCCCCTTACAGTCTTAGTCCTCTCCCTCTCCACTGGTTCTTTTCCATTTGTCCTCAAATAGGATCAAATATATTGCATCCCTCAAATAAACAAGCAAGCAAAATAAAATCTTTTTCATAACCACATTACCTTATTTCTGAATATGCTCTTCTCCCTCTCTTTGCCCCTACAGTCAGCCTGCCCTCATTGCCAAGCAGATTCTGTCCTCACCATTCTGCTAAGAATCTTCTGGTGGTTTCCCTCCTCCATGACATTCTTCTGGGCTTCGTCTGATAAGACTCTCTACAGGGTTGAATATTGTTTCCTCTTCCTACCCTTACTTGAAACTTTCATGTCCCAGCCTTGCAGGTTCCTATTCTTGTTCAGGATTATTTTCCCCTAGGTCTCTTCTACTGGCTCTGCTTCCTTTGCCCATCCCCAGTCCTCTTCTCTGTATACTCTTTCTAGATGGTCCCACCCTCTTCACTGGCTTTAACCATCATCCTGATACCAGTGACTTCAAGTCCTATTGCTGAAACTTAACTCCCTAAGCTTTACCAGTTGCTCATTGGACAATTTCGCCTGGTATTCCATAGGCCAGCATTCCAAAATATAAGTTATAAGGAGAGATGGGATATTTGCAAGGTGTCAAAATATCACCCCACAAACAACTTGATAATTGCAAAGAGGAAAATGTATCTTCAAAATGAAAATATGTGATGGCCACTACCTTAACCAAGTGATCAAATATACTATCACTAATTGTGGACAATCTGCCATTTGATACCTGCTGAGGGGATAAATAGAAAGTATGTGGCAATACCTGTAAGTTATTCTTGCCAATGATGTTTAACCTGAATGTAATCAAGTCTTTTAGACCTAACTTGCTGTTTGTATAAAACACAAGGGAGAGAGTAAAAAGCTAAAGGATACCACAAAGCAACAATCAGGCAAATCCAGATTGTGTGATCTCTATAGGTTGATTGGCCTGGTCTCTTCAAAAAGACAATAAGAGTCAATATCATTTTTAAAAATGGAGACTGTTCTGAGATAAAAGAACTAAAAGAGATAACAGTCAAATGCAATGCATAAAGCGTGATTGAATCTTGCTTTGAAACAACCAGCTATAAAAGATATTTTGGGTATAATGTAGAAAATTTGAAGACAAGCTTTAAATTAGCTAATATTAGAGAAATAATGTAAATTTTCTTAAATGTTTTATGGTATTGTGCTTTTGGAGGAGGATTTCCTTATTATTGGGAGATGCATGCTGAAGCATTTAGGGATGAACTTTTGTGTTACCTGCAACTTACTTTCAAACGTTCTGCAAAAATAAACATCTGCATGTGTGTATAACTCAAATACAGCAAAGCATCAATAATTTTTTAATTTAGGGGGTAAGTGTGGGAATGTTGAATGTACTTTCCTTCAACATTCTGGCATGTTTTAAAATTTTCATAACAAAAAAGTAGAAAATATGAAGGGAAAATGAAGTAGGCAAAAAACAAAAAAAGTAGAGAAAGAGTAGCCAAAAACTATAAATATAAATTTAATACTTTTCTTCTGCCTCCCCCTTCCCTATTTTTTCTATTCATAATTTACCAAGTAGATGAAGCTAAAAATCTTAGCATCATCTCTAACTTCTCTTTTCCTCTTCAGATCTCCTACTTCCTTCCCTCCTATCATCTGGTCTTTATCTCTCCATATCTTGAGTCTCTGTACCACCCTCCACCATTGCTGCCACACTGCCCTCATGGGTCCTCCATCATGAATCACCTGGACTTCCACCCCCCGGGCTTAATCTCCTCCACCATCAGTCCATTTTCCCTATTCACTCCCCTGATGAAACCTTTATGCAAACTTCCACTGCCTGGGAAATAAAATCAAATTCCCTGAAATAAAACTATTAAAGGATAACATTGGAATGGAATCTAAAAGTAAGGACAAGAGGGAAGTCAAATTGACATCTAGCAACACCCTCAGGCTTTTGACTGCAAAGCTAGAATTTTGATTCCTAGGCTGCCTCACTCCAGGCTTCATTTTGTGCAGAGACAGCAAAGAAGATAGGCCTAGGAAAAAGGATGGTGTCTTCTTAAGGAAACTTGAACTGTCTACCTGAAAAAAGAACCAGGTATGGATCAACCAAGTAGTGTTCTGGATTTTTAAGGTCTATAAAAGAGAGACAGTACCTTTTAACTACCAAGGCCATGACTTCAGATGCTCAATGAAAGACTCATTTTACTGACTTCAGTAAGTGGTTTATAACACTCTTTCAGTGAAGGTGAGGGAAGCAAACACTCTCATACATTGTTAGTATGAGTGTAAATTGGTACAGTCACCATGGGGGGCAATTTTCTTTTATACTCTTAGATCCAGGTGAGGTCACTTTGGAAAATTTGTCCACCAGATATACTTGCTGCTATGCTTTTAATGAATCCCCTCCAAAACTTAGGTGTTGCCAATGTGGTTGTATTAAGAGATGAGGCCTTTAAGACGCGACCAGGCCATGAAGGTGCCACCCCTATGAATGGAATTAGGTGCCATTATAAAGGTGTTTGGCAGAGGGAGTTGTTTCTCTCTTGCCCTCTGCCTTCTACCATTTGAGGCATGGAAATAAGGTCCTCACCAGATGCTGGTGCCTTGACCTTGTACTTACCAGCCTTGAGAACTGTGAGAAATAAATTCCTGTTCTTTTTTAATTACCTAGTCTTGGGTGTTCTGTTACAGCAGCACAAAATGAACTGAGACATTTGCACATATGCAAAATGATGTATGGTATATATAATTCTGAATTCTGCTATGTCATTCATTAAGACATTTTTTCTCAATTGGAAAAATATTGAAGTAAGCAAAACCTCCACCAATAGCGGACTAGTTAAATAAATTATGGTACTTCAGCCTAAAGGAATATTATCGGTTAATGTAAAGAATTGTGAAGAACTCTATGCACACATCTCTGTAAGACGTATTGCGACATGAAAAATGCAAGGTGCAGCACCATGTGTATAGTGCTCTAAACTTTATGGTAAAATGTGAGAAAATAGAGAATAGGTGCTTGAGAATAAAAAAGTCAAAAATAATGCAGCAATATTAAGTGTGAAAATTATCCACCACCTCTAAGGTTAGAAAAACACAGGGAAGATGTTGGTGTTATCATAACCTAGAAACTTGAAGGGATAAGCACATGGAGCTGGGACTCATACCTCTGAGAAGGAGAACCACCGGGCTGGTGCTGACATCTCTGATGGGAGTGGTGGGAGACTATCTTAGTCTGTTTTGTGTTGCTATAACAGAATACCACAGACTGGGTACATTTATAAAGAAAATATATTTATTTCTTATAGTTATGAAGGCTGGGAAGTCCAAGGTTTAGGATCTCACATCTGGCAAAGGCCATCTTGCTATGTCGTCCCATGGCAGGAGGTGAAAGGGCAAGAGAGCACATTTGCCAGAGAGGAAGGGGGCCAAAGTCATCCTTTATCAGGAACTCATTCCCACAATAACTAATCCATCCTGGCAATAATGACATTAATTGATTTATGAGAGCAGAGCCCTCATGGCCTAATCCCCCCTTAAGGGTCCCACCTCTCAACACGGCTGCACTGAGAATCAAATTTCCAGCCCCTGTGAACTTTGGGAGACACATTGAAACCATAGCAGTATGAAACCACATTGAAACTGAGACTGGTTCTGGGAGTGCAAGTACAAGCTGGAGATAGGAACAAATTGCTCCACCATGCTTCCCCTTTCTGCCTTTCAGTCTTCCTCTATTACTCCCTATTGGCAAAATCTAACAGAGAACGAGCTGACAAAGGAAAAATGTAGTTTCCTGAGTCCCAGCATGGAGTGTAGAAGGATGGGTTTAAAGCTGAGAGGTGATAGCTTAATAACTAGCACAGTAGATTCAATAAGAATGGCCAAGGTGGACATAGGATCATCATGTGGCTGTTGGAATTAGTGCATTTGCAAGTGATCATGCCTTTCCGCCATCCTCTAGACCTGCCCCTGCCCACTATAGCCTGGGATTAGCACTGGCACCAGGAGTGAAGTCCCGATTCACACCAGTATATTATGTCTTGTCTGTGGACCAGAGCCTCTGTGGGACTTTTGGAAAACATTATTTTTTTATTTTTTTGAGACAGGGTCTCACTCTGTCACCCAGACTAGAGTACAGTGGTGCAATCTTGGCTCACTGCAGCCTCCACCTCCTGGGCTCTAGTGATACTTCCACCTCAGCCTCTGAGTAGCTGGGGCTACAGGAGCACACCACCAAACCCGGCTAATATTTTTGTATTTTTGGTAGAGATGGGGCTTCACCATGTTGCCCAGGCTGGTCTAAAACTCCTGAGCTCAAGCGACCCAGCACAAACATTATTTTTATTTACTCTTCCAATATCATTTGTGATTAATAATACTGTCAGTGCATTACAAGCAAGAAAGTTGAGTAAGAAAAATAAATATTTCTAAATAAAGGATCTCCGTCCTCCTCTTCTCTCCTGCGATTTCTCCCTCCTACTCAGTCTGTCAGACAATGGAGGGTTAGTTGAACCAAACAAACAAGTGGTTTGAGCCACTCACTTGGAAGCACCCATTGGACCTTATTTGGGATGGATGAGGTGGCCTGGCATAGTCTTGGGGGAAATAAATTGGGACCTGCTCCTTAATCCTAAAGTGCCTGGCCTCAGGAAAACTGACATCTCAAATGCCTTCCTGTCTCCACTCTCCAGTTTCCTTTTTCCTGCACCCATCTTCAGGTGTCCAGTCCTGAAGGATGGCCCTGTCTCAGCAGCCAAATGAGATTTGCAAGAGGAAAGACAACAGTTCCCACCATCTTCTTGAGTCAATAGCTGAAGCTGAAGGCAAATAAAAAGCCCTGTGATGCAATTCCAAAGGAAATGCTTAGAGGAGTGGGTTTCACATGTCTCCTAGAAAGGCAGAATTTGTCTATCCCAACAAGTTTTTAAAACATGTTTGTTAATCACATCAATGCCTTGCCAGCTCCTCCCTGCCCCTTAATGTTCTCTATTCAGGTCAAAGAATATCCTCCTTGCACCGCCCTTCTCCCTGTGACTTGGTGATTAGAGGGACGACTAATTTAAGTGCATGTCCTCTTATCTTGAGGCAATATTTCACAAAGGAAAGTCTTAAAAATCCAAGATAAACTTATTTTTATAATAGCTATGATGCCAAATAAATGGCGAGCAGCCCTTTACTGAGTTTTATAGAGTAGAAATATCTTCAAAACAGTAATAAATTAACAATAATAAACAATAATGAATTAACCAAGACATAACATTTGCCCTTCAAGTGTCTCAGCTGGATATATAAACAACAGTTGTGCCCTCTTTAAAAAAATCTCATCATAAAAAAATGCAAACTTACAAAATAACCAAATTAGCAATTGATTACCTATGTTATGAAGGAATCTCTGTAAAATAACCATAAAAGATCCTTTTGGCCAGGCCCTGTGGCTCACGCCTGTAATCCCAACACTTTGGGAAGTGGAGGCTGGCAGATTTCTTGAGTCCAGGAGTTTGAGACCAACCTGGACAACATGGCAAAACTCCATCTCTACAAAAAAAAAAATACAAAAAATTAGCTGGGCATGATGGTACCCATCTGTAGTCCCAGCTACTCAGGAGGCTGATGTGGGAGGATCACTTGAGCCCAGGAACTTGAGGCTGCAGTGAGCCGAGATTGGGCCACTATAGGGCAACCAGAGTGAGACCCTGTCTCAAATAATAAAACAACAACAACAAAAACAAAAGATTCTTTCATTTATTCCTCCAGTAGGAATCACTTTACCAAAATTTCATTTATTTTTAAGTTCTTAGAAGGAAATCCACTTTGTAAAGGGAAGGGCACCCGTGTTCAACACAAAGCGTTTTTATTTTACCAGTGGAAGCTCTGTCTGAGTATTATCACGTTGAGTCCTGTCTCTAGGTCTTGGTCTTTCTTACTTTGGCTTCACTTCTCTGTGCTTCCTGTAGAAGCCTATACCAATTCAAGGATTGATTCAATGATTTCTAGGTAAATTTCCCAAGCCTGTCTTCCACGAGCCACTGTCTCGTGGTGCTCTCCTAAATCTTCATTCTTCAGAATTCTTTCAATGACCACACTCAGAGTGGACCTAAGTACCTATGCCTTGACCACATTGATTGGAGTTCAGTAACTTCACTTACCATCTAGCATGTTTAAGACAAATTAAATTGTTTCCATTTCAATTGCAATTTTACTTTGGATGACAACTAAAACCATTTGAACTTATAAAATACTGGATCGCCATTTAAAAACATTCATTTACACTCCCACTCTCTCTTTGCCTCATATTATCTTATATGAAAATGTATGTCTTGAGGTATTACCACAGACTTCTCTGAGCTTTATCCAAACCCACAGGCCTCAATATTGAGCTAAAAATCTAGCAAAATTAGGTAGTCTTGGTGGATTTCTAAAGCTTTCAGTTTTCAATCAGGCTAGAAATAGCATCAGGGAAAATACTTTTGTGTTATATGATTTGTGGCCAGCCCTAAGTCACCCTTTAAGAAGGTTAGGGTTTGAAAAAGCCACAGTTTAAAATGTAAACTATATAGATCAGACTTCCAGAAATGGAATAGAGCTTGGATTGGGTTAAAGATTTGGGTTATATTTTATTTTACTTGAAACAATTCCCCTTTTCCCAACTAATAATAGATTTGTCCAGTAAATGTGGTGTGCCATGCCAGTATCTGTTGATGTTAAACAGCTGGGGAGCCAGTGAGACCCAGTGGGGAGGATCAGCTTCTTTCACTTCATGGAGAAGCTCAGGAAGATGGTCAATTGTGTATTCACTGCTATCTGCTTGTGACAAGATTAGACAATGTATGTCTTATGTTTTAAGGTAACGTTTTCTACATTTACAATTTCCCTATTTGTTTCTCTCTCTTTGTGTCTGTATGTGTGTGTGTGTATACGTATATTTTTAAAATTTACATTTTCTGAGAGGTAGTGTTGAAGGAAGTCCTGTTATTAATGTGTAAATAGAAATCTGATCATTTAGACGTAAGAAATTCACTCTCCTAACAGCTGGGTGGGCTCTCCAAGTTTGAGGAGGCATTTAGACCACCCGAAAGCAGCTGTAATGTTATTTTTTGAATGCTCTATTTTGAATATGAATGTAAAGTCAATCTTAGCTTTCCCATGATTTGAGCTTAGCACAACACACAACAATAAGTGAGTCCAGAAAAGGCAAAGGACCTTTAAGAAATTTGCTTTGATGACATTAAAAGAACTGAGTCTGATATTAGACAAAGATATCAGACTCAGCTCCCATATGGACAAGATACTTGTTTCTTTCAAGTCGGGTCTAACAGCACTGGATGTTGGGAAAGCACTCAGTTGTTTTCTCAACACAGGAAGAACCAGCTAGCCAATGCCAAATAAGTGAACCTCTCTGCAGGTGGGATTCCCACAGCTGGGTGATAGCATTTATCCTGATCTATTTATTACTTCATTCATATTAATCTGCCTCAACTATTTTCAACCATCCTTTCACTTCATCTAAATGTGCTATTAACTCCTTCAATATGGAGACCATATTCTTCACTTATTCTTACACCAACTACAGAACCTATTAAAAACAGTAGACCCTGTGAGAGCCCAAATAATGTTTGAGTCCAACATTAAAATGAACTAGAGTATCAATAGGTTTGTGTCCTTACACAAATTAGAAGAGTGCAGAAAACATGAACCATAGCAGGAAGACTGTAACTGGAGAAATTAACTTGTGTTCTCCTTTTTAAAAAAAAAACATGGACACTCATACAGACTAGGGTTGGTCTTTTACAATGTCAAGACAGTGAACAGGGGTTCTCGGACAGAAGTCAGATACTGAAAGGCTTACAAAAGCAACGTAAACGAATGGAAAGCAGTCTGGATGGAAACTGGGGTGAGCTGGAGAGCATATGCTTTGTGTAAGTGGGGAATGGCTACTGTGCTCCAGGCTATTGTTTCACCAATGTTGTTAACTGCTTTTCAGGAGAAGCCAGAGTTCTGAGAATCTATGAGGACTTTCCCAACTTTTAAATGTTAACAAATACTTTTTAAAAACATTGAAATTCTAGGCATGCCAAATGAAACTCTTCTGTGGACTGCCAGTTTGCAATCTCTGTTGTATGAGATGGAATGTCTTGAGGAACAGAGGCAGAGATGGGCAATATGTCATTGTGGTGATGCAAGTGATATGGGAGGGGGGACAGGGAAATGCTGGGAGGAGAAGGGTGGGGTCCCTGGCGAGGGCACCACCCTTGGGCCTGTGCCCATGGACCTAGGTGAGGACAAGCCCTCTTGTTTTTGCGTCCAAATATTGCATTTTCCAAGACCAGCCTGGCCCACCAGACCCCCCATTCTGTGCCTATAAAACCTGAGTCCCTAATGGGCGCACACACACAAGCAGCTGGACTTCCAGAGGAACATACTGGCAGACAAGCACACAGGCGACTGGACATCGAGAGGAGCAGAGGAGTGGGAGACCACACCAACAGGCACCAGCAGACGCGTCAGGCCATCAACTGGCAGAACAATGTGGACGCCCAGGGGCATTTGGCTGGGGCGGTTGGAGGAGAGTCCAGGTGCGGAGCGGCCTGACTCCAGAGGAAAACCACTTTCCCACTCCATACCCCTTCTGGCTCCCCATCCATCTGCTGAGAGCTACTTCCATCATTCAGTAAAACCGTGCACTCCTTCTCCAAGCCCACGTGTGATCCAGTTTTTCCAGTACACCAAGACAAGAACCCCAGGATAGAGAAAGCCCTCTGTCTTTGCGATAAGGCAAAGGTTCTACCTGAGCTGATTAACACAAGCCACCTACAGATGGCAAAACTAAAAGAGCACACTGTAACATGCCCACAGGGGCTTCAGGAGCTGTAAACATTCACCCTTAGATGCTGCTGTGGGGTCAGAGCCCATGCTCCCCATGACCTGCCTGTCTGCCTGCTCCCACTAGGGGTTTTGAGCAGCGGGGCACTGAAGAAGCGAGCCATACCACCATAGCACACCCTGCGAGAGGCACAAGGGAACTTTGCCCATTTCACAAGCACAAAATGAATGGTTAGACCCTGAAACTATTAGGGTCCTTTCCAACTCTGAGACTCTCATCTAGGACTGATAACCCCAGACAACGGGTCACATTTACTGACAAACACTAGTTCTGTTCCTTATGCCAGCAAAGCATGAGTAGTCCCAGAGTACTGCCCAAAAGCCCCAGTCCATCCCTTGGTTTTCAATTAAAGCATTTCTTATTGGTTTCAAAGAAAGCCCATGGTGACAAAGTCAAGATTAAGCCAAATGCTTTTGATGTTTATCAAATACCAGAGCTACATCTTTGTCTTCCATAGAAGAAACTGAGAAAATTGTGTTCATAAGATTTCAGCGACAGAAATCATTTACCCAGAATGATTTTCCTCTGCATGCCAATGCAGGGCTGATGATGGTGAAGACTGGAGTCACAGACGGTATGGGGGAGGACCTCACTGAATGCTTTACCAGGTGTGACTTGCAAAGCAGCAAGTCACAAATCTTTCACAGACACCTAGAACCAAATTAAATCTGAAGAACAATAAAAATAATGTCATTATTTTAAGAAAAGGTATTTTATAAAACCAAAGAATCAAGACAGAAGACCACAAAACAGAGAAAGCTGGGAGGGACCCATCCTGGTTTTTTTTGAGATGGAGTCTTCCTCTGTCGCCCAGGCTGGAGTACAGTGGCACCATCCACTGCACTGTAACCTCCACCTCCTAGGTTGAAGCAATTCTCGCACCTCACCCTCCTGAAAAGCTGGGATTACAGGCACCCACCACCATGCCCAGCTAATTTTTGTATTTTTAGTAGAGATGGAGTTTCACCATGTTGTCCAGACTGGTCTCAAACTCCTGACCTCAAGTGATCCGCTGGCCTAGGTCTCTCAAAGTGCTGAGATTACAGGCATGAGCCCCTGCGCCCGGCCTCATCATCTTTTTTTGTGACCAGTACTTTCTTTCTCAAAACACTACCTACCAGTCTTCTGTTATTCAAAATCCCCTTGGCTCAGACCTACCAGAGAAAGGGGGCCATCTCTCTCTCTACCATCATGGGCCACATATGGTTCTTTTGAATAGGGGCAGATAGTCAGAATATGATTGAGACGAGAGTTATAGAGAGCTGCCCAGAGACTTTCAAATTATGAGACCTAAGACATTTGCCCTGGCCTATTCTAAGGCCCCTTTATACCCTGGGCCACATAGAAATAATTCCTATATAGACACCCCTAATTCATATATTATTGAGAAATGCTTTATTTTTTCATTTCCCTAGAGAAGAAGTGCTCACTTTTGTTCTTGTTTTTGTTTTTAACTGGCTTTGTTATTCTTGGGCATGAGATGGTATTTAATCCTTTTATCCACTTATTGAACAAATACGTCGGGCACTGGGAATACAATTGAGCTGAACTGAACTGGTAAAATCATTGCCCTCAAGGAGCTGGCATTCAAGTGGCTGACATGATACCATTTTCTGTGTCTCAGAAGATGACCACGGAGAACTTGATCTAAACTGGGAACTTTGATGATGTATTTCATGTCAATGAGTCTGTTCTAAAAAGCAAAGAAAAACACACCGTGCTCTATCATAGTGTTAGTATACAGACCTCCATGAGGTCCTAAAAAGTCAGACTGTAAGGGACTAATTCAGATGGTTGAAATTCAGGGAGGCAAAGTGACAGAACCTTTTCAAGCTTCTATGCGGGAGGTGAGGGACGGGATATAATGAGAATCTGGCAACACTCGGTAAATTATCTTCTGAATTGATTCAAATTTTTGCAGCAAGCCTTTCTGTGCAAATTTCCATGACTTCTTCATGGTAATTAGTTTCATGGAATATTGCCAAATGGCATATTTTTCCTACTTCGAGCCACTTTATAAGCACTCCTGGGAATGTCTGAAATATGAGATAAGCACTCTTAACCCAAAGTTTTATTAAAAAGTTTAATGAACACAAATACCAAATGACACATTCATTGCCATTAAGTATGTAGACTCTCTGTAAATCTGTGAACTACTGGGCGACTATAAAACCTACTTCCCTCAGCAACCACAGAAGCTTTATTTCTCTTCCTGAGCAGGCATGGGAGCCCTCCGGATGCACCTCGCCATCTCCAGCCTCCCAGATTCTCAGGACTCCACTGCATGCACTGAAGCATGGTGGTGGTTGTGAATTCCCTCTCGGCTCCTTCTCTGTCAAGTCCTCCCTCCCACTAGTACTGACCTTACCCTGCCAGTCCTTGCGCTTTTGATCTTCTTCGCATTGCCCTCCAGGAAGCCTCAGGCCACATAAGAACTTTCTCATTGTCTAACATCATCCCCAAATAAGAAACATGCATTTACTAAATGTTCTCTCAAACTTCCAGAACATAGAGAATTACTTAATTTTTTTTTTGTTCTGGGCACAATCCTCTACTAGAATCTTAGTTCTTCAAAGGCAGGGACCATCTTTTTATACGCCCTAGAATCTTCAGCATTGAACAAAGTAGAAGCTGAACAATTTGCAGAATGAAGAAATGGAGCCATGGTCTTGTCTCTCATCTTCTCTTTGCTGTTTTAAAATGTTTTTTTCTGGAGAGAATTGTCCTTTCCCATTATGTTCTCTGAGGTCCCTGTGTTCCCTCAAGCCCTCTACTCTCTCTTTAGACAATTCCTTATAGTATAATCATTTCTAATAAAAATACACTAGCTACTCAACATGCAATATGCAGAGTAACTGAAGGAAAGGTCTAAAAAGATTTTCTGAAACTTTAGATTGCAGTAAAATTAACGGCAGAGGCTACTACACATTGCTTAGCAGTTTCAGCTTAATCAGTGATCAGAAGAAAATATTAATATATTTACAAACACTAGCAGAGAGTATGCAGAGGCTATGGCAAAAGGAAGGAAGTGGAAAGAACAGAAATCGACAGAGCTCACGGTACCTGCATCAGTTATCTATTGCCACAAAAGTGCTGCATAGAAAAGAGCGGTGGGTTACAGGATAAGCATTTATTTTTGCCCAAAGTCTCTCATTTTTCTAGGTTGTTTTGCTGATCTGGGCTGTACTTGGCTGAGAATAGCTGGATTTATTCATGTATCTGTGGTCAGCTGGTGAGTCAGCTAAGGGCTGGCTGGTGTCAGATGGCTAGAGCCTCTGAAGGGTTTGGTTCCATATGTGCTTTTAGCCTCCAGGAAACTAGCCTAGACTTGTTTTTATGCAGGTGGAAGACCTCTGAGAGAGTGAAAGCAAGAGCAAGAGTGAGAGAGCAAGCATGTTCAGAAGCTCACCAAACTTCATGACGCCTAGGCTTAAAACTGGCAGATTGTCACTTCCACCTCATTATGTTGGCCAAAGCAAATTTCAAAGCCAATATAGATATAAGGAATGGAAAAATATACTCTGTCTCTTGGTGGGAGGAGCTGCAAACTCACATTATAAAGGGTTTGGATATAGAGAGGGGTACAAAATTGGAGCCATTTTTCAATCAAACCATCATACTTAACTCAGCCTCATTTTTTTTAAATTGAGACAGGAAGTCATTCTGTCACCCAGGCTGGAGTGCAGTGGCACAATCTCAGCTCACTGCAACCTCTGCCCTACAGGCTCAAGCAATCCTCCCACCTCAGCCTCCTGAGTATCTGGAATTCCAGGCGCACACCACATGCCCAGCTAATTTTGCGTTTTTTGTAGAAATGAAGTATCACCATTTTGTCCAGGCTGGTCTCAAACTCCTGGGCTCAAGCTATCCACCCACCTCAGCCTCCCAAAATGCTGGGATTACAGGCATAAGCCACTGCACCTGGCCCCAATTTTTTACTTATTAGTAGCAAGGTATAAGCACAACTGTCTTAGTTTGAGTTCCTGTGGGTTCTGAGACAAGGATCCAATACAAGTGGTTTATTTGAACGGCAATGCTAGCAAACACTGATAGGAAGGTGAGGAGTTGAGAAAGGGAAGGAAGCAGCCAATAAAATGTTTGTTATCAAGCAAGTTACTTACCATTGTGGATAACTGAAGCATATTCTTGCTAGAGAACTCACTTGGAGCCAGTGTAGAACACACATCTTAGAGTTATCCTACCTAAAGAATGAAGCAGCTAGGATATTTCTGTACCAGCTCCTCTCAGTCAATGGTTGACAACTGGTTGGGTGGACGTAGAGCACTCATGTGTGGATACTTTTGTACTGCTGCAGAAGCAGAATGGGTTCCAATTAGCCAGGGAAAGTCTTCAGGCAAAGAATTTGCCAGAGCTAGCAGTTAGAAGGTGGGCAGCATACACCAAATGGGAAGGGCAATAGGATATGGCAGGACACTGATAGTGTTCATTATATCACTCAACAGCTTCTGCTGATTGCAATAAAATCTGCCAAAAGTTACAGTGTAGCCCAATGGAAAGATTATGAGCAAATCCTGTTTTTAGCTATGAACAAATTCCCTAATATTCCTGAGCCTCCCTTTCCTCAATAGTAGGTACTTCATGAGCATTTTTTTGAAGATAAAATTGAGATGGTATGTTTATAGTGTCTGGTAAATAAATAAGTGCTGGGTGTTAATATCTATCAAGATATTTTTGTTTCCATTCATTCATTCCTCAAGAGTTTGAGTGGAAATAAGCATATCTTTTAAAATATTTGTTTAGGCCCCCTGTTTCACACTTTGCCCGCTGCTGTGACATCTATGACAGGCTCCCATAGCAAAATATATACATCCAAGAACAGAATGGAACTTGGAAGTTTAAGAAACAGCAGCATAATTGACATCTTTAGGCTACTACAGCTAACCATAACTGCGTACACGTTGTTCTCAAACTCACATGGAATTGTCACCAAAATAGATCACATTCTGGGCCATAATACACACCTTAACAAACTTAATAGAAATCATACAGTGTCTGCTCTCAGACCACAAGTGAAATTCAACTAGAAATCCATAACAGAAATATAACTGGAAAATCCCAAAATATGTGGAAATTAAATAACACAATTCTAAATAACATATGAGTCAAAGAAGAACTCTCAAGAGAAATTTTAAAATATTTTAAACTAAGTGAAAATGAAAATTCATCTTATTAAAATTTGTGTGCTATAGCAAAAATAGTGCTTAGAGGGAAAATGATAGCATTTAATGCATATATTGGAAAAGAAGAAATAATCTAAAATCAGTAATCTACACTTTTACCTTAGGAAACTAGAGAAAGAAGAGAAAATTAAACCCAAAGTGAGCGGAATAAACAAGGTAATAAAAATCAGAGTGGAAATCAATGAAATTGAAAACAAGAAATCAATAGAGAAAATCACTTAAACCAAAAGTGGTTATTTGCAAAGACATGAAAATCAATAAACCTTTAGCCAGGCTAATGAAGAAAAAGGCAGAGAAGACACAAATTACTAATATCAGAAATGAAAGAGGAGACTGTAGAGAGCATTGACATTAAAAGGATAACAAAGGTTAGTATGAGCAACTGTATGACCACAAATTTGATAACCTAGAAGAAACAGACAAACTTCTTAAAAGACATGATCTGTCAAAACTCACACAATAATACATAGACAATGTAAGTAGCCCTATCTCTGTTAAAGAAATTTAATAATTAATAACCTTTCAAAGCAGAAGACACAGACCCAGATTGGTTCACTGGTGAATTAGAACAAACATTTAACAAAGGAACCATTCCAATTCTCTACAATTCCTTTCAGAAAATAGAAGTAGAAAGAACCCCTCTTAACTTATTCTATGAGGCTAGCATTGTCCTAATATTGAAACCAGATAAAGACATTACAAGAAAAGAAAGCTACAAACCAGTATCTCTCATGAACATGGTGCAATAATCTTCAACAAAATATTAGCAAATTGAATCCAACAATGTGTGAGCATTCTGCTCATATAATTGTTATATGTCATGACCAAGTGGGACTTATCCCAGGTATGCGAGGGTGGTTCCATATTCAAAAATCAGCTAAGGTAATCCATTATATCAATTGCTTAAAATAGAAAAATCACATGATTATCAACAGATGCAGAAAAAGCATTTGACAAAATCCAACACCCATTCATAATAAAAATTCACTAAACCAGAAGTAGAAGGGAACCTCAACTTGACACAGAACAGCCACAATAAAACCCTAAAACTCACATCCTAATTAATGATGAGAAACTCAAAGCTTTCTCCCTAAAATCAGGAACAAGATGTCCCTTCTTACACTTGTTTTCAGTGTGGTACTGGAAATCTTAGCTAATGCAATAAGTCACAAAAAGGAAATAAAAAGTATATACAAATTGGGAAGGAAAAAATGAAACTGTTTACAGATGACATGATCATTTATGTAGAAAATCCAAAAGAATAAACAGCAACAAAAAACCTCCTGAATCTAATATGAAGTTATAACTAGGTTGCAGGATACAAGGTTATTATGCAGAAGTCAATTGCTTTCTTATCTACCAGCAATGAACAAGTGAGATTTGAAATGAAAAACATGGCGGGGTGTGTTGGCTCAGGCCTGTAATTCCAGCACTTTGGGAGGCCAAGGGAGGCAGATCGCTTGAGATCAGGAGTTCAAGACCAGCCTGGGCAATGTGGGACACTCCACTTCTACAAAAAACACAAAAATTAGCCAGGCATGGTGGTGCATGCCTGTGGTCCCGGCTACTCAGGAGGCTGAAATGGAAGGATTGCTTGAGCCCAGGAGGTCAAGGCTGCAGTGAGCCATGATTGTGCCACTGCACCCCAGTCTGGGCTACAGAGCGAGATTCTGTCTCAAAAAAAAACAAAAACAAACAAACAAAAAAACCCATAATACAATTTACCATTTATATTAGTAACCTTGAAATTAAATCCTTAGGTATAAGCCCAACAACATATGTAGAATATCTATATAAACAAAACTACAAAACTCTGATGAATGAAATCAAAGAAGTAAATGCAGAGATTTTTAATGTTCATGAATAGGAAGACTCAATATTGTTAAAATGTCAGTTCTTCCCAACTTGATCTATGGATTCAATACAATCCCAATCAAAATTCCAGCAAATTATTTGTGGGATTTTAAAGTTTATATGGAGAGGCAAAAGACCCACAATAGCCAAGACAATATTGAAAAACAAAGCTAAAGGACCATTCCCCAATTCAAGGCATCATATAAAGTTACAGTAATCAAGACAGTGTGATATTGGCAAAAGAATAGAAAAATAATGAAACACAATAGACAGTCCAGAAATAAATCCATATAAATATAGTCAACTTATCTTTGACAAAGGAACAAAGGCAATAAGATGGAACAAATATAGCCTTTTCAACAAATAGTGCTGTAACAACTGGACTTCCTCTTGCAAAAAAATAAGTCTAGATATAAACCTTATACCCTTCACAAAAATTAACTCAAAATAGACCATAGACCTAAGTGTGAAATGTAAAACTACCAAACTCCTAGAACATAACATAAGAGAAAACCCAGATGACTTTGGATATGAAGGTAGCTTTTTTAACACAACATCAAAGGCACTATCCACAAAAAAATGATAAACTCTAGCTTCATTAAAATTAAAAACTTCTGCTCTGTGAAAGACAATGTTAATATAATGAAAAGACAAACTACAGACTGGGAGAAAAATATTTGCAAAAGACACATCTGATAAAAGACCGTTATCCAAAATATACAAAGAACACTTAAAACTCAACAATAGGAAAACAAACAACTCAATTAAAAATGGGCCAAAGACCTTAACAGACACCTCACAAAAGAAGGTATGCAGATGGAAATTAGCAAATTAAAAGATATTCCTTATCATATGTCATCAGGGAAATACAAATTAAAACAGCAGCCTGACACCACTACTACACACAAGAATGGCTAAATGCAGAACACCTACAACACCAAATGCTAACAAGGATGTGGAGCAAAAGAAACTCTCATTCATTGCTGGTGGGAATGTAAAGTGGTATAACCTCTTTGGGGGACAGTTTGGCAGTTTCTTAGAAAACTCTTACCATATAATCCAGCAACTGTGTTCCTTGGTATTTACCCAAAGGAGTTGAAAACCTACATCCAAACAAAAGCCTGTATGCAGATGTTTATAGCAACTTTATTCATAGTTGCCAAAACTTGGAAGCACCAAAATTTTCTTTAGCAGGTGAATGGATAATCTACGGTACATCCAAACAATGAAATATTATTCAGTGCTAAAAAGAATTACACTATCAAGCCATGAAAAGTCATGGAGGAATCTTAAATCCACATTACTAAGTGAAAGAAGCCAGTCTGAAAAAACTACATACTGTATGATTCCAACTATATGACATACTAGAAAAAAACAAAGTTGAACAAAGTTGAAGGACTGAGAATGAGTTTTGTTTTGTTTTGTTTTGTTTTTTTTTTTGAGATGGAGTCTTGCTCTGTTGCCCAGGCTGGAGTGCAGTGGCACGATCTCAGCTCACTGCAACCTCCGCCTCCTGGGTTCAAGTGATTCTCATGCATCAGCTTCCCAGGTAGCTGGAATTACAGGCACCCGGGACCACATCTGGCTAATTTTTGTATTTTCAGTAGGGACAGGGTTTCACCATATTTGCCAGGTTGGTCTCCAACTCCTCACTTCAGGTGATCTGCCTCCCTCGGCCTCCCAAAGTGCTGGGATTACAGGCGTGACCTACCCTAATTTTTTTTTTTTTGACTATTGAGAATATAAAAAGATCAGTGGTTACCAGAGTATAATGGAGTGGTGACAAATAAAGCACGGAGGATTTCTAGAGCAGTGAAAATACTCTGTATGTTACTATATTGGTGGACACATGTTGTTAAACATCTGTGAAAACTCACAGAATGTACACCACCAAGAAAAAACCCTAATGTAAACTCTGGACTTTGGGTGTTTATGATGTGTCAATGTTAATTTATCAATTGTCATAAATATACCACTCTTGTGGGGGATATTGATAATGGAGAAGGCTATACGTGTGTCAGCAGAGAGCATATAAGGGAAATCTCTGCACTTTCCATTCAGTTTTGCTGTGAACCTAAAACTGCTCCAAAATACTAATAATAAAAGTTGTATTAAAAAAGAAGAAAAAAAAAGAAACAGTAACATCTTCAAGTAGCTTGATAACACAGTAAGTGTTCCAACAAGTAGTTTTTCTTGCGCAGTGAAACTGGACCAACACTAACCAAATGTGATAGAAAATGGCTCCCTCCTGTGCACAGACAGAATTGACAATGCAATATCAGCAGCCAGCACAGATTTAATTATGTTGTGCTTTTCTCTGAAGCCACTCCTTCCTCAGCCTTTCTGGAGGATGTCCAGACTAATGCTTATCTTGTTTGTTCTTTACTGATGACCTTTCATGATAGGTAACAGTTTAATGAAATTATAATGTTAAAATAGAATTCCCTTTGACTTTGAAGTCTGTGTTTTAGACTTTTTGCTCCTTTTCAGAAAGCAAGGGGCCACTCTGGGTAGGAAGGCAAGGGGGACAAGATGGAAGCAAACTGCTCGTGCTATGAGAAGAGGCTAAGACTAGATCACTGCACAGGCAGGCTCTCAGATGTGTATCTACTCACACATTCCATTAAGTACTCAGAGACTTCATTTGGCTCCACAAACTTAACCAATGTACTTGAAGACACTAATTTGGTTTCTACTGAAGGACTAAGAATAAGCTTTTTCACAGCATCAAAACCTTTAAAACTTGAAGAGATTATTTGGGTCATTATATTGCCTCTAGGCAAGTCCTCCTGGAAACCATCTGCCTTAGATGAGAATTTCCTCTACTGAAAAGCCAAGGGAATTGCCGAGGGTCCTGAGGACAACCCTGTGGGGAGCGGTTCTTTTGGTCTAAATAAACTCCTTTTGTTATTCTATAATTTAAAAAAATTCCCTTTGTTCTGTCCCTGACAGAAAGAGTACCATCTTCTCCATACCATCTATTGTATTTTCTTTTCATATTTTCTCAGCATTCTCTTACCAGCATTTCCTCATAGCTTTAATTTTCTATTAGTATTTTAGTGTAGTTATTTCCAGATTTGCTTCAAGTACTCTGTAAACTTTCTTGATTGTAAACTTCAACTCTGGACTTCAGGGACACATCGTGTGTAAATCAGAGTAGGTGAGTGATATGGTTTGGCTGTATCCCCACCCAAATCTCATCTTGAATTGTAGTTCCCATAATCCCCATGTGTCAGGGGATGGACCCAGTAGGAGATGATTGAATCGTGGGGGTGGTTATCTCCATGCTGTTCTCGTGATTGTGAGTGAGTTCTCACGAGATCTGATGGATTTATAAGGGACTTTCCCCCACTTTGCTCTGCACTTCTCCTTGCTGCCACCGTGTGAAGAAGGATGTATTTCCTTCCCCTTCTGCCATGATTGTAAGTTTTCTGAGGCCTCCCCAGCTCTGTGGAACTGTGAGTCAATTAAACCTCTTTCCTTTATAAATTATCCAGTCTTGGGTATTTCTTCATAGCAGCGTGAGAATGGACTAATATAGTGGGGTTGCAGGGAACTCTTCGAGGATTAATTTTTTGGGGGGAAAGAATAAAGCCTTCCTTCCACTCCATTATTAGTGACATGGTTTAGATACTTGTCGCCTCCAAATCTGATGTTGAAATGTAATCCCTAATGTTGGAGGAGGTCCTAGTAGGAGGTGTTGGGTCATTGGGGGCAGATCCTTCATGAACGGCTTGGTGCCATCCCCCTGATAATGAGTGGATTTTCACTCTGGTAGTTCATGTAACAACCGTTTGTTTAAAGAGCCTGGCACTTCCCTCTTCCTCTTGCTTCTGCTCATGCCATGTGACACTCCTGCTCCCACTTTGCCTTCTGCCATGAGCAAAAGCCCCGTGAGGCCTCACCACAAGCCGAGCAGATGACAGCACCATGATTTCTGTATAGCCTACAGAACTGTGAGCCAATTAAACCTCTTTATACATTACCCAGCCTCAGATATTTCTTTATAGCAATGCAAGAAACGGCTAATACAATCAGAGATGAGACAACATGCAAATATTCTAGAAAGAGATAGAGCCAGAGTCTTAAATTCATATAGACATGAATGATATCAGTTCTTTTCCAGTAAATTTTTAGTAGGAGTGTGTGCACACAGGGTACCTCTAGGAAGAAAAGTGAAAGAACACAAAATGGTGTTTGTCATTCTTTGAGGCCATTCTAAATCTTTTAAACATCCTTTCTGTGTTTAGGAATTCCTCATAATCTCTGTTTTGCTTCCCCAGTATTAAAACAAAGTACTATTTGCATCCCAGTGGGGGTAGAATTTAAAAAATAAAAATTAGAAAAAAAGAGAAAAAAAGTACTGTTTTCCAGCAATTCTTGCAGCTAGGCACAATCTTGCACAATGTGCATTGTGCACATTGGTGAGATTTCCACTTAGAAAAGTGCACCTTGAGAAAGGACATCACTTGGCAAAGCTAGTGATGGAGGCATCTGTTGCAGGGAGGCATAGGGGCTAACAGAACTTACAGGAGTCTAGTTCCAAGTCCTCAGTGTGAACTGCCCCATCTAGTCCTCCAGTGGCAGCAGCAGAATCTTTATAGAAGCAATCCCATGGCATGGTTTGGGCACTCCTCCTAGCTGCATCCTAACCCTTAACAAATTCATTTTCTGCTTACACTAGCTGCAGTGAGTCCTCTTGTCTTCATCTAGAAAGACTGACAGATACAATATTGTTGCAACAGTACTGTTACACTGTGGACTTGCTTTGAGTCTAATAATACTCAGTGGACTTTTCATTCTGTTGAAATTCCTACCAGGCTCTTCAAAAATACCACAGCTGTGTCCCTGTGGAGACAAACCCATGGGATCTGAGTATTGATGTGGCCCTTTTAAAAATTATAAATAATTCTCTCTGATACATTGCTTTCCGAGTTCAGAGGATTAATGCAATAGAGAAAGGACAAAAATAAATCCAAGTTGAATACTAAGTTAGATTGCCTGACCTAAATTAGAGAGTGAGCTCCCATAAGTCTTCTGTAAGTTTAAGAGACAGAAGATTTGGTGACACTAGGATGTATAGTAAAAAAAGTTGGTGCCTCCTCAAGTTCTGCTAAAACAGTGGTTTGCAGCCTTGGCTGCATATTGGAATCACCTGGGAAATTTTTTAAAAATATGAATGCCTGGGCCCCACTCTCAGAAACTCTGCTTTTATTGGTCTGGAGTATGGCCTGAGCATCTCTATCTTTTTTTTTTTTTTTTTTTTTTTTTGAGATGGAGTCTCTCTCTGTCACCCAGGCTGAGTGCAGTGGCGCGATCTCGGCTCACTGCAACCTCCGCCTCCTGGGTTCAAGCAATTCTCTGCCTCAGACCCCCGAGTAGCTGGGTTTACAGTGCCCAACACCACGCCCAGCTAATTTTTTTGTATTTTTTAGTAGAGACGGGGTTTCACCATCTTGGCCAGGCTGGTCTTGAACTCCTGACCTCGTGATTCACCCACCTTGGCCTCCCAAAGTGCTGGGATTACAGTCGTGAGTCACCACGCCCAGCCAAGCATCTCTACCTTTCAAAAGTTTGCCAGGTAATCTAAGACCATGGTTGGAGACCTCCGTATGAGTGTGAATTCAGGCTGTAAACACAAGCTGGAATTCTTCTGGTGACGTTACCATGGCTATTGGCCATAGCTTTGTATAGATGTGTCTTTCTGTATGCAATAAAAGTGTATGTACATGAGAATATGCATCAAATAATATGTTAACTGTCATAGAGGGTGGCAACACAAACAATAACCCATTCATATAACATCTGCCTTTGTCTAAGGAGCACCGCTCACCTGATTTGTCCAGTGTGCTCACTAAGAGAGTGACTCCATATGTTGGTTGAATCCATCTGGTATAGATACTGCTTCCTCAATATCTGCAATAGTTAATTTAACACAGGACTTTATAAAATAAATAAGAGGATTAGTTGAGGAGTGACCCTACTCTATGGCATGCATTTGATACCACTTTGTAAAATGTGGACACACACACACTCACACACACACACACACACAGACACACATAAACACAGAGAGAATAATTTAAATTAGCTACCAGTGTGATCTAGAGCAATAATGAGTTGTGGGGAAAATAGAGGCACTGGGTTGGCTTGGAGTCACACCTAGGAGGCCAGCAGCCTCTGAGGGGAAAGATATTCCAGGAGAATAGATGGTGACCAAAGTAGCAGGGGGATTGCCCAAGAATGGAAAACGAAGAGTCAAAAATGGCCCAAGTAGAGGTCATTCTCATAGCAAAGCAAGAGAAACCAAGAGACTAGTACCATGTAGTAAATGAACATCATGCCAGTTCAAATAAACACAGGCTCAGAAGTGAATGTAAGAATGAGAACAAATAACTAAAATAAGGCACACTGGGCTAAATAAACTCAAGTCCATAATGAGAATGGAGGCCAGTTAGCCAGAATGGGAAGAGTGGAGATCTGGAAGAAGGAAAACATAGAAAGATCAATTTCATCTAACTGAAACTCTAAAGCTTGCACAACCTCACAGGATGGTGCCTTCTGCCCAGCTCTTCCTGGAATCCTTGTTCCCAGGGACAGCTTCTGATACCTCCTCCAGAGGGTGTTGATAAGACAGTTCACCAAGACTCTCCGGGACTGGGGCCAGGTCCTTTGTAAAATTGTCTGGCTTTTTCTCTTCTTCTTCCTGGTCTTGTCCAGTCTGTATTTCTTTTTTGTTTTGTTTGTTGCACACTGGTCAGTCACTTCTAGTACCAGAAAGGATATAGAAACTATACCACACTCTCAGGCTCTGAGTTGGCAACTGTTTACAGTTCAGTCTCCTATACTTTCAGTGCACAGTCTTCAGCTACGTGTATTACTGTTTGCTCTTTTAGAACTCAGTGAAATGGAGCTTATGTAAAAGCTATTATAAAAATGTACAAGACATATGAAGAAAACTGTAGATTTTTTGTTAAAGAAATCCAAAAGAAAACCTAAATAGAGATTTTCCTGGTAGAGAGATACAATATAGTAAAGATGTATTCATAGAGAAATAGACAGGTACATTCATGAAACAGAAGTGCAAATCTAGAGACAGACTTATGTACACAGAGAAATTTCATATATGATAAATGTGGCATTCCTAATCAGTGCCAAAAAGAGATTATTTGAAGTGTTGGGACAACTGGTTTTCCAGCTGCAGAAAAATAGCTAGATTCCTACCTTAAACTCAGATCAGCCATTTTGGACAAAGAGAGAGAGGACTGTCCTGGGATAACTACAGGGTCATTGTGTACTGGCATCAGTCTGCATTGTGTTACCATCTACTGAAACGGAGGAAGAAAAGGGTAAGATTAATCTGAGATAGGAGCTTCTTCTGTTTGTAATACCAATGCCAAGAACTGGGCTCAATGAGGATGGCCTCAGAATAGTGCTCAGGAAAAGCGACACATTTGAGTAAGGGAATTGGTCAATCTTCCCATTACAAATATCTTTATGACAACTGGAAATTTTCGTTAAACTTATTTTAAAACCTTCTTACTTATTTCTAAAAAAAAAAAAAAAAAAAAAAAGATACAGAACAGGTGTAGGTAAACTACTGCCAGCAGGCCAGTTTTGGCCCTGAGTCTGTTTTTGAAAGGAAAGTTCATTGGGATGCAGCTATGCTCATTCATTTATGTATTGTCTGTGGCTGTTTTTGCACTATAACAGCAGAACTGAGTAACTGCAAGAAAGACCCTACGACCAACAAAACTAAAAATATTACTATCTGTCTCTTTACATAAAAAGTTTCCCAGCAGCTGATATAGCCCAACTGTTTCAAGCACTAACGTTATAGAAGAAAAGCAGGATAGCTGAATGGAAAGGGCTCTGGATTGGGAAAAAGAGCAGAAGTGATTTAGTCTCTGGAATCAGATCTACTCCCATCAACTAACTCATTATCCAAATGCAAACTTGGCTTTAACGTCCCCATGTTTCAGTCTCTTAATTTCCAATAATGGCATTAGAAATAAAATTCTTTTGACATCTGAAGACTATAATTCTAGAATGGTCTCAATGAGTTAAAAAGTAGAAATCAATGTGAAATTCATTACATACTATTACATTTCATTGTAAAGGGTGTATCTCCTTACCTTCAAATAACAGAATTGTTTTTAAGGCTTATTGTGTTAGAAAGAAAAGCTAAGAACTTAGAATCTCAAATCTGAGCACTGATGAGAAATAAAATTGCACTTAACATTTTTCAGGGCTTCTATTTTAACTCTTCACACACATCAGTAATTTGACTCTTTGCCATGGAGAGACAATTGCATGTATTTGCATTTTTTCTGTATGTGAGAATTTAATTTTTTACAACCCGCTGTGTTTTTCAGGCCCTTTAACTAATAGGCTTTTATCACCTTATGATTACCTAATTTTCTCCTAATTGCTTTATGACAATACAATTTATTTTGATCACTCCCACCCTGCGGTTTTACTTTGTAATGAAGGACTTTATGAATTTATGTGTATTATTATGCATCAGCCTAATTTTTCAATCTCTCTTCTTCCTCATAAATGGAAGAATAAAATTGGAGTAAGCCAAAAGAGCCATAGGGTGCCCATGCTTCCTATGTGGGAAAATATCTGCACATGGAGTTTCCATTCTCCCAATCAGCCTCAGAGTGTGCACACTTGCCACACAGGCCTTTTTGGTGATCTCCACGTGGCTTCGTGACGTATATACATATGCACACATTGTATATGAAGAGAGCAATCAGGCCAAGTTCATTTAAAGGTGCAGGGACCCCCTTGGTCTGTGATTTGTGCCTGATCTCCTCATACACTCTATTTATCAGATTTTGAATTTGGATGAAGTGGAAGAGTTCATTGTTTTGAGAACAACCTGAATAAGTTCAGAATTGATTTTCAAAACAGCCTTTTCTTCCTATTGTAAATTCTACAGTGAAGGTTTCTAACGAGCCGTTCTGTAAGTCGAAACGTACTCTAGGTGTACTCAGTTCAGTTCAGCATGAATGTGTCATGCGTCTCTATTATTGACTGATTTCATTTCTATTATTGACTGATTTCGTTCTCGCTGTTGAAGATGTATAAAAATTCACAGAAAGTGAAATATAATAATCTGGGGAACAGCATTGAACAGAATGCAGTCACACATCTCTATAATAGAAAACAGACAACAATCCACTGTTTTGTACACTGTTTTAATTATTTAGTAATAGCTACCATTTCTTGAGTGTCTACTTTGTGGCAGATACTTTATATGCCTGACATTTTATTCAGTCTTTAAGTGGATTTAATAATAGTAAGATCAGCTTTATTCCCATTTATGAATTGCGTTGACCAAAGTTCCACAGATGATATATGGCAGAGCTGGGGTTCATGACTAATACCCCAAAGCCCTGCTCTCACAAGTGTCTGCCTGGACTTTAAAGTACTTTCTCCTTCATCAGTTCATTTGATAGCTATAGCAACCCTGCGAAGGTGGCAGAGCAAAGCATCATGTTCTCCATTTTTCTAGATGAAGACTAGGGAAAAAATGATGTTTCAGTTCCCAATATTATAACAGATAGAGTCAGGCAAGCCAGGCTTCCTCACTCCTGATTCAGTGTTCTTTCAATAAATATAATTTTTATTAAAACCTACAATCAAAGTAGATAGTTTAGTGAAAAACTTATGGATAAGTCTGAGCACTTATACTTTCACAAGTCTTAGCTCAGCAACTAATGGATGATAGGAGGCCTTCTTCTTGTTCCTTGACTAGTTATTAGCTGTATGGCCTTACACAAGTGGCTTCACCTTTTTAGGCTTCCTCATCCTCATCTGTAGAATAATGTGATTGAACTAGATGGTCCCTGAGGTTTGCTCTAGACCTGGGGCCTGTGACTCTATGCCCCATAAAAAGTGTGGTAGTATCACCATGAGCCAGGTGGCCTGGAGACAAAAACTCTATTTGTTTAGATTGTATCATTATGCAGAGAAAACAAAAGGGATAGTTTTATTTAAATTTACAGACAGAATGGAGCTTGGAACCATTGAGTCCATACCTGCAATACCTGCAATTATTTAGTGAATTTGGGCCATGTGGACAAAGAGCAGGTAATTCAGGTCCAGCTGAAGTTTAATGCATAGATAAAATGAGATAGCAGGTGCCTTTTAGAAAACGAAACATGCTGCTTTAAGAGTCAAAAGATGATATTTAGGTTTTTGTTTTTTGTTTTGTTTTGTTTTTGTTTTCGTTTTCATTTTTTGAGACAGAGTCTCACTCTGTTGCCCAGGCTGGAGTGAAGTGGTGTGATCTTGGCTCACTGCAAGCTCCGCCTCCCGGGTTCAAGCGATTCTCCTACCTCAGCCTCCTGAGTAGCTGGGATTACAGGCGCCCATCACCACACCTAGCTAATTTTTGTATTTTTAGTAGAGACAGGGTTTCACCATGTTGGCCAGGATGGTCTGGATCTCCTGACCTCATGATCCACCCGCCTCGGCCTCCCAAAGTGCTGGGATTACAGACGTGAGCCACCGCACCTGGCCAAAAGATGATATTTAGTTTTAATTTGAATGAGCAGAATAGTTGTTTCAACTCCCTGCTTTGTCCTATTTGCAATGCCACAACATTACACCAAGAACTCCTACTCTGTTGATCATGTTAGAGTTTCGTACGTTTCTCACCAGCACTACAACAAAGCATACAAGAGGTACATAGATGAATATTATGGATTGCTTTCTCAGTTTAGCCACAATTACAATAACTGCTAATTTTTATTGGGCACTTATATTCTAGCTGTTCCACTTGACTTGCTTCATCTAATACCTGCAACAATTCTGAGAAGTCAGTACTGTTATCAACTTTTTAATTAATCAAGTCACTAAAGCTTTAAACTTGAAATTTGGGGTAATCTTCTCATGATCACACAGGTCAGCAAACTGTAAAACCAGAATTTGAACCCAGGAAGTGGGCCACCAAGCACGTGCCTGTAAGTGGAATACACGCTGTGTATCAGAGCCCTGAGGAAGAGCACGGGACAGGACGGGTGTGTGGTCCTGGACTCGGAGAGCTTGCTGAATGCCAGAGGGTTGGGGGAAAGACTGACTTGGGTCATTATAAGCAGGATGACTATGATGAAAGGGTAGTGTGGGAAGTTGTGTTTTAATTGGGGGAGAAAAAAGCAGTGAGGTGGAAAACGGAGAGAGATGTGAGGGAAAAAAACAAGAAAATACCCTGGTTGGCCCACAAGGTGGTGGGTGGGCGACTAATGGCTCTAGGATATAACTGCACCACCCTGAGGGCAGGCAGATCCCCTCAGAGCCCCTCCGGGGAGTCCCTGTGGAATCAATGAAATCCCTAATGATGACCCAGAGTGTGCAAGAAAAGTCTAAATTATATTTAATGAACAAAATAAAAAGAAGTGCCTGGCACATTTTAGGAAAATAATGGCAGTTGACATTTACTAAACCACCGCCAGGTGCCTGGTGTTGTTCTAAGCACTAGGCATGTGTTAACAGCCTTATGACCCAGGTAACATTATAACCCTGAGGTGATATAGGAGAAACTGAAGCACAGAGACGTTACTCAGTGGAGCCTCCTCGCTGGTGAGCAACACTGATAGAGCTGGGATTTAAACCTAGGCAGTCTGGATCATAGCCTTCCCTGTTAACTATCACTCTCTGTAAAGTTTTCATTCAGAGGGATGTTTATAAAGCCCACAGAGTCAACTTTTCTGGATAACTAAGCAATTCATTTTATTAATACAATACTTTGATTTCATGGTTTTGAAATCCCATTTACAAAACCGTTGTTACACAACTGATGAAATTATCTTTGACTTCATTGAGCATATGCCTGTTCACAGATACCAATAAGGTCACTTCAACTTTCATCACATCAGTGTAGCCAGACTTAATAGAAGCAATTGCATGGTAATATTAGAGATATGTTGGTGTAAAAGCAATAAAGTCACATGATTGCTGAAAAGAAGTGAAATGTCTATTTCCTGTGAAATACATGTCATTTAATCTATTTTTAGTTTTTATATCTGTGGTTGAAGAGCAGTGAAATACAATACCAAATACCACATTAAAACAAAACCATAACGACCAGTGTTTGGTTCCTAGAAGAAAGTAGTGCTGTTAACAGTCAGAAATGATAAATAATGCAAAGAAAAAGCCTTGAGATTCTCACCCTTCTAGTCATAGGCACAGATCTGAAGCAGTAAAATGGGCCCCCTGGATGGCCCAGTGAAGCTGTGGGATAATGAGACTGGCTTGTTGCCACAGCTGTGGGTTACCCCAGTCCCCAAACCCACAAGTCATCCCACAGCTACTATCCCTGCCTTGAGACAAACTTCAATTTCAGAAGGGCACAGAATCAAACAGAAAGCAATTCGTGTGACAGAACCTTGAAAAGAAACCAATAGCCAGGATCTAGACTTTTTTGCAGAAAGCCAGGATTTCCTTATTTGCAGAGAGAAATAACAAGAACAATTAAAAGTTTCAAATCATGTACAATTACTTTCAAGTTGGGGTTGGTGAAACATAAATAAATTTCATATCAGAGCTTTAGCCCAAGTCCGGTGCTGTTTGTTTGTTTTAGGGAACACTGCTTTCATCTTTGTGGAGGATGTCATAAAAGCACATTTCAAAAAATTACCATTGGCACCCAGTTTCCTATTTGATTACATTTTGGCACATAGCCCTGCCAGTCATATAGAGCCCCTATCTCAGTCCCTCTGATTGAAAGATAATCAGATGTACCACCTACCTTTCACCACCCCCACCCCCTATGCTGGAGCAATCTTCAATTGCGGAAGCCACAAGAAATAACTGAAATTATTTCAGAAAGTTGGTACTTTCCATTTTAGTTTACTTCAAGCATATTCATCAGGCCCCCTTGGAATAGTGACATTAAGAGCGCTAGGAGTTAGAAGCACCAGATACCAATTACAAGCTGAGAACTAAATGCCATAATTAACGAGACATATACTTTAATCTAAAATAAGTCAAAAATGTTGCTGGATAAAGCAAAAAGTAAAATAAAACTCCAAAATTATACTAAATTGGTATACAATGGATAGGTTTCCCACCTATCAAACAAGAAAGGTGGTTATGTCTTTGAGATACTGTAGTCAAGTGTTTTATAATTAACATTTAACTCTGAATAAAGATCTCACATTAACAAACATACAAGTCAATTGCACACTTGAACCTCAGAGACTGATGCACATCAGTGGCACCCACCCGACACCAATTTCAAATCAATTCTTAAAAACAAGGTTATGCATCTTTTTCATAATCACCATACTGATACAATGAGTCATGCATATTTTTCTCATATACAGATTCTTAGTTTCCTTTTTTCTTTGCAGATGAGTTGATGGCTTCCCATCTGGCTAATTCCCCTATTAGCTGGACCAGCAGGACCCCACCTGGTCCTCAACCTAATGTGTTTTACCTCTCTGCCAGATTTTGAATACTACATAGAATACAGGACCACACAAGGGTTATGCCTGGGAGCAGAGTGAACCGGAAGGGGCTGTGGGAGGCAGGTTCTGTAGTAAAAAGAGGGTGACATGTAGAAAAATACATGCTGTTTGGTGCTTTTCCTGGATATCTATTAATTTCAATAAATTTCTTTTTGGAAATCAATACTGTTAATATATGCATTGACTTTTCATTGAGGGCAATGCTTATGTCCTCTTTAGCAGACTTCTAGAATACATGTAAACAACATTGCAACACTAATAGACTTGAGGGTTTGTTTTTCTGTCTTAGCAAAGATTGGTGGGTACATTAGGGGAAGATAAAGGGAAAGAGAGAGAGAGAGAAAGAGAAAGGGAGCAATAAACAGAAAGAGAAAGAAGCAAGAAACATGGAACCATTCTCTGTTAATTTTGAAAGCTTCTACCAGGATCAGGGCAATATGAAAAGAGGAAAATAGACAGATAGATGAAGGGCATTGTAATCATAAAATGAATGTATCAAGGTTAAAGTATTTTTCTAATCCCAGGCTGCAGGAGGAAAGCTACTGCTAATGAAGTCCCTCCGTGAAGTTTTATTCACTAGCTTGCTCTTTACAAATGGAAACAGAAGTGCAGCCTGGAGACCAATTACAAATCACTCTTCTGATTCCTTTAATCTCTTTGTTTCCATTTCTGATCAAAATAAAGATTTTTTTAGACAGAAAAAGGAAAGAACTTATAAGTAGTCTAAATCTTCAGCCAAAAAGAAAGGACTTGGCTAGAATTTTTTCTCCCCCTCACCTTTTAAGCCATTTACTGACCTCTTCCGCATCTGTTTCGTGATGCTGGAAAGTATTTGCTACCAAGTAAAGTCAAGGCAGTTGATGTGAACACAGTAATGTTTGCATTTTCCATGTGAATGATGAGGCCACTGCATGATCCAAAACCTAAAAGCAAGATCTTGCTCAAATATCAGCTCAACCAAGAACAAAATTGAAGGAAATCATCCACCACAGTTACTGTCTCCAGTGATGATGATGATGATGAAGATGATGATGACAATAACTAACATCTACTCAACAGTTAGATGCCAGGCACATAAGGCACCTTATACTTATTCTTACAGTGGCTCCATGAGGTGAGTACTATACAGCATGTTTCACAGGAGAGCAAGCTTGGAGGTAACTTGACCAAGGTCATACAGCCAGAACATAGTGGAGCAGACACGTTCAACCTTGGACAATGTATTGTAAGCCTTGAAATTTCAAGTGCTGCCTGAACATCTTTGAGCCTCACTGGGCCCCAAAGGCATAACCATGAAATTTCCCTATTCTTACCACATATGCCTGTCTCCCTGCCTGCCCCCGACCCCCACATGACCCAGTAGGAGAGGCTTCCCACCTGCCTAGTTCCCCTATTAGCTGGACCAGCAGGTCCCCACCTGGTCCTCAATCTAATGTGTTTTACCTCCCTGCTAGCTTTTGAAACTACTGAAACAAGCCAATCTCACCCTTCCACAGGAACCAAGGTGCATCTCACCCTCTTGTTACTACAGATCCTGCCTCCCACAGCCCCTTCTGGTTCACTCTGCTCCCAGACATAACCCTTGTGTGGTCCTGTATTCTATGTAGTGTTCACCTCCCCCAGGCAGCAAGTATATGTGACTAATAAACAGCTGTTGATTTCATCTGCCTAGTGTTGGCTGTCATGTGTTGGGCCACCTCATTCTATTAGGAGGTGGTCAGAACAGGCTAGAGACTCTAATCCCTGAGAATTTAACCACTATACGTACTATCTCTTTGAAGGCAGAAAGAAATAGGGAGGCTCTCTTGCAGCAAACTTGGCCTCTCTTTTTTCAGGTGTTCTCTCTCCTATACCTTTGCCCTGCTGCCAGGGTGGTGCTGCTTGGAGACAGGGACATTGCCTAAAAGGCAAAGAGACCCATAGGAGAGGCACTGGATGGTGGTCAGTGCTGATGGGATGAGGGCTGGGCTATTGAAATTGCAGGCCAAGGCTCTGAATCAACTGCATCATGAGGCCAGTGCTGTTTTCAAATAAACGAGGTCACTTATTTAAAGAGAGCTGTCACCACACTTGGAGATCCACCACCAGTACACCCTTCCTTGCTCTTATCAGGAGAAAGAAGCCACTAGGATGTAGTGAAATGATTCTCACAGATGGGCCTTAAGATCTCACTCATGTGGGTGACCTGGGCTTGTGAGCAGTTGAGCTGAATCCTGGATGTGTCCTGGACTTTGTAGCTCTGAGCAAAACCAAGACCTGGAGAGATGCATTGTGAAAAGAACATGATTTATGCTCAAGTGTCAGCTTAAGCATCCGCTAGCTACGTGAATTTGAGAGCTACTCAATGTTTCTGAGCCTCCGTTACTTCATCTGTAAGGTAGATAAGGTAACTTACAAGGCTGCTGTAAAATTAAGTAGGATAATGAGTGTCAATCACCTAGCACATAGTGAGGACACAGTAGGGGGAGGAATCAGGAGGTCTCCTCACCCTCATGTTTTAGCTCCACTGTAGGCTCTATCTAGGGCTGTGTCCCTGGGGGAGTAGAGACTAGACAGCAAATCGATGTTAATATATGGGAGTGGTCAAAAGTGCTAAGATTCAGATGGATTCAAAGTCTAGAGATGCAAATCCTCTCCCTGTCACAAGTTTTGCCAAATGTCTATGCCATAACGCCACTTTTTATAAAATGAACTTTTGCGCCTATAGGAGTTTGTTGTTTTGTTTTGTTTCGTGGCGATACATTTTTTTTGGTGGTTGTAATTTTATTTGTGTTTAGCAGGCTCTACTTGTGTTTATTAGATGGGAGAGGGATTATTTGTTTTCAGTTGAGGGCTGGCAGCATATTGACGGGTCATTTGCATGTTTTTTCACGTGTTGGGTCACATTTTCAATAATGATGTGACTTAGAGAAAATCATACCTTTTTTTGTTCTCAGTTTTCTCAATGTTTGTACTTGATGTGGTATAAATTTAATGCCAGCTCTCTACTACTAATATTATTAGAATTCTCTCAACTTTATAGGGAATGCTTCTCTACAGTGTTATGGTGTGAATTGAGAGTCCAGTCCTGCATTGCTTAATGACAGGCATATATTCTGAAAAATGCATAGCTAGGTGATTTCATCATTGTGCAAACATCATAGTGTATATACATAAACCTAGATGGAATAGCCTACTATACACCTAGGCTATATGGTATAGTCTATTGTCCCGGGCTACAAACCTGTACAGAATATATTCGTACTGACCACTTCAGGCAATTGTAACACATGGTATTTGTGTATCTAAACATAGAAAAGGTAATGCATTGTTGTATTAGTCCATTCTCGCACTGCTATAAATACCTGAGACTGGGTAATTTATAAAGAAAATAGGTTTAATTGGCTCACGGTTCCACAGGCTATACGGGTAGCATGGCTGGGGAGGCCTCAGGAAACTTTTTTTTTTTTTTTTTTTTTGAGACGGAGTCTTGCTCTGTCGCCCAGGCTGGAGTGCAGTGGCACAATCTCGGCTCACTGCAAGCTCCGCCTCCCAGGTTCACGCCATTCTCCTGCCTCAGCCTCCCCAGTAGCTGGGACTACGGGCGCCTGCCACCACACCTGGCTGATTTTTTGTATTTTTTTTTTAGCAGAGACGGGGTTTCACCGTGTTAGCCAGGATGGTCTCGATCTCCTGACTTCGTGATCCTCCTTCCTCAACCTCCCAAAGTGCTGGGATTACAGGCATGAGCCACTGCACCCGGCCTGCCTCAGGAAACTTTCAATCATGGCAGAAGGTGGAAGGGAAGCAGGCATGTCTTCACATGGCCTGAGCAGGAGAGAGAATGGGGAAGCGCTACACACTTTTAAACAACAAGATCTTGTGAGAACTCACTCACTATCACGAGAACAGCAAGGGGAAATCCGCTCCCATGATCCAATCACCTCCCACCAGGCCCCTCCTCCAACACTGGAGATTAAAATTCGACTTGAGATTTGGGTGGGGACACAAATCCAAACCATATCAATTGTGCTGTGATGTTATGACAGCTACGACGTCACTACGTGATAGGAATTTTTCAGCTCCATTATAACCTTTATAGGACCACCATCATATATGCAATCTGTTGTTGACCAAAATGTTGTTATGCAACACATGACTGTATTTAATTTCTAAATACTGGAGTTTCTGATCATGCCTCAGCTTTTCCCCTTTAGTTACTTGTTGGTTCCCATGGGCAATAGTTCCCCCACTCACTTCCATTCCTCCTTTTTGTGGGATCTTCAACCTGCCTTAAGTCTGAACTGACAATATATTTATTTAATTTTTCATCTTGCCCAGGTTTTTGATAAAAATTGTCATTCCTGAGGACAATTGGCTGTTTTCTTTTGAGAGCTGTAGAGATGTACCAAGGGTGTGGAGACTGTCCAAAGTTTCACAGTGGTAGCAGAGACTAGCACAGCCTTTCTCTCTGCTGCTTTGGAATAATGTAGGTCCTGCCCATGACTCACCCCAGCAGGCTTAGAGGATCCAAGTCTATCTTTCCAAAGCAGGGTCAGACCATTTCCTCAGAACGGGATGAGCCTCAACAAGAAGGGGATGGTGAGAGGAAGACTGCAGAAACAGTCTCCAAGTAGAAAGCACTGCCTTCTTTCCATGTTTCTCTATTTTTTTTTTAACCTCACCTGGGGAGTATCAGGATTGATTCCTTTAAACAGGGTGCTCCCGGCAGTTCTGGTCTCTCCCTCATTCTTTCCTCCAGCCACGTCCTTTCCACACTGCAGCCACTGAACCAGAAGACACACTCAGTTCATGTGTACGAACTGTGTATACGACAATGCGAGAGCATCTCAAAGCACAGGTGATGTAAAGATCACGTGAGTTATAAGCACAAAGCTTCACGTTATTCAATTAGCTTGGCACAGGTTTAAAGCATTTGGTTCCACTCAGGGAACATTAGACAGTCCCTTCCTCACTCTCCCTGTTTCTCTCTCCCAATTTTTGTCCCTTCCCCTTCGCAAAGCCCAGCCCTTTTTACTCACTATCCTGTCTTTATTCTTGCTAAAATTTTTAGTCTTTCATCCAAGGCTATGTTTTGCTTCCTGGAAAAAGAAGATTCTGTCTGGTTGACATGTCAGTCCATTTAGCTGCAGAGCAAACCCTCTCTCTGGGAGACCTCATGGCAACATTTCATGGCCTTCTGAAATACACTCACAGGTCTCTCATTGTTCAAATTTAGAATAGTCTAGTTATTTCTGCTGAGCTCTATCTCAGTCTTAGACATCCTAGGTCATCCCAGCTCACTTTTTTTTTCTTATCCTGTGTTTCTCTGAAATGCCTATAGTTTCCACCTTTATCCTGTGCCTTAGCAGATGGCCCTCTATTTCTGTGGTATAAGTTATTAACTGCATTCAATGGCCCCATCCTGCCCTAGCACACTCCAGTAATGTTGTGTATCACACGGTCTTTATAGACTTAGACCTCCACATATCCCAGCCTCCTACTAGTGTGGATTCCTTGAGGATTTCTGAGGAAGTAATAGTTAAAAGAGTTTTTACCACAGACTTCATCAGTAAGGGGCATCAAAATATCTCGTTCTGACACATAAAATTTAAAAAGTGAGAAAAACATGTTATAATTATATCAGGGAGTGGAATTATACATATAATTTTTTATTTTCCTTTTTATTCTTTTTTCCCCTAAATGTCCTCATGCATTACTTTGTAATTAAGAAATATGAAAGAAGAAAAGCACTGTTTATAAATGAAGATTAAAATCAGCCCTAGATTATCCATTAATGCCATGAGAGAGAGGCTGGATTTTGGGGGTCATTATTGCTCTCCTGCCATTACATTTCTCATTCACTTATTTGTGGTTTCTTTTCTTCACCCATTATCTGTCATTTACTTCACTGTCAGTTGCTAAGTCAGTTAATGTTTGTTGAACGTGCATATGCTTCTCTCCAATTCCCAGACTCCCCCAGAGTTGAGTTGGGGCAATATGATTGTGAACAGAAATAACATTTGTCACATTCAGACTAAGGTACTTAAAAGCCAGAGTGCTTTTGTAGTAGTCAGGGTCCTCCAGAGAGATAGAACCAACAGAAGGTATAGATAGATAGATGATAGATAGATAGATGATAGATAGATAGATAGATAGATAGATAGGTAGATAATGGAGATAATGACGTAAGTCTTAATCTGAGTCCAAAGGCCTGGGGAGGGTGGAGGTGGGTGGTGCTGGGCTGGTGTAAGTACTGCTCTAAATGCCCAAGAGCCAGAATGTCCTGGGGCAGGAGAAGATGACTGTCCCAGCTCAAATAGAGAAAGAGCAAATTCACCTTTCCTCTGACTTCTTGTTTTATTCAGGTCCTCAGTAGATTACAAAATGCCCACACATACATTGGGGAGGGCCATCTGCTTTACTCAGTTCACCAATTCAAATGTTAATCTCTTCTGGAAACACTCTCACAGATACACCTGGAAATAATGTTTTACCAGCTATCTAGTCATCGCTTAGACCAGCCAAGTTGACACATAAAATTAAACATCCACTTGGTGTGGTCACTCATGCCTGTAATCCCAGCACTTTAGGAGGCCAAGGTGGGCAGATTGCATGAGGTCAGGAGTTCGAGACCAGCCTGACCAATATGGTGAAACCTGTTTCTACTAAAATGACAAAAAATTAGCCGAGTGTGGTGGCACACGCCTGTAGTTCCAGCTACTCGGGAGGCTGAGGCAAGAGAATCACTTGAACCCAGGAGGCAGAGGTTGCAGTGAGCCGAGATCACACGACTGAACTCCAGCTTGAGCAATAAGAGCAAAACTTCATCTAAAAAAAAAAAAAAGTAACCATCATAGCCTTCTCATCTTTCTCTCATCTAACAACTTGGAAGCCACTTGTGAAGACAGCAGAATCCTGAAGTGGCAAGAACCTGGATTCCTGAGTCTTTGGGAAGAGGAGAGTCTCTGACAATAGACATTGGACTTTGTGTGAGTTAGAAAAAAACTTTCACTGCATCAAGCCCTGAGATTTGGGAATTAATTTGTTATTGCAGCCTAACTTGGCTAATTCAACCTTGACTTTCGCCTAACTTGTTTTAGCCTAACTTGACTAATTCAACCTTGACTTCTGTCTATCTACATACTTCCTGCATCACTGCCTTTAGAATATGAAGTGTATCTTGGTAAAAATTTTGTAATGCTAACATCTTCATAAGATATAAAATTCTTCTAACTTTTTCTTCTTTCACATTTCTCCCACTCTTATATTCAAATTGATTTTGTGGTTTGTTGTTTCTACCAAGTCAGTCAGTCAACCAAAATGCAGATGTTTATTTAGTTGTGCAAATATGTGTCAGCCTACAAGTAAATACCCTATTCTAAAGTACTGGTTCTAGGTAAAAACATAACAAATATCTTTTAGGTCAATTCCTTCTGCCGACATGAACCCAAGATTTTTGTATGTTGTGAAATATCATCCCCTCAGCCCCCCTCAACTGAGAAGTCTCCTAGGTGGAGACTGTGAAATATAGATTCAGCTTCAATATGTACTACTACAAGAAATGTACATGTGTGTTAGGCAGATAATGATAGCAGATGACATGATTTTGCAGTCATGCCTATTCTCTGTCTGCTCCTGTCCATCCTGTTCCATATACCTACATTCCACTAAAATTCCCTTGAGCTAATTGAAATGGCATAAAATTTCTGTTGGTAGTTAGTTCCTGATGCTGCATAGTTTCCCTGCTCACATTTTCTTTATCCACATGTTTCATATGCATGGATGTCTGTGTGTGTGTATACACACTCAAGCTCACATATGCAGAATAAATTTCATGGTAAGTTCTTTTGTCACAAGAGAATAAATTAAATCAACATTGATCTTGCTAAATTGATACCTGATCTTGCTAAGTTATTTACTGCAATGTATTTATGTGCCATTGCCAGATAAAGCCTATCACCTTGGAACATAACATCAGTACTCGCCTTCTGAATTTATTTTATTGTTTTCCTTGCCTTTAAGCAGCCATAATAAGTCATACCACACAATTCAATACTTACCACTGGAAGAGAGCAGAGCAATATCACAGAATAGGACTCTCCATCAATCATCCCCAACAGAAACACCAATTTGAACAGCTATGTGTGCACAAACATACCTTAGCAAGAGCTAAGAAAACCAGGTGAAAGATAATAGTACTTAATTATGGGATAATGTTAAAAGACACATTAAACATTAAAGAGAGTAGGGTGGATAGTTTTACATTACCCATCTCACCCTTCCCTCAATCCTGAGCAGCACACTGAGGAGAGAGGTACTATTCACTTAGGGGAAAGTGAGGGAACTGAGTGTAGAACTTTGCCTTGGTCTCCAACACTGGGCCTACCACAGTAAAATCCAGCACAGGCAGACTCCCATGGCCCCTGAATCCAGTGAATCCAGGCTAGTACCCATGGACTGAGCTTCCCTGTGTTAACAGGGAACCCATGACCTCTGCAAAACTGACTCAATTTCTGGCCTGAATCACTGCCAGTCAGCTATAGCAGCCATGAGTTTCAGACAAAGCAGAGCAGTGAGCCGGCCTCAGTGGCAGGGTCTTCAAGCACACCGACTGCTGCACCAGCCTCAGTGGCCACGGAATTCCAGCCCAGTACTGTGCCAACCATGAAGGTCCTGGGCTTAGTGTGCCCCCTAGTGCTGAAACAGCTGCAGTGGTCACAGGCATAGGGACCAGGCACTACCTGCCTAGTATCTCTGGACAAACTTATTGTTTAAGGGCATTCCTAGACAAAGCCAGACTAAAAAGACTGGAATATACACCCACTTCTTTAATGCACAGACATTGACACACAGCCCCAAGAATCAGGAACAATCAGAGAAACCTGATGTCACTAAACGGACAAAATAAAGTACCAATGACCAACCCTAAAGAGACAGAGATGTATGAACTACCTAAAAAAGAATTCAAAGTAGCTTTTTAAGGGAGCACAGCAAACTTCAAGATAATAAATAGAAATATTTCAATGAAATGAGGAAAAGAATAAAAGGCAAGAATAAGAAATATAACAGAGAGTTTAAAATAATAATTAAAAAAATCAATCTTGAAGATGAAAAATGTAATAAACAAATGAAAAATGCAATAGAAAGCATCAACAACAGAACTGATCAAGTAGAAAAAAGAATTTGTGAACTGAAAGCTATTTGAAACTATACAGTCAGGGAGAAAAAAGAGAAAAGAATGAAATGGAATAAAGAAAGCTTATAGGATTAATAGGACAACATAAAAAAAAGCAAATATTAGAGTCATTGGAGCTCAAGAGGAAGTGGAGAAAGACAAAGGGGTAGAAATCTTATTTAAAGAAAGAGCAGAAAACTTTCTAAACCTGAAGAAAGAAAGAAATATCTAGATGTAGGAAGTTCGAGGGCCACCAAACAATTTCCATCCAAATAACACTGCCCCAAAACATACTATAATAAAATTATCAAATATCAAAGACATAATCCTGAAGACAGCAAGAGAAGAGAAGCAACCAATATATGAGGGAGTTCTAATACACCCAGTAGCAGATTTCTCAGCAAAAATCCAATGGGCCAAAAGGAATGGGATGATATAGTCAAAGTGTTAAAGGAAAATAACTGCCAAGCAAGAATGCTGTACCCAGCAAAGCTGTCTTTTAGGAATGAAGGACAGATAAAGATTTTCACACACCAAAAAAAAGCTGAGGGAGTTCATCGCCACCAGACCTGTCTCACAAGAAATGCTAAAGGAAGTTCTTCAATCTGAGAGAAAAGAACACTAATGAGCAACATTAAAATATGTGGAAGCATAAAACTCACTAATAAAAGCATGGTCTAATTTATAATACTCTAGTATTGTAATAGGAATGTGTAAATCAATTATATCTTCAGTATAAAGGTTAAAAGACAAAACTATTAAAAATATTAATTACTAAAATAATTTGTTAAGGAATGTACAATATTGAAAGATGTAAATTGTAACATGACATCCAAAATGTATGGGGGAGAGTGAAGTTTTAATAATAATAATAAACAAAGTTGTCATTATCAGCTTGAATAAACAAAGTTGTTGTTATCAGCTTAAAATAACCTGTTATAACTGTAAGAATTTTTTTGTAAGCCTCATGGTAACCATAAAACAAAAACCTATAATAGATACACACAAAAAAGTAAGAAATAAAAAATATACTACTAAAGAAAATCACTTAATCACAAACAAAGATAGTAAGAGGGGAAGAAAAAAAAGATCTATCAAACAATTGAAAAACAGTTAACAAAATGCCAATAGTAAATCCCTACCTACCAATAATTACATTGAATGTAAATGAATTAAATTATTCAATCAAAAAACAGAGTGACTGAATGGATTTAAAAACAACACCTAACTATATGCTGTCTACAATAGATTCGCTTCACCTAAAAGGACCCATATACACTGAAAATGAAGAAATGGAAAAACATATTCCATGCAAATGAATACCAAAGCGAGACCAGGAGTGGCTATACTTATATCAGGTAAAATGACTTTATGTCCAAAACTGTGGAAAGAAACAAAGAAGGTAATTATATAATTATAAAGAGGTTAATTAAGCAAGAGGATATAAGAATTATATATGTACCCCAAATCTGAGCACCTAAATATATAAGGCAAATATTAATCAATCTGCAGGGAGAGATAGATTGCAATACAATGATAGTAGGAGACTTCAATACCCCACTTTCAGCAATGGATGTATCATCCAGACAAAATCAACAGGGACACATCAGACTTAAACCATACTCTAACCAAATAGACCTAACAGACATATTAGGACACAGAACATTCCACCCAGCAGCTATGGAATACACATTATTCCCAATTACACATGGACCACTCCCCCAGAATAAATCATATGTTAGGTCACAAAACAAATCCTAACAATTTAAGATTGAAATCGTGTCAAATGTCTTTTATTCTGACACAATGGTATAAAACTAGCAATCAGTAACAGAAGAAAATTTGGAAAATTCACAAATATATAAAAATTAAACAATGTGCTCCTGAATAACAAAGGATCAATTAAAAAATTTAAAGGGAAATTAAAAATTTTCTTGAGACAAATGAAAATGGAAACACATTATACCAAAACCTATGGGATACAGCAAAAGCAGTACAAGGAGGGAAGCTTATAGCAATAAACACCTACTTTTAAAAAAAAATACCAGACAACCTTACATTCCACCTTAAAGAAATAGAAAAATAAGAACACACTAAACTCAAAATTAGTAGAATAAAATAAATAATAAAGACCAGAGCAAAAATAAATGAAATAGAGCCTAGAAAATCAATAGAAAAGATCAACAAAATGAAGAGTCTGTTTTTTGAGAAGATAAACAGAATTGACAAATCTTTAGCTAGACTAAGAAAAAAGGAAAGAAAATTCAAGTAAATAAAATCAGAGATGAAAAAGGAAACACTAAAACTGATCACAAAATATAAAGCATCATAAGAGACTATTATAAACAATTATATGCCAACGAATTGAGTAACTTAGAAGAAATGAATACATTCTTGGACACATGCAACCTATCAAGATAGAGTTATGAAGAGATAGAAAATCTGAACAGATGAATAATAAGTAAGAAGATTGAATCTGTAATAAAAAGTCTGTCATCAAAGAAAAGCCCAGGACCTGATGGTTTCACTGTAGAATTATACCCAACAGTTAAAGAAGAAATAATACCAATTCTTCTCAAACTATTCCAGAAAATTAAAGAGGAGAGAATTCTTCCAAATTTATTCTATAAGGCCAGCATTATCTTAACACTAAAACCAGACAAAGATATAATAAAAAAAAGAAAACTAAAGGCCAATATCCTTGAGGGACATAGATGCAAAAATCCTCCACAAAATACTAGCAAACCAAATTCCACAGCACATTAAAAAGATCATTCACCATGATCAAGTTAGGAGTCATTCCAAGAATGCAAGGATCGTTCGACATATGCAAATGAATAAACATGATACATCACATTAGCAGAACAAAGAACAAAAGCCACTGAACATTCAATAGATGCACAAGAAGCATTTGGGAAAATTAATCATCTCTTTATGGTTTAAAAAAGGCTCTCAAAAATTAGGTATAGAAGGAATGTACCTTAACACCATAAATATATGATATCATATTATTATCATATATGGTAAACCCACAGGTAATATCATACTGAATGGGGAAAAGATGAAAGCTTTTCCTCTAACATCTGGAACAAGACAAGATGTCCACTTTTGACACTACTATTCAATATAGTACTGGAAGTCCTAGTCCAAGCAATTAGGCAAGTGATAATAAATAAATAAATAAAAGGCATCTAAATTGGAAAGGAGGAAGTCAAATTGCCTGTGTTTTCAGATGACACTATCTTACAGTTAGAAACCATAAAAACTCCACCAAAATAGCTATTGGAGCTAATAAATTCAGAAAAGTTGCAGGATACAAAATCAACATATAAAATCAGTGTGTTTCTATATACTGAGTAAACTATCAAAAATGAAACCAAGACAGCAATCCCATATGCAATACCTACAAACAATACTTAGGATTAAATTTAACCAAATAGGTTAAAGACCTTTACATTGAAAACTATAAAACACTAATGAAATAAATTGAAGAAAACAAAAATAAGTTGAAAGATATTTGTGTTCATGGATTGGAAGAATTAATATTGTTAAAATGTCTATACTACCCAAAGTAATCTACAGACCCAATGAAATCCCTATACCAATGATATTCTTCACAGAAATAGAAGAAAAATCTTAAAATTCATATGGACCCATACAAGACCCCAAATAGCCAAAAACAATCCTGAGCAAAAAAGAACAAAGTTGGTAGCATCACACTATCTGACTTCAAATTATACTACAGAGCTACAGTAACCCAAACAGCATGGTACTGGCATAAAAACAGACACACAGACCAATGGGACAAAATAGAGATCCTAGAAATAAATCCAAATATTTATACCAAACTGATTTTTGACAAAGGTGCCAAGAACACATAATGGGGAAGGGACAGTGTCTTCAATAAGCAGTGTTCAGGAAACTGAATATTCGCTTGTAGAATGAAATTAAATCCTTATTCCTCACCATATACAAAAATTAACTCAAAATGGATAAAAGACTTAAACATAAAACCCAAAACTATGAATATACTAGAAGAAAACGTAGAATAAAATCTCCATGACATTGGTTTGGGCAATTTTCTGGATATGACCTCAAAAGCACAGGCAACAAAAGTAAAAACAGAGAAATTGAATTGCATCAAACTAAAAAGCTTCTCCACAGCAAAGGAAACAACAGAGTAAGAAGACAATCTACAGAATGGGAGAAAATATTTGCAAATTACACATCTGATAAGGGGTCAATGGCCAAAATACGTGGGGAATTCAAACAACTCAGTAGTAAGAAAACAAACAGTTCAATTTAAAAATTAGCAAAAGACTTGAATAGATGTTTCTCAAAAGAAGATATGCAAATGGCCAACAGGTGTATTTTTAAAATGCTCAGCATCACTAATCATCAGGGAAATGCAAATCAAAACCAAAATAAGATACCACCTCATTCCTGTTAGAAGGGCTACTATCAAAAAGACAAAAGACAAGTGTTGGAGAGGATGTGAAGAAAAGGAAATCCTTGTACACTGTGAGTGAGAATGCACAACCATCATGGAAAATGGTATGGATGTTCCTCAAAAAACTGAAAATAGAGCTACCATATGATTCAGTAATCCCACTACCAATCATATATCCAATGGAAATGAAATCAGTATGTCAAATCAATATATCTGCACTCTCACATTTACTGCAACACCATTCACAACAGCCAAGATATATCTATCAACAGATGAAAGAATAAAGAAAGCGTGGTATATATACACAATGGAATACTATTCAACCATAAAAAGAAGGAAATCCTGTCATTTGCAACAACATGGATGGACCTGGAAGACATAACTAAGTGAAATAAGCCAGGCACAGAAATACAAATACTGCCTGTTCTCACCCATATGTGAAGTCTAAAAACTTGATCTCATAGAAGTAGAGAGTAGAATGATGGTTACCAGAGGCTGCGATGGTTAGAGGGAAGTGGGTTTGGGGAGATGTTGGTAAAAGAATAGATATTTACAGTAAGAAAGGGTGAATAGGGCCAGATGTGGTGGCTCATGCCTGTAACCCTAGCACTTTGGGAGGCTGAGGTAAGCAGATCGCTTGAACTCAGGAGTTCAAGATGAACCTGAGCAACATGGCAAAACCCGATCTCTACAAAAAAAAAAAAAAAAAACTAGCCAGACAGGGCACTTCATGCCTGTAGTCTTAGCTATTCAAGAGGCTGAGGTAGGAGGATCATTTGAGCACAGGAGGTTGAGGTTACAGTGAGCTGTGATTGAGCCACTGTACTCCAGTCTGGGGGACAAAGACAGACTCTGACTTCAAAAAAAAAAAAGAAGAGAAGAGAAGAGAAAGGGTAAATAAGCTCAAGAGATCTATCGTACAGCATGGTGACTACAGTTAATGATGACGTATTTTATTATTGAAAAATGCTAGTGATAGTGAGTGTTAAGTGTTCTCACAACAAAAGTGATAGCTATGTGAGGTAATTCATTTGTTTAACCATTCACAATGTATACATACTTCCTTTTTTTCTTTTTGTAGAGACGGGGGTCTCACTATGTTAGCCAGACTGGCCTTGAACTCTTGCCCTCAAGTGAGCCTCCCACCTCATCCTCCTAAAGTGCTGAGATTATAGGCATGAGCCACTGAGCCCAGCTATATATATATATATATATATATATATATACTTCAAAACATCATGTTGTACATGATAAATACATACAACTTTTTGTCAGTTTTTTTTAAAGTAAATGCTTATCACTGTTTAATTATTGGGTCATCTTTTCCATTTCACCTGATCCCAGTTTCCAGCATGATCCAGTACTTAAAGATTAATAAAAAATAATAACTCATAACTATTAATGTAAGACAACTTCATGAGCTACTCCTTGAAGATATTTTTCTCCAATCAAAAGTTCCTTAAATTAAAGGAAAACTCTTTGACAAACTCTTCCCTCAGGTATGTGATTTCTGTCACAAGGCTTTCTCATTTTGTTCACTTTTGGCCATAAGTTTTCTTCTACTTTTGCCTTTAAAGTGCATTAGTTTCTATAGAAACAAGAATGCCACTAATTTTGGAAAAGCTTAGAAATGTCCAGAACAAAATGCAGCCTACAGTGAATTCCTGTAATGCTTTGAAATGTGTCTCCTTGTTTGGTTTGGAAAAATCAAAGGATTTCTTAGAAGGCTATTGTGACTACACTTGTGATATAAATGCATTTGACAAATTATACACCTGGACCCAAAGTATTTTATATGATTCTGATAAAAATATTTCCTGGGAGCGAAAATCTTTCCTTAAATTTTGCTACAATGCTTGATTATTTTGAAAAATGGCAGCTGAATTAAAGGCATTGTCTACTTCTGGAGCAAAATGCAACTGTTGTTATTTTGGCCTCACCTGTGTTTGATTTACTAGCCTGGAAACTTTTTTTTTTAAAGATTCACTGAAATTGGCCCTCAAATCAGAGCCTGTCAGAGATGAGAATGACAACAATATGGATGAGAGTACACAGAGACGTCTTGACCAACTGTGTGTCTCTCTCTGGTTTTGGACAAAATGAAATTGACGTTTCCCATCCAATCTTTAGTGAAATAGGAGCTCCTAAAGCTCAGATCTAGGATGTCTCTGGGTCCTCAGTAAACTCCCTTAGCTAATCTGAAAGAGAAGACCCTGAATTATTCTAAATGATGATGTGTGTGTGACCTGTCTTTATTGCTGATTGTTAAGGAAGGTGATAATTTATTCATTCACTTGTCAATTATTTACAAGTGCTTGTTACATGTTAGGCACTGTTCTAGGTGTTGAGGATACAGCACTTAATAAAAGAGATCAAAATCCCCAATGCCTGGAGCTTACACTCATGCATACATAAGTAAAATAAGTAAAAGAAAATATCTGGTATGTTAGATGGTAATACTTGTTATGCATGAAAAAAGGAAAGGAAGGTGTTGTTAGAGTGTTGCAGCAGAGGCTGTAACTTTTGATAGGATGGTCAGGGTATTTACCTCCATTATGTTACACACTTCTGGGTTAAAAGGTTACCAGTGTTTTCATTCACAAAAAGCTGTATAGACATATTCAAACCCACTTCCGGAACACTTCATATAAATTGATGACTTCCTCTACTTTTGATATACTAATTTTCCTAGTTTTAATGATTGTTGAAGTATAGAAATAACAAAGATATTTTCATTCTTTATTAAAGTTTCAATGTGGTGTGATCGTTCAATAATTTACTGATTTTACAAATATTTATTGAGTACCTACTATGTGGCAGGCACCATTACAATATATTAGTGAGGATGCTTTCGGTGGCATATAAAAATAAACATAACTCAAAACACCTTGAAGATAAAGAAAATGTTTGGGGTCATGTAACTGAAAAGGGCAGAGATGGGGCTGGCTTCTTCTGGCTGGGTGTCACCCAATGGCTCAACATGTCAAATGTGGAAACTGTTTCCTTGCCATCTGTTTCTCTGCTCTGCTTTCTACAGTTTCTGCATCATCCCCTGCTCATCCCAAAATAGCTACTAACAGCTCCCAGAAAGGGTTTATTTGCCTCATAATTCCTAGCAATATTCTGAGATTTATTGCAATTGGACCACTTTGGATCACACACATGCTTTTGAGCCAATACCAGGACCAGAAGAAGGAATACAATAATTGGCTTAGCCCAGGCCAGGTGTGTCATCCCTGGAACCACATAATCTACAAATGGAAAATGAGTACTGTTGAAAAAGAAGAACTGGGAATGGATGCCAGGAATACAGTGCCACTATATCTGAATTCAGGATTTAAAGATGAATGAAATTGGCATGATCCCTGCCTTTAAATAAATTTTTTCTAAGTGCGCCTAAATTTTTCCAAACCATTTGTTCATGTTGCTCTTTTTCTTCTTCTTGCTCATTTTGAGCCCAACAGAAATACAATTTGGGATGGGGATAAACATTGAATAAATATATAAATAAGAATATATGCATGTGATGTGTCTTCTTGTCCAGAAGCTCAGGTGTGCATGCAGCTAGCTCCATGTGAGCTGGTTGCCTAAAGCTTGTGTTGAGTGGATGTGAGAAGACAATGGACATTTAAGACATCACTTTTCCCCACCTTGGACTAAAGCAGAAAGACCTTCTCTAGCTACAAACACTTAACAGGAAGCTGACTCTAGACACTACATAGCAAATTCTCCTGGACTTTCTTTAGAAAGATGGGAACTGGGGTTGGTCTATGCATTACACTGCACCAAGAACAACGGAGAATTCTGTTTTGCGCAGCCTTAAATCAGTCATATAGGCCTTGCAGAGAAAAGCCTGATCTCAGGGGTTGTAGCCAAAAGGGAACTAGGAAAACTCACAAAGGTGATGAGAAGGTACTCAACTGGGGAGGAATGGCAGGCCAGAAACAAGTCAACAACCAGGTATAGACATTCCTGGCAGAAGAGACTCCAGGAAATGGCTGCCGACAAACAGTGAAATCAGTGACATCAGAATCCTATGTAGAGTTCCAGGATATTTTGGGGAGCTGTATTTTTGACATCCCCTCAATGCCAAGTGTAGTGATGTTCCCCTCAGTGGTATTAACTTAGATTAACCAAACTATTAGTTTTACTGTTATTTAGAGAATGAACCTCAAAACCCACAATTGGTTGCTCAACCTAAAAAAAAAAAAACAAAAAAAAAAACTCCTGCTACCCCATAAATAATCGCCAGGCTGTGAAACTAAACAGGAAATGAAAAAGCTTGGTTCATCCCTGGAAAGATGCCACAAATGTGCATTGTCAGAGCTGCCGTTACAACATGGATCATTGACATGTGGCCAGGTGCCCTGGTTGGTTACCATGCCCTCAGGGACAGAAAATAAGGTACAGTACCTGACTGTGATCTGACTTTTAGCACTTAACAAACTGAATGGAATCCATGTGGGAGGTAAACTATTGTCTTTGAGCAACAACTTTCAGTGCCCTATCTGATGTCTGCTTTAGTCTTTTTTCATGTTTTTGAAGCTGAACATTGTTTTAGTGGGAATTTATTCCCACTGAATCATGGGCCAGTTTTTCCTCCCACAGGTACATTTGCTAACTTTGATGTATCAGTGAATATATTTATCTTGTGTCACACACTATGTAGATTTCATATGTTCTTCCTTCCTTGGGCTCCTCCAGATAATAACAGCAGTTACCAGGTATTGGGTGTTTTCTATGTGCCCTATCCTGTCCTAAGTGCTTTGCATGGATTATTTTGTTTTATTCTTACCCTAGCTCTAAGATCTATGTACTATGGTTCTTATTTTTCACATGAGATATCTGAATTTGAGAGTTTAAGTGACTTGCCCAGTGTCACGTCACTAAGAAATACTTGCTTTGAGGTCATTGCAATTTAAAATCTACAAGATTGAGGAGGGCAGCCAAGATGGCCAAATAGGAACAGCTCCGGTCTACAGCTCCCAACGTGAGTGACACAGAAGATGGGTGGTTTCTGCATTTCCATCTGAGGTACCGGGTTCATTTCACTAGGGAGTGCCAGACAGTGGGTGCAGGACAGTGGGTGCAGCGCACGGTGCACGAGCCGAAGCAGGGCGAGGCATTGCCTCTCTCGGGAAGCACAAGGGGTCAGGGAGTTCCCTTTCCTAGTCAAAGAAAGGGGTGACAGACGGCACCTGGAAAATCGGGTCACTCCCACCCTAATACTGCGCTTTTCCAACAGACTTAAAAAACGGCGCACCAGGAGATTATATCCTGCACCTGGCTCAGAGGGTCCTATGCCCACGGAGTCTCGCTGATTGCTAGCACAGCAGTCTGAGATCAAACAGCAAGGTGGCAGCGAGGCTGGGGGAGGGGTGCCCGCCATTGCCCAGGCTTGCTTAGGTAAACAAAGCAGCTAGAAAGCTCGAACTGGGTGGAGCCCACCACAGCTCCAGGAGGCCTGCCTGCCTCTGTAGGCTCCACCTCTGGGGGCAGGGCACAGACAAACAAAAAGACAGCAGTAACCTCTGCAGACTTAAATGTCCCTGTCTGACAGCTTTGAAGAGAGTAGTGGTTCTTCCAGCACACAGCTGGAGATCTGAGAATGGGCAGACTGCCTCCTCAAGTGGGTCCCTGGCCCCTGACCCCTGAGCAGCCTAACTGGGAGGCACCCCCGAGTAGGGGCAGACTGACACCTCACACGGCCAGGTACTCCTCTGAGACAAAACTTCCAGAAGAACGATCAGACAGCAGCATTTGCGGTTCATGAAAATCCGCTGTTCTGCAGCCACCGCTGCTGATACCCAGGCAAACAGGGTCTGGAGTGGACCTCTAGCAAACTCCAACAGACCTGCAGCTGAGGGTCCTGTCTGTTAGAAGGAAAACTAACAAACAGAAAGGATATCCACACCAAAAACCCATCTGTACATCACCATCATCAAAGACCAAAAGTAGATAAAACCACAAAGATGGGGAAAAAACAGAGCCGAAAAACTGGAAACTCTAAAAAGGAGAGCGCCTCTCCTCCTCCAAAGGAACACACTTCCTCACCAGCAACGGAACAAAGCTGGACGGACAATGACTTTGACGAGTTGAGAGAAGAAGGCTTCAGATGATCAAACTACTCCAAGCTACAGGAGGAAATTCAAATCAAAGGCAAAGAAGTTAAAAACTTTGAAAAAAATTTAGACGAATGTATAACTAGAATAACCAATACATAGAAGCGCTTAAAGGAGCTGATGGAGCTGAAAGCCAAGGCTCGAGAACTACGTGAAGAATGCAGAAGCCTCAGGAGCTGATGCGATCAACTGGAAGAAAGGGTATCAGTGATGGAAGATCAAATGAATGAAATGAAGAAAGAAGGGAAGTTTACAGAAAAAAGAATAAAAAGAAATGAACAAAGCCTCCAAGATATGTGGGACTATGTGAAAAGACCAAATCTATGTCTCATTGGTGTACCTGAAAGTGACGGGGAAAATGGAACCAAGTTGGAAAACACTCTGCAGGATATTATCCAGAACTTCCCCAATCTAGCAAGGCAGGCCAACATTCAGATTCAGGAAATACAGAGAACGCCACAAAGATACTCCTTGAGAAGAGCAACTCCAAGACACATAATTGTCAGATTCACCAAGGTTGAAATCAAGAAAAAATGTTAAGGGCAGCCAGAGAGAAAGGTCGGGTTACCTACAAAGGGAAGCCCATCAGACTAACGGTGGATCTCTCGGCAGAAACCCTACAAGCCAGAAGAGAGTGGGGGCCAATATTCAACATTCTTAAAGAAAAGAATTTTCAACTCAGAATTTCATTTCCAGCCAAACTAAGCTTCATAAGTGAAGGAGAAATAAAAACCTTTATGGACAAGCGAATGCTGAGAGATTTTGTCACCACCAGGCCTGCCTTACAAGAGCTCCTGAAGGAAGCACTAAACACGGAAAGGAACAACTGGTACCAGCCACTGCAAAAACATACAAAATTGTAAAAAACATCGACACTATGAGAAAACTGCATCAACTAATGGGCAAAACAACCAGCTAGCATCATAATGACACGATCAAATTCACACAAAACAGTATTAACCTGAAATGTAAATGGGCTAAATGCTCCAATTAAAAGACACAGACTGGCAAATTGGATAGAGTCACAGCCCATCAGTGTGCTGTATTCAGGAGACCCATCTCACGTGCAAAGACACGCATAGGCTCAAAATAAAGGGATGGAGGAATATTTACCAAGTCTCTGATAAAGTCTCTGATAAAACAGACTTTAAACCAACAAAGATCAAAAGAGACAAAGAAGGGCATTACATAATGGTAAAGGGATCAATGCAGCAAGAAGACCTAACTATCATAAATATACATGCACCCAATACAGGAGCACCCAGATTCATAAAGCAAGTTCTTAGAGACCTACAAAGAGACTTAGACTCTCACGCAATAATAGTGGGAGACTTTAACACCCCACCGTCAATATTAGACAGGTCAACGAGACAGAAAATTAACAAGGATATTCAGGACTTGAATTCAGCTCTGGACCAAGCAGACCTAATAAACATCTGCAGAACTCTCCAACAGAAATCAACAGAATATACATTCTTCTCAGCATCTCATCACACTTATTCCAAAATTGACCACATAAGTGAAAGTAAAGCACTCCTCAGCAAATGCAAAAGAACAGAAATCATAGCAAACAGTTTCTCAGACCACAGTGCAATCAAATTAGTACTCAAGATTAAGAAACTCACTCAAAACCACACAACTACATGGAAACTGAACAACCTGCTCTTGAATGACTACTGGATAAATAATAAAATGAAGGCAGAAATAAAGATGTTCTTTGAAACCAATGAGAATGAAGACACAATGTACCAGAATCTCTGGGACACATTTAAAGCAGTGTATAGTGGCAAATTTATAGCACTAAATGCCCACAAGAGAAAGCAGGAAAGATCTAAAATTGACACTCTAACATCAAAATTAGAAGAACTAGAGAAATAACAGCAAGCAAATTCAAAAGCTAGCAGAAGACAAGAAATAACTAAGATCAGAGCAGAACTGAAGGAGATAGCGACACGAAAAATCCTTCAAAAAATCAATGAAGCCAGGAGCTGGTTTTTTTGAAAAGATCAACAAAATAGATTGACCACTAGCCAGACTGATAAAGAAGAAAAGAGAGAAGAATCAAACAGATCTAATAAAAAATGATAAAGGGGATTTCACCATTGATCCCACGGAAATACAGACTACCATCATAGAATACTATAAACACCTCTATGCAAATAAACTAGAAAATCTAGAAGAAATGGCTAAGTTCCTGGACACATACACCTTTCCAAGACTAAACCAGGAAGAAGTCGAATCCCTGAATAGACAAAAACCAGTTCTGAAATTGAGGCAGTAATTAATAGCCTACCAACCAAAGAAAGCCCCAGATCAGACGGATTCACAGCTGAATTCTACAAGAGGTACAAAAAGGAACTGGTACCTTCTGAAACTATTCCAAACAATAGAAAAAGAGGGACTCCTCCCTAACTCATTTTATGAGGCCAGGATCATTCTGATACCAAAACCTGGCAAAGACACAACAAAAAAAGAAAATTTCAGGCCAATATTCTTGATGAACATCAATGCAAAAATCCTCAATAAATTACTGGCAAACCAAATCCAGCAGCACATCAAAAAGCTTATCCACCATGATCAAGTTGGCCTCATCCCTGGGATGCAAGGCTGGTTCAACATACAAAAATCAATAAATATAATCCATCACATAAACAGAACCAATGACAAAAAACACATGATTATCTCAATAGATGCGGAAAAGGCCTTTAACAAAATTCAACATCCCTTCATGCTAAAAACTCAATAAACTAGGTATCGATGGAATGTATCTCAAAATAATAAGAACAATTTATGACAAACCCATAGCCAATATCATACTGAATGGGCAAAAGCTGGAAGCATTCCCTTTGAAAACTGGCACAAGACAAGGATGCCCTCTCTCACCACCCATATTCAACATAGTATTGGAAGTTCTGGCCAGGGCAATCAGGCAAGAGAAGGAAATAAAAGGTATTCAGATAGGAAGAGAGGAAGTCAAATTGCCTCTGTTTGCAGATGACATGATTGCTTATCTAAAAAACCCCATCATCTCAGCTCAAAATCTCCTTAAGCTGATAAGCAACTTCAGCAAAGTCTCAGGATACAAAATCAATGTGCAAAAATTACAAGCATTCCTATACATCAATAACAGACAGAAAGCCAAATCATGAATGAACTCCCATTCACAACTGCTACTAAGAGAATAAAATACCTAGAAATACAACTTACAAGGGATGTAAAAGACCTCTTCAAGGAGAATTACAAACCACTGCTCAAGGAGATAAGAGAGGACACAAACAAATGGAAAAACATTCCATGCTCATGGATAGGAAAAATCAATATCGTGAAAATGGCCATACTGCCCAAAGTTATTTATAGATTCAATGCTATACCCATCAAGCTTCCACTGATTTTCTTCACAGAATTGGAAAAAACTACTTTAACTTCATATGGAACCAAAAAAGAGCCCACACAGCCAAGACAATCCTAAGCAAAAAGAATAGAGCTGGAGGCATCACACTACCTGACTTCAAACTATACTACAAGGCTACAGTAACCAAAACAGCATGGTAATGGTACCAAAACAGAGATATAGACCAATAGAACAGAACAGAGGCCTCAGAAATAACACCATACATCTACAACCATCTGATCTTTGACAAACCTGACACAACCTGACACAAACAAGCAATGGGGAAAAGATTCCCTATTTAATAATGGTGTTGGGAAAACTGGCTAGCCATAAGAAGAAAACTGAAACTGGATACCTTCCTTACACCTTATACAAAAATAAACTCAAGATGGATTAAAGACTTAAATGTAAGACCTAAAACCATAAAAATCCTAGAAGAAAACCTAGGCAATACCATTTAGGACATAGGCATGGGCAAAAACTTCATGTCTAAAACACCAAAAGCAATGGCAACAAAAGCCAAATTGACAAATGGGATCTTATTAAACTAAAGATCTTCTGCACAGCAAAAGAAACTATCATCAGAGTGAACAGGCAACCTACAGAATGGGAGAACATTTTTGTGATCTATCCATCTGACAAAGGGCTAATATCCAGAATCTACAAAGAACTTAAACAAATTTACAAGAAAAAAACAACCCCATCAAAAAGTGGGCAAAGGATGTGAACAGACACTTCTCAAAAGAAGACATTTATGCAGCCAACAGACATATGAAAACATGCTCATCATCACTGGTCATCAGAGAAATGCACACCAAAACCACAATGAGATACCATCTCACGCCAGTTAGAATAGCAATCATTAAAAAGTCAGGAAACAATAGATGCTGGAGAGGATGTGGAGAAAGAGGAACGCTTTTACACTGTTGGTGGGAGTGTAAATTAGTTCAACCATTGTGGTAGACAGTGTGGCAATTCCTCAAGGATCTAGAACTAGAAATACCATTTGGCCCAGCAATCCCATTACTGGGTATATACCCAAAGGATTATAAATCATTCTACTATAAAGACACTGCACACGTATGTTTATTGTGGCACTATTAACAATAACAAAGACTTGGAACCAACCCAAAGGTCCATCAATGATAGACTGGATAAAGCAAATGTGGCACATATACACCATGGAATACTATGCAGTCATAAAAAAGGATGAGTTCATGTCCTTTGCAGGGACATGGATGAAGCTGGAAACCACTCAGCAAACTATCACAAGAACAGAAAACCAAACACCGCATGTTCTCACTCATAAGTGGGAGTTGAACAATGAGAACACATGGACACAGGGAGGCGAATATCACACACCTGGGCCTGTCAGGGGGTAGGGCACTAGGGGAGAGATAGCATTAGAATAAATACCTAATGTAGGCGATGGATTGATGGGTGCAGCAAACCACCATGGCACATGTATACCTATGTCACAAAACTGCACATTATGCACATGTACCCCAGAACTTAAAGTATAATTAAAAAAAGAAAAAAAAAAGATATGACAAATTACTTATTATACTGTTAAATGAAAAAAGATTATAAGTGGCACATACAATATGAATTCAATCTTATTAAAATATATATGTAGACAAAAGAACAAATTATATACTCAAGGATGTTAATCTTAATTTTCTTCTTTGTGCTTTTCCCTGTAATTTCTAAACTTTCTGCAATAAACACACCATTTTTACAGTTAAAACAAAATGTGGTATATATATATATATGTATTTATATATGTGTATATATATGTATTTATATATATGTGTATATATATGTGTGTATATATGTATATACACCATGGAATACTACTCAGCCATAAAATGGAATGAAATAATGGCATTTGTAACAACCTGGATGGAATTGGAGACCATTATTCTAAGCGAAGTAACTCAGGAATGGAAAACCAAACATTGTATGGTCTCATTCATAAGTGGGAGATAAGCTATGAGGATGCAAAGGCATAAGAATGATACAATGGACTTTGGGGACTCAGAGGAAGGTATGGGAGGAGGGTGATGGATAAAAGACTACACATTGGGTACAGTGTACGCTGCTTGGATGATGAGTGTACCAAAATCTCAGAAATCACCACTAAAGAACTTATTCATGTAACTGAACACCACCTGTCTTCTAAAAATCGATTGAAATTAAATAAATAAATAAATAAAATGTATGTAGGCTTGTAGTAGTCAGATCAAGCACACAGAGGATAAAATTATTTAGATTTTTTTTCGGATTGAATGCAGATCAAGATATAACAAAGCACCAGAAAGTTTTCTTTCTTTTTTTTTAATATCTATGTTTCAATTTATTGAAATTATCTTCCAGAGATGCCAGGTATACTTGGTTATGTTTCTCTTCCAAATTGATCACATTTTACTGTTTCTTCTGAATATTTCTAATGTCTCCCATAAATCCACTTCAGCACCAGAAAGTTTTCTTATGAAGAGTTTTAGCATTGTGTATCATAGCTCAATCTTTTTTGGAAAAGTCCAGAAAATTATGGGAATCTGAGAAAATCTACTCTATATGAAAGGATATATACTTTATAACTGACCTTTAAGTTCATATCAGCACATTATTAATCTATTCAACAAATACTTCTTGAACACATACCATGTCCCAGGATCTACACAAAGCAGTGAATAAAATAGTCAAACTTCCCATGATTATGGCCCTCTATTCTAGACCAGCAGTAATCAATAAATCCAATAGCTACTAGATCCGTGTGGCTAGACCAAGTCAAAATGTACTGTAAGTGTAAAATACACACTGGATTTCCAACACTTAGTGTCAAAAAATAAGGTAAATATCTCACTAATCATTTTTACATTGATTACCTGTCAAAATGATACTATTTTGGCAGTATTAACGGAAGTATATTGTTACAATTAGCTTCACCTGTTTCTCTTTACTCTTTTAATGTGTCTAGTAGAAAATTTTAAATCACATATTCAGCTTATACTCTATTTCCACTGGACAGCGCTGTTCTAGATCAGGGGCTCTCAAACTTCCCTGTATGCAAAATTGTACAGGAAGCTTTAAAGATACAGATTCCCAGGCTCCATCCTCAGAAAGATTCTTATCATATTAGTCTGGACTGAGACTCTTGTGCTGACATTTCTTTTTTAATCTCCCAACTGAGACAATATACAACTGTTCCAGGGTCTGTGGAAGACACATATCTGCCCTAGCCATCTGGAATATATCCATTTGGCCATCCTCTAATGGCCATCCTCTCTGTTTGTAGTGATATTTAAATGCATTCAAAGATTGTTTGATAATTCTTCCTTCGAAAAGTGGAATTTAATTCCCCTCCTCTTCTGTGTGGAAAGGGCTTAATGACTGGCTTCTAACTAACAGAATGTGGCAGAAGTGATGGTATATGACTTCCAAGACTAAGTTATAAAAAGCATGTGGCTTCCTTCTTGCACTCTCTCTTTAATTACTTGTCCTGGGAGAAGCCATCTGCCATGTCGTGAAGGCACTCAAGCAGCCCAGTGGAAAGGCCCACTGGGTAAGGAATTGAAGCCTCCTGCCAACAGCCAGAAGGAATCAGGTGGGCATGTAAGTGAAACACCTTGGAAAAGGATCATCCAACCTCAGTCAGACCTTCACATGCCTGCAGCCCTGACCAATATCTGCAACTTCATGAGAAATCCTGAGCCAAAACCACCCGACTAAGTCAATCTCAGATTTTTTACCTACAGAGACTGATGAGATAATACAGGTTTATTGTTTTAGGTTGCTAAGTTTTAGGTAATTTTTATGCAGCGATAAATACCTAACATGCTGTGACACTGGGTCTCGCCACTCCTCATCATTTCCTCACCAAGGTCATCTGCCGATGGTGAACTGCCCCAGCAGCTCAGAGCCATTTATGAGGGTGCTGCATGGTTTTCCTTTTCCAGGTGACAGCCCAGTGGCCACAGACAACCATGTGGTTGTGAGGATCTTCCCACTAGGTGGGCACCCAGAGAGGTGCCTCAGTGCTGGCAGTCAGCAATCACATAGCCCAGCCGCCTGGGATCTGCACACTGGCTGCAGCTTTGATGCCTTGCTGGTGGCAACACAGCATGGCACTTGGTGAAAAGGCACTAGAATAACTTTCTGGGTCCTTTGAACTTTGCTAGGGGCGTGAATTTTGGCATGTCTCTACCCTCCTCCCCAGTCTGTTTTCACTCTTCTCAGCCTCCATCCTGAAACAAAGCTCCCCTTCAAAACAGGGCTGCTGAGAAACACACAAGCACATCCATGCCCATTTCTATTGTTCCTGGCTGCAAATTCCCTCTTCCTCAGCCGTTTCTCACTTCCTGCATATGTCTGTAGACCCATAGCTGCAACTGCCTATGATTGCAATTTTATCCCTACTTCTGATATTATATACATCCCAATTTCCACTTTGCCTCCCCAAACATAGTCCCACTGTCCACATCCCCTACGTTTCCTGGCACGTTGGCAGTCCTCTGGAGGAACTAGTACAATGCACACTTCTACACAGGTTTTTCTCCCTGGAGGAAGCAATGAAGGAAGCGTTATGCCAGTCTTGGTCGATTACAGAAAGAACTATTGTAGATTCATAGTCTTGGTCAAGAAATTCTGCTCTAGTTGGTTTGGCAATAATACTAACAGAAAAGTAATAATGCTTAACTTCCTTTTTTGATAGCATTATTTTAAGTTAAATTCCTTCAACTTAAAGTTCTTTAAGATTTATAAGGTAAAGAGTTAGTTTCAGCTCACTAGATCCCCCAAGTTTCTCTAAAATGAACACCTAAGTATTAACATTACTCAAATGCTTTATGGTTTTTTTTCCAGTGCAAAAGGGGAAACAAAGCTTACTTTATTCCTAAAGTGTTTTCCCCCATGTTTTTGCCTGGCCTGAAATCAGACTCATGTTCTAAAAAGGAGCGATTAAGTGCAGACTTCTGTTTTAACAGGATGTATTTAAGGCAGCCAGGAGCATTCTCCCTGCGTTAAGTTGAAAGGTCTTAATCAGAATGAAAAATTGATTACTTGTCTTGACATATGAGTCACTTATTGTCACAAGGAGCTATCCATTTAAGTGTATGATATTTCAGCTTTGCATAAATAACGTCTCCTTTCTTTTTGACTCTATAAATATGCAGGTTCAAACACAAGAACATCTGACTCCAGGGGGCTTGTGTCTGAGTCTTGAATCGTGTTGTCAAAGGATAATTCATATTTCTCCCCTCCACCCCCACTCACACACACTTTTTAAATGTTCTTCTATCCTGTGCCTCCCCCTTTACTCTCTTCCACCTCAAACAGATAATCCATGTTTTTCAAAAGGTGCCTTGTTACTGAAAGGATAACTGGAAACTCACCAGCTTGTATCTTAGGCTACTGGGCTTCACTCCTTTTAATAACAGACAAAGGAGAAGTCCGCTAATGATGTTGACCCACCTCGGCTTGTGTTTGTGTAATGTTTGAAAGAGGTTTTGTTATCGTTAGACGTTCCTGAACAATCGCTCTCAGAACATCAAGCACCGAGCAGAGCGGAGAGGTGAGAGTCAGGATCGGGGCGGGGGATCGGAAAGGCTCCCGGTCCAGTCCTCCCTGCTTGTTCAGCACCATCTACTGGGGGATTACAATGCGACTTCAGAAACAAGAACTCATGTGGCCCTAAATACAGGGAGGAAAGTTTTACATCCATCCTCACAGGTGGTACATAATTACTCACTGTTTATCGTGTGTGGGTTACATATATCCACATTTTGAATTATAAACAACAAATATTTCATCTTGTTATTCAATCTTACATTGTCTCTAACCTGAGATATTTGACTCATTAATTTGTCCTTGATGAGTGGGGGGGGGATGAAAATAATTGTAATATCATCAAAGCAAATAACACCTGGGAAAATCTCACAAACAGTATTCCGAAATTGGATAAAATAGAATGCTGTTCTAACGTGGCTCTTTATTACAGTTCATTATCTTTCAAACTACATTATTTTAAGATAAACTGATATATAAATAATTTTTTAGATAATCAAAATTTTAAGCACCATAAGGTTTAATATTATTTTCAAAGGAATACAAAGGAAAATTAAATTTTTATACATGACCAAGAGCTGTTTATTATGAACATCATTTACTATGCAAGACCTCAGGAACAATTATAATACGTGGAACTGTTTGCCCTTATGCTAAATGCTCCTTTTCCAGTTAAGTTCTTGTCTCTTCTTTTCATTGCTTTTCTTCCTTCTTATATCCAAAGTAATTCTACCTTCCTGTAGCACCCTATGCATGCACCACATTTCTTCATCTTTTACTTCTTTTAAACTTACTGGTAGGCAATCATATAACTAAATTTAGTAGAAGAAGTGAGACCTGCTGTGGCTCATCTATGAGTAAAATGTACATGTAATGAATGAAATTTGTGACAACACTCGCCTGTCTTATTCCACTTTATTCTGAACTAGCAGATGTCTTCAAGAAAATTGAGATGGCTGAATAAGCCACCTTCAAATACAGCAGTCCCCAGCCTTTTTGGCACCATGAACCAGTGAAAGACACTTTTGCCACATACATGGGGGCAGGGGAAGGTGGGACAGAGGATGGTTTTGGGATGCAACTGTTTCACCTCAGATCATCAGGCATTAATTATTAATTAGATTCTCATAAGGAGCATGCAACCTAGATCCCTCACATGCGCAGTTCACAGCGGGGTTTGCTCTCCTATGAAAATCTATGCCGCTGCTGATCTGACAGGAGGTGCAGCTTAGGCAGTAATGCACGCTTGCCCCTCTCACCTCCTGCTGTGCTGCCCAGTTCCTAACAGGCTGTGGACCACTACCCCTGCTGGGGTCCCCTGTTCAATAAGTTAAATGCAGTCCATTTGGGTATACTATTAGTTAAGGGACATTTACCAAAATATATGTTCACATAGAAAATTTAGAAAAGGCCCAACTCAACTGGTACAACAATGTAAGGCAGATACTCTGTTAAATACTCCCAACAGTGCTGTTATGTTAATTTCATTTCTTGACTAGTTTATGGATTGCTTCCTTTTTGAAACCAAGCAGGAATAAATGAGAACTAACTGGACGTTCTTAACTTTCTTCTCAGTCATAGACTCCTTTTAATCCCACAGTTTGGCAGCTGATATAAACTAACAAGATAGTTACTTATTATTATCCATGACATTCTAATCCAGTTCTAGAATAACAGGTGGACTCTAGAAGATGATAATAGCTATATGTTGCCTCTACTTATAGGTTAGCTCCTTGGTTAAAACACTACGTTAGGCGACCAAGATCATGAATATGATTTCCCTCCCCGGGGGCATATCCCATTCTGTGGAAGCTGGTGCTTATGCCACTTGGAGAGCTCTTTAAGAAACAGAACATAAAAGTACCATTAGGTAAGAAAGTGACTATTTAAGAATAATTTTACAAAGTTGACAAATACTGTAAGCATCACAAAATCCAGGTTAACAGAATGTGTGTACTAACTACCTGACACTTCTGCAATATTTTTCTACTTTTTAATCTGCATGCTCTTTGAATGCCTCTTTAAATGAAAATTCTATAATTTTCTATAGCAACAGTGAAGGGTACTTTTGTGTTTCCTCTAGCAGAAAGTCTTTTATTTTAGACAGATTTTAGAAACAATGGGAAAAAGTGTAGCTTCTACAAAAGGAAACGTGGAATTACCATCTAAGGGATGAGGTTGGCCTTCTGAAGGAATAAACGAAGAGAATATTAGTTAATGTGGGGGAATCAAGTTTATTTTGGAAATGGTTTTGATATCACCAATGAAAGGAAGTAGTGTATCCCAGCGTTTAACAGCTTGGACCACTTAAAACTGTGTGACTTTGGCAACTAACAATTTATTTGCACTGCAGTTCACTAATAGGGTAAAGTTGCTGGAAAGATTAAATGAGAAGGTTAATGTAACATATTTTAACAAAGTGCTTGTCTTGTTGTTTTGCTTCACTTATGAACTGTTTTGCTTTAAATATTAACAATAGTCCAAAAAAAATTAAATAAACTCCCCAAGTGATGCTGATGCACAGCTAGGAATGGAGACCACCAGACCACACTTGTACCAAAAATTTAGCTTCTTTGATAGGAGATGCTTTGGGGGTAGAGAGAGAGAGAAAACAGTAAAATGATTCCTTACCTAGTGAAGAAGAAATACATTAAGCCAACTTTGCAGCCACAAAAAATGATGGATTTAAAGACTTAAATCCATGTTTGGTCATGTTTCCAAATATCAGAAAAAAAGTTTTAAAAAAAGTACTTTACATCAAAAAGTTTATCCACCATGATCAAGTTGGCTTCATCCCTGGGATGCAAGGCTGGTTCAACGTATGAAAATCAATAAACGTAATCCATCACATAAACAGAACCAGCGACAAAAACCACATGATTAATCTCGATAGATGCAGAAAAGGCCTTCAATAAAATTCAGCATCTGTTTATGTTAAAAACTCTCAATAAACTAAATATTGATGGAACATATATCAAAATAATAACAGCTATTTATGACAAACCCACAGCCAATATCATACTGAATGGGCAAAAACTGGAAGCATTCCCTTTGAAAACCACCACATGACAAGGATGCCCTCTCTCACGACTCCTAGTCAATATAGTATTGGAAGTTCTGGCCAGGGCAATCAAGCAAGAAAAAGAAATAAAGCATATTCAAATAGGAAGAGAGGAAGTCAAATTGTCTCTGTTTGCAGATGACATGAGCTTATATTTAAAATACCCCATCATCTCAGCCCAAAAGCTTCTCAAGCTCATAAGCAAACTTCAGCAAAATCTCAGGACACAAAAATCAATGTGCTAAAATCACAAGCATTCCTATATACCAACAATAGACAAGCAGAGAACCAAATCATGAATGAACTCCCTTCACAATTGCTGCAAAGAGAATAAAATACCTAGGAATTCAGCTAACAAGGGACATGAAGGGCCTCTTCAAGGAGAACTACAAACCACTGCTCAAGGAAATCAGAGAGGGCACAAACAGATGGAAAAACATTCCATCCTCACGAATAGGAAGAATCAATATCATGAAAATGGCCATACTGCCCAATGTATAGATTCAATGCTATTCCCATCAAACTACCATTGACGTTCTTCACAGAATTAGAAAAAAACTACTTTAAAATTCATATGAAATTTTAAAGATCCTTTATAGTCAAGTCAGTCCTAAGCAAAAAGAACAAAGCTATAGGCATCATGCTACCCGACTTCAAACTATACTACAAGGCTACAGTAACCAAAACAGCAAAACAGCATGGTAGTGGCACCAAAACAGACATATAGACCAATGAAACAGAACAGAGACCTCAGAAATAACACCACATCTACAACCATCTGATCTTCAACAAACCTGACAAAAATGAGCAATGGGGAAGGGATTCCCTATTTAATAAATGGTGCTGGGAAAACTGGCTAACCATATGCAGAAAACTGAAATTGGACCCCTTTCTTATGCATTTTACAAAAGTTAACTCAAGATGGATTAAAGACTTAAATGTAAAACGCAAAACTATAAAAACCCTAGAAGAAAGCCTAGGCAATACCATTCAGGACATAGGCATGGGCAAAGACTTCATGACTAAAATACCAAAAGCAATTGCAACAAAAGCTAAAATTGACAAATGAGATCTAATTAAACTAAAGAGCTTCTGCACAGCCAAAGAAATTATCATCAGAGTGAACAGGCAACCTACATAATAGGAGAAAATTTTTGCAATCTGCCCATCTTACAAAGGTCTAATATTTAGAATTTACAAGGACCTTAAACAAATTCACAAGAAAAAAACAAACAACCTCATCAAAAAGTGGGCAAAGGTTATGAACAGACACTTCTCAAAAGAAGACATTTATGCGGCCAACCAACATATGAAATAAAGCTCAACATCACTGATAATTAAAGAAATGCAAATCAAAACCACAGTGGGATACCTTCTCATGCCAGTCAGAATGGTGATTATTAAAGAGTCAAGAAACAACAGATGCTGGCAAGGCTGTGGAGAAATATGAATATTTTTACACTGTTGGTGGGAATGCAAATAGTTCAACCATTGTAGAAAACAGTGTGGTGATTTCTCAAGGATCTAGAACCAGAAATACCATTTGACCCAGCAATCCCATTACTGGGTACATACCCAAAGAAATATAAATCATTCTCTTACAAGATACATGCACATGTATGTTTATTGCAGCACTATTCACAATAACAAAGACATGGAACCAACCCAAATGCTCATCAATGATAGACTGGATAAAAAAAGTGATACATACACACCATGGAATACTGTGCAGCAATAAAGAGGAATGAGATCATGTCCTTTGTAGGGACATGGATGAAGCTGGAAACCATCATCCTCAGCAAACTAACACAGAAACAGAAAACCAAACACTGCATGTTCTCACTCATAAGTGGGACCTGAACAATGAGAAAATATGGACACAAAAAGGGGAACAACACACATCAGGGCCTGTCAGGGGGAGCAAGGGGAGGGAGAGCATCAGGACAAATAGCTAACGCATGCATGGCTTAATATCTTGGTGACAGGTTGATAGGTGCAGCAAACCACCATGGCACACGTTTACCTATGTAAAAAACCTGCACATTCTGTACATGTATCCCAAAACTTGAAGTAAAATTTTTTAAAAGGTACTTTAGATCAACAATACTAAAACCTAGTCTAATGCATATGGAAATTGTCAAATTTCTAGAGGCTAAAGTTTTTCATCACTACTATAAAATGTTCTTTTAAGGGGCCTTAACTTAACTCACTGGGTGATGCAGCACCCAGAGTTTTGTTTTCTCTCTGATAGGCTTGGGTATCAGACAGATGCACATTTGGTTCTGAGTTTTATAACTCACTGTCCCTGTGACTTTGGGAATATTATTAACCTCTCCAAGGTAGTCTACTTCTGTATAAAGTAAGAATATTAATCACGTCTACCACATGCCTTCGCTGTGAGGCTTGAATGAGAGAGAATGGCATGCTTTCAGCAGAGTTTTGAGCATATTCCAAGCAGTTAATAAAAGTTAGCTATTATCATTATCACTTCTATGATTCTTGTTTGGTTGAGAATGTGAAGTTTTTATTTTGGCTTTTATTTTTTATTCTACCATAATTTTTCCTTACCGGCTACACCGGGTTTATACTGGGTAGGCCTTCCCATTTTTAACTCAATGCTCTGAGGCACTAACAGAGATTGAAATATACAGAATACTTGAGAAAAAGTGGAGTACATAGGCAGGTGTGTGTATGTGTAAGTGTACGTGTGTTCTGATTTCTTGCATTCAATATATCTTTAAAATTGTTGAAATTATTGTATGTGGCCCCAAAATAATGAAAATGACCTAAGAAATTAAAAATTAACTTTTAGAGCATTTCTCTTTACAGTCTAACTTGGAGTTTTCAATGTATTTAACATATTCTGAGATGTACCTTATTAACTTCTACAAGTCACTGAGCTTCCAGAAGACTTGGTCTCCTTACATGCAAAACAAGGATAAGAATACTTAATAATATTTATGTAGCATCTTTCATTCAACAAATGTACTAAGTGCAGCAGCACACAAGACAGGCATGGTTCCAGCTGTCATGGAGCTTATGGTCTGTTAGGAATAACAGACATTGAGTAGTTTAATGAGTACAATAAAGGAAGAGTACAGTGAACAATAAAATCATACAACAGACAAATATAGTCTAGTCTGAAGAAGTGGCATCTGGCTTGGTAGGAGTTAAATATTACTATGGAAAGAATTGGAAAGCAGGGTAAGAATTGGTTACACAGGGTAATTTATTTGTTCCTTCATGTATTTATTCAACCAACAAGACTCTTCCATAAGGCTCATTTACCTGTACCCATGACCTCTGTGCTCTTCAAGTCTTATCTGGGCTATTACTGCAGCAGTGCCCTTACTAGTCCATCTGCTACACAGCTATCAAAGTTATCATCCAAAACCAATCATTTTTAAATGTTTTACAGAGCAATGCCTGTTTTTTGGAGCATTTTTTGGAGAAAATTTTGTCCAAGAGAACCCTAAAAATAAGGTCTGTTTCTTTGTGAGTTGCTTACTGCTGACCACACTGCACTGCATTTGAAACACTCATGAGAAGGAGGGAAGTTTTCTGTACTTTTGGGCTTAGTCTTTTAATAGTTAAACGGAATCTGATGTGTCAGCTAGTGTCAGGGCTGAAAATACATTTCCGACTTGAAATGTCTGAATCAAAGATTTGATCATTGTTTATTGGGTCAGTAGGTTTCTATATGGGGGGCTGAATCACTGAAATAGCTAACCCAGGATAGGGTTGAGTCAGGCGAGGCACACGATGAAGAAATAGAGGCAGTGACCTTGACTGTAGCTATAGCTAGCTCAAGCAATATAAGTGCCAAATTATCTCCTCAAATCTCTAGACCAGATTCAGCCTATGTCAGAACAGTTTTAGAGTTTAGAAACTATTACTTAATGTGCAATTTTTATTTTTTACTTTCAGTATTCAGTTGTGGTTTTGGTGTAGAGAAAGTGGATTTTTAAAGCAAGTTGCTTCAAAGTATATCAGTGGATTTGCCAGAGAGGAATAACCTTAGATATGATCTTGTTTCTCATTTGGCTTTCCACCAAATCACTGTTATGCAAAAATTCTCCATTCAAATTAAGGGGTGTGTGTGTGTTTGTGTGTGTGTATGTAAAAGAGATTCCCAGCATAGCCTCTGAAAAGCATATCTTCTTAAATATCTAATTTTAAGAACTTAGCTTTTTTCTTTTTGTGTGTGTTATCAGTTTTGCTGAAAACTTGATTACTTTTGGGCAAGGAATAGTGAAGCCTAAAAAATACATAAAGTTCTTCAAATCTCTAACTTTTCCATAGAACTTGACCCATAACATATCTTCAGCAAATATAACACAGAAATAGAACAGGTTTCTTTTTCTTCTCTCTCTGTTAGGATTCTATTGGTTGCAGTGACAGAGAATACAAATCAAACTGGTTTAAACAAAGATTTACTAGCTTATATAACTGAGGTGTCCAAATTGAGCCAGGATTTATATTTCTTTCTCTGTTTCTTGCTCCTGCTTCAGGGTCCAAATAATCAGAAGAAAGCTTCCAACAGCTTCTAGGGCTGAATCTTCCTGGCTTCTAATTCAGTAGAAAAGAACAAGTATCTTTTTCCCAGCATTGTTAGCATAAATTCTGAGATTTGCCTGATTGAACCCACTTAGGTCACATGACTGGTCTTTAATCCATCTCTGTGGACAGGAAAATACCACTTGCTGATTGGCTCAGAGCAGAGTCAAGCTCTCCATTCCTAGGGCTCAATGCACAGCCCTACGCAGACCATATGAGCTGAAAGTGGAACACTGAAGAGTGGATACACACATTAAAGCCAGGCTGTTGCTGGAAGGAGAGGAAATAGAAGCTGGGAAGACAAACTAATATTCACTTTATCTTAAATCCCACCTCTCGCTAAATCTCATTTTGTGCTTTCTCTCCACACACATGTCACCTGTCTTGTCTCTCTCTATCTATCTTGTTCATCTACTACTGATACCTTCAGGAGATGGTGGGGTACACTATTCCTGTTCCTTAACTGCTTCTTAAAAATAATTTTTAGCTTCCCATTGCCCGCAGAGTGCATCTCAATCTGTAGTACGTAGTCTCAAAGATTGTGACAGTATGCTGGAGGACTAATACATAGAAAAAATGGAAATGTCTTCCTTAGCCATCAATTTTACTTGAAGATTTAGAAAAATATATTGTCTATTATATCAAGTATATTATGGAGTAGGATTGCAAAATTCACAATAATAAACCACAAGACTTAAATTGGATGGCTCCTGTTGCATATTTAGTGCCATGTTCCATGTTCCCCTGGTGTACAAGTTCACTTACATGCAAGATAGAACCCCAAGTTCTTAGCCTGACCCACCAGGTTGTTTGCAATCACACATCAATCTCTGTAGGCTCATCTCTAACTCTTCTCACACATATCTCCTGCCCTCCTGAAGTTCTCCGTGTTTTTTTTTAGCCTAACTCTACATGTTTATTCATATTACACTCGTCAAAGATAGCCTTTCCCGCTCCACTTTCACACCAGAAAAACTTTTATTCATTTTGCAGTACCCAATTCGAATATTATTTCTGTACGCAGGAACATCATAGCCAAATATTCTTGCCTTTAGTTAGTATAATTTTTCCTGACTGTTTGGCAATGAGTCACCTTTCCATTTTGATTCCTATAATATTTTATTTATGCCACTGTTGGAACGTATAGTATATTATATTAAGTTTAGGTATGGAGGGAATGTTTGTCTTTTCCCATCAGACTCTGGTTTCTATGATAACAGCATCTAACACATGACTGGCAATCAACACATATTGATTCAACAACCTGAGAACTGATATTATAATTCATTCTTATTTGTACTTGCAATGTCTAATACAAGACCAGAGGAGGAGCTCAAATGTAAATGAGTTAATATCAAACTTAAGCTTTGCAACACTTAATACCAGATCCTAGACACACTTTAAGCTTTGTTTATGAAATTAAGGGAATAGAGAAAAGCACAGATCAGAGAAAAATAAGCAGTCATTACAACAGGCCAAACTCTTCAACAACATCAGGAGCCAAGGGTAACCACTTTGGGGGCCCTTCTCTCTGAGCAACCCAAGTGATGGCCTCAATTCCTAATGAAGAGAGGATCAAGCTTCAGGCCAGTGGCACAGTATTAATACAGATGCCTTTGGCTTCAGGAAACAGAAGACTTCAACTTAGTAATTTAAGCAATAACAAACAGTTAAGTAGGATGTTAAGTAGAGCATAAATACCTAAATTAGTATTTAGGTTCCTTTCATCTTTTTTTTCCACCAACCGTAGCATATCTGCTTTTTCCTTGGCTGGCTCTCTTCCTGGTTACAAGATGACTTCCAGAGTTCCAGAGTTTTTTTTTATCAAACAGATGTGACAGTGTCCAGGGGAAGAAGACTGTCTCTTCTTCATTACTCTTTTACTAATAACAAAGTCTCCCCATATTTCCTCTTATACTTCATTAAATAGAATTGAGTTGTATGCTCATACTCATCCCTCACAAGAAGAATGGACCACCAGAACTGGCTACAATCACTTTGGAGTTGGGAATGGGTGCAAATAAACGATGTATAAACATCTTTACAAAAGTGGGATTTAGGTTGTTAGAGAAAAAAAAGGAAACTTGCTGTAGGGCAGTTGATTATAGAAAATAATTTTGAAGCAATAAAAGAGTTGTTGCCCAAAGGTAGGTAAGATCCTGCTGTAAGAAATTTCCAGTTTAGAAAGGCAATTATCCACTTTAAAAATTATGTCTTAATGATCTGTGGAAAAAGTAAGATATGAACATTAATTTATCTTATAATTATAATACAGTTTTTAAAATTTGCCTAGAAAAAAGGATTAGAAAGAAATAGACTATAATAGTAGTTGTGTTGGGTGGTTTGATGTGGGGTGATTTTTTGGTCTTTTCTTCGTTTTTCAAAGTTTCATGTGATTATATTACCTCATACTGACATATAGAGAGAGATGTGTATGTAATTTTTAAAGTCATAAACTTATTATTTCTGGTTTTGTTTCTTTATACTTTTAACCCCATTGAACAGAATGAGGTTAACAAATATAAATAGCATTTATTATAAAAATATAAACAGTATTTATATTTTTAGAGTCAGGAAAGAGACTCGGAAGCAGGGACTTTTAAAAAGATTTTATTTCTCAATTGCTTAAAAACTTCAGACATCCCCTTCCATCCCTCCGTGAATAATGAAAATTAGTTTCCGTCTCCCACACCTTTTTTAAAAAATTAAAGCTATATCCCTATATAAATGCGACCCAAGACTTTCTTCTACAATCCTCTCAAAGTCTTCTGAGATATCATAATGGCAGCCTTGGGTGCTGACACTGTATTTATGGTCAATATCTGACTAAATCCATGACAATCATGTTTAAGTGTAACTTTTGATTTTTGTGCAAGGCTTTATTTGGAGCAAAGCAAATATCTTAATTTGGGATGCTATAACAAAATACCAAAGACTGGGTGAATTAAATAACCAAGATTTAATTCTCACACTTCTCAAAATATGGGCAGATTTGATGACTAGTGAGAGTCCTCTTCCTGGTTTGTCGACAGCCATCTTCTTGCTGATTCCTCATATGGCAGAGAGAGAGATTATCTCTCTCGAGTTTCTTCTTATAAGGGTACTAAACCCACCACGTGGGCTCCACCCTGGTGATCTAGTTACCTCCCCAAATTCCCACCTCCAAATACAGTATTCCCGCATTTGTCTGCAGTTTTACTTTCCGAGGTTTCAGTTACCTTCAGTCAACTGCAGTCCAAGAATATTAAATGAAAAATTCCAGAAATAAACATTCACATAACTTTTATTACAGTAGAGTTGACCGTTGAACAACACAGCTTTGAACTGCACAGGTCCACCTATATGCAAACTTTTTTCAGTAAGTATATTGAAAAAATGTTTTAAGATTTGAGACTATTTGAAAAAACTTGCAAACTGCATAGCCTAGAAATATTTTTAAAAATTAAGAAAAATATAGGTATGTCATGAATGCATAAAATATATGTAGGTAGTAGTCTGTTTTCTCATTTACTACCATAAAATATATAAAAATCTGTTATAAAAAGTTAAAATTTATCAAAACACACAAACAGAATACTGTATATGGCACCATTTACAGTCAAGAGAAATGTAAACAAGCATAAATCATAACTGCATAAAATTAACTGTAGTAATACCACACTACCATAATTTTGTAGCTGTCTCCTGTTACTATTGTGATGAACACAAGTGTTAAGAGTATCTGCTTAAAATGCCTTGTGATGCTAATCATCTCCACGTGAGCAGTTCCTCTCTCCAGTAAATTGTGTATCACAGTAAAAAGTGATCTTCTGTGGTTCTTGTGTATTTTCCACTGTATGTAGTGCAATATCATAAACCTTGCATAACACCATGGGACCCATACAAAGTGCCACTAGTGATGCTGGAAGTGCTCCCAAGAGGCAGAGAAAAGCCATAACATTACAAGAAAAAGCTGATTGCTTGATATGTACTGCAGATTGAGGTCAGGAGTTGCAGTTGCCCACCATTTTAAGATAAATGAATCCAGTGTAAGGATCATTGTGGGAAAAAAAAAAAAAAAGAAAGAAAGAAAGAAAAGAAAATGTGTGAAGCCATAGCGGCAGCTATTCCAACAGGCACAAAAACTTTGCATTTTTGCAAAAATCTTTTTCTCTCATATTGAAAATGCAGCTTTTATGTGGATTCATGATTGCTATAAAAAGGCATACCTATAGACTCTGATGTAATCTGAGAAAAACAAAGTTATCATGTAACAACTTAAAAAAAAGGAAGAAGAAGGATCTAAAGCTGGAAAGTTTAATACCAGTAAGGGATGGTTTGATAATTTTAGAAAGAGGTTTGGCTTTAAAAATGTCCAGGTAAGGTGCTGTGAAATGCACTTGTAGTCCCACCTACTCAAGAAGTTTGTGTCCGGAGGATCTCGAGCTTAGGAGTTCTAGGCCAGCCTAAACAACACAGGGAGACTCCACCTCTAAATACCAACAACAACAACAACAACAACAAAAACTGTGAAGATAACAGGAAGAGCAGCTTCTGCCAACCAAAAGGCAGCAGAAGAGTTCTCAAACACCATGAAGGAAATCATTACGGAGAAAGGATATCTGCCTGAACAGGTCTTTAACATAGACAAAAGTGCCCTATTCTGGAAAAAAAAAAAAAAATGCCACAAAGGAAATTTATTAATAGGAAGGACAAGCGAGCACCAGGATTTAAAGCAGGAAGGATAGGATAACTTTACTATTTTGTGAAAATGCAGTCCATTTTATGATCAGGGATGCCCTTATCTATAAAGCCACTAAAACTGTGAGCTTTGAAGGGAAAAGATAAACATCTGCTGCCAGTCTTTTGGTTGTACAACAAGAAGGCCTGGACAATAAGAACACTTTTTCTGAATGGGTTCCATCAATGCTTTGTCTCTGAAGTCAGAAAGTACCCTGCCAGTAACCTTTTAATGTTTGCTATTGGACAATGCCCCAGGCCACCCAGAACCCCATAGGTTCTTCTTTGCTTCAACACCAAAGTTGCCAAAATGGTCTACTTGCCCCCAAGCACAATGTGTCTAATTCAGCATCTAGAGCAGGGGGTCAAAAGGACCTTTAAAGGTCATTACACATTACTGTAGGGAAAGGATAGTCAATGCCATGGAAGAGAACCCCGATAGAAAGCATATCATGAAAATCCAAAAGGATTACACCATTGAAGGTGTCATCATTGTTATAGAAAAAACTATGAAAGCCATTAACCCATTTATGACTGAGGTTGCAATTTTTTGAATTTTTGCAATCAGACCTTGGTGATGACCTTGAGTAATAGGATATAAATAACTCCCACATGCTTAGGGTTCCAATAATGGAACACTAGGCATAAATGAGTTTAAGCATGAAAAAAATTAATTCCTACTGGAGAAATGGTGTTGATATTTGTACAATTTATGATGGAGTCAATCAAGGAAATCATGAAAGAGATTGTGGATATGGCAAAAAAAAAAAAAGGTAGAAGATGAAAGGTTTTAGGATATGGGTTTTGGATGAATTCAAGCTCTAATGGACACCACACCAGAGGAAGAAACAGAAGAAAACTTGATGGAGATGAGTGCTCCTGAACCACTGCCACACTGTGAGGAAGATGTAGAAGAAGCAGTGTCAGAAAACAAGTTGACATTAAACAAGCTGGCAGGAGGGTTCCAATTATTCAAGATTGCTTTTGACTTATTTTATAACATGGATCATTTGATACAAGCACTGAAACTAAAGCAAATGGTAGAAGAAGGATTGGTACCACCAGAAACATTTTTCAAGAAACGGAACAGCAAAAATGTCATATAGAAATTATAAAGTATTTTTGTAAAGCTATACCAAATGTACCTGCCTCCCCTGCCTCCCCTTCCACCTTCTCCACATATTCCACCTCTGCCACCCCTGAGACAGCAAGCCAAACCCTCCTCTTCCTCCTCCTCCTCACGCTACTAAATGTGAAGATGACAAGGATAAAGAATTTTATGATGATCACTTCCACTTAATAAATAGTAAATGTATCTTCGCTTCTTTATGATTTTTCTTAATAGCATTTTCTTGTCTCTGGCTTACTTCATTGTAAGAATACTGTATGTAATACAAGTAACACACAAAATATCTGTTAATTGACTGTTTATGTTATCGGTAAGGCTTCTGGTCAACAGTAAGTTATTAGTAGTTAAGTGAGGTCAAAACTGCACAGGCGGGAGGGGGAAATCAGTGGTCCTTAATCCTGAATTGTTCAAAGGTCCACTGTATATTGTTATAATTGTTCTATTGTGTTATTATCTATTGTTGTTAATCTCTTGCTATGCCTAATTTATAAATTAAACTTTATCTTAGGTATATATGTATGGGAAAAAAACATAGTAGATATAGGGTTCAGTTCTATGCACAGTTTCAGGCACGCACTGGAGGTCTTGGAACATATCCTCTATGGAAAAGAGGGAATTACTGTACCATCACACCAGGGATTAGAAGTTCAATATAGGAATTTCAGGTGGGAGAGGACATGAACATTCAGTTTGTATCAGTGAATGTTTTGGGTTTTTTATGACTGCATCTTTTTCCTTCTCTCTTAGGTTTAAGCCATGCTTTTCCTTTTTCTAAGCTCCTCCATCATCATATCTACATGTTCACCATGTCCACGTCCATGACAGAATTCACTGTTGGGTTCCTTCCTCAGACTGCCATTTGTACATGCTTCCCATTGTTTCCTTTTATACATCTAAAATCATGTTGGAGCTCTAGGGAAGAAAATGCCTTTTCAGATGTGACCAGAAGAGGGGTTCCATCTACAGAAAGGACTCTCCTGCCAGGAGAAAAAACTTATTTCTTGGGTATGTTTTAATCTTTTAGTGGTATTTGTGCCTTAACTGAACCATATGAGATTAAATTTTTTTGTCACATAGAGGGGGGAAATGGTTGTTAGATTAATTTTCCATTCCATTTTTGGCAGTAGGCACTTAGCCTCCTCCCCCATCAGGAAGGAAGTTTGTGGGTGCACCATAATTTCTTGTGGTGTTAAGCAGCCAGAGATGGTCCAAGTTTGAAAGCAACTGTTCGTGCAGACCTGAGTGCTTCTTTACTTGGTCTCCAGGACACCGCTCTTTCTTGGCAATGATTAGCCACTTCTACAAAGCTGCTTTTGCTGGTTCCTCTTCATGTTCCCAACCTCTAAATATGGGAATACCTGAGATTTCAGTCCTTTAATCTCTTCTCTATTGAATCTACATAATACCATCTCTCTGATATCATCCTCTCTTCCTGACTTTAAATATCACCTGTAAGCTGATGCTTCCAAATTTCTACCTCAGTCTGAAACACTTTTAAACTCCAGATATCTATCTCCTCTTGTATGTCTAATAAACATATAAAACTTAACATGTCCAAAACTGAGCTCTCTGTTTCCCTCCCTAAATGTGCTCTCCTTAAAATTTTTCTCCATCTCAATAAATGATAACTTCACTCTTCCAGTTGTTCAAGCAAAAGCCTTGAGGTCATCTTTGAATCATCCCTATCACATTCAACATCCAATCCATCAGCCAATCCTTCTTGCCTTTACTTTTAATATCTATTTAGAACCTGTCCACTTCTTATCACCTCTACCATCACCTTATGACAAGCTACATCATCTCTTCCCTGGATTATCAGAATGGCCTCCTGACTGGTCTCTATGATTTTCTTCCTTACCTCCTATAGCATATTCTCTACAAAAGGAACTATCCCTTTAAAATGTTTCACGTCATATCACTTCTCTGTTTACAACCCTCAAAAATGTCCCATCTCACTTATGAAAATAAACTCCAACATCCTTTTCATTGTACTATGACCTAAAGGGCCCTATGTGATCTGTCCACCTGCTATTATTCCTATTAATTCTGCTAGTCCTCTCCTCACTTAACCCACTCCAGTTAGGGTTGACTTACCCTTTAGGCAGTTGGCATAGTGCCGAAGGTCTGAGCCTTGCTTTTAGGAGCCCACAAAAACGTTTAACTTCTTTTAAAAAACAGAAGAAAAAATTCTAGGTTAAAAAACTATATTTTAACATACAGTGTTAATTATTTGTCTTTATATCAACACAGTCATAAAATATAATTTTTAGTATTGTTTCAATGAAGGAAAGGACCCACAAAGACAAAGGCATCCTAGGGTACACGAAAATCCTAAGAGGCCCCTGGGAAGTTTGGGCTGAGCTGGGAAAGTCTGACTATTTAATATAGTGGGCTAAGTAACTGCTCCCTGCTTCTTGATTTTGTGTCTCCCATTGGATCCTGTTTTTCATTGTTCAGCAACTGCTTTTCTTCCTTGTGCTCAGCTCTTTGAACTTTGCTTCATACAAAGAGTGAGGGCCTGCTATCAACTGAATGGAATCCCACCTTGAGGTCTCTCCCCACGGCCCATCACACCTTCCTTAAGGATCTCCACTGACCTCCTGGGTACAGTGAGACAAGGCAAAAGGAAATTACCCTAAAGGAAACAAAGAGGTGAGACCATCAGACATGGAGCTGAGCCCAGCTGGTTGCCTATTTAGCTCTGAAAATCAAAATAACAACAAAAAACCTTCTTACTATTATATGTGGCCAAATTCCTTTAATTAAGAAAACAGATCTTATATTTTCAACCTTAACATTTATATGACTTTTTTTTTGGCCTTTTCTTTTATAAAGCTTTCCTATCCCCTTGTATCTCAATGAAGATGAAAGATTCACCTGTAATTTTCTCCTCCAATAATTACAGCTTTCAAATATCAGTAAGTTATAGGTTATTGCTATTATGACCTGAAAATTACTTATAAATCTAGCCAGGCCAGTACCTTTATAAGAGATCAGAGAAATAGCTAAAAACATCCTCTCTGGAATTAAGAAGAAATATTCTGGTAGGAAACTCTAAGATTAGTCATAAATTGGTCTTGCAAAATCAGTGTTATTGTAATAAGCATATATGAAAATTTACCCATGATGCATAGTCTCAATCCTAATTTAACTTGTCCTAATTTAACTAATCCTAAAATAACTAATTTTACTTCCATTTTTATTATGTGTAAAAATAAGTTCTTTCTATAATGTTTTGTACTATTGGCCTACTTGCTTGCTTGCTTTTCCATGCATTGCAATATTTGGGAATGGATTACAAAAGATGCTTGGATAAGTAGCACTGAAAGCTGTTAAAAACAGAACATCAATTCCGGAGTATGTTTCTATTTGGATGCACATGAATGAAATAATTGAACTCTCAAAGTTCTTTTCATGCCCTTAATTCAATGAAGCAATTCCTGAAGCAACACATTCACATTTCGTAGCCGATTTACATGTTTCCTTTTGCTAGCCTTCTCTTTTGGACTAAGTTTTCTCCTTACTAATGTCAGTTCAAACTGGTGAGACTTCAGACAAGTGGTTTCTCAATCCTGATGGCACAATAGAGTGATGTGGGGAACTTTAGAAAAGTTCTGATGATCCAGCCCTGCCCCTAGAGACTGTGATTCAATATTTTGAGTGTATATGAACCACTTGGTTATTTGGTTACTGTGTCATCAAAGCAGGTTAAAAACGAGGGGAAAAGCCATTTTTTCTTCAGCCTGGCTATCTTGACAACTAACAAATTAGTTTTTACCCCCAAAAGAAAAGAAAAGTGAGACCAAAGATATTTTTACTTTTAGTAAATAAAGTGCATCAATTCTCAAAAGGTGCTTGGCCCTTTAAATGGCACGGCAATGCATAAAAAGACAGTTGGGTGAGGCTACATGCCCTTCATATCCATTTCAACACCTACCTCGGGTCCCAAAATAAATATTTTTAATATTGTCTCATTCTGGACTGTTCCAACATGCACTATATCAGCTTGTCTGCATATTCTAATGTAACCGCGAACAAGTTTCCAGCAGCTCATGTATTTTCAACAGACATTAATTCCTCATTGCATATATTCCACCTTTGAAAATTACACCAGCAAAAGATTGCAAGATGTAGTACTGACCAGCACAGTATTCATGAGGGGTGAAGATCCAATCTATGGTAGGGAAAATACTGCAGTTTTCCACACAGTAATTACAGCTAAACTCAATTATACAAGCTAAACTCAATTATACGAGCTAAACCCAATCCTGTTCCCTGGTTTCTTCCTGGTTTCCAAGGATGTGGTGTGATATACCTTAGGGCCATTTGTCAGGGATCCTCAGGGTTGTTGGTGGATATGGCTATTTTCCTTCTTTCATTTATCTCAAAGAAGTAGATGAGGCAGAGGAATGAGGGAGGGGCTGCTTTTTAGTACATTGTATTCTTCCTCCAGTTCTGCTAACAGGAAGGTTGAACGCAGCCCTGCAGGAAATTCTCCTTTTGCCACTAAGCCCTTCTAGGGTCAAGGGTGAGAAGACAAGGGATCAGTATCACTAACCCCTATCTGTGCTGCCTCGGTCAACCTTCTGTTTCTGGGTTTCCACACAGAATTCTATAGCATTAAGAGTCTTTCTCACCCAAATAAGGACATTTTTAAGGTTGGTTTAGTCTGGGTGGAACACAGAGAGAAAAAAATTGAGTTAAAAAATAAAATAAAATAACCTCCATAAAATTTTTCTTATGAATCTGGATTTTCAAAATTATACCACAGCATTTTCTCCTTTCAGCATTCTCTTCTCGCAGTTGGTATAAAATAAGCAACAATATCCTCCTTTGTAGCCTCTCTTCTCTGTGTGTAGCCCTTGGTTTGTGCAGAGGAAGTTTTAACCCTCTATGAGGTGAATGCCAGGAATCGTTTTAGGATGATTTACCAGAAGTCAGCCAGGAAGCTGACATGGGCCTGTTTGTAAAGGAAGAAGTACAGAGCCAGGGTATTTTGTGTCACTGTGAGAATGTACATTGACCTTTGTTAGAGAAACAGTTAATATTATTATTCCATTATCACACTTTCAAATGAGAAATTTAACCTCACATTTGTCCACTCTTACATCCCTCATGGCACAGTAAAGAGCCTTCTCTGGTTTAGTGCAGAACCACTAACTGTTAAAAAGGTGAATGAAGCTGCTCCCCAGTCCCCGCTTTCCCTCAGCTTCCTTCGCAAGCACAGACAAGATCAGTGGTTTTGTTATGGTCACCCAGCGACGCGAGCTTGGAACCAAGTATCTTTTTTGGTCCTCATAGTGTTCATTCATTCCCTAAACTACTCCTTTTTCTTCTGGGAAACAGACATTTTAAATTGTAAGCTACTAGAAGACAGAGACTGTGTATTTTAACCTGTCTGGTAAAATGCCCAACTCAAAGCAATGGAAAATACCAACCTGGAAGACAAGAACCCCAGAATCTAGGCTTGACTCTGCCACTAACCCTTGCAAGTCATTCTGCACAATGAAGGAATTGGATTATATGAAATCTAAGGTCCTTTTTGTTATAGCTCTAGGCTTATGCACCTGAGAACTATTCATCAATGACGTGAACTGTCAAACACCACTGTGGAGCCTTTCCATCACAGGTACAGCTACCGCCCCGCTCTTCCTCCGCCCTGCCCAGCACACACTGCTCAGCTTTGAGAGACTCCAGCTCAGCTCAGAAACCATAACTGGCCTTATTTTTATTGCCTCTATTCAAGGCTATAGGACTTCATCACTACTATGTGTTTTGGCTATGTTTTCTCACTCGTGAGAGATGAAAAAACAATTGCCAGCCAGGTGCAGTGGCAGTCTCCTGTAATCCCAGCTGTCAGGAGGCTGGGGTGGGATGATTGCTTGGGTTCAGGAATTCGAGTCCAGTTTGGGCAGAAAAAAAGAAAAATGGTCATTTTCTAAATTTACATTCAGAAACTCTAGCAATGGTGTATAGTTCTAGAGAAAAGGGTGTTCTCAAGGGAAGAGATACAACGGTGTTGTTGTATTTATTCATTCATGTTTTCAGAGCCTTTAAAAGAATAATGTGCTTGTTATTTAAAAGGTTCTGATATTCGGAGAAAACAAATATCATCAGGGTGCACTGGCTGTACTGGTTTTTGCTCCAAGGGCAGGAAACAGCTTGGCCAACTTGAGAATAAAATATGCTTCTCCTCAGCAGCTAAGCTTGTTAGCCTCCCCTTCTGATGGGAGGAACAGCATTGCATACATAATGTAGACATGCCAATGCTTGCTCTTTTTCCAGAGATTTTAAATATTTCTCCCAAGTTTTAATCCCACAAATAGATTCCAAAATAGAAAAAAAGATTATGTTCCAATGTTTCCACCATCTTTGTCCCTCAATTTTTTTTTTTTTCCTAGCAGACATTACCCACGTATACCCTCAGGGAAAGGAAAGCTCTCATCCCATCAACTTTTTGACGCCTCAGGAACCCACTTTTTCCAGAGAAGATTCTAAGTGGGTCATTTCCCTTTTGTGGCTTCACTACAAATTCCATCCACATACTTACCCCCTATCCTATTTTCAGAATTGAATGGCCAACTCAATTCCATGAGGGCTTGATTAGTTCCAGTTAAGGTCACAGTTGTCACTTAAGAGCAGTGGACTTTTTGCCCCCTCAAAGGCTACTTTTTATCCCTACCTCCACCCTTTCCTCCCTTTTCCTTTTCCCTCTCCTTCTTCTTCAATAGCGCTGTGTTATGAAGGGCCTGGCCACACACAGAGAATATTACAGGAATAAAACCTGGAAAAGAGCACACGGTTATGAAACATTAAACTTCAACTTCTCTTTATTTTGCTCCCTGAATTCTCCTCCCCCTCCAAGAAAACATGAACCTCGACAGATTTGTGGTTCATGTTATCTTCAGCTGTAAAAGCCAGCTGAACCAACAGAGCAGCCCTTCTCTGTTTCCTGCTGCCTAGAGGTTTCAAAAGGGCTACTGTAAAGGAACGGTTACCTCTTTGGCCTTATGGACAACTTTTTTAGAAGAAACAGATTCAACTAGAATCACCCAGGCTAAGAACTCTGTACATTGTAGAGTTCTGTGCAAATGAAATCAATTAATATTGGGAGTTCTTCCATGCCAATTAAAGAAAGGATGGGCAAGGACAGGAAAGTAAAAACAGCGCCTGAATGCTGCTTTTTAAAGAAGTGATTTAAAAAAAAAAAAAAAGTTCAAGGATTTGTCCATTTCTTCAGTGAGGCCCAACATATGAACTTCAGTGGGAATTTGGCCCGAGGATAGATTGCCACATCAGACATTGATTCAGTTAAAGCTAACCCATTTAAAGGTGTCACCCATTAATTTATTGACTGCAAATAGGAATTTTGCCCAAGGCCAGAACTCACAATTGGTCCCAGTTGACCTGAAATGGATTTCCACAAGTGGCTGGGGAAAGGGAGTCTCTTTTTAGAATGTCTCTTCTTTGGTCCACTGTCTCTTTCTTTATCCTCTCTCCCCCTTTATGACATTAATAACAGAGCACTCAAAGAGCTTCATTAGTCGAAGGCATACAAACAGCTGCTCAAAGGATTTGTGACTGGATTGATCCTAAAGCTGCCAGTATAGACATTACATGTCAAAAATGATGATGTGAGCTTATCAGCTGCTTTTCAATTTTGACATTATTCTCTTTTCATTCTTGCCCATTTCATGTTATTGATTAAGTGTTCATTTAGTAAAAGAAAATACTTTACTCTTACAGAGTGGCTCTTTGCAGTATGTTGAAAGTCTTGGTTTATACATGTTTTCACATAAATATAAAATTATTTTTTATTCCTGAAACACATTTTTAACATGCAAGCTACAAAAGAAAGAATATTAAAATAGTATTTTTCTAGTATATGTGCTGCCAAGACGAGCACTAAAATAGTATTTTTCTGTGTGATGCCATATGTAGCATTCTTAATCAATAGTCTCACCTAGACAGGAAAATGAATACAGTAGTCATTTTATGAAGCTGCAAAGTGGGCCAATGTTTTGCTAAGATTAAAAAGTGACTCTTCTCTCCAATTTGGGGGCCATTTTTCAAATTTTCTGTGGCATGTAGCTAAATTCAAGCTGCATACATAAGACCTGGAGACCCAAAGGCTAAAAACCAAATTATTTCTACCTTAGAGAAACAATTGCATAGGGTATACAAGGAAGCATATACAAGGATGCAGCATTTATTTGCAGTAGCAAAAAACAAACAATAACTTGGAAACCACTTGTAGATCATAGAGGAATGACTAAATAAGCTATGATCCATCTAAGCCACAGAACACTACAAAGTAGTTCAAAGGAATGAGATGGAGCTTGCATACTGATAAGGATCCATCTCTAAGACATAAAATTTTTTAAAAATATATTGTTTATATTAAAAAGACATACTTACAAACATGAAACAATACTACGTAGTTTCTACCTAGAAAAAGGTCTGTTAAGAAAATGTAGTAAACTGGGAGAGGTTGGGATGATTTGAGATTAAGAATAGTGGTGAAAGCCAGGTGCAGTGCCTCATGCCTGTAATCCCAGCACTTTGGGAGGCTGAGGTGGGCGAAACTCTTGAGGCCAGGAGTTTAAAACCAGCCTGGCCAACATGGTGAAACCTGTCCCTACTAAAAATTAAAAAAAAAAAAATTAGCTTGGCATGGTGGTGTGCACCTGTAATCCCAGCTAATCGGGAAGCTGAGGCATGAGAATCACTCAAACTCAGGAGGTAGAGGTTGCCCTGAGCCGAGATTGTGCCTGGGCAACAGCGCAAGACCCTGCCAAAAAAAAAAAAAAAAAAAAAAAAAAAAAAAAAAAAAGAAGGGTAGTGGTGAAAGGGGAGTTTAGCCTGACATATAATATTTTCAGTTTTTACAAAGAAACTGTATCCATGTTATTTATATAGTTCAAATTTAAGTCCTTTTAAACAGTCACAGTATTAAGTGGTACTTTAAAAAGCATTGACTTCTTGCATTGCTTATTTAACTAAACCCCAATATTGTCCTGAAAATCAGCTCTTTTTATGAGAGTTATTTAGTCCTGAGGTTCTGTTGTAAAGGAGCAGTGGGAAGAAAGAGGATAAACAAGCTAGAATTTGAATTAAACTTCAGCATGGAATAAAACACCAACTTCCTTCCTTCTCCACCCTCTCTTGGATCTGAGCCCATCACTGTACTTCTCAGTGGCCACCCTACGCACCCTGACAGACATAGAATTCTAGAACCACAAAGCACCTTACAAAACCTTTGCGTCGACCCCTCATGTTTAGGTGAGAGTGCTGGTTTGCTCAAGTTAGAATCTGTTGTTCCTCTTGACTCATCCTATTCTCTATAGCCTCATTTTATAACCCTTTTGGGAGTGAAATGGAGTTGGGCTCAGTCCTTTCTGTTTAACTGGACAGAACTCCTCTCACTAATTTCAACAGAGAAAACTGGTGCTTTTTCAGAGCTGTTTACTTCCATTCTCTGGGGAATTAGTTTGTTTAATTGTATTTTGAAGATTCCAGTTCTACAGAACTCGATTTCTTTAGTTTATCTCTCTTAAACTCTCAACTTCTCTCCCCCTCTCACTCTCTCTTTCTGTCTCATCTTTGCTTTATTTTTGTCTTCCAATCTCTCTGCTTTTCTCTGTCTCCATGTATTTCTGTCCCTTTCCAACCTTATTCCTTCTGTCATGAACATGTTCTATTTGTTTTTTGGAAAGATGTTCTACAAAGTAAATTTTTATGAGATAAATTTTAGTAATACTTTACTAATTAAAAATATCAACTCAAAAAAAGTTAAGACCGGAAGGTAGATTTAGTTTTAATGAAGTGTTCTTCTTTTACCTTGCTTTTATGTTGCTCCTTTTTATCTCTTCATCAAGGAAACTGTATTCCTTCAAACCTCAGAGTATAATAAATAACTTACAAGGATGCACAATTGTACATTACTCTCTTGACAGGGTGACTCAACACTGATAGGTATTATCTATATTCTTTAAATGGTTCCCTGCAGGACTAAGCCCTGTGCACATACAGAAATACAAAAGTACACAGGATAAAATGTCTGGAGGTGACTAAGCTGGCCCATTGTTATTTCCTTGCAACAACAGTTTGCTTATGAAATTCAAGTACTTTCAAAATGACATAAGCAACTGAGGAACACATGTCAACGCTCTGTGATCTGGAGCCTTCCAAGGTAGCTCAGTAAACAGCGCATCTCTCCAGGTGAGCTTCTAGGTATTGTAGCCCTTCATGGGCTCCAAGAAGAAATGATGGTGGTCAAGCTGGCTGGGAGAGGCACGAACTGTACTGAAGCTGTGTCTTCCCAGCCTGCTTAAGAAACCTTTTTGCCAAGTGCATTTCCAAAGAGGGAATTCCAAAAAGGGACATTTCTCAGGTAGTGAATCCTTTGAACTTGAGCCTTTTGGCATTTTCATTTACATCTGCTTAAACAGACACATGACCAGCATTTATCAGTCTAGCACTTGCTGGGGCATTCTTCCTTCCAAACCGTAAAAGGAATCTGTGATAAAATTATGATTTTTTAAATACTTGACAGGCTGGGACCTGTAGAAAACTCAGAGTTCTGGCAGAAATATAAAATCAATTGAGTTTCATCTGAACCATTCTTTGCCTTTTGAGACCCTTTGATAAATCTCAGATGGAAATTCTTCAGTCTCACAGAAGCTTAGGAGGGTAACTGTACACTTTGATTTTTGACTTTATCATGTAATTGGGGTGGCATTTTTATTGACAGGTTGTTCACTAGATCAGTGGGTTTATTAATCTCTTTTTCTAACCAAGTAACTTGATAGGACTTCATTTAAAAGTCATTGTAGTGGCTGTAACTGGGCTCACCTTGGGCAGAGATCATAGGTTGCTGAAGTCGACATTTTCTTATAAAGACCCCATACAAACAGGACAACAATCCAATCAAGTTGGGAAAATTGGGGAATTTAACATGGCTACCATCTTCTTATTTTTGAATGACTGCAACTGTCATCTTTGCTTGCAGAGGGAGAAGGAAGATTAATCCACTCTCCATACTCCAGCAAGGGTAATCTTCCTAAAACGCAAATCCTATCATGTTTATACCCTGCATGAAATCCTGGAGTATCTCTCCATTTCTCTTAGTATAAAGACCAAAAGACTCACCATAACATCCAAGATCTTCCAAGCCTTGCCTACCTTTCTAGGCCTCTCCTTTGCCCCTCACACTGTAGACTCTGCCATCTGACTAGTTGCTGTTGAAGGAACTCACCAGCCTCCCTCTTCTTTCTTGACCTTTAAACATGATCGTCCTTCTGCTTGGAATGCCCTTCCCATGCTCTTCAGCTGGCTAAACCTTACTAGCCTTTCAGGGCAGTTTAACTATTACGTCCTTCACACTTTTCAGGAGTTCATGGCATTTTACCCACCACTTACTTTGACCCTAGATCATACATGCCTTGTGAACAGAAATTGTGTCTTAAATCCCAGTGTTTATTGCAATATCCATTATAATACATCACACATTTGTTTTTCTCCCTAGTATTTATCCAGCTCTGGAATTATGTTGTCTGATGTCTGTCTTCCCAGCCAGGGCAACCTCCCTGACAGCTTGTCTGGCCCATTTATAGCACCTAGAACAGCTTGGGGCACACAGTAGGCATTCAATAAATATTTGCTGCCGGGTGTGGTGGCTCACGCCTGTAATCCCAGTACTTTGGGAGGCCAAGGCGGGTGGATCACCTGAGGTCAAGAGTTCAAGTCCAGACTGGCCAACATGGTAGAACCCCATCTCTACAAAAATACAAAAATTAGCTGGGCATGATGGCGAGTGCCTGTAATCCCAGCTACCTGGGAAGCTGAGGTGGAAGAATCGCTTTAACCTGGGAGGCGGAAGTTGCAGTGAGCCGAGATGGTGCCATTGCACTTCACCGTAGGCGACAGAGCAAGAATCCATCTCAATTTAAATAAATAAATAAATAAATATTTGCTTAATTAATTGTATCTAAAAAGCCTAACGCAAGGTCCAGCAGTTACTTAGACTTCACCGAATCCAATGAACCACTGATGGTGAAATGCACTGCAATTTTATATACCATTAAGAAAGATAAAAAAGGGTGGAAATGCCTCCAAAAAGCATGACATAATGCTTAATAAAACAATGACATTATAATTTCTTCTTGGATATATTTTTCTATTTGGTATAAGAGACATATTTAGTCACAGATATTTATCTTATCTCTTACACATACATAAAAAGAAAAATATAAACAAAAGTAATTGGTTCAATTTTCTAAACTTCTTTATATGTGTGAGTCTAAATTTGCTGAATTACCTTTCAAATAGAGTGATCAGTGTCCCTGACTTTCCCACAGTATCCATCTTCTGTACCATCTAGAGTGTTGGTGCTACACTATTTCTTAAAAGAGTACTCCTCTATTATCCCTGGGAATTTTCATCCAAGCCGCTGACACCTACCATTAGGCAAGTTTGAGGGCTAGTTCCTTACCGATTTTTGCCAAAGGTTAGATTTCAAACAATGGCCCTGATTCATGTGCCTTCCTCAAACATAAACGTCAGTTGACAGAAACACGAAGGGGCTCAGTTATCCAATTGTGCCACCAAAAAGAATAGCCAACTAGTACATCATGATTGCTTCTAGCTGACAGTATTTGTAAGCCACCAGCAATGTTAAAACTGATCACAGTTTTAGAGTTAATAAAATGTGACTATGTGTCTGATTTAGAATCAATGCAATATAATATTAATAGTATATGCTTAGTAAGTATTGTTGAATGAGTGAGATTGACAGAGAGGAAGTACATAGAGAAATAGATCTAGGAAGTTACTCCCCAGTGCATAAAAAATTTCATATTCAAACTCTTCTCTCATTGACTGAAAAATACTATGTGCCAAGCCCCAATGCTTGGTTTATTTATATACATTGTCTCATTTAATTAAATAATATAACACATAATTTCCAGGTGTTATAATCAGTTCCCAAAGTAAAAAACAGATCTACTTTAGGTATTATTCTGTCTCCAGAACTCCACATTGACCTAGACTCACAACAATATCACAATGACCATTAATTTTCATAGTTTTGCAATCAGAAAATATCTTCATAATCATTAAGAAAAGATTGAGTTCAGCATAGTTTTATTGTCAAAAATATTCTATAATAATTCCAAAAGACTGATCATCTGTGAATTGTGCACATATTTTTTAATTAAAAATTTTTATTAACTTGAAATGTTCCATATGGTTTCAAAAATCAACTATTAGAGCCAGGTGCAGTGGCTCACACCTGTAATCCCAGCTACTTGGGAGGCTGAGGTGAGAGGATCACTTGACCCCAGAAGTTCAAGACCAGCCAGCAACATAGTGAGACCCTGCTTCTAAATAAATAAACAAATTTTAAAGAATCACCTATTAAACTGAAACGCAAGGACCTATGTTCTTAACTCAAAGATGGGATAAATAGCTAGAAAAATTCATTTCAGTCTTGGATTTGAAAAGGACTGGAATGGTACAAACAATTCCAAAAGATATTTTAAAACTGTCAAAATAATTATTGAAACAAAATCAAATTTAATTATCTCTAATTTTAAAATACTGTGTAAGCACGCTATGCAGGACAGGAATTAGGAGACTAGGTGTTGTACTCCAAAAGTTAAGAAATATCCAGTTCAGTAAAACCTCCACCCACATCTATTTAAGCTCAATTCTCATAAAAGCAGGGCTGTGTGCATCTGTGCGTGTGTGTGTGTGTGTGTGTGTGTGTGTGTGTGTGTGTGTGTTTTACCAAAAATACCCAATTATCAGATCGGTGATATTCACAGCTCTTCTGATGCTGATCTTTTCAGATGATGATCTTCAGATGATGATTTTTGCTGTTCTAAGTGATGTATTAATGCTCACTTCCTTCTAGCCACAGAGCCTTGGCCCCACAAGTTGCCTGGAGGCAGCTCTGACCTACATGCAGTCAAATCATCCCAGTCACATCAGTCTCCAGGGTGATTTGAAGTGTGGGTAGTTGACATCTAAGGGATAAGTGGGAGGAAGTTCTGTGGCTGGTCTGACAGTAAGGAGGCTAATTCCTGAAAGGCAGAGAAATAAAATGTCACTCACTCCTATGAGCCCCTGTGGTTTTCAGAGCAGGATCCGATGTGTTTTCTGCCACAGTCTTAATAGGGCAATAAGTGGAGAAGGAAATGGGTGGGAGTTCTGCAAGCTTGCCAATATGTGAATGCACCCAACAATGAAGACGAGCTTTTAGTTCCCTTCCCTGGTCACTAGCCACAATGTGCATGGTGGTCAGGAGCTCTGTATCCATATGGTGAGAGTGATGCTTTGAGGTTTTGCTTGTTTTTTAATATTAGAGTGGGCAGCTCTCAATTGGATTGTCAAGCTAATATACATAGCAGCATGAAAGCCCTGCATTTACAATTAGTTCCCAGTTGAAATGGAATTATCCTTACTAATGACATGAGGGACTTTCTGATTGGGGTTCGAGATTAGAGGCATTTATTTACCTGTGTAAAGGCCAATGCAGGAGAAACCTATATGACATGGTTTGGATGTTTGTCCCCTCCAAATTTCATGTTGAAACATGACCTCCAATGTTGGAGGTGGGGCCTAGTGGAAGGTATTGAATCATGGGGGCAGATCCCTCATGAATGGCTTAGTGCCATCCCCTTGGTGATGAGTGAGTTCTTGCTCAGTTAGTTCACTTAAGATCTGGTTGTTTAAAAGAGTCTGGAGGCCAAGTTCAATGGCTCACACCTGTAATTCCAGCACTTTGGGAGGCCAAGGCAGGAGGATCACTTGAGTCCAAGAGTTCGAGACCAGCCTGGGCAACATAGTGAGATCCTGTCTCTACAAAAACAAAAAAGAAATTAGTTGAGCATGGTGGCACCCACCTATGGTCCCAGCTACTTGGGAGGCTGAGGTGGGAGGATTGCTTGGGTCCAGGAGGTTGAGGTTGCAGTGAACCATGATTGCACCACTGCACTGCAGCCCGGGTGACAGAGTGGGACCCTGTCTCAAAAAAAAAAAAAAGTCTAGGACCTCCCCCTTCTCTCCCTTGCTCCTGCTCTCACCATGTGATATGCTGGCTTCCCTTTTCACCTTCCACCATGACTGTGAGCTTCCTGAGGCACTCATCAGAAGTCGAGCCCATGTTGCTGCTATGCTTCCTGTACAGCCTGCAGAACCATGAGTGAATTAAACCCCTTTTCTTTATGAATTACCCAGCCTCAGGTATTTCTTTATAGGAATGCAAGAGGGACTAGCATACCATACCTCAGGAGAAGGAGAGAATCCACGGAACCCAGGAAAGAAAAGAAAGCCATGCTCCCGGGGAATCTCTCAGTGGCAGAATTCCAGGCTCCAGTGGTCCATGTTCATCCTGTTGCCAGGGCCAATATCCCCAGCAGGCACAAAGGGCACAGCGACTAGAGACTCACAATATGTTTAGGGCCCATGGACAGATTTTTATTTCTTTAGAAATCCGGAGGAAAAAATAAAGTTTTAGGTCAAAGAACATGTTTTAATGGGTAATGTTAATACATTCACCTTTATTCTAACCTGGTCATAAAATATACTTTTTACTTTTTTTCTAAGGAGGAAGTGCCTACTGCTCCTGAAAGTTACCATGCAGCCTTGCCTGTGATATTAGGTTAAATGATACAATATTGCTGACAACCAATTGTTTCAGGTCTACGAAACAGTTTTGATCTACTTACTACATATCTCTCGGACGACCCTTTCCTGGTTTGTAGAAAATCTCAACTCAAGCCAGGTAAAGAAGGTAATCCATTTCTTTCTCTCCCTTTCTCCTTTTCTTCTCTCTCCTTTTTCTCTATTTCTTTCCCCTTTTCCTTCTATGTGTTTCCTGGGTAGTGGGTTCTCTGTCTCTCTCTCTCTCCCCTTTCATCTTCCCCTCTCCCCCACTCTCTCTCCTTTTTCACCTCTCCTTCTGTCCCTATTTTCTTGGACTTTCTTACAGAACCAGAAGATCAGTCATCTATAGTCCTCTGGGCTCCCCAAAGAACCTTGAACTGTCACAGGCACTCACTGTGCTCCTTCTACCCTCAATGCTATCTCTATCCTCTTTCTCTAAGTCATAGATGAGTTCCAGAAGAGATCAGAAAGACCAGGTGAACTCAGATCAGGGATATCCTTAAGCTCTCTGGGGGTTGGGGCAGGAGACAAGGTCCACAGACAAACTAATGTCTTTCTTTTCTTTTTCATTTTACAAACAGGATCTCACCTTGTTGCCCAGGCTGGAGTGCAGTGGTGCAATCATAGCTCACTGTAACCTCAGACTCCTGGGCTCAAGCAATCCTCCCCACTCAGCCTCCTGAAGATCTGAGACTACAGGCTCACACCATCATGCCTGGCTAACTGAAAAAAAAAAAATTTATCAAAACAAGGTCTCACTATGTTACCCAGGCTGGTCTTGAACTCCTGGCCTCAAGTGAGCCTCTTGTTTTGGCCTTCCAAAATGCTGGGGTAACAGGCATGAGACATTGCTCCTGGCCAGACTAATTTCTTAAACTGTTTTGCTCCTCCCACACTCTTTATCTTTAGTTGCTGGGATCTTGACCTGGTAGGGAAAGTGTGGAGGAAGGAGAAAAAATGATTCTACCTATTTGCTTATCCTTAAAAATTTTTCCCATTTTAATATTTAGGACAAAAATGTGATGTTAAATTTATTTTGCAAGAATTTGCATTTTTTCCTTTCTGATCTCATCATTGAAAACCCCTAAAGAAATGAATGCCCCCTGATCTAGCTACATAAATAGGAAGTCACCAGATAAATAAGGTAAAAAGGGAAATAAGGACCAGGGCATAGAGCACATCTGCTATAACTTCCCCTATCACTCTAGCACAAATACTAATTAAATCCATTAGGGACAAACCATAGAGTTGGCTGTCATGGCGATTCTGTGGATAGAGTCCTGTCCTCAAGGAACTACATTTAGTGGAGAAAAGTAACGTACATAAATAATACAAGAAAATGAACATAAATGAGGAAGGAGGAAGTGCTCAGCGGGGGATTGATAGAAAAGCAGCCAGTATCCAGGCTCCCTCTTGGCGATGAAAGGAGCTTAAAAGCTATTCCGTGGTCACAGATGATGGCGGATTATCCACTCCAGTCTGTGGCCCAATGAGAAGGCTGAGTGACTTCTGTTAAAAAACCCAGCCCAGAAGTGTGGTTAAATATTCGGGCTTAGAGAAGTACTGCAGAGCCTGGAGGAAGAGGACACCTTTAGGCAAGGTGAGAAAAGAAAGGAATGACTGAACTCTCATGATACAGAGCTGTGAAGGGAGAAGCAGTCAGAGACTACATGGATTTGGTTCAGGGCTTTCATTTATCTGAAGATGTCAAAGAACTTTTGTGTTACGGGCTTTCGGAAATTCTGGCAGAAGGCCAGGTGCAGTGGCTTATGTCTGTAATCCCAGCACTTTGGGAGACTGAGGCAGGCAGATCACCTAAGGTCAGAAGTTCGAGACCAGCCTGGCCAATATGGCAAAACCCCGTCTCTACTAAAAATACAAAAAAATTATCCAGGTGTGGTGGCACACGCCTGTAATCCCAGCTACTCGGGAGGCTGAGGCAGGAGAATCGCTTGAACCCAGGAGGCAGAGGTTGCAGTGAGCTCAGATCGTGCCACTGCACTCCACTTCATGTAAAAAAAAAAAAAAACTCTGGGAGAAGAAAATGAGGAAGGAGGCCATATTATTATCCAGCTTCTAGAGAGAGAGTAACAAAAGCAAAATGGTTAGCTTTGAATTTATAGCAAGTCATTAGTGGAACAAGAACTGCAGAGGAGAAGGCGCAACTTCCCTTTTGTGCCAACTTTGTCTGGACTTAAATGATGAATTTGGAAGAGTGAGGTGGAGTTGGGGAGTAGTAAAGCATTAAATAACCAACCATGACTAACTGCTGAGTTTAGCCTGAATGAATTCATTCTGCAAACATAGCTGTCATCAAAACATAGCTTACGCAAGACTCCCAAATGTGCTGCATGTCACAACGTATAACTACAAATCCATGCTTTCTCTGCAAGGTCATAATCAACTGTCTGTGGTGTAGCATTTGGTATGGTTGGATAACATGGAATGGTCGCCCCAGGTGATTTCAGTTTTTATGAAAGTAGAATAGGGTAAGCATTTTATTCACTGCGTTGTTGAAGATAGATTTGTGAGGTCAACAGAGTTTTGTGGCTGCTGTTTTTAATTCGAAGAACATGCTACAACAGAATACAGCTACCTTATAGTACAAACCCAAATTTTTATTCTAGTTCTGTATTGAGCTAGCTACATAAGGCATAATTACTTTATCTTAAAACGAGGCCCCTTCTAGTCTTAGAGTGCTATGATTACCCTGTTTGGTTATTGTGAACAGCCTGGTAGGCACTTTTCTCTGAGAAGATAGGGGAACAGCTGAGAAACAATGTAAGACACCATTAAATCTACTTACAACTGAAGGTAGGAAGAAAATTAATGAATTAAGTAGGGACTCTGTGGATTTCTTTCCTACTCTTTTCCTTATCCACTAATCCTAGCTTTCAAAAAAAAGGTGGGGAATATGTAAAATGAACTGCTATAAAGGGGTGAGCCATAGGATACTCAAACCTAGTACTTCTCCACCGAGCCCATACACCAAAAAAGGCATATAGATAGAAGTTTTGACCCACGCTTGTGGTATTTTGAAAATGGGCCACGTATTTAAGAAATACCAAATTATAAATATTAGCTATATATTAGAGCTTGGTCTAGACCAGGGTTTCTCAGCCTCAGCACTACTGACATTTAGAGTGTATAATTCCTTGTTGCAGGGAGCTGAGCTGTGCATTGTAAGATGTTTAGCAGAATCCCTGGACACTGCTCACTAGATGTCAATAGCAAACTGTCCCACCTTCTAATTTTGGTAATCAAAAATGTCCTCAGACATTACCAATGTCTTCTGGGTGGTAAAGTCACCCTCTTTTAAGAACCACTGGTCTAGACAAAATGATGAGGGATATTATAATGTTTTATTTTGATGTGTCTGTCCCTGTCACCTTTCCTGTCTCCTGCCTCGGGCATTTCTCTATTCATTTATTTAAGAGGTGTTTATTAAATAACGACTACGTGCCAGGCACTGTGCTAGGAGATGAGGATACAGTAGTGAAAAAGAAAATGGTCCCTAATCATGGAGTTTACAATTTCACAGGGGAGACAATGTGAAACAAATAATTCTAAATAATACAGCATACAAAACAGAAATACAGGTTACCTGCACACACAATTACAACCACTGTTTCCCCTAATCCTATTAATATTATAGTAGATGGTTTAAGAAGGAATTAATCTACAAGAGAATGACAGTAGTAGAGGGATAGAACAACACAATTTTGAAAACTAGGAAGTAGATGGAGGAACTAGAGTGCAATATTATAATAAGAAATATATACTTGATCTCTGCCTCATTTTCTATCACATAGCTCAGAAAACCCTCAGAATCTCTGAAGTAATATGTGCCTTTTTCTATGCCACTGAGGTGTCTAATGGCTGGAAGACGACAGAACAATACCTTCAATGTTCTGAAGAAAAAATCTAATAATCAAGAATTCTATATCCATCCAAACTATTAAATAAGTGATAAATAGAAGACATTTCAAGACATTCAAGGTCTCAAATTATTTCCTAAATGTTACAGTTTTATGTGGCTTCATGGAAAAGATCTCAAAACTTAGTGACTTGTAGCAACTATATCTTTTGATTCCAAGAATTTGGATGGAGCACAGAGGAGACAGATTGTCTCTATTTCTCAATGTCTATTATCTCAGATGGGTGAGTTGAACAGCTTGGGGGTTGCTGGGCATTTCTCTCTTTCCACATAGTCTTTCACAGGTTTAGTTTGGGCTTTCTCACAGGCCACAGTGTGGGTTCCAATGGGGATGCTCCATCACCGCCACTGCCATCACCCATATCACACCAGCTTCCAAGGGCCCAAGAACTTGCTCACATGCCCAGCAACCCCCCCTCCCCCGCCATTGGCATTACCAGCACCCTCCCAAGCCACCTAGAGGCAAGGATCAACCCTCCTGGACCCAATAACACCAGTGCCGGCACAAGCTGCCTTGAAGCCAAAGAACAGGCATGCTAAGCTCACCACTACCACCACTGAGACCTGGTGACTGGCCCATGGCATCCTACTCCCCAGCAAAACTTCATCACAGTCTCAAATAATAACCACATCATAAGCCACTGAGTAAATCACAGATACCACTGATACTGTTTATAGCCAAAGAAGTCATACAGAAATTACAATACTGCATGCTCCCAAAAGAAAAGCCAAAGTGCCCTACCCAACCAACAACGTTATATACACCTTCAGGAGAAAGTCCTTCCCTAAGAAAGCAATTTCAAAAAATTGGAAGAAGCAACAGTTACACCAGATACACAAATATCAACATAAAAAAGCAAGGAAATATGAAACCTCGCAAGGAACATAATTATTCTCCTGCAACATATCCCAATCAAAAAGAAATTTATAAGCTGGGCTCAGGGCTCATGCCTGTAATCCCAACACTTTGGGAGGCCAAGGCCAGTGGATCACTTGAGGCCAGAAGTTTGAGACCAGCCTGGCCAACATGGTGAAACCCCATCTCTACTAAAAATTTTTTTAAAATTGCTGGGCATGGTGGGAGGTGCCTGTAATCCCAGCTACTTGTTAGGCTGAGGCAGGAAGAATTGCTTGAGTCTGGGAGGTAGAGGTTGCAGTGAGCTGAGATCACACCACTGCACCCTGGCCTGGGCAACAGAATGACATCTCAAAAATAAATAAATTTATAAAATTCCAGATAAAGAATTCAAAATACTGATTTTAAAGAAGCTCTGTGAGATACAAGAGAATTCTTGAAGAAGTCAGATAAACAGTTCAGAATATGAATCAGAAATTTACTAAAGACATAGACATTTTTAAAAAGAACCAAACAGAAATTCTGGAAGTGAATAGTTCATTGAATGAAATACAAAATACATCTAAAAACTTCATCAACTGACTAGATTGAGCAGAAGAAAGAATATCAGAAATTGAACATGGGTCAGGGCCAAGAATATTAGATCCAGCAAAATTATCCTTTGTAAATGAAGAAGAATTAAAGTCTTTCCTAGACAAGCAAATGCTGAGGGAATTCATTACCACTAGACCAGCTCTACAAGAAATGCTCAAGGCCATCCTAAACCTGGAAGCAAAAGAATGTCATTTGCCATCATGAATACACATCAAACTGTAAATCTCACTGGTAAAGAAATCACACAGTGGAGGAAAGGACTCAAATGGTACCATGACAGAAACCCACCAAACCACAATGACAAACAATAACAGAAAAAAAAATTAACAAAGAATATATTGAAAATCAGAAAACAATTAGCAATGTGACAGGAACAAAACCTCACATAGCAATGTAAATGGATCAAATTATCCAATTGAAAGATACAGAATGGTTGAATTGATATTTTTTAAATGATTCAGCTATATGCTGCTTTTGAGGAATTCATCTCACTAGTAAAGACATATAGACTGAAAGCAAAGGGATGAAAAAAGACATTCCATGCAAATGGAAACCGAAAGTGAGTAGGAGCAGCTATATCCGATAAAACAGACTTTAAGTCAAGAACAGTTAAAAAAAAGAAAGGACAAAGATGATAATTATATGTTAGTGAAAGTCAATCCAGCAAGAGAATACAACAATTCTAAACATATATGCACCCAAGGCTGGAACACCCAGATTCATAAAGCAAATATTCCTATATCTAAAGAGAGAGATAGACTGTAGTACAGGAATAGTGGGGGATTTCCCAACACCCCACTCTCAGCATTACACAGCTTATCTAGACAGAAAATTGACACAAAAAATTGAACTTAAAGTAGGCTTTATTTAGTCATTTACAGAACATTCTATCCAACAACTGCCAAATACACATTCTGCTCATTAGCATATGGAACATGCTCCAAGACAGACTATATGTAAGGCCACAAAATAAGTCTCAGAAAATTTTTAAAAATCAAGTTCATATCAAGTATTTTCTCAGATCACAATAGAATAAAGCTAAAAATCAATATCATGAGAAACTCTCAAAACTAGACAAATACAAGGACATTAAACAACATGTTCTTGAACGACCATTGAGCCAATGAGGAAATCAAAACAGAAATCAAAAAATTTCTTGAAACAAATGAAACATAAATATCAAACATACCAAAACCTGTGGAATACAGCAAAAGCAGTGCTAAGTGAGAAGTTTATAGGACTAAATGCCTGCACCAAAAAGGTAGAAAAATTACAAAGGAGCATTCTAATAATGCACCTTGAGGAGTTAGAAAACCAAGAACAAATTAAATCAAAAATTAGCAGAAGAAAAGAAATAATAAAGATTGGAACAGAACTAAATGAAATAGAGACTTAAAAAAATACTAAAGATTAACAAAATGAAACGTTGGTTCTTCAAAAAAATAAACAATATTGATAAACCACTAGCTAGACTAACCAAGAAGAAAGAAGATCCAAACAAAAACAGAAATGAAAAAGGAAACATTACGACTGACATCACAGGAATACAAAAGATCATCAGAGACTACGATGAACAATTATACACTGACAAACTGGAAAACCTGTAAGATACAGATAAATTCCTGAAAACATACAACCTACCCAGATTCAATCATGAAGAAATAGAACACCTGAACAAACCAATAACAGGTAGTAAGATTGAATGAGTAAGACAACAACAACAAAAAGCCCAGGACCAGATAGATTTACAGCTGAATTCTACCAAATGTACAAAGCACTAATATCAATCTTCTTGAAGTTATTTCAAAATATCAGAGAGGAGGGAATTCTTCCTAACTCATCTATGAGGTCAGCATCACCCTAATATCAAAACTACAAGGAGACAACAAAAAAGAAAACTACAGGCCAATATCTCTGATAAACATAGACACAAAAATCCTCAACAAAATACTAGCAAACCAAATCCAACAGCACATCAAAAAGATAATACCCCAGGGCCTGGCAGAGTGTATTATCTTTTTGATGTGCTGTTGGATTTGCTATTGGATTATCACATCTGTAACCCCAGCACTTTCAGAGGCCAAGGCAAGGTGGTAGGATTACTTGAGCCCAGGAGTTCAAGACCAGTATGGGCAACATAGTGAGACCCCATCTCTACAAAAAATACAAAAATTAGTCAGGTGTGTTGGCATCCACCTGTAGTCCCAGCTATTCAGGAGGCTTACGTGGGAGGATTGCTGGAGCCCAGAAGGTTGAGGCTGTAATAAGCTAAGATCACACCACTGCACTCCAGCCTGGGCAACATAAGGAGATCCTGTCTCAAACAAACAAACAAATAAACAAAAAACAAAAAGATAATATACCATGATCACATGAGATTTATACCAGGGATATAACAATGGTTCAACATATGCAAGTCAATAAACATGATATATCATGTCAACAGAATGAAGGACAAAAACTACATAATCATCTCAATAGATGCAGAAAAATCACTTAATAAAATTCAACATGGCTGCATGATTAACAAAAAAAACTCTCAACAAACTATGTATAGAAGGAACATACCACAAAATAAGAAAGGCCATATACAACAAACCCACAACTAGCAGCATACTGAATGTGGAAAAGTTGAAGGCCTTTCCTCTAAGAACTAGAACACGACAAGTATGCTCACTTTCACCACTCCTGTTCAACACAGTGCTGGAAGTCCTAACCAGAGCAATCAGACAAGTGAAAAAAATAAACAGCATCCAAAATGGAAAAGAGGAAGTTAAATTGTCCCTCTTTGCTATTGATATGATATACCTAGAAAAAACTAGACTACACACACACACACACACATGCACACGCGTGCACACACACACACAACTCTTAGATTTGATTAATGAATTCAGTAAAGCTGCAGGATGCAAAATCAATGCCCAAAAATCAGTGGTATTTCTATACATCAATAATGATCTAGCCAAGAAAGAAATCAAGAAGGCATTCCAATTTACAATAGCTACAAAAACAAAGAAAGAAATAAAAACCTAGGAATATATTTAACCAAAGAGGTGAAAGATCTCTACAAGGAAAACTACAAAACACTGATGAAAGAAATTGAAGATAATACAAACAAATGGAAAAACATCTCAAGCTCATGAATCAGAATTAAAATTGTTAAAATGACCATATGGACCAAAGCAATCTACAGATTCAATGCAATTTTAATGATAACATCCCATCATTTTTCACAGAACTAGAAAAAACAGTCCTAAAATGCATGTGGAATCAAAAAAGAACCCAAGAGCCAAAGCAATCCTGAGCAAAATGAACAAAGCTGGAAGCATCACATTGCCTGACTTCAAAATATACCACAAGGCTATAATACCCCAAACAGCATCATACTGGTATAAAAATAGGCATATAGACCAATGGAACAGAACAGGGAACCTAAAAATAAGGCCACACACTTACAGTCAACTGATGTTTGACAAAGACACCAAGAACTCATATTGGAGAAAGGACAATCTCTTAAATAAATGGTGCTGGAAAAATAGGATAGCCACATTCCAGAAGAAGGAAACTGGACCCCTATTTCTCACCACATACCAAAATCAACTTGAAGTTGATTAAAGACTTAAACACAAGCTCTAAAACTATAAAAATACTAGAAGAAAACCTAGGGAAAACTCTTCTGGGCATTGGTCTAGGCGAAGAATGTATGACTGAGACCTCAAAAGCATAGATAACAGAAATAAAAATAGACACACGGGACTTAATTAAACAAAAAAAGCTTCTGCACAAAAAAGAAATAATTAACAAAGTGAAGAGACACCCTGTTGATTTGGAGAAAACATTTGCAAACTTCATCCAACAGGGGACTAATATCCAGAATATACAAGGAACTCAAACAACTCAACAGGAATAAAAGGCAACAAATAATTCCATTAAAAAGTGGGAGAGGCTGGGCGCAGTGGCTCATGCCTGCAATCGCAGCACTTTGGGAGGCCAAGGCAGGCAGATCACGAGGTCAAGAGATAGAGACCATCCTGGCCAACATGCTGAAACCCCATCTACTAAAAATACAAAAACTAGCTGGGTGTGGTGGTGCGCCTGTAGTCCCAACTACTCGGGAGGCTGAGGCAGGATAATTGCTTGAACCCGAGAGGCGGAGGTTGCCGTGAGCCAAGATCTCACCACTGCACTCCAGCCTGGTGACAGAGCGAGACTCAGTCTCAAAAAAAAAAAGTGGGGGAAAGCACATGAATAGATATTTCTCAAAAGACAACCTACAAATGGCCAACAGGTATATGAAAAAATGCTCAAATGCTCAACATCACTAATCCATCAGAGAAATGCAAATCAAAACCACAATGAGACATCATCTCACCCCAGTCAGAACGGCTATTATTAAAAAGACAAAAAAAAAATGGATGTTGGTGAGGATGTGGAGAAAAAGGAAGTTGTATACTCTGTTGCTGGGAATGTAAACTGGTGCAGCCACTATGAAAAACAGTATGGAGATTTCTCAAAAAACTAAAAACAGAATTCAATCCAGCAGCCCCACTACCAAGTATCTATCCAAAAGAAACCAATAGATCAAAGGGATACAAAGCATTTGCATTTTTATTGCAGCACTATTCACAATAGCAAATACATGAAACAAACTTAAATACCCATCAATGGATGAATAGGTAGAGAAAATGTGGTAAATATACACAGTGGAATACCATTTGGCCATAAAAAAAGAATGAAATCATGTCATTTGCAGCAACATGAATGATCATTATATTAAGTGAAGTAAGCCAGGCATAAAAAGATAAATATTGTATGTACTTACTTACATGTGGAAGCTAAAAAATTTGATCACCTAGAGGTAGAGTGGAAAGAGATAATGGAGATTGGGAAAGGTGACTGGGGGAAGGAGAAAGAATGAAAAGAAATAGGTTAAAGAGTACAAACATGCAATTAGATAGAAGAGATAAATGCAATGTTTGATAGCAGAGTAGGGTGACTATAGTTAACAAAAAATGTGTTGTACTCAGGTGATGGACATCCTAAATACCCCAACTTGATCACTGTGCATTACATACATGTAACAAAATTTCACATGTATCCCAAAAATTTGTTTAAAAAAATTAAAAAGAAGAAGACAGCGGAACTAAATAGGGGAATCCTACATAAGAGAAAGGCAAAAAGAATCCCCAAAATGCAATGTGAAAGAGATATCAGGATTACAACTGTGAAGCCGCTCTAAGAACAGAGATCAAGGAATAGATAGATGTCTATGATTTTTAAAATAATAATAACCTTGCTTAAATAATTAATGTGTCAGAACATAGTGAGAAGAGAAGATTTATACTGTGGGGGATCGGGGGAGAATTAATGATAATTTAAAAATGAAAAAGAGGTGCATAGAATCAACACATTGAAGAGAAATTTTGCACTAGACACTTGTTAAAAATGGCAAGGAAGACTTTACTCAAGACTATTGCAATAGAGGAGAGAGATTGAACTCAATTCTAAATACAACAGGGATAACAACCTAAGTGACAAGAGTGAGACCCTACCTCAAAAATCAATCAATAAATAAATACAACAGGGATAAGTGGGAATATATATTCAAGGGGCATGATGAGGGAGTCATTGGATAGAAACATACTAAAGAGGGACTTGGTTAGGTATCAACAACATTGGGGGAGAAGAACTTGATTAGACATCAAGGGTAGGGAGGAGAGCTTGATTAGATATCAAAGGTGGTGGGATTCTCTATAAACTGGCTAAGCAGTATCCAAAGCTAAAACTAGACTTGGCAAGCCAAAGATTGGGCCAAAGAGAAAGTCTAGTCAAAGGAGGGCTCAGAGGAGCCTGACTACATTTGCTCAATAAGGGAGTCTTTGTCAAATGAACTATTTCCTTCCCTTCCTTTCTTTCCTTCCTTCCTTCCCCACTTCTTTCTTTTGTTCATCCTTTCTTTCTTTTGTTCTTTCTTTCTTGTCTGTCATCCAGGCTGGAGTGCAGTGGTGCCATCATAGCTCACCGTAACCTTAAACTCCTAGGCTTAAGAGATCTTCCCACCTCAGCCTCCTGAGGAGGTGGGATTACAGGTGCATGCTGCTATGCCTGGCTAATTTTTTTTTTTATTTCTGTTATTTTTGGAGATGAGATCTCAGTATGTTGCCCAGGCTGGTCTTGAACTCCTGTCCTCAAGTGTTCCTCCCACCTTGGCCTCCCTAAGTGTTGGGATTACAAGTATTACATGCCACAAGGCATGACTATCTTTTAAAAACAAATGCAAACTGTTTGCTTTGTTATTTTTAATACATTTTTACAGATTATTTCTGTAAACCAAAAATAAAATTCTATGACCCCCGCAACCATTTGAATGGACTCCCTCCTCTTGGCCAGGGCACTCCTAAGATAACCTGAAAGACTGGTTCAGGCCATGACGGGAATGGCGGATTGGACATGCCTCATTATGCCGTCCTCCCTTTTGGAATTCAGGAAAAGCTGACCAGCATTTAACATCAACACAAACCCTAAGTCTGATAAGAAACATTTGCAATGTATTCTCTTTGAAACTTGCTACCTGGAGGCTTCGACTGCATGATAAAACCTTGGACTGCACAACCACTTATCACAACCCAGACTTTGTTTTCTACTGATAAAAACTCTTTCAATCAATTGGCAATCAGAAAATTTTTAAATCTACCTATGACCTGGAAGTCCCCACTTCAAGTTGTCCTGCCTTTTTAGATTGAACCGCTGTAAATCTTACATCTATTGATTGATGTATTATTATGTCCCCCTAAAATGTATAAAAGCAAGCTGTACCCTGCCACCTTGGGCACATGTTGTCAGGACCTCCTGAGGCTGTGTCTCGGGTGTGTCCTTAGCCTCGGCAAAGTAAACTTTCTAAATTGATCAAGACCTGTCTCAGATACTTTTGGGTTCACATTTCACACACAGAAATTGTGAGAACAAATTTTTATGGAGGCCTAGAAGAAAGCACTATAAACTTTGCAAAATAAGTGCAGGAGAGGCAGGTGATAGTGATACAGCATTTCCCCCAATAATTACCCCCCCAAAAATGGCTGGTGCACTGAAGAAAACTTTAATTCCCCTACAGTTTTAACTAGGCTCAGCCATGAACATGGGGAAGGCTGGCATTTGTGCAATGACACTGGGGTTCTCCACTACATGTCTGGTCATCCTATCAGTACCTTAAACCTGCCCACAACCAGTTCCTAAAAAGGAAAAGCAGTGTTCTTTTGCCAGCAAAATTGGGGTTTAGTTGAAAGTAAAAGGATGTATTTGAAAAGTTATATCTGCCTTTAAAGAATAAAAGGATCTATCTTTGCACCTGATAACAAATTAACAAAATCTCAAATGGATAAAGCTTGTGTGATGAGACCAAATCACACAAAGTGAAGAAGTCGAATTTTGTTTAATTTAAATGATAGAGAATAGACATGCGCTGAGTTACATTTTCCTTAAAAAATCACCCTGAATGCTATGTAGAGGATGGGTTGTAAGGGGGCAAACATAGAAGCATGGAGACCAGTTAGATAGTTACTGCAGCCAATTATTTGGACTAAGAGAGTAAAGATAGAGAATAAAAGAGATAATCAGATTTGAGATTGATTTTGGAGGGTGAGCTGACTAGATTTGCTGATGGATGGACACAGGGGTGACAGAAAGGAAGGAATCAAGAATGACTTCTAGGTTTTTAGCTTGAACAACTAAGTAGATATGTCATTTACTGAAATGATAAAGACAAGAACAGATTTGAGAGAGGAATCAAGAATTCTGGTTTCAAATGATTATTAGCTATCAAATTTCATATTAAGGAGGAGGTTGGATATGTAAGTTTGGATCTTAGTGGGGCTAGTGAAATACATTTGGAAATTGTCATAATTCTGGTGGTTATGAGATTGCCTAGAATGAGGATAAAGACAGAAAACAAACAGAGAAACCAAAATCAAGCCTATAGAGTACTCAAAAATTTAGGAGTTGAGCAAAGAAAGAAAACCCAAAGGAGTGAAACAAAAGCCAATGGTATGGGAAAAAATCCAAAGAACATGGTCTCAGGGAAGCCAAGGGTGTTTTAAGAGTGGAAGAGTGGTTAACCACATGCCAATTGGTCAGTAAGATGAAATCATAAAGAATGTTAACCATCGTTTTTGACTAGCTGGAGTCACTATAAATCTTGGTGAAAATGAAAACTATAGTAAGGTTAAGTAAGATTAAGAAGGAATGGAATGTGAGGAGTTAGAATAGGATGTAAAGAAATTGTAGAGATAGTATAAGGAGCCAGGGTTCTTTTTGAAAAAAAGCATCTAATAACTCCCATTCTTTTTTAGAGAGAAAGAGAGAGAGAGCACACAGGAAGGAGGCTAAACTTGCTTGCATAAGCGTCCCACTCTCTCAATAACCTTAATCCATTCATAAGGACGGAGCCCTTGTGATCTAATCACCTCTTAAAGGTCCCACCTGTCAACACTGTTGTATTGAGTATTAAGTTTCCAGCACATAAACTTCGGAGGACACATTCAAACCATTGCAGGGAGTTATATGCACTTCCTCATGAGACTGTCAGTATATCAGAAAAGCTGTGTGAACAGCTTGTGACAGCTGCCCCAATGGCTGTTCCATAGGCTCTGGACAGGCGAGTGAGAGACGATGCAGGGTTTGGGTATTCTCTCTTTCTTTCTTCTCTTGAAGGGAGGGATAGGGAAATGAGACTTAACCCCAAAATCCACAGTGGTCTTACACTTTACCAAGACACAGGGTACAAAATTCCCCCTGGGAATGACAAATATCAAAAACCAGGATCAAAAGTCCTCAGTAAGAAAGGAAGAAAACATTTGGCCCCACCCTCAAAGGGCAAGAGTGCTGAGGGAAAGCAGGACTCTCATTCTGAGTGACTTGAGCACCAAAAGTTTTATGTCTGGTCTTGAGACATCAACGGGCCCTTGGTGGAGAGGAAAAAAAACACCGTGGTGTTATTCAACAGTACCTCCAGACCAGTCCCTGGGGAAATTGTTCCAAGTTCCTCAAACAGTGGAGCCAGTAAAATTGAAAGAGTAAGACTACCTCTTGGGGGCCTAAAATATCTGTGGCCACTATGCGAAAATATCAGGTCAGACCACCCAAGATTTCCAGAGTGGTATTCATTTTCATTGATGGCTTCTTCAACCAGGAGCAGGCCACAGGCTAGAGTGGTAGCGATGGAGAGCAGAGAGGTGGTTCCCAGAGCAGCAGTCATGAGAGGAGACGGGCCAGTGAGCAGCCTGAAAGCAGAACACACAACAACAGCAGGAAAGCTACAACAGCTGCAGAGGACCATGTGGAAAGGGAGATGCCTCAATGGTTTAGAATTCTATATTAAAAACAGTGGTGGTTTGGAAGAAGCCCCAAGATAACTGCTACCAAACCTGTGAAATATAATTTAGGTGCCTCAAACATGCCTCTGTGACCTGAGGCTCTTCCTGCTGCCTGGAACGTTCCTCTTGGGCTGAAGTGAGACCAACTTCTTATTCTTCAGGTACGAGCTAAAATGTATCTCAGCGTGGAGGCCATCCCTATTTAAAGATCTCCCTGTGATAGTCTAACGCAGCCCTGTTTTTCCTTGAGAGTACTGCATTTCGCTGATTCTGATATATACTTTTTTTTCATATTTTAACATATCTGAAGTTGGAATGAATCTTATAATCAATACTGTGTCATAGTTTAATTGGCCACAGTTTTTCTAAGTGATTTTTTTAAATGGTGCATTTTATAACCTGTGCCATTTCTATTCAAGAAAATAGAGTTTTCATCATATTCAGTGAGTGTTGTTTGTATGTTTACTGTTTGTTTGTCTACTCTATAAAACTGTAGGCTTCTTTAAAGCAAGCACTAGCATGTAGTACAATGCCTGGTGCATCATATGTATTCAATAATGATTAATCAAATGACTGAATTCATTAATTTTATGTATTTATTTTAATTTTTTTTGAGACAGGGTCCTACTATGTTGCCCAGGCTGGTCTTGAACTCCTAGGCTCAAGTGATCCTCCTGCCTCGGCCTCCCAAAAAGTGGTGGGATTATAGGCATGAGCCATGGAGCTCGGCCTGAATTCATTAACCTTAGGGTTGTACAGCTCTCAGCTGAAGAACACTGTACACAATACTGTGTATAATCAGGTGACTTAAGATTTTTGGACAAAATTGAATATATAGTCTCTCTGTCAGATTCACATGTACCCAATATCTTATCTCAAAGTACTGGTGTTTTTGTTTTTTGGATTTTTTTTTTTTTGAATCTCACTCTGTTGCCCAAGCTGGAGTGCAGTGGTGCAATCTTGGCTCACTGCAACCTCTGCCTTCTGGGTTCAAGCAATTCTCCTGCCTCAGCCTCCCGAGTAGCTGGGACCACAGGTGCACATCACCACGTCCAGCTAATTTTTTTGTATTTTTAGTAGAGATGAGGGTTTCACCATGTTGGCCAGACTGGTCTCGAACTCCTGACCTCAAGTGATCTGCCCGCCTCAGCCTCCCAAAGTGCTGGGATTACAGGTATGAGCCACCACACCCAGCCTCAAGGTACTGGTTTTAAGCAGAAATTTCCAAACAAGTAGATACCTTAAAACAAAGAACACATATCTGTCTAAGCAGAAAAAATTTTTTGTATTAGAGATTTCTCAGAAAATCACTTTTAAAGGGGAGATAATAATAGAAAGTATTTATGCAGCATCTCTCAGTGTAATGCCCCGGTGCTTTGACAAGTACACTATTTTTGAACATGGAAAAAAACTCATTGTCATACATTATGACCAGTTTCTCCTGCTTAATACTATAGTTAAGTCTAATCCTATGTTTATAACCTCTTAATCTACTTCCGTGGAGGAAATAGATTTCACCTTATCTATTCACTTGATACTAACTCAAATAAGTAGAAAAACCAGGGGATTTAATCTTGGCTAAAATAATTTAGCAATTAGCAAATATTTCAAGGAACGCCAGTTAGAAACATAGGAAACATAAATGGATTTCAATGCATGGTTGATCTTTTTGAAAATTTTCCTCTGAATGAACGTCCTTCTTTAACACTGATGCAAGGCTCTGGATAAATCTTATTATTATTAAAGTCCCCAGTAGTGAGAATTTAAATCAAATTTATGCAAAATGAGAAAAATGGGTCACTTCTGCCACTGCCTTATTCTTGGAATTTTTTTTTAGCAAAATAGAGCTGAGAATAAAAATCATCTCAATTTTACACTACACCATATCTCCCTTGTAACATTCAGATAATGATTCTGAAGCTATTTGGTATGATGGATGAAGAAATGCATTCTGAGCTTGGGCAAATCACGCAGGACCTCTGTTTCTGCTTTTGCAAGTCTGACTTGTCAAGGGCCCCTCCCATCTCCTCAGAGAAAGCTTCCAGACATCCCTGGTCAGAATCGGAGTCTCCTTCCTCTTCTGGACCCACTTAACATGTAGTTTCTACTTCTTGTGTAACAATTATGCAGTGAACCCTGTAGTGCAAATGAGTGTGTGTGCATTTGTCTACCTCGGAAGGGTGTGAACTCCTGGAGTGTCAGGACTGTTTTCATTCATCCTTGGGTCTTGCACATGGAAGATGACTCATATTTTGCCATATCAAATTGAATTGCTTTAAAAGATTAGCTTTGGCTTATTCAGTTTATGCTCCCTAAGGTTATGTTTTTATGTACTAGTATTGCAGATTAGGAAAAAAAAAAAAACCCAGCTCATCTCAAACCCTCGTGGGTCTTTTTGTGTGACATAGAATGAGAGCTGAGCTGAGCCCAACCTCGGTTAAGAGAGTGCCTCCAGCAGTTCAGACCCAGTTCATGTCCTGAGATAAGACTGGGAGGGGCTTCCCTGGGCCCTGGGAAGAGAGGGGTTCCTACGAGATGAGAAAAGTATTCCCTTAGGTTCTCAGAGAAAATGGCAATGCTCTATGTGGACTATGCACCCATTAGAGACCCAATGCTCTATGTGGACTATGCAGCCGTTAGAGCCATTAGAGACTCTATGTGGACTCTGCAGTATTAGAGCCATTGGAGACCCGTATTTATGCAATCTAATCCTGGGTCAAATACTCATTTTCCAGGTGATGATGGACAAGTCCCTTAAGCCTTCTGATCAGCAGCTTCTTGAACTCTAAAATGGGAAATCTAATATTAATGATATCCTACAACATGGACTGTTGTGAAAACTAATAAAGACAAAGCCTTCTCAAGCACTATGAAGCATTCAGTGCTAAGTACAATGAAAATAATGTGGCCAGAGGCCTCGGGCCTGTGCCAGATGGAACCAGCTTTGGCCACTCTTTCCCATACTGCTGCTCCCAGCTGACAGAGGTTTGGCTGAAGATTCTGCAAGGACCCGTGCATCAGTATTCCCACAAGGAGCTGCAGGGCACACACAAGTGTGTGCTGAGAAAGCCCCCAAGAAAGATGGAACCCACGTGGGGGCATTGCTAATGCTGTCCCAGAAAACAAGCCCAGGGATTTTCCCAGCTCTATACATTGCTTTGTGTTTATCAGTGCTTTGACCAGCAGCTATTCATTTGTGATATGAAACTCTTAAAATAAAATCTTTTTTATTTTAGCAAGTTTTATTGAGGGAACCTGGCTGCAGGCAGGATTTCAGTCTTATATCTGCATAAAGCCTAAATTGTTGGCATGTTGAAATATTTCCTTAGAAAAACCAAGGTGTTTGATGTTGCTTAGCCACACCAATTGACTGGACTTCTCACTTCCTAACCAGTTGCCTTGGTGTTGCTTAGATGAAGCCCAGATTAATTTTTTTCTCGGTCACTTCTTATAAAATCTGAAATCTGAAAGTTCAGCCCTAACCACCTCACAAAATGGTCAGTCTTGTTCTTGACCTCATTAACAAAGGACTGTCCTTCCAACTCACACCAATCTGGGGGAGGAAATAAACCAGACAGCCCGAATGACGACAGAGTGGGATGAAATAACCCCTCCCTGGGACAATGCCTTTTCCTGTTTCTGGAGGCTCCTCCTATTCCCACACTGGCTTCTGCATCCGTTACTTGGCCAGGATCCTCTTTCACATCAAAGTGTCCCTCCTTGGGCTTCAGAAGTAGGGGCATAACCTTAGTTTCTACAGGAAGGCATTTTCATCCCAAAGGAAAGGGAAAAACCATGTGTTTGGTTGCTATACAATTACAAGCCACTTTCCTTGTTTTTCATTTTACAGTCGTGCACATGAAAAGTATAGGCAGGCTTTTAGCTACGATGGGCCAAACATTTGGTTCCTAGACTTCTATAGTTTGAGCTGGAAACATTAAAATAATTAAACTGCAGCCATTAGTCTTCATGAATAATATTAAATGCCTGAGTCAGGAAAAGTTTTAGGAGAGGATACGATTTTCTTTTTTACTTCAAAAACACATGAAAGGGCATAATCTGGACAGATATTTAAGGAAGAGAGGTTGAAGAATGCCATGCATTCCATCTCAGACTAGGCTATGGGGACTCTACGTGGGAGGTCTGGATTTAAATCCAGTTTTGAATGACTGAATGTAATCGGTGATGGTAGGGCACTACAGCTTTCCCAAAGCTGTCAATTTGTGTCATTATCAAAAGCACTTATTTGGTACCTAATATGTCTATGCATGGCAGATGTTTAAATAGGAATGTCCCTGCCTTTCTGGGGCCTCTGATCTAAAATGGTGCAGATACTCTTGGAAATGGGGTAAATAGCAGAACCTTGGGTGGGAGAGAGCATGTCCAGTAGTATTTTTTTAGTGTGTAATTAGGGTGGGAGAGACTAGAAAGTTTTAACTGGTGGAGAATACAATTCATCATCACTGGAAGGCGACCCTGTAGAAGAGTATCACATTTGGGGTGTGGGAGCTGTTGATCAAAAGATAGCATAATTTTCAGCCAGGCGTGTTGGCTCATGCCTGGAATCCCAGCATTTTGGGAGGCTGAGGCAGGTGGATCACTTGAGGTCAGGAGTTTGAGACCAGCCTGGCCAACATGGTGAAACCCTGTTTCTTTTTTCCTTTTATTTTATTTATTTATTGTTTTGGAGACAGAGTCTTGCTCTGTTGCCCCGGCTGGAGTGCAGTGGCATGATCTCGGCTCACCGTGACCTCTGCCTCCTGAGTTCAAGCGATCCTCCTGCCTCAGCCTCCCCAGTAGCTGGAATTACAGGTGTGTGCCACCACAATAGGCTAATTTTTGCATTTTTGGTAGAGACAAAGTTTTCCCATGTTGTCCAGGCTGGTCTTGAACTCCTGAGCTCAGCCAATCTGCCCACCTTGGCCTCCCAAAGTGCTAGGATTAAAGGCGTGAGCCACCTCACCCGGCCTGAAATCCCATTTCTACTAAAAATACAAAAGTTAGGTGGGCATGGTGGTGCATGCCTGTAATCCCAGCTACTGGGGAGGCTGAGGCAGGAGAATTGCTTGAACCTGGGAAGCAGAGGTTGCAGTGAGCCAAGATCATGCCACTGCATTCCACCCTGGGCCTCAGAGCAAGACTCTCTCTCAAAAAAAACAAAACAAAAAAAAAAAGCATAAGTTTCAAAAACTGAAGAAATACTGTTCTAAAAGTATTCATTCATCATTTGCTCATTCAGAATTTACTGACTGCTTCCTGGATGCCCCAATGTGTAGCTGGCACTATAAAAGGTATAAAACAAGTAGACTCATCCAGACATTGACAAAGTCATGTACACTCAGGAGCCCATAATGGCACAACATTGAAGCAATGAGGTAGAAGTGAATTATCCCAATCCACACCAACAGAATTGTTATATGAATCTCAATCACTTTGGGATAGATGAGGATATAGACTTAGAAACAGAAAAGCACAATATCTAACTGACCCTAAGTAACCTCAAAGCAAGCATCCTTAGTGTTCTTTTATCCTTCATATGCTCACACTGAGGTAGAAAAATTAAGCTTTGTGGACACAGGAAGGGGAACATCACACACCAGGGCCTGTTGTGGGGTGGGGGGAGGCAGGAGGAATAGCATTAGGAGATATACCTAATGTAAATGATGAGTTAATGGGTGCAGCACACCAACATGGCACATGTATACATATGTAACAAACCTGCACGTTCTGCACATGTACCCTAGAACTTAAAGTATAATAAAAATAATAATAATTAAAAAAAGAAAAATTAAGCTTTGTGTGGCTGAATTATAAATTTCCCTTAACAATTAAGAAAATGGCCAGACGCGGTGGCTCACGCCTGTAATCCCCGCACTTTGGGAGGCCAAGGTGAGTGGATCACGAGGTCAGGAGTTCCAGACCAGCCTGGACAAGATGGTGAAACCCTGTCTCTACTGAAAATACAAAAATTAGCTGGGCGTGGTGGTGGGTGCCTGCAATCCCAGCTACTCGGGAGGCTGAGGCAGGAGAATCGCTTGAACTCGGGAGGCGGAGGTTGCAGTGAGCCAAGATCACACCACTGCACTCCAGCTTGGGCGACAGAGCAAAACTCTGTCTCAAAAAAAAAAAAAAAAAAAAAAAAAAAACACAGTTAAGAAAATGTTTCTTTACCAGAAGTGAATACTGTAGGTTTTACTCTTGGGTTAGGGAAAAGGAACATTGGAAGTGAATCAGATCTTCCATTAGGGCCATGTAATCATACTGTTATTACAATGAAAAACAAAAAGGAAGAGAAAAGAGAGGAAAAAGAGAGCAAGATAGAAAAGATTGGATTCCAGTCTGCTAAAGCTGTCTTGTCTCTGACTGAGAAACCTGTTTGGTAACCTGAATGACACCGATTCCTACACCTACAGACAAGCGAGAGGAAATGAAACAGCATTGGTGAAGCATTCCTTTTTGTTGTTTGCTTGTTTGTTTGTTTGTTTGTGTTTTGAGATGAAGTGTCACTCTGTAGCCCAGGCTGGAGTGCAATGGCGTGATCTCAGCTCACTGAAACCTCCGCCTCCCTGGTTCAAGTGATTCTCCTGCCTCAGCCTCCCAAGTAATTAGAATTACAGGTGTGTGCCATCTCACCTAGCTGGTTTTTTTTTTTTTTTTTTGTATTTTTAGTAGAGATAGGGTTTCACCATGTTAGCCAGGCTGGTCTCAAACTCCTGACCTCAAGTGATCCACCCACCTCGGCCTCCCAAAGTGCTGGGATTACAGGCATAAGCCACCGCGCCCAATGGTGAAGCATTCCTTATGCCCTATGTGCTTTAATACCATTATCTTATTTGATCCTGACAATAGCTTTCCAGGAAGGTGTTAACAACTCTCATTTTATAGATGAGGAAACTGAAGTTGAACGAGTTTAAGTAACTTGCCTAAACTCATACAGCTAGTAAGTAGCAGAGCCGGGAGTTAAATCCAGGGCTGTCTGACGTCAGAGCTCATGAATTTTCTCCTACTTACACTCCTTTCATTTGATGCTCAAAGCTCCAGAGAAAAATGTATGTATATAAGGCCCTGGTTGAGTGGAGGACAAATATTCCCTCTAAAATCTCTACCTGTTCAACCTCCCCAGGAATACATCAGACTACTCTTCAAATATAGTCTTCCCATGTCCCTGACCCACCTAAATTGTTCACTCTTTCTTTAATATTATTATAATGGAACTCATGGTTTATATTTGAAATGAATTGTATATTGTTGTTTGAAGTGCATATGAAAGGCAATGCTATGTAAAGCCTAACAAGTGATTATTAAAACTTTATATACCTGTATACTTACGTGTATATAAAATATTGCAAAATAAAATAATATTTAAAGAGATGTGCATTTATTTTTGTCATTTTGATGCAAAACTAGCTGTATTCTGACTATTTATAAAGTTATTTCCTTACATGTTTTCTATTTTTTTTCCATCCTGTCATTCTTATTCCCCGGGTAATCTCTATATATCTAAGGAAGAGGAAGCAAGAAGTTGTTGCACCTGTGTTTACTAATTATAGTGTTAGTGCTTTGTATATAATGTTTGTACTTTGTTAGAATGCTGATTATCTCTCAAGCAGCTAACCCTACTTAGACCTGACAACGATTTAAATTCAAATATCTTCACAGCAGGCAATTTTATTAATGTTTTACATGGCACACCAAAGAAGTGAGCTGATTTGGGTGTGTTTGGTTTGGGCTTTATTTTTTCTTTCCATTTTTGGAAGAATATTGTGCTTTAGAAAAGTATGTTCAGTTGGCCTATACCATTGGAAAACTTTATTGAATTGTTCAACCCATATGCCACAAGCCTGAACCTAGGAGACACCAGCTCCAAGAAAAAGCAGTGTGTTCTATCTCTGTGACTGATTTCATTTTTGGATTCTCTTTTGAGTCTGCCAATAAGTTCCAGGTGGGATGTGTTGGTTTTTGAGATGCAAGTTACCTGTTCACTGGGAGCAGAGGAAGACCTCTTGTTTGGGGCTCCCACAACTGACAGATGGCAGTGACTTTGGTCACTGATGATGTCTGGATTCAACTCAGCTTAGAAGAGAAACCATAATACCTTGTAAGAATTTCCTTTGCTCCACCCAGTCATTCTAGTAAAGAAAAGAAGACTTGAAAAGCTAAGACTCCAATGCCACACGTGCCACATTAACATCTAGACGAGGGCTTGAGGGAATCTCCCTGGAAACCGAAAAAGAAAAGAAAAAAACTGTCTAGGTCATGGGTAGCCAATCTTTTAGCTTCCCTAGGCCACACTGGAAGAAGAAGATTGTCTTGGGCCACACATAAAACACACTAATACTAATGATAGCTGGTGAGCTTAAAAAAATAAAAATAAAAATAAAAAAACTCTTGATGTTTTAGGAAAGTTTGCAAATTTCTGTTGGGTGGCATTCGAAGCCATCCTGGGCCACGTGTGGGCCATGGGCTATGGGTTGGACAGGCTTGCTCGAGGTAATTGTGCTCCCTAACTAGGCAGGACAGCAAGCCTCCCTCCACAAGGAGACCACAGTTGAATGGGGGTGGAGTGAGGTGGAGCTTTTCGTTTGTGAGTATAGTCAGCAATGGAATGGCTGGTGGGTTATACAAATTAAAATTGATTTGCATTCATCTAAAAAAATTAGTAAATACAAGATGCCTATTATATACACAAATGTATTGCAGAAAGACTATAAATGCATGATAAAATGTTAACATACAAAACTTTTTTAATGGAAAAATGTTTGGAAAAGGGTTTCTGAATTCTAGGTTTAGCTTCTTGGGAAAAAAATAATTTGAGTTATCCTGAAGTATCGTATCTGGCCGGATGCAGTGGCTCATGCCTGTAATCCCAATACTTTGGGAGGCCGAGGCAGGCAGATCACCTGAGGTCAGGAGTTAGAGACCAGCCTGGCCAACATGGTGAAACCCCATCTCTACTAAAAATACAAAAATTAGCCAAGTGTGGTGGTGGGCGCCTGTAATCCTAGCTACTCGGGAGGCTGAGGCACTAGAATCACTTGAATCCGGGAAGCAGAGGTTGCAGTGAGCTGAGATTATAACACTGCACTCCAGACTGGGCAACAGAGTGAGACTTCATCTCAAAAAAAATATATATCATGTCTGATCAGTGTACCATGGCCGATGTGAAGGCCAGCTCAGACCAGCCAGAGTGCAACAGAACATTTAAAATTTGTCCTGAAGTTCTTCAATAAAAAAGGAACATAAGGACACCTTTATGTCCTTTAGTGCTCTTTTTCAGAATTCCTTGTCTTCTGTTTGGAAAATAACTTTCATGCTAATATAGTGGAATTAACCAATTCCATAGGCTTTGGAGTCTTAAAGACCCAGATTCAAATACAATTTTGACCTTTGGTAAATGACTTAACATCTCTAAGCCACAGTTTCCTCACAGGTGGAATAGGGTACTTATTTTACAGACTTGTGAGAATTAAGTTAGATTATACATAAATAGCATTTAACACAATTGCTGTCAGATGGTAAGCACTCAGTAATTGTCAGATAGGAATATAATCACAGCTACCCCCTTTTATATTTGTACTGCTTCCACCGTTTTGTACTGAGTCCACCGTTCATATTACTAACATTCTAGCTGCTGATGTGTGGGTTTCCTGGGCAACACAGTAGATCACTTAGGAACATGAATTCAAAAGTCCCACTGCCTGGGCTCAATTCCTGTCTCCCCTATTTATTGGCCCTTTGACCTAGGGTAATTGATTATACTTCACCTCTCTGATTCAGTCTGTCCTTTAAAATAGGAGTGATAATGCCTAGTTCCTAAAGTTACTGTGAGCACCAAATGAGTTAATTCATTAAAGTACTTAAAACAATACCCAGCTGTAGGAAACTCTCAGTAACTATTAGACATTTTTTTTCCCGAGACGGAGTCTCGCTCTGTTGCCCAGGCTGGAGTGCATTGGCAGGGTCTCGGCTCACTGCAACCTCCGCCTCCCAGGTTCAAGCAATTCTCCTACCTCAGCCTCCCAAGTAGCTGGGATTACAGGCATGCGCCACCATGCCCAGCTAATTTTTGTATTTTTAGAAGAGACGGGGTTTCACCATGTTGGCCAGGTTGGTCTTGAACTCCTGACCTCGTGATCCACCGGCCCCAGCCTCCCAAAATGCTGAGATTACAGACGTGAGCCACTGCGCCCAGACTATTAGCTGCTATTAATATCATTTTTATGCCTCTCAATGCAATGGAGTCCTAATGTCATTGAGTTAAGATGCTGGTTGTAATGTCAATAAAGTCTGCTTTCATCCTCACTGTATCCACAAGCACCAAGCACATTATCTGACACTGAGAGGGGCCTCGATGAATACTGAGTTTCACTATCTTCTGTAGACCATAAAGTGGCTTACTAACAGCTCTCTCAGTCTGTGCTATCTCCCTTCAAGTCCATCTGAACTGGCAACCCAGGTCTGTCCCAATCCTCTCCCCTCTGCCTCTCCCATCTGATCTCCCATTGCTTTCCTATCCATACTCCAACTCCAGCAAACACTGCTGATTTCCTCCCCCCAGCCATGGACTGCAGGGAAGGTGGGCCTTGCTGCAGCTGCAGAGGGAGAATCTTTATCCGTTTGGATCAGTCATGGTGTTCTCATTCCTCTTGCCATTGACTAGTGGAAGTATGGACACCTGATAGAATTTTGGCCAATTAGATGTGAGAGCAAGCCTTAGGAAGAGGAGGGAAGTATCTGAGAAAAACTTTTCCTCAGATATGGGATAAAGATAGGTAGAAAGAAATGGTCTCTCCTCCCACTGGATATTGCAGCATTTCCATGTGAGACATGGAGTTACTGCAGCCATCTGGCATGCATGAGGGGAGCTAAGCCAAAGCACTGAGAATGACTGAGGATGTACTGATCTGCAGAATTCATCAACCCTGTACACCCTAGTTAGAGAATTCATGCTATATGAGAGAATACAAATATATCTATACATATTTGATTTGGGCTTTTCTGTTATTTGCAACCCTAAGCAGCCTAACAGATATGCAAGAAACCTTGGCTGGGTGCAGTGGCTCACACCTGTAATCCCAGCACTTTGGGAGGCTGAAGCAGGAAGATTTCTTGAGCCCAGGAGTTCAGAACCAGCCTGGGTAACATAGGGAGAGTCTTTTTCCACTAAAAATTTAAAAACTAACCAGGCATGGTGGTACATGCCTGTGGTCCCAGCTACTCAGGAGGCTGAGGTGGGAGGATTGCTTGAGCCTAGGAGGTTGAGGCTGCAGTGAGCTAGGATCATACCACTGCACTCCAGCCTAAGTGGCATAGTGAAAACCTGTCTCAAAAAAGAAAGAAATCCCCCCCACCCCTGTGCAAAGGCCAATATATAATACTTATCCCAATAAAGTATGCATATCACAAATACATAGCTCACAACAATCTAAGTATACTTATATAACGCAGCACTGAAATAAAAATTAAACGTCATTAATATCTGAATAAAAAAGTTAAAACTAAAACCATTTTTTACCGAACAAATTGGCAAAGATGAAAGACTAATCTTTCTCTTGACTTGGATGTAGAAAAGTGTATTCCCATATGCTTTTGGTAAGAGTATAATTTGGCAACATGTATAAAAATATTAAACACAACAAATAAAAAAAACTTTTAAACATGCTTATCTTTTGATCCAAAAATTTCACTTCTAGGAATTTATCTTAAGGAAATAATCAAATGTACAAAGAGGCATGAGAATCTTTATTGCTGGTGTTTCACAGCAAATATTTGAAAATAATCCAAGTTACCTCCACAGAGGATTAAATAAATTTTTATATATCTTTAAAAAGATGAGATTTTCAGGAATTGACATGGAAAGCGGACCATGATACACTCTTCCATAAAATCAGCATGTTGCAAAATAATAAGTGTAGTATGAACCCACCTGTAGTACAGAAGGATATACATTAACTGTTAACAGAGGTCATTTCTGGGGCATAAAAGCATGGACAGTATTTACTTTGTACACCACTGTAGTATGTTACTTTTTGGATCAATAGGCACATGTTACTATTTCCATCACAAGTCACATTGAAAGAGCTGAGAACAAATACTCTGCAGATCTCTGGATAGATCCCCTATCCAACATACCAGTATCTTCTCCGCCCCAACTTCCCTGCCTGCCTTGCATGGGTCAGTGGCTCTCACCAGGTTGTCCATGAGCCTCTAGTAAGATACAGACATGGTTTAGTTAAGACATCGGGTTTCCATAGTAATCACAAAGAATTCACTGTAAAGATTAGAATTGATTATATAAATGGGAACTTTTATGTTTTATAACTTACTGTAAGAGGAATTATTTTTAAATTTCTATAAGGATTCCAACTATATGACATTCTGGAAAAGGCAAAACTATGAAGACAGTAAAAATAACAGTGGTTTTCAGTGGGTAGAGGGAGAGAGATGAATAGGAGGAGCATGGAGAATTTTTAAGACAATAAAACTATTCTGTGTGATACTACAATGATGGATGCATGTCGTTATACATTTCAAAACCCATAGAATGTACAACACCAAGAGTGAAAGTTAATGGAAATTATGAACTTTGGGTGATACCGATATGTCAATGTAGGTTCACTGATGGTAACAAATGTACTTCTATAGTGCAGGATGTTGGGGGAAGCTATGCATGTGTGGGGGCAGAGGGCATGTAAGAACTTTCCATTCTGTTTTGCTGTGAACCTAAAACTGCTCTAAAAACCCTCTGTGGCTAGGTGTGGTGGCTCACACCTGTAATCCCAGCACTTTGGGAGGCCGAGGTGGGCACAAGTCAGGAGTTTGAGACCAGCCTGGCCAACACGATGAAACCCTGTCTCTACTAAAAATATAAAAACTTAGCCGGGCATGGTGGTGCAGGAGAGGCTGCTACTTGGGAGGCTGAGGCAGGAGAATCGCTTGAACCCAGGAGGCACAGGTTGCAGTGAGCCAAGATCGCGCCACTGCACTACAGCCTGGGCAACAGACCAAGACTCTGTCTCAAAAAAAAAAAATAGGGTCTATTTTTTAAAAACTCCTATAAGCATAGAAATGTTCTTAGGACATGGGGTCTTTTATCTCTCTCACGTGAGAAAAATTGGTTAGTATGAGCTAAAACTGGACAGGTTCAAACTACTGGCTTATAGCATGTTTCTGAATGCCCGATGACCTTAGCAGCCTATACAACACCTCATCCTCTCGTACCTAGAACATTGTTCTTCCCAAAGATGTTTCCTACTTAGAGTTAAGTTTTTACCCAAAGCATCAGAGGAATAGACAAAATCAAATAGAAACAGTTTCAATCACTTGCAGTGTTTAAAATATTTATAATCCTTGCTATAGCCAAAGGCAGCCGGGCTAATTATTTACCAAGCAAGTGGAAATGATGTCCCGGGGGAGATGGCAGAACTGATACATCAATTGGCAGAAAGTCTAGTAGTTAGTAGGAGTTCAGGGAGTCTCAGGAGCATCTTGAAATGGCTCTGTTTTAGCCTCACATAAGAACTGGACCATCATGCTACAAATGACACATTTGCTACTCAAAAGATCAAAGGGTACCAGGAGGGCTTCTGTAGCTTGTCCTCAAGTTGATTTTCTGAGCATCTCTAATGAGCTGCAGTGAGAAAAATCTATGCTGTCTGGGGCTAGAAGGTCCCAAAATAGAAAGATTCTCTAAATTCCTGTAGAGAAATTTAATGGAGGTGAGAGATTATTGGGGCTCCACAAGGGCTTCGAATTTCTCAACTGAAAAGCTTTTTATTGCAAATGACAGGATTTTATGAGTTTTGCTAATTAGAAGACCAATTAAGCCTTACTTTAATTTTTTTCAAACAACACAGTAACATCTGGACTTCAAATTGGAACTCCCTCTCACTTCTCAAACATGACAGTTAATGGTTTAATTATATTCCAGAATTTTTCTATGTATATACATATGTACATGCTGGTATAGGCTACGTATTTAAATATCACATTACAATGCTGTTGCTCATTCCTAGCTCTGCTTGAAATGTCCACTGAATGACAGAAGTTTAGAGATTTGGTGCAAAGACCAACAGCCAGAACTCGGGTTGCCCAATGAGCTACTGTCGAGTGTTTACGTTCCTGATTTCCACCTCACATCAGTAATGACAACACTTCCTAAACACCACCAGCTGTATTTTCCAAGTTTGAAAACTCTAACCTATGTGCACTTTGCAAGTCAGAAACCTAGAGGTCATCCACCCCCTCCCTCACCACCATGTTTGATCCACAATAAAGTTCAGCCAATTTTATCTCCCTCTTTATTCATGTCTCTTCATTTTCATGATCACCATGGTGGTCCAAGCCACCACATTCTGCCACTCTCCCATCTGAACTGTGGCAGTAGCCTCCTCATGATCATGCCCTCTTCTAATCCATTCTCCACAAAATAGCTAGAGAAATCTTTTTTAAAAAATAAATCTATCCATATCACCACTTATCAAGAACTTTGCCTGGCACAGACAACAAAATCCAAACTCCATGCCACTGCCTTAAGTCCCTGTATGATATGACTCTGCCCCCCGTCCAGCCTCAGCCACTCACTCTCATTTCCCAGGCTCTAGTCACTCTGGCTTTCTACTCCTGGAGTGCCCATGTTCCCTCCTGGCTCAGACGTGTGGACCCTGTTGTTCTCTGTGGCTGGAGTATTTTTCCTCCACCCTCCCTACTTTGCCTAGTTAGCACCTATTCAGTTTTCAGATTTCAACTCAAACACCACTTTGTCAAGATAATTTTTGATGGTATGCCTGTGTGACTGTTTCATTAATGTCTCTGTTGCCCACTATACTGTAGGCTGCATGCAGGTGGTTCTGTTTTAGTACCTGGTTTCCCCAGAAACTAACAATGTGCCTGCCATATGGCAGGAATTGGAATGTGAATTGCTAACAATTAAAGGACTGGTGCACGTAAAGCTGTTGGATCTTCTGGTTTAAAAAAAAAAAAAAAAAAAGCAGGAGTAGAAACTTCTTCTCAACTTCAGAGACTACCCATATACAAAAGCCCAGCTTCAGGCTGTGCTCTGTTCAGCTTGGCTTTGCCTGGATGGGCAGAAATGACAGTACACATGTGGACAGAGGTACTGATTCTCCCTTTTCAAGATGGAAAGACGGCCAGGCACAGTAGCTCATGCCTGTAATCCCAACACTGTGGATGGCTGAGGCGGGCAGATCACTTGAGGTCAGGAGTTCAAGACCAGCCTGGGCAACATGGTGAAACCCCATCTCTACTAAAAATACAAAAATTAGCTGGGTGTGGTGGCGGGTGCCTGTAATCCCAGCTACTCAGGAAGCTGAGGCAGGAGAATCGCTTGCACCCAGGTGGTGGAGGTTTCGGTGAGCCAAGATCACGCCACTGCACTCCAACCTGAGTGACAGAGGGAGACTCCGTCTCAAAACAAACAAACAAAAAAAAAGATGGAAAGATGACTTTTCAAAGGTTTATTTTCAAAAAAATATGTACTGGCGAATTGAGTTGGAGAAACAAACCAGTCATCAGTAATTACTTTTCCATCCTTTGGCGCCCTCTATTGACAATAAACTCAATTGCGGTAAAATTATACCAACACCTTCTACAGCTAGGAAATCTATGAGGTGGGTTCTTCTTCAAACAGATTCACGGTGAATTCAGTCTTTGGGAAAATCTGACTCCTCTTTCATCAAAAACATGGGTTCGTGTGTCTAAATTTTGTGTGTGTGTGTGTGTGTGTGTGTGTGTGCGTGTGTGTGTGTGTGTTGAGACGGAGTCTCGCTCTATCGCCAGGCTGGAGTGCAGTGGCGCGATCTCGGTTCACTGCAACCTCCACCTCCCAGGTTCAATTGATTCTCCTGCCTCAGCCTCCCGAGTAGCTGGGACCTAAACTTTTTTTGCCACATTTTTAGGCAACTGTATCTGGCCAATGTTAGAACTCAGAGCAAAATTATGGTAAAATATCTTTGTCTCAACTCTCAGCAAGAATCATCCTTAGGCTGCCTGTATGGGAAATACACTCCACACAGAGCTGCCAGATTGTCTTTTATTTTTCTCACCTGGACAAAATATTAGATCTATACTAGAAACAAGGACGAAGCAAATATTTAAATACAATATGTACTTTAATATTTTTTCCAAATGATTTAGTTTCAAAATAAATAATGTTAGTCCTTTTCCAAACACATGGAAAATGGATAAATCAGTAAAAAAGAATAGAAGAGGCTGGGCGCGGTGGCTCACTCTTGTAATCCCAGTACTTTGGGAGGCCGAGGCAGGCGGATCACTTGAAGTCAAGGAGTTTGAGACCAGCCTGGGCCAAAAGGTGAAAGCCCATGTCTACTAAAAATACAAAAATTAGCCAGGTGTGGTGGTGGGCACCTGTAATCCCAGCTACTTGGGAGGCTGAGACAGGAGAATCGCTTGAACTCAGAAGGTGGAGGTTGCAGTGAGCCGAGATGGCGCCACTGCACTCCAGCCTGGGTGACAGAGCAAGACACCGTCTCAAGAAAAAAAAAAAAAGGACAGAAGAATGGATGAATCAGACAGCACAGGTTAAGCACAATGCCCAGTCTATAGCAGCTTCTGGTAAATGCTAGTTCCAGTGTCACCTCCATTCTGGCTCTGCCACCAACTAATTGACCTTGAAAAGTCATTAAACTCTCTGGACCTCACTTTCTTCATCCGTAAAATGAAAGTGTTGAATTATGTGATCTCTGAGAGCCCTTCTCATCTGTAATTCTATATTTCTAAACCCACCCCCTATATCCTTTGGTTTCCCACCACACCACAGTTTCCAGAAAGGAAAGCAGAAACTCTCCATTGATTCCTACACTGTCAATTATGTTCTATGATCATCAACTCTGTATAAAGACGTGAGGACACACAGATGAATATGTTACTGTCCCTGACCTCTGGAAGCACATAGCTAAATGGTGTAATTCACTATAACACGTATAGGAAGAGCTATGTTTGAGTTACGAACAAATGCTGTGGTAACACATTGGACAGTACTATCACAGAGTTCATAAAATGATTGTTTTAATTTAGCAAATTCGATCAAAAATCAATTGAGTCGTGTGCTTGGCATTACCCCAACGATATAAGTAATAAGTTGGATTTTTCTCTTTTTGACCCTATGCTCTAGGTTTCACTTGGGTATAGCCTAAATATCTAAGAAGAAATGAAAATGGTGCTAAAACTCATCCCTCCTTTTCGGAAGCATGGCTTTATTAGAAAAATCAGCTGTAGAAGTTGTGTCTTGATCTACTTACTGTGGACTTTCCTGAGAACAGCAAGTCCTCTTGCCAACATTTGCCATGCAGATACCAGACTGTGAGTTGAAAGTCTGTACAAAGCAATTTCCAGTGGAAGCAAAGCCATCAGATCCCCTGCAGGCATAGTCAGCAGTATCTCTTTCAACTCACCCGGTCTCAGTGCTGCCCATGGTCCACAAAATAATTCATTTCCACCTCAGCTGCTGAGACCTAAAATTCCCCTATTCTACTTCAACTCTTTGCAAATTGGAACTCATGCTGGTTCCATTTGCTAATGGTGACCACGGCCAGTCCCTCCAAATTCCTGTGTTGACGGACAAAGGCATAACTAAATTTTACCAAACCCTGGAGCTGTTTAGTGTTTTAGGACTCTGAAGCATTTATTTCTGTCCCACATAGAAGCTATTCTCTGCTATGAAATAGAAAGATTTCTTAAAAGAAAGCGTTTGATGACCTAGTTGGTGAAAACAGAAATGATTAAAACTTAGGCAAATAATCCACATATTGCTATTACCTTAATGATTAAAACATGCAGCTCATTAATTTAACCTGACAGTGGGCCCTTTTGTGGGTAGACAACTCATACGTAATGTCTTACTGCAGCTGAAGAGACTTGTCCCATGCCAAGCCTGGCTCCCCATTTCTTTTATTACTGAGAAGGCATTGGTACAATCCAAAATGATTAAAGCAATAGAGATTGAATTGCAGACAAAGAACATCAGACTGGATCAGGAATGGGAAAATAAAACTCCAAACAAGAATGAGACTCAAGGGACTAATGATCAAAGCATTCAAGTTTCCCTTTTTAAAAAAAAAAAAAAAAAGCTGGAATATTCAACTTTCTACTTTATGACACCTCAGAAAAAAAGTTTACATCATCTATTAATACAGTAATGCTTTTTATCTGGGAGGAGTTCTTCCAGGATTCCTAAAAGAGAACCCTTTATATATATATATATGAAATCTTCCAGGATGCCTAAAAGAGATTTTAGGATTTTAGGAATCTTCCAGGATTCCTAAAAGAGAACACTTTATATATATATATATGTATATAACATATATACACATATATGTTATATATTTATATATATGTTTTATACATATATATATATAGAGAGAGAGAGAGAGAGAGAGAGTACAAAATATGTCAGAGGTGTAAGAAAACTAATGAAACAAAGTTCCTGGATCCAATTCTCCTTGTCCATAGCTACTCCTTGTATGAAACTGGAGAAACTCTTGAACTTCTTTATTGGTAATGATTATTAGTGGAATGGCATCTAACCCATTTAATTATGAATCACAAGAGATCAGCAAAATTTACATGACACAAAAATTACAGAAAAATAAAAGAAAAAATCTTCAAGATTTACTGCCTCCATATGCCTCCATATACCTAACCCATGAAAAAGGAAATTTTCTCATTATAATTATTTCTTTGCACAAAACAAAAGCAAATAATTCAAACCTCCTTATCATTCAAAAAGCAAAGAGTATTTTCTATTGCTAATAGTCAACATTTTAAATACCCATCTTAGGCTGGGTGCGGTGGCTCATGCCTGTGATCCCAGCACTTTAGGAGGCCAAGGCAGACGGATCACTTGAGAACAGGAGTTCGAGACCAGCCTGGGCAACATGGTGAAAACTCATCTCTACTAAAAATACAAAAATTAGCCGGTCATGGTAGTGTGCATCTGTAGTCCCAGCTACTCCAGAGGCTGAGGCAGAAGAATGGCTTGAACCGGGGAGGTGGAGGTTGCAGTGAGCCAAGATCATGCCACTGCACTCCAGCCTGGGCGATGGAGTGAGACTCTGTCTCAAAAAGAAAAAAAAAAAAAAACTATCTTAAATCACTTCACAGTCATCCAAGTTGAACCTTATTCTTTTTCTTCTTAAGATTGAGCTAATCTACTATTAATGGAAACTGTACCCTTAAGTGACATCAGGTTTGCCTACCAAGGAGATTCAGGCCCTCTCTGTTCTGCATCTTCTTTCACATCCTACCCATTCCCAGGAAGCCTTCTTGATCTAACTTATGCTACAGAATATCAGATATCAGATGAGTGAGGGGCACTCTCTGTGGTTCCTGTTGAGATAGATCATATTTTAACTGAATGGGAGATTTAATTCTGGAATTTCACTGTTAGCCAGTTTTTCTCCATAGAAAGGTGATCAAGGCAAATGCTATATGAATATTCTCCTCTTTACTATAGGTGGGTTCTTCTTAAGTCAAAACAAATTTATGGCCAGGTACGGTGGCTCACACCTGTAATCCCAACACTTTGGGAGGCCAAGGAGGGTGGATCACTTGGGGTCAGGAGTTCAAGACCAGCCTGGCCAACATGGCTAAACCCTGTCTCTAATAAAAATACAAAAATTAGCCAGGTGTGGTGGTGCACGCCTGTAATTCCAGCTACTTGGGAGGCTGAGGCAGGAGAATCGCTTGAGCCTGGGAAGAGGAGGTTGCAGTGAGCCAAGATTACACCACTGCACTCCAGCCTGGGCAACAAAGCTAGACTTCATCTCAAGAAAAAAACAAAACAAAATAAAACAAATTTATCGTCCATAATAAAATCGTCAAAGGGGCCAGGTGCGGTGGCTGACGCCTGTAATCCCAGCACTTTGGGAGTCCAAAGCGGGTGGATCACCTGAGGTCAGGAGTTTGAGACCAGCCTGACCAACATGGTGAAACCCCACCTCTACTAAAAATGCAAAAAATTAGCCAGGCATGGTGGCAGGCACCTGTAATCCCAGCTACTCAGGGGGCTGGGGCAGGAGAATCACTTGAACCAGGAGGCAGAGGTTGCAGTGAGCCAAGCTCGCGCATTGAACTCCAGCCTGGATGATAAGAGCAAGACTCCATCTCAAAAAAAAAAAAAAAAAGTCAAAGGAAAACTCTTAAGTGGACTGTGTCTAAAGCAACCCACTATACCCATGTGTTGATAGAAGAGCTGTGTTGCCTATTAAGACAAAGTAACTAAATGGTGATGCCACAATTATTAGTTTTTTATTTGTATAGATGGGGCTTATTTCTAGTTAATACTTCCTCTGGCTTGGGAGAGTCAGTGATAGGATATTGACACCTACGTGTAATGTTTAAGGCAAAATGTTGGTATTTTAGATGAATTCTTTCATTTAAATTTCTCCTTGTGATCTACTGGCTTTACAGTGCATTTATCATGCTTCAATATTAGAACCTTTAGTTTGGGGCTAACAGAAATAGTTCAGCTAATGAAAATAATGATTTTTTCATGCTGTACTACATGGTAATTTAAAGCATTTCAATTAAACAAACTGTCTCATTAGAGCTCCTTGATAATGTAGTTCCATTTGCTTTGATATGGTCAGAAATCCCAAGGATGCTTTTGGGATACTCTCTAACTCTCATATGAACTTGCTTAAGAATGTTACCATACACCAGACATTTTAGAGTATTCAAATGACCTATTTTAAAAATGTTTGAAGCCATTTTATGGTGTGGACCCAGAACAAATTACCCTTATTTAATAAGTAGCTTTCAGTTTGTGTTCCAAAAGTCATCTGAATTCTACCAATGAGGTTTATTTTTTAAAGCTCCATTTTTCTCATATTATAAGATTTGAAAGCACATTCATTCATAAAATTCTCATTCTGGGCCAGCAGCGGTGGCTTAAGCCTGTAATCCTAGCAGTTTGGGATGCCGAGGCAGGCGGATCACCTGAGGTCAGGAGTTCGAGATCAGCCTGGCCAACATGGAGAAACCCCACCTCTACTAAAAATACAAAAATTAGCTGGGTGTGGTGGTGCGTGCCTATAATCCCAGCTACTTGGGACACTGAGGCAGGAGAATCGCTTGAATCTGGGAGGCGGAGGTTGAAGTGAGCTGATATCATGCCACTGCACTCCAGTGACTCCAGTCTGGGTGACAGAGAGAGACTCCGTCTCAAAAAAAAAAAAAAGAAAAAAAATCTCATTCTGTTAAGTCTTTGTTTTTCACAGAATAATCTTATGATGAATATTATAATGTTAAAATTTACTATTTTGCATCATATTCCCTATCATTTTTTCCTCAAAACAGTCTAGACTCACTTGCTCATTTCTCTGGAAAACAAAAACCTAACTACATAAATTGGCCGAGCACAGTGACTCATGACTGTAATCTCAGCACTTTGGGAGGACGAGGTGGGCAGATCACCTGAGGTCAGGAGTTCAAGACCAGCCTGTCCGACACGGTGAAACCTCATCTCTACTAAAAATACAAAAAATTGCCAGTTATGGTGGCACACACCTATAATCCCAGCTACTTGGGAGGTTTGAGGCAGAAGAATTGCTTGAACTCAGGAGACGGAGGTTGCAGTGAGCTGAGATAGGGCCATTGCATTCCAGCCTGGGTGACAGGAGCAAGACTCCGTCTCAATAAATAAATAAACAAAATTGGTGAAAGGATCATTGAGATACTCTGAAGATAAATTATATATTGTTACTTTAACTCGAATATTTAAATCCCTTCACATAAGCTAAAGGTTCAAAAAGATAAATTCTATTAATTTTACTATAGTTGAAAATAGATGCTGGACTCAGTGGCTCACTCTGTAATCCCAGCACTTTGAGAGGCCAAGGCAGGCAGATCACCTGAGGTCAGGAGTTTGAGACCAGTCTGGCCAACATGGTGAAACCCCATCTCTACTAAAAATACAAAAATTAGCCAGGTTTGGTGGTGAGCGCCTGTAATCCCAGCTACTCGGGAGGCTGAGGCGGGAGAATGGCTTGAACCAGGGAAGCAGAGGTTGCAGTGAGCTGAGATCGCAACACTGTACTCCAGCCTGGGTGACAGAGAAAGACTTCATCTCAAAAATAAAAAAGAAAAGAGATTTAAAAATAAATTTCTCATATGCCTAACATAAGTAAGAAGTGAGGCACTTGAAAATTTATTTTATGTTACCAAATAGTCTCTTGAATTTAAATACCTGTTAATTTAACTTAAATATCAGACAAACCAGTTGTTGAACATGATAAAATAGCACAATGAACAGCTGACTGGATACCAGCTAGTTTTTTTGGCTATTGTATGCTATAGCAATTCAAATCCAACTGAACTAGTACAAAAGAGAGTTTTATGCATTTAGGCATGCTAATAACACCACTATCTTTTACCTTGATTGCAAAAACCATTTTTTTATTATTTAGGGTAAGTAATGCTAACTGCTATAACAAATCCCAAGGTCTAAAATGGCTTAACACAATAAAAGTTTATTTCTCTCTCTGAAACAATGTCCAATGTGGTCATTCCATCTTGTGACTTCAAAATAACTGGGGTCTCAGACGCCTCTCTTGGATCCTATAGCCAGGGGATGGACATCAGAGAGTGTAGAAAGAACACTGCAAAAGTCTTTTGGCTTTGTCTTTTGGGTTTGTTGGGGTGTGGGGGAAGAATGGGAACTGGGCTCAGAAGTATTGTACATCAGTTCTACCCACATTCCAGTGGCCCAAATTCAGTTACATGGTCACAACTAAGTACAGTGGAGGCTGGGAAATGTAGTCTGTCTGCCCAGGGAGTAAGAAAATGGGTTTTAGCCGGACGCGGTGGTTCACGCCTATAATCCCAGCACTTTGGGAGGCCGAGGCGGGCGGATCACGAGGTCAGGAGATCGAGACTATCCTGTCTAACGCAGTGAAACCCCGCCTCTACTAAAAATACAAAAAAAAAAAAAAAAAAATTAGCCTGACGTGGTGGCGGGTGCCTGCAGTCCCAGCTACTCAGGAGGCTGAGGCAGGAGAATGGCGTGAACCCGGGAGGCGGAGCTTGCAGTGAGCCGAGATCGCACCACTGCACTCCAGCCTAGGCAACAGAGCGAGACCCTGTTTCAAACAAACAAACAAACAAACAAACAAAAACAAACCAACAAAAAAGAAAATGGGTTTTGGTGTACACATAGCAATCTTGCCACAAAAATCCCTATAGCCTCAGCAGGGACTTGCAACAAAGAATATAATCTCACAGTTGCTCCTATAACTAGAGATATTATCATTTGGTTTTTAGGTGGAATAATAAATATAAAGTCTATAAAATAATGGTACTATTCTAACTAAAAGGTATTTAGAAATCAGTAACCATCTATGTCACATGTTTCATCATCTGTGTCTCAGGTGCCTCTTCAAGGCACACAGATTCAGTTTTTCCCATCCAATTATCTGAATCTCTGAAAGCGCTTTTCTTTTCCACTCACTTGTCTATCAAAAATGGCAGACACAGTAACTTTAACTTAACTTTAATCCTGAAAGCTGGAGTGAATCATATTAAACATAACCCAAATGTTTTTTTGTTCTTTTCTTCCTGGCCTGTGTGACCCAAACCAGTGTTTTCAAATGCGTACTGCATGAACCAATTTAAAGCTGAAGCTACGAGGTGTTTTTTTTTGTTTTTTTTTTTTGTTTTTTTTTTAGCTATGAATTTTTGAACACTTAAACCCAGAGAATGCCTCAACAGAACATCCAATAGTCTCTGGATTGCTATTTCATTCAGTTTAAGTTCCTGGCAGAGGTCTGATTTTATGAACCCTTGTTAATTACCAAGCTTTCCAAATTTCCTACAAGGACCTCTAATGCAAAAGGCTATCCACCCATTGTATAGCTGGTATCCGAAGCAGACATTCAGCATAAAATTGAGGCAAGTATCCAGAAAACTCAGGCAAAATCTCACAGCTTGACTTGTATCTTCTTTTAAATATCAGAACCCTAGAGCAAAACAGCAAATAATTGATAGGCGATGTTGAGAAGAGTAACTGATAGGATTGAAACCCTGCAGGGACTGACCTAGAAAGAGAGATAAAAGGAACTGAGAGAGCCCGGTTGCTCCATCTTCACGCAATCCTGGGAGGTAGATGTTTCAGAGATCTGGCTCTGTCTAATCCCTCAGTGACTTCAAACATTTCTATTTTAGTGGCTCTTCCTCTTTCGAATGAGGATAATATAAAATGGGTTAAATTTCCTCTCTGGGCTGAAGGTGACATTCACAAGGCATCTATCGAGTCCATTTCCTTTCTCGAAGGCAATCTTCCACTGAGGCCTTCCTGAGAGACTCCTCTGAGACCCATTTCAGGCAGAGTCCTCAATTGACATCCTGCCTGTGTTTCCACAAACCCAAATTAAAGTTACTTAACCTCACTGGCCTCAGTTTCTCTTCTGCAAACTGGGAGTTAAAAATACCCACCTCCCAGGTTTGGATGAGGGTTAAATAAATTATTTAAAGTCACTTAACAGAGGGCTGTACAAATAAAAAGAGCTCAACCAGCTACTGTTATCTTAAAAAATAAAGGTTAAACCAGCTCCCGACGACTTTCTGCATTATCTAACAATTCTTCGAGTTGGTAAAATATTATTTGAAGCGCAAAACTCTCTGTATTTAATTTAATCCTAATTCAATTCATTTTGGCTATATTTTAGAGAATCACATAATATCTTCTATGTGGTTATATATGGTTTCCATTATTTGTTCTTGAAAACTCCGAAGACTCAGAAAAATGGTAATGTTGAAACAGACGGTGCCACCCATACCCGAGTTCCTCCGCACAGGTGCTCAGTGGGGATTGACGGTGAGGTAGTGCTTGACTTGCTGCAGCAGGGATGGCAAGTATGTGGCAGTTGCAATACCCAGCTCACCTCCAAAACATACATCTATGTCTGCTAATAAACATCTACATCAGCGAATAGGTCACCAAACTCTTTTCCATAGAGTCTATATTTTTCCACAAAATCCTTTTCAAAAATACTTTGGACAATCTCTGCTGATCCATCAGCCACCACTAATCTATTTCCATTCTTGGGCTATAGCATAAAGGGAAGCAAATTTAAAACGGGAAGAAAACCTTGAAGAAGAACAAACTGATTTTAACTATTTGTTTTGGTTTTCTGTGTCTAGAAACTGAAAAAAACAAAATGACTAAAGCCAGTTCTTGATCATCTGTGATATTGGAGAGTGTGGTTTAGCATGAATGAATCAAATTAATAAATGTATGTTAGAAATGAGACATAAATGTCTAAATATAAAAATCAGAGGACTACAAAGAGCTTACATTTCATTTAAAAATAAAATGGAAAAAAAAATCAATGGTAGGCAACCATAGACAAACCTCCTCTTTTGTCAGAGCTGTTATTAACAAGTAACTAAGTCTGCAGATTTTATTTTCACCTTCTCTACCCTTCACTGCATGTAGACGGATAGATGGGTTCATGGGATCTGCAGTGGGCAAGACACAAAAATGTACACAGACAACTGAGCTGGAAAACCACAGACATGTTGATCAGCTCTTGAATAATAAATATCTGCAAGGTTATAAAATTGTTGGTGATTTACATATGAAAACAGTCTCAGTGCTAGGGAGAGAAAAAAGTTTAAGTAGCAGTATGAGAAGCTTACAGGAAAAAGCTAAAAATATTTCAAAGGAAAATCTGTGAATTAGAAAAAAATATATACTTCCATAAGCAATTTTGTTTATCTCCTGGGTAAAAGACAAGATCATCTCTGTCTATGCTTGGTAAAGATGCTATGTATTTGGCCACTACCATTTGAGAGAAGCAGAAGAGCATAGCAGTGTTCAGACTCTAGAGCCAGACTGTCTGGGTTCAATCCCAGTTCTGGAACTTTTCAGTTTTGTGAGCTTGGGCAAGCTGCACGACTTCTCTGTGCCTTGGTCATCTTCTCCATAAAGTTAGGATGATAATAGAGCCCACCTCATAACATTCTGACAAGGGCTAAATGAGTTAATATATCTAACATCTAGACTAGTTCTTGATACATACTAGATTTTCTCCTTGGATATTTGTTGTTATTTGCTACAACTTGGTAAAGATCAGACCTCAAAGGAATAATAGCTACTTTTTAAAAATAGTAGATAGGCCAAGCATGGTGGCTCATGCCTCTAATCCCAGCACTCTGGGAGGCTGAGGTGGGTGGATTGTTTGAGCTCAGGAGTTCAAGACCATCTAGGGCAACATGGAAACACCCCATCTCTACAAAGATACAAAAATTAGCCAGGTATGGTGGCGCATGCCTGTAGTCCCAACTACTTGGGAGGCTGAGGTGGAAGTTGCAGTGAGTCATGATCATGCCACTGCACTCCAGCCTCGGTGACAGAGCCAGACCCTGTCTCCAAAAAATATAAATAAATACATACATACATACATACATACATACATACATACATATATAATGTAAAGTCCTTAAAATGGCCTATCAGGTGCCCATCAATCCAGGAGTGGATAAAGAAAATGTGGTATATAAATAAGATGGAATACAACTCAGCCATAAAAAGGAATGAGTTAATGGCATTCATGGCAACCTGGATGGGATGGGAGACTATTATTCTAAGTGAAGTAACTCAGGGATGGAAAATCAAACATTGTATGTTCTCACTCATAAGTGGGAGCTAAGCTCTGAGGATGCAAAGGTATAAGAATGATGCAATGGACTTTGGGGACTTTCGGGGAAAGGGTGGGAAGGGAGATAAGGGATATAAGGCTACAAATTGGGTTCAGTGTTTACTGCTCAGGTGATGGGTGCACCAAAATCTCATAAATCACCACTAAAGAATTTACTCATGTAACTGAATACCAGCTGTTCCCCAAAAAACCTATTAAAAAAATGGCCTATTAGGGAAAAAAAATAGTGGGACGTATTATTGAGTTTTGTTATCTTGTGTTTTTTTAAAATACTTTTTTGAAAGTGTATTGGTTCTTTATTGTTGCTGTAACATATTTCCATAATATTGGTTCATGCAGTACCATAAATCCAGTGGCTTAAACAACACAAATATATTCTCTTCCAGTACTGGAGATTAGAAGTCTAAACTGGGTTTCACTGGGCTAATATCAAGGTGTTGGCAGGGCACCTCCTTTCAGGACCTTTCAGGGAAAATCCATTTTCTTGCCTTTCTGGCTTCTAGAGGCTGCCCACATTCCTTTGCTGCTAGTGCCATGCCATTGTCAAAGCCAGCAATGGCCAGTCAAGATTTCTTACATCACTCTGATGCCAAATCTTCTACCTCCTTCTCCCACACGTCGACACCCCTGTGATTTCTTTGGACCCACCCCGATATCCAGGATAGTCTCCCTATTTTAAGATCAGCTGATTAGCGAACTTAATTCATCTGCAAGCCTAATTCCTCTTTGCCATGTAATGAAACATATTCACAGGTTCCAGGGATTAGGGCATAGACATTTTGGGGGGCCATTGTTCTGCCTGCCGCAGAGGGGAATAACATCTATCTTAGAAACTGGAATGATTAATATAGTCTGCATGGTAAAGTGAGAAGAGTTTTGGAGTAAGCAAACAAGAGGTCTGAGTTCAAGCCTGTGTTTGGTTATTAGCTAGTTTTATGATCTCGAGAAATTTTAAGTCACTTTATCTCTTTGGACTTCTATGCAATAAGAGTTGATGTTATATGACCTATGACTCTGTCAAATTAAAAATAAAGGGCTAAAGTCATTGGATTATACAACAAGGCATTGAGATATTCTTCTGCAGAGGACAGCTCTAAATTTAGTTTTTAAATGAGTCTACCTTTACCTGCCTTCTTGGTTCTGAAATTTCCCCCTTTCACAGTGTAAAAACCATGCATCATCACAACTTCTGGGCATTGGGAGAGGTGCAGTTTTTTGTTTTTTTGTTTTGTTTTGTTTTTTTGTTAGATAGATACTCGCTCTGTTGCCCAAGCTGGAGTGCAGTGGCGCCATCTTGGCTCACTGCAACCTCTGCCTCCTGGGTTCAAGCGATTTTCCTGCCTCAGCCTCCTGAGTAGCTGGGATTATAGGCGCATGCCACCACATCCAGCTAATTTTTGTATTTTCAGTAGAGACGGGGTTTCACCATGTTGGTCAGGCTGGTCCCGAACTCCTGACCTCATGATCCTCCCACTTCAGCCTCCCAAAGTGCTGGGATTACAGGAGTGAGCCACCGCACCCGGCCATGGTGCAATATTTTTGAGGCAAGATGTATGAACTGTTTTATCAGTGCATACCAACATTCGCTCCAACATGGGAGAAATCATTCCTGTGGTGTTCTTTCTTAAACCTAATTTCCTCTATTCGTATAGGTGGACACAAGTAATATTTTAAAATAAAATCTGATTTTATTGCAGCTATAATTAGAAACCATTTACTTGAAAGTTCTTCTTTTTGAAAATGCAGAGGAATACATTATCCTTCGCATGACTTTCTGAATCCTTGAAGACCACTAGATCATCCCTTGTTCTCCTCCATAAGCATTACTTTTCAATCCTTTAATCATATTTGTTGCAAATTTAAGAGACTACTTTTAACACTTTGAGAGGGGCTGTTGTTAATGAAAATAGAGGCATAAGGGCAGATATAAAGCCAAGAAAACCTGTCATCTATTACGCTAAGCACGTTAATAGAGCTTATCCTTGTACTGAAGATCCTGGAGAAAGAGATAAAAGAGATATTTCTTCATTTTTGAAATTCATTTTTAAGGAGAAAAAAAAATCCATCTTAACTACCACAACTATTTATAGTCTCAGAAGTAGCTTGGTAACAGAAAATAATCCTGCTTGAACTAACAAATAAGTAATATAAATTCAAGCCTCAGTTATGTCATTAACTAGCTGTGTGACCATGGACAAGTCACTTGACCTCTCTAAACTTTCATTTCATAGCGTTCATTCACTGGACTGCAAGAGAATAATTGGGTCCAACAAAGAGTAACAAAGAAAACGTGACAGGATAGCGAAGACATATTAAAAAGAAACCTGTAAACCGTTTTAAGGAATGTTGAATTTCAAATACCACTAATTTAAACAAAATTCCCTCAACAGAGAATCGGATGGCCCAGCTATTTGATTTATTCTGTCAACCTACCCAGGAATGCCAGCAGCTTAGAAAATTGTGATGATGAAAAGAAAACAAAAAAAGTTTGTAAAATTTGTTACTTTTTTGAAACCAAGTGAATATCTATTTTTTTAATTTCATAATCAAACTTGTTTTCATTTTCAAATTTCTATGAAACAAATGAAGACAATGCTAAATATTGAGTTAGTTCAATTGAGCTTGACACTATTGAGGGCCCAAGCAGAGGTTTATTTCCTCAAAAAGCAATCAACATTCTCCCTCTTGGCGCTACCGAAATTTGTACCCTAACTAGGTAGTCGCCTCAAACACCTTAGTCTGGTAACACAGAGCATAGAGCAGGGGAGTATGAGACCATCATCTCTAGTGGAAAAACAACTCAAACATGCTTGAGTGACAGACAACAGCCATAAACGGTATCTCTTTTCCTTGTGGAAAATAGCACTTCTCCATGCTTTGGCTGACTATCAAACCCTGGGGACAGCCTCCGGTTCCAAACAGAAAGCAACGCAGATCTCAGTGGCATTCCAATCTAGCCCGTTTTCAGTTCCCACAGATGTTTTTAGCTGGTGGTAGGCTATTGCCTTCAGGAGTTTGTCATTTACAGAATCTTATAAAGTGGGTACCAGTGTTCCCTGCCCTCTTCCCAGGCAGGAACAGCTATGTCATGGGAAACCCGTCAGGCATTCAGTGGCTTCTTGTCCCAGACCTCCTGTGGTTGGCCTATCTTTCCAAGCCAATTTGAGGCTTCTCTATTCTCTTTGTCCCCCTTGGCTATCTATGACAAGGGGCTGGATCTTAGAGCTGAGTGGTCCATCAGGGATATTTTGGGCTAATAACACCCATTGTGCTTGGAAACATTTGTATGGTACCACAATAAAGTTCCTGAGTAGAATTTGCTTGTCTGTGCTAAAAACTTCAGTAGACCATTGACAGGAGCCAAAGCCTTCAATGACAAGAGAGGATGTGTCTTATAGATGGGATGGGACAGGAGTAATAAAGTGTCTAAATGCAGGACTTACTTACTTTTGTTGCTGAAGGCATGATCTTGAAAGATTTAAAGACAGAAACCAAGAAATGAATGTCATATTGTCACTTTTAATTCCCCAGCAAAATAAATCTCCTGATTTTTCTGTCAGAGTGATTTGTAAACAAAAACTCTCCATTAAAAAAAGAAATGATTTCTTTAAAGTCTGTCTTGTGAAAAGACATTGCTTACTATACTATTTAAATTTGATTTCCTGGGGTGGAAATATTTGCTTGTGCTGACAACAATGCATCAAGCATACAGACGCAGAGCCAGTGGCCGGGCTCCTTAAACAAATGATTTTAGTAGATGTGGCTCTTGGCCTTCAGGACATAAAATCTGTTTTTGTTTCTGTTTTGTATACTAATATCAGCAAAGGCTTCCCTTTTCTCTTTGCATTTGGAAACTTTTGGTTGAATTTCATTAGGCAGGCGGCTCTCTTTTAATGTATAAGTTTTTGAGTAATGTTGGAAAAAGTTAATTAATCAGAATGCTTGAATAACAGGTTAAACAGCTATTAAAATTTGTAATCATTAAGATTCACTTAGCCAGAAGATACTTTCTGCCTGTATCCTTTTTTTTTTTTTTTTTTTTTTGAGACAGTCTTGTTCTGTCATCCAGACTGGAGTGCAGTGGCGCGATCTTGGCTCACTGCAACCTCTGCCTCCCCGGTTCAAGTGATTCTCCTGTCTCAGCCTCCCGAGCAGCTGGGATTACAGGTGCCTGCCACCACGACTGGCTAATTTTGTATTTTTAGTAGAGATGGGGTTTCACCATGTTGGCCAGGCTAGTCTTGAGCTCCTGGCCTCAAGTGATCCACCCACTTCGGCCTCCCAAAGTGCTGGGATTACAGGCATGAGCCACCACACCCAGCCCTCAAATCTTTTTAATAGAATCTTTAAAACTATATCGGCTGGGCATGGTGCATCACGCTTGTAATTCCAGCACTTTTGGGAGGCTGAAGCGGGTGGCTCACGTGAAGCTAGGAGTTTGAGACCAGCCTGGCCAATATGGTGAAACCCCGTTTCTACTAAAAATACAAAAATTAGCCAGGGCACAGGCCTGTAATCCCAGCTCTCAGGAGGCTGAGGCACAAGAATCGCTTGAACCCAAAAGGCAGAGGCTCCAGTTAGCTGAGATCGCACCACTGCATTCCAGCCTGGGGAACAGAGGGAGACTCCATCTCAAAAAAACATCAAAAACAAACAAACAAAGAAAGTATATTATTGCCTATATTAAAGATCTTGTAGGGTACTAAGATCAAGATTCTGGATATGTTTGGACATTGTTCAGCTGTGGGTTGAAGACTGGGATGAAGGTGCACTGACCTTAGAACTTGCCTTTGTAACTATTACTTTTTATTAAATGACTTATACTGCATTTTTTTTATGATTCCCCTATTTTTCCTGAAAGCCAAGTATAGAAGCTAATTCTAGTTAATTTATGGTTTCATTTAATTAAGTTCCACTTAAATGAGATTTTACTGTAACATGGTCAATTGTATTATGAATTATGAGATTTATTTGGGGCAAAGTTAGCACTTACAGGCTGGAAGAAACCTAATGTCTTTAAAACTTGAAAGAAGAGTCTTCTTAGAACTTATTTTCTGGATGCCACACAGGTCTGCCTCTTTCTGATGAAACCTAATTCCAAGCATCACTTTTTATCTCTAAGAACTCCAGCTCTGATTGTGTCTTTGCTTTGGTGACACCCTGGCGGTTCCTTTCTGTTGCTCAGAATTTGTCAAAAGAATAAGGAAGATCCTGATGAGCTCAGTCTCCCTTACCCACCACTAGGTCAAGCCTCCCTCTCTGAAGAGTCCTTCTCATCCTTATGCCTGCTTCCAGAGTTGGTGGGGTTGGCTTTGGAGCAGGACTTAATTTTGCCTCATTTAAAATCATGTGCTCAATTGCTTTCTTTCTCTTAAATAATGAAAAGCCAGCAAAGAATAGCTTAATGCATAAGGAAAAATGAATTTAGAGAAATTATTCATCTGCCTGTAAATAATAGCTTCATGGATATGAGGTAGCTAATTCTCGACAATATTAGGTGCTCTTTCAATAAAAGCAAGAGAAAGAAAATATCTCAGAAATTTCTTTGTCATGCTTAAAAGTCCTCTGTCCCCCACTCCCCACAATTCCCTGTTTTTTTTTTTAGAAGGGATATTTGTTCTCTCTTATAATCTGGAAATGTATGTGCCTAATTAAAATAAGATGTACTCTTTAAATGATGAAAATAAAAAGTGATCAAAATAGATTTTTGTTATCCTTGGGGCATTGGGAGTTTAAACGCAAACTGCATGGCTTGCAGTGTGGAGAATTAATTATTGGTAATTGAAGTTGTAAGCTTAATTCCCTGCTTGCTTCAATGAAAATGAATCCTTTTATTTAATATTGAAATAAGCACCACTAACCTCATGATCTGAGACAGCACATGCACTCAGCTTTTGAGCAACAGTGAATGTTTAAAAAGCTTTATCTTTTTAACACTGAATTGTGATTAAAACAAAACAAAACAGAAACACCAGCTTGCGGGAGTGGTATAAATACATTAGCAAATAACATAATAGATGGTATTTGGGTACTCTTAATAGATGCTGTTCTTATTCACCAGTAAGAGACTTCATTTTGTATTCAAATAAAAGTCTAAACCATTAAAAAATGCATTTATGCTTTTTGAAAACTTGTCCTGAGTAAAATATTTTCGTTGGCTTGTTTTGTCATGTTGAAGCAGGGTGACCGTTCAAACTGTTGGGCAGAAAAATTTCTCTGCCCTGTGTTTCTGCTGTGAGGAGTTCTTGTCTTCCTGAGGAAGCATTACAGCTAATCATGATGTGGACTTTGCCTCCTGCCCAGTTCTCTTGCTGTGTCTGTGCCCCTCTGTGTCTCAAGGAATGTCTCTGGGTATTTACACTGACTGTTCTGTGACTTAGATCTGGTAGATTTCCAGGCCCCCTATTCTATGCCTGCTCTTTGCCTAATTAACATCTACTCCTCTCTCAGATCTCAACTCAAACATTACACCTGAGATTAAGGCAAGCACTCCTCTCTTATATTCTTACCACAGTAAATCATGTTGCAATTACTTGTTTCATGCTTGTCCGTTCTGCCAGAGCACAAGTTCCAAGAAGGCAGGGTCTGCCTTGTTCACGGGTAGAGGTCCAGTAACTAGTTCAGAGCCTTGCATATATGGGGGATCAAGAAACATGTTTGAGTGAATGAATGAATAAATGAATGAATGGTGAATGAATGTTAATCAAGGTTGGTCTGAGCAACACTTGGCAAAATTCCCAGTTTATAGTCCTGAAGTATCCATAACTCTTACAATACAATTAATAATTCATTTTTCTCATTTTTAAATAGGAAATGAATGGGATTAGTATTTTCTGACTTTCTATTTATTGTACTTCATACTTAGTCCTCAGTCAACATTTCCTAAAAGACAATTTATCCATATTTCAGTAAGTAACATCTGTAATTGTGTAATAAGTAACACAAGAAAAATTAAGCTTGTTGTTTAATGTATTTATTAGAGAAAAACCTAGATATTGAAATTCCTTCAAATGAAACAGTGTTGTTTGAATTTGCTCTCAGTGGAACCTATCATTTCTGACCTAGGAGAGGTCTGTTCTTTAAGCAACCAGCCTCTGTGTCCACAAAGTTTGGTCATGGTTTGTAGAAAACTCCTTTGGGTCAGCTCCAAGGGCCAAGTTTGCTCAGATTGCTCAAACTTTCAAAACTATTTTTCTCAAAAGCACAGGGCTTAAATGAACACTTGTTTGATCTAAATATGGTTTCACATTGTCATGGAGAGAAAATAAAGGAGACAGAAGAACGCTTTGGTCTTTATCTCAGTATCCTGAAACTTCTACTTCATTCATTTTTAAAAAAGGAGCAAAAGTAGATCTAAATGGTTTTCTGGGTTAAGATGGTAGACTAAACCACACATCTAATTTTGCTGCTCTACAAAATTCCATAAAACTTGAGTAAAGTGATTTTCTTGAAAAGGTACAACTCACATGAAAAAAACACAAAAACAAAAAAAAGGAGAAACTAAAAAACAAAGAAAAAACTGGAAAAAAAAAAAAAAAGGCCGGGCACGGTGGCTCACGCCTCTAATCCCAGCACTTCGGGAGGCTGAGGAGGGCAGATCACTTGAGATCAGGTGCTGGCCAACATGGTGAAACCCCGTTTCTACTAAAAATACATAAATTAGCCAGGCATGGTGGTGGGCGCCTGTAATCCCAGCTGCTTGGGAGGCTGAGGCAGGAGAATCACTTGAACCTGGAAGGCGGAGGTTGCAGTGAGTTAAGATCACACCACTGCACTCCAGCCTAGGTGACAGAGTGAGACTCTGGAAAAAAAAAAAAAGAAGAAGAAAGAAAGAAAGAGAGAAAGAGAGAGAAAGAAAGAAAGAGAGAGAGGGAGGGAGGAAAGAAGGAAGGAAGGAAGAAAGAAAGAAAGAAAAAGAGAGAGAGAGAAGGAAAGAAAGAAAGAAAAGAGAGAGAAGGAAAGAAAGAAAGAAAGAAAGAAAGAAAGAAAGAGAAAGAAAGAAAGAGAGAGAGAGAAGGAAAGAAAGAAAGAGAAAGAAAGAAAAAGAAAGAAAGAAAGAAAGAAAGAAAGAAAGAAAGAAAGAAAGAAAGAAAGAAAAAGAAAGGAAGGAAGGAAGGAAGGAAGGAAGGAAGGAAGGAAGAGAAAAGCAAGCAAGCAAGCACAAGAGAATACAAGGGCAGGAAAATTTTGGAATCTGAAAAGCAGACTGACAACTGGCAGTGCCATATACCCCTACCACTGGTGTAGAGGGGAGGCCAAAATAATGAAGAGGGTAAAATGAGGATTGAATGAAAGCTGTTCCATTGGGTTAAATCTCTATACCTTAACTCACATTGCCCTTTCCTCACCTGATTTATTCTGAGGAGTAAGCGCAGCAGAAGGCCTTTGAAATGCAGGACACGAGATACAATTAAAGATCTATCATCATACCAAACACAGACAGATTGCATGACTGAATGCATATGGAATGCTAAAACCTTTCATCACTTCCTCCACTTGGCTTCCAGAATGCCAGAAGCCTGGTCATTTCCCTTTAGTAAGGAGATCGGAAGAATGTTTTCTGCTAAAAATCTCAACATAGGAGGAAAGTTTTTTGTTTTTTGGGTTTTTTTTTTTTTTTTTTTTGAGATGGAGTCTTGCTCTGTTGCCCAGGCTGGAGTGCAGTGGCGCGATCTCCGCTCACTGAAGCCTCTGGCTCCCAGGTTCAAGCAATTCTCTGCCTCAGCCTCCCAAATAGCTGGGATTACAGGCATGTACCACGACACCCAGCTAATTTTTGTATTTTTAGTAGAGATGGGGTTTCATCATGTTGGCCAGGCTGGTCTTGAACTCCTGGCCTCAAGTGATCTGCCCACCTGGGCCTCCCAAAGTGCTGGGATTACACGCATGAGCCACCATGCCCTGCCAGGAGGAAAGATTTTTTAAATATTGACATTGGAAGTACAAAGAGCCTATCCAGACCACTTGACAGTGACATCCAAAGTAAACAAGCTCCACAGAAGCACCCAGAGCAACCAATTATGATTTAAATCCCTTGTTCTTAATTATAAAGGAAGGATGACAAGATATGGAAGATAAAGACCAAACCAATAAACAAAAGAAAGCAACTTGAAGGAAATAGAGACTATACGGTGGGGGGTGGGGCGGGGGGAAACTCCAACAAAGCTATTCTTTTTTTTTTTTTTTTTTTTTTTGAGACAGGGTCTCATTCTGTTGCCCAGGCTGGAGTTTAGTGGCTCTATCTTGGCTCACTGTAGCTTCGATCTCCTGGGCTCAAGCAATTCTCCCAACTAATCCTCCTGATTAGCCAGGACCACAGGCATGCACCAATATGACCAGCTAATTTTTTTTTATTTAATTTAATTAATTTATATATTTATTTATTTGAGGTAGAGTCTAGCTCTGCCGCCCAGGCTGGAGTGTAGTGGCGTGACCGCAGCTCACTGCAACCTCCGCCTCCCAGGCTCAAGCAATTCTCCTGCCTCACCCTCTCAAGTAAGTGGGATTACAGGCGCATGCAACCACATCCAGCTAATTTTTATATTTTTTTAGTAGAGACGGGGTTTCACCATGTTGGCCAAGTTGGTCTTGAACTCCTGACGTCAAGTGATCTGCCCACCTCGGCCTCCCAAAGTGCTGGGATTACAGGCGTGAGCCACTGTGCCCGGCCACCAGCTAATTTTTGTATTTTTTTTTTTTTTTAATTTTACTTTAAGTTCTGGGATACATGTGCTGAATGTGCAGGCTTGTTACATAGGTATACATGTGCCATGGTGGTTTCCTGCACCTATCAACCTGTAATCTAGGTTTTAAGCCCTGCATGCATTAGGTATTTGTCTTAATGCTCTCTGTCCCCTTTCCCCCGACCTCCAACTTTTGTATTTTTAGAGGAGACAGGGTCTCATCATGTTGCCGAGGCTGCTGTCGAACTCCTGAGCTCAAGCAATCCACGCACCTCGGCTCCCAAAGTGGGCCACCGTGCCTGGCCAAACAAAGCTATTCTTTTTTTTTTTCGAGACGGAGTTTCACTCTTGTTGCCCAGGCTGGAGTGCAATGGCACAATCTCGGCTCACCACAACTTCCGCCTCCCGGGTTCAAGCAATTTTCCTGCCTTAACCTCCCAAGTAGCTGGGATTACAGGCATGCGCCACCATACCCAGCTAATTTTGTATTTTTGGTAGAGACAGGGTTTCACCATGTTGGCCAGGCTGATCTTGAACTCCTGACTTCAGGTGATCCACCTGCCTCAGCCTCCCAAAGTGCTGGGATTACAGGTGTGAGCCACTGCACCCAGCCCAAACAAAGCTATTCTTAATAACCTCAGAGAGACTGGGTGCAGTGGCTCCCGCCTGTAATTCTAGCGCTTTGGGAGGCCAAGGTGGGCAGATTGAAAGGCAATGGAAGGGCACCGTGGAACAATAAGGCGGAGAGGCGAGACTAAGAGGGCAAAAATCTTCTTTCTTGAGCTCTCAGGCGAGGTTCACTGGTCCGCAGGGGGAGGGCCAGGGAAGTCGCACTGTGCCAAAGGTGCAGCGCGCTTTTATGGATGCTGGGTGAAGAGTGGGCGGGGTAGGGGCGGGGTCGGTTGAGTTTCGCGCTTCTGAGTGTGACACGCCCTAGTGGGCATGCGCGTTAGTCAGGGTGGCGGGAACAGGAAAGGTGAACCCGGAAATGCTGAATCAGGGTATCCGAGGTGGCGATCGCCATCTTGGAGTCTTCACTGGAGTCCAATCACAGATCACCTGAGGTCCGGAGCTCAAGATCAGCCTGGCCAACATAGTGAAACCCCATCTCTACTAAAAATAGAAAAAATTACCGGGTCGTGGTGGCATATGCCTGTAGTCCCAGCTACTCGGGAGGCTGAGGCAGGAGAATCGCTTGAATCCAGGTGGCAGAGGTTGCAGTGAGCCGAGATCTTGACACTGCACTCCAGCCTGGGTGATGGAGCGAGACTCTGTCTAAAAAAAAAAAAAAAAATTCTGAGAGAAAATATTTCCTTTGTGAAAATAGAAAATGATGCTATGTCAAAAGAAAATTCAGAGAATTAAAAGAGCAGCTAATAGCTGAAATGAAAAATTCAACAGAAGAGTTGAAGATAAAGTTCAAGAAAGTGTTAAGAAAACAGCAAAAAGACAGACGGAAAATAGAAGAGAAGATATAAGAAAAATAAAGGGAGCACACCTGAAGGTCTCACATATGAGTAATAAGGGTTCCAGGAAGAGAGCAAGGAGAAAATGAAGCAGAAAAATCATTAGTAAAATAATTTAACAAAAATTTTTCACAACTGAAGACATGAATTGCTAGATGAAAAGGGCCCACCAAGTGCTCCTGCAAAATAGATTCTAGTAGAGCTACATTGAGCAACATCACTGTGAAGTTTCAGAACACTGGGGACAGAGATCCTATAAACTTGCAGAGAGAAAAATAGACTACTTAGAAAGGACTAGGAATCAGAATGCCTTCACACTTCTCAGCTACAATAAGACAAGAGAAAGACCTTCAAAAAAAATTTTTTTTTTTGAGATGGAGTCTCACTCTGTTGCCCAGGCTGGAGTGCAATGGCGTGATCTTGGCTCAATGCAATCTCCACCTCCCAGGTTCAAGCGTTTCTCCTGCCTCAGCCTCTCGAGTAGCTGGGATTACAGATGCCCATCTCCACGCCCAGCTAATTTTTGTATTTTTAGTAGAGACAGGGTTTCACCATGTTGGCCAGGATGGTCTTGATCTCCTGACCTCGTGATCCACCAGCCTTGGCCTCCCAAAATGCTGGGATTACAGGTGTCAGCCACCATGCCCAGCCGACCTTCAAAATTTTTCAGAGTCCAGGCACAGTGGCTCACACCTGTAATCCCAGCACTTTGAAACACAAATATGGGAAGATCACTTGAGCCCAAGAGTTTAAGGGTGCAGTGAGCTATCATCATGCCATTGTATTTCAGCCTGGGCAATAGAGCAAGACCCTGAAAATGTCTTTGCTAAATTATAACAGTAATAGAAATCCACCTCAGTTGACTCCATTTTGCTTCTAACCTTCAAACTGTCCTTGGTCATTCCCGGGTGTAGTCCAAGCTAACTTTGGGAGAAATTTAGTTTGTATTTTAACTTTAAAACAAGGATGATAATAGTCCCTCCCTAAAACTAAGCCCTTCCAGCCGGGTGTGGTGGCTCATGCCTGTAATCCCAACATTTGGGGAAGTCGAGGTGGGTGGATCACCTGAGGTGAAGAGTTCGAGACTAGCCTGACCAACATGGTGAAACCCCATCTCTACTAAAAATACAAAAAAATAGCCAGGGGTAACGGTGGATGCCTGTAATCCTAGCTACTCGTGAGGCTGAGGCAAGAGAATTGCTTGAACAAGGAGGCAGAGGTTGCAGTGAGCCGAGATGTCGCCATTGCACTCTAGCCTGGGCAACAAGAGCGAAACTCCGTCTCTAAATAGATAAATAAAAACTAAGCCTTTCCTTGCTCAGGGACTGAAAACCGCCTTTGTAAAACCACAAGATTAGGCTTATGGGAGGGACCTGAACTCTACTAAAATATAGGAGTAGTTTCCATAATCCCTTACTGCTCAGGGATCATGTGCCCAGAGGTCACAAGATTTGTGACTTCTCCAATTGCTCTTCCAGATAACATCACTATTGTAAAACCTAAAATTATTATATTATTTTTTGCAATAGTTTTCAGACTGATCCCACCCACGCTCATGACTCAGGACTCAACTAATCCTGATATTCTCACCCAGAAGCTGACTCAGCACACAAGGACCATTCTCCACACTCCTGTGATTTCATCCCCAACAAATCAGCAGCACCCATTCCCTAGACCCCTACCCACCAAATTGACCATAAAAACCATAGCCTTCAAGCCTTCAGGGTAGCTGATTTGAATGATCACTCTATTTCTCCTGCATGGGCCAGCCTCATGTCAATTAAATTATACTGCAATGCTGTGATCTCAGTGAATTGATTTTGTCTGTGCAGTGGACAGGAATAATCTGTTTGGCAATTATACACTGTCTTTACAAAAACAACAAAAATTCTTGAGTTAAAGCATTCCTACTGCAATTCTAGATTCAGCCAAACCATCAAATACACAGGAGAGAAGAAGAAAAACATTTTCAGGCCATCCACCATGGCTCACACCTATAATCCCAGCACTTTGGGAGGCCGAAGTGGGAGGATCACCTGAGGCCAGGAGTTCAAGACCAGCCTGGCCAAAACAGGGTGAAAACCCATCTCTACTAAAAATACAAAAATTAGATGGGCGTGGTGGCACGCACTTGTAATCCCAGCTACTCGGGAGGCTGAGGCGGGAGAATCGCTGGAACCTGGAGGGCAGAGGTTGCAGTGAGCCAAGATCGTGCCACTGTACTCCAGCCTGGGCGACAGAGGGAGACTCTGTCTTGTTTTTTTTTTTGTTGTTGTTGTTTGTTTGTTTTTTGAGTTGGAGTCTCGCTCTGTCGCCCAGGCTGGAGTGCAGTGGCCGGATCTCAGCTCATTGCAACCTCCATCTTCCAGATTTGAGCGATTCTATCGCCTCAGCCTCCTGAGTAGCTGGGATTACAGGTGCATGCCACACCATGCCCAGCTAAAATTTGTATTTTTAGTAGAGACGGTGTTTCACCATGTTGGCCATGCTAGTCTTGAACACCTGACCTCAGGTGATCCACCCGCCTCGGCCTCCCAAAGTGCTGGGATTACAGGCGTGAGCCAAGGCGTCTGGCTCAGTCTCACTCTGTCGCCTAGGCTGGAGTGCAGTAGTGTGATCTAGGCTCACTGCAACCTCTGCCTCCCAGGTTCAAGTGATTCTCTCACCTCAGCCTCCTGAGTAGGTGGGGATTACAGGGCGCGCCACCACGTTCAGCTAATTTTTGTATTTTACTAGAGACAGGGTTTCACCATGCTGGCCAGGCTGGTCTCGAACTCCTGACCTCAAGTGATCCACCCACCTCGGCCTCCCAAAATGCTGGGATTACAGACGTGAGCCACTGCACCCAGATTGGCTTGGGTTGTTTTTTTTTTTTTTTTGAGACAGAGTTTCACTCTTGTTGCCCATGCTGGAGTGCAATGGCGCAATCTCGGCTAACCACAACCTCCGCCTCCCAGGTCCAAACAATTTTCCTGCCTCAGCCTCCCAAGTAGCTGGGATTAGAGGCATGCACCACCATGCTCCACTAATTTTGTATTTTTTTAGTAGAGATGGGGTTTCTCCATGTTGATCAAGCTGGTCTCAAACTCCTGATCTCAGGTGATCCGCCCACCTCAGCCTCCCAAAGTGATGGGACTAAAGGCACGAGCCACTGCACCCAGCCCTTGGCTCTGTCTTAAAACAACAACAACAAAAACATTTTCAGACAATCAAGGTCTCAAAAACTTAATTCCCATGTACTCTTTCTCAAGAAGCTATTAAGGATATGCTCCCACCAAAATGAATGGAAAAAAAGAATTAAAAAAGAAGAAAACATGGTATGCTGGAGGTTTTTCTGCACTCTAATCTGTGTCATGGGAAGTTGACCATTATGGATTGTATTACAGATTCACGTGCCCTGTGGTTGTGTTCAGACAAGGAGAGCCACCAGCAAGAAATCTGGAGGACAGAATGACAAAGACAGAGTAGGGCCTTGTGAAATTTAAAAAACCTGTGAGGTAACCAACACCCATTTTGTCACTCATTTCTCACTGACCTCTATCTTACTTTTGCTTTTCTTTCTTTCCTGTCTTCTTAGTCTGCTCCAACTTTCTTACTCTTCTCCCGCTCCTTCAATAAAGAAGCTTCAAAAGCAGTCTCCATCAGCATGCATAACCATGAATGGGGCAAATTGATCAAAAGAGGCAGTACAGCCTAAAGGATAAAAGGGCATGGGTTATAAAGTCAGAAAATAGTGAGTTCAAGTTCCAGCTCTGCCACTTAACAGAGGGGTGATCCTGGGCAAGTTACTCCTAATGTAATACAAGGAAAATTATCAGTATATCCACCTCATGGATGTATAGGGTGGTTAAATACGATTAATAAATGCAAAATCTTGGCCAGGTGCGGTGGCTCACGCCTGTAATCCCGGCACTTTGGGAGGCCGAGGCTTGAAACTGGGAGGCGGAGGTTGCAGTGAGCCGAGATTGCACCACTGCACTCCAGCCTGGGCAACCAGAGTGAATCTCCATCTCAAAAAATAAAAAAAATTAAATGTAAAATCTTAGGACAGTGAGTCACAAATTAAACTCTCAATGAATGGTAGCAATAATTAACATAAATTAAAAGTGCCGGCCAGGCACAGTGGCTAATGCCTGCAATCCCAGCACTTTGGAAGGACGAGGCGGGCGGATCACCTGAGTTCAGGAGTTCAAGACCAGCCTGACCAACATGGATAAATCCTGTCTCCACTAAAAATACAAAATTAGCCAGGTGTGGTGGTGCATGCCTGTAATCCCAGCTACTCAGGAGGCTGAGGCAGGAGAATCGCTGGAACCCGGGAGGTAGAGGTTGCAGTGAGCTAGCTGAGATTGCACCATTGCGCTGCAGCCTGGGCAATAAAAGCAAAACTCCATCTCAAAAAAAAAAAAAAAGTGCCATCCACCTGGTGAGAGACAGCTAGATTGCTTTCAATTCTCCACTTCACAAATATTTAAAAAAAAATTCATATGTGGCTTATGTAGATAATAATGCTATTCTGCAAATATTTCCAGACCTTTTACTCAGCACAGAGTAGGACTGCACTTCCTAGCTACTTATTTTCCCCTTGATGATAAGTGTGACGAAGAGACTACTTTGGTGGAGGAAATGTGAATTTAACTGATATGTATTACTTAAGGGTAAAAGCTCTCAGAACCCATGTAGAATTTTAATTAACTTTCAGATTACTAGTGAATGTCTTTGTCACTGAATTACCTATTAATATGCTTTACACATTTTTATTTTTTTTAAATTTTGGGTTGTTTTTGCTATATAGGATTTCTATGTCTACGCTGGGTCTGTGACAATTGAGCACTTGAAATGCAGCTAGAAATGAATTTTTCATTTCATTTCACTCCATTTAATTTAAATTTAAAACTGAAGCAGCATTTTGGTAAATGTACGTTTTACTTTAACTTATGTTAAGATATTGTTATTGTTTTATTATAGTACACATTTTTCTTATACATTATATATATTATACATACATTATTTCTTATGTGTTATACATAATATTCTTATGTATTATACATAACATATTCTTATGTATTATTTCTTATGTATTATACATAAAAACATCACCAATGTAGCCAGTACCAATGGACTGATTTGGTTTGAATGATTTTTTTCTGTGAACTATGTAACACTGCAATGTGTTTATTTGAATATTTTGTGCAAACAACAAGAGTTATAGTGATACCTACTTAAACCATCCTTCATAATTAAACTTATCCATCCTGCCAATCTCTGCCTTTTAATTGGCGTATTTAGATTAGTTATATTGAAAGTAATGATTGGTGTGCTGGGCTTAAGTTGGCTATTTTATTAATTGTTTACTGTTTGTTCCCTCTGTTTTTCATTCCTCTGTTTCCCCTTTCTCACCTTTCTGTGGGTCACTTGAAAATGTTTTAGAATTACATTTTGACTTTATAGTTTTTTGAGTATATTTCTTTGAATAGTTTTCTTAATGGTTTCCCTAGGTATTACAATATACTTGCATAATTTATCACAGTCTAACAGCGTTGACATTTTACCACTTTGAGTGTAGAAACCTTACTTCCATTAGGTCCTTTCACTCTTTCACTTTTTTAAATTGAAATGTTTGTTCTGCTAATTGTAGATTCACATGCAGTTGTAAGAAATAACAGAGATAGATTCCTTATATGCTGATTCCAGTTTTCCTCAATGGTAAAACTTTAAAAAACTGTATCATAACAGTATAACTAGGATACTGACATTGATACAATCCACAGATCATATTCAGATTTCCCATTGGAATCATTTGCATGTGTGTGATGTATTAAGTTCCATATATATATTATATATATGTATATGTGTATATATACGTGTGTGTGTGTGTGTGTGTGTGTATATATATATATATATATTTTTTTTTTTTTTGAGATAGAGTCTCCCTCTGTTGCCCAGGCTGGAGTGCTGTGGCACAATCTCGGGTCACTACAACCTCTGCCTCCCGGGTTCAAGCCATTCCCCTGCCTCAGCCTCTCAAGCAGCTGGGATTACAGGCTCCCACCACCACACCCGGCTAATTTTTGTATTTTTAGTAGAGACAGGTTTCACCATGTTGGCCAGGCTGTTCTCGATCTCCTGACCTCAGGTGATCCACCCACCTTGGCCTCTCAAAGTCCTGGGATTACAAGCATGAGCCACCACACCCGGCCAAGTTCCATATATTTTTATCTTCTGTGCAGGTTTGTGTATCTACTGCCACAGTCAAGATGCTAAACAGTTCCAACACGACAGGGAGCCCACCTGATGCCTTTTACACCCACATCCACCTCCCTCCCACCTCTGCCAACCACTTTTTAAGATTCTAGACTAACAAGATGACTAATATCCTAAAATATCCTGCATTCTGCAGAGAAACTTGGAATAATGTACAAATTAAATCCATTACTTCTCATCCCTTCAGAAATTATCAAATAATCATAAAAAGGCAGGATATTGAAATTGATGCAATCTACTGATTATATTCAGATGTTCTAATTTTACTGGTATTCATTTGTGTGTGTGTGTGTGTTTATATATTGTTTTCTGTTTTTGTCTTTATTTTTATTATGTGTTTATATATTGTTTTATACAATGTTATCACCTATGTAGGTCATGTACCCACTACTACAATCAAGATATTCAACTGTTCCAAAACACAAAGATCCTCTGTGTTGCTCTCATAACCACATCCTCCTACCTTCCCCTGCCCCCACCCTCTGGCAACCATTTATCCTGGCAATATATATCCATTTCTAAAATTTCGTCATTTCAAAATGTTAGAAAGATGAAATCACACAGTATACAACCTATAGGTGGCTTTTTTTTAATTCAGCATAATTCCCTAGCAATTTATCCCTCCCCACCTCTTAAACATAATGTCTTAAGTATTTCCTCCACATACATTGAATATCACATCCAATTGGTATTATAATTTTTTAATCCTGTGATGGGCAGAATAATGCCCACTCTCAAAGATGTCCACATCCTAATAACCCAAAACAGTTAATAGGTTATGTGGCAAAGGAGAAGTAAGGGAGCAGATGGAATTAAGGCTGCTAATCAGCTGACTTTAAAAAGAGAGATTATTCTATACTATCAAGGGGAGCCCAATATAGTCGTAAGGATTCATAAAAGTGGAAGAGCAGTCAGTTCTATGCCCAGAGTCCCAGCTACTGGGGAGGATGAGGTGAGAGGATTGCTTGAGCCAAGGAGTTCCAGGCCACTCTGGGCAATATAGCAAGACCCCATCTCACACAAATGTACAGACGGACAGACAGACAGACAGACAGACAGACATAAGTGTGGGAGAGAGAGACAAAAAAGAAAACCAGAGAGGTAGCAGTGTGAGTGTGAGACGGACTCAACCAACACTGCTGTCTTTGAACGTGGAAAAAAGGTGCCATGAGCCAACAAAAGCAGCTGTCCTCTAGAAAATGGGAGAGACAAGGAAATGCAGTCTCCCCTAGTCTCCAGAAGGAATGCAGCCCTGCTGACACCTTGATTTTAGCCTAGTGAGACTCATTTTGTGCTTCTGCTCTCTAGAACTATCAGATAATACATTTGTATTGTTTAAGCCCTTGTGTTTGCAGTGACTTGTTAGAGCTGCAATAGGAAACAAATTTAAACCATTAAACATAATTTTTAAAACATAAGAGATAAAAAATATTCTATTATAGTTACCCTATTTTTTCTCATTCCGTTGTTCTTTCTTTCTTTCTAAAGTTCTATGCCTGCTGCTATCATTTCCTTTGAAGAATATCCTTAGTCATTCTTTAAAGGTAGGTCAACTGGTAATTCTCTTAGTTTCCTTCGTCTGAGAAGAAATTAAATTTAAATACCCAGTATTGTAACCATAATAAAATCATTTTTATTTTATTTTTTTAATTTTTTTCTTTGTTTTTATTATTATTATTATTACTATTATTATACTTTAAGTTTCAGGGTACATGTGCACAATGTGCGGGTTAGTTACATATGTATACATGTGCCATGCTGGTGTGCTGCACCCATTAACTCGTCATTTAGCATTAGGTATATCTCGTGCTAACCCTCCCCCCTCCCCCCACCTCACAACAGTCCCCAGAGTGTGATGTTCCCCTTCCTGTGTAGCTTAAAAATGAACCAAATTTAAATATAAAATGAATGCATACCACTAATGCAGAATAAAGTGGAGATACAGAAACTAGTACTACAACTGGGCTATTAAAAGAAAAGGACTGGCCGGGTGCAGTGGCTCACGCCTGTAATCTTAGCACTTTGGGAGGCCGAGGCGGGCAGATCACCTGAGGTCAGGAGTTCGAGAGCTGCCTGACCAATATGGTGAAACCCCATCTCTACTAAAAACACAAAAATTAACCGGGCATGGTAGCGGGTGCCTGTAATCTCAGCTACTCAGGAGGCTGAGGCAGGAGAATCGCTTGAACCCAGGAGGCAGAGGTTGCAGTGAGCCAAGATCGTGCCATTGCACCCCAGCCTGGGGGACAGAGCAAGACTCCGTCTCAAAAAAAAAAAAAAAAATGCCGGGCGCAGTGGCTCACGCCTGTAATCCCAGCACTTTGGGAGGCCGAGACGGGTGGATCATGAGGTCAGGAGATCGAGACCATCCTGGCTAACACAGTGAAACCCCGTCTCTACTAAAAATACAAAAAATTACCCAGGTGTGGTGGCGGGCGCCTGTAGTCCCAGCTACTCGGGAGGCTGAGGCAGGAGAATGGCGTGAACCCGGGAGGCAGAGCTTGCAGTGAGCCAAGATCGCACCACTACACTCCAGCCTGGGGGACAGAGCAAGACTCCGTCTCAAAAAAGAAAAAAAAAAAAAGAAAAGGACTGAAAGAAAGCATGTCACAAATTCTACGATGAATGGAAATTGCAATTTGCTGTAACACAGCAAAATGAAAAAAGCTATTTGTGTGTAAAAAATATTTTAAGCAATAAATTAGACAATATTAAGAGACATTTTAAGTAAATACATAATGAATTTGGTAAGACATTTCCCCTTGGAAGTCAAAAAAGAAATCAAAATTGTAGTTCAAAATAGGAGTTGAATATACGACCAAAAAATCCTTAATGCTTCTTAACAGGATCTGAGATTATAATTTTATTTTATTTATGTTTTTAAGACAGAGTCTTGCTGTGTTGCCCAGGCTGGAGTGCAGTGGCACGATCTTGGCTCACTGCAACCTCTGCCTCCCAGGTTCAAGCGATTCTCATTCCTCAGCCTCCCAAGTAGCTGGGACTACAGGTGCACGCCACCAGGCCTGGTTAATTTTTTTGTATTTTTTGGTAGAGATGAGATTTTGCCATGTTGGTCAGGCTGGTTTCAAACTCCTGACCTCAGTTGATTTGCCCACCTCAGCCTCCCAAAATGCTGGGATTACAGGCATAAGCCACCGCACCTGGCCCCTGAGCTTGTAATTTTAGACAGCTAAAAGATGTGTTGGATTCTTACAGAAAGAAAGGAGGGAGGGGAGGAAGGAAACAGAAAAGGAAGGAAGGAAGGAAGGAAGGAAGGGAGGGAGGGAGGGAGGGAGGGAGGGGAAAGGGAGGGATGAAAAATGAAAGTCATTTTAAGTCAGATAGTAAAACAAATTATTTCAGTTGTGGAAATTTTGCTAGAAAATTATGAGAAAAAGACTAAAGAAGATATTTTACAAAAAGTGAAAGACCTTCAACTAAGCCATTAAAAAATGGCCCATAGATTACAAGAACTTTCCAACGATACAGTATCAAAGATCAATTGATTAACAATTTAAAAAATTACAAGTACTTTTCTTTAGCTTTAAAATGGATGATGTGATATAAGAGACAATGTCAGCCGGGCATGGTGGCTCACATCTGCATTCCCAGCACTTTGGGAGGCCAAGGCGGGTGGATTACCTTAGGTCACAAGTTCAAGACCAGCCTGGCTAACATGGTGAAACCCCGCCTCTATTAAAAAAAAAAAAAATTAGCCAGGCGTGGTGGCAGGCACCTGGAAACCCAGCTACTCGGGAGGCTGAGGCAGGAGAATCACTTGAACCTGGGAGGTGGAGGTTACAGTGAGCCAAGATCGTACCATTGCACTCCAGCCTGGGCTACAGAGTGAGACTCTATCTCAAAAAAATGACAATGTCTATTAATACTTTGGGTATATTTGTGTCTCAAAGGACTTCCAAAACTATGAAGTTTTATTAAATTTGAATTAAAAACACCTAAATTTCTGGAGCAGTTTTTCATCTTTTATAACCATCAAAGAAGAATTTGTGCCTATAATGACAGATGGTGGCCCATATATGTTAGGTAAAAATCCAGATTTGTTGGAATGGTAAGACAAGAGATTTCTATTTCATTTATTGCTTTGTTCCACTGTATGATATGTATTGAAAATCTTTGTGCTCAGTTTTTTAAAGCACACCATATGAAAACTGTTATGGAGTACAATTACTTTAAAGTCATTTAGGGCCAGGCGTGGTGCCTCACACCTGTAATCCCAGCACTTTGGGAGGCCAAGGCAGGCAGATCACCTGAAGTCAGGTGTTCAAGATCAGCCTGGCCAACATGGTGAAACCCAGTCTCTACTAAAAATACAAAAATTAGCTCGGCATGGTGGCGGGTGCCTGTAATCCCAGCTATTCGGGAGGCTAAGGCAGGAGAATCGCTTGAGCCCAGGAGGCAGAGGTTTCAGTGAGCCGAGATCGCATCACTTCACTCCAATCTGGGTGACACAGCAAGACTGCCTCTAAATAAATAAATAAATGTCATTTAGTATCTATACACTAATGCTATAAATCATTGCCAAGTTATGGAACTTTTGAAAGAAATAGACTGATAGAATTAAGACTGATTTTCTTAATCTTGTGTTCTCTGCCTGTGCTCATTGATAATAGTTGTGGAAGAATTTTTATTTTATTTTATTTTTATTTTTTTTTTGAGATGGAGTCTCGCTCTGTCACCCAGGCTGGAGTGCAGTGGCACAATCTCAGCCCACTACAAGCTCTGCCTCCTGGGTTCACGCCATTCTCCAGCCTCAGCCTCTCAAGTAGCTGGGACTACAGGTGCCCGCCACCAAGCCCGGCTAATTTTTTTTTTTTTTTTTTTTTTTTTAGTAGAGATGGAGTTTCACCATGTTAGCCAGGATGGTCTCAATCTCCTGACCTCGTGATCCACCCGCCTCGGCCTCCCAAATTGCTGGGATTACAGGCGTGAGCCACTGCGCCCGGCCAAGAATTTTTAGAAAGTACTTTTAACTCCAATTTAATATGTTCCTGAATTGGAAGGAATATTCAATAATCAAAGACAAAATGACAATATGATTTATGTTTTCTCACAGATATCACACTACATATGAAAGAGCTAAATTTTAAACTCCAAAAGAAAGGAAGAGCTTATTAGTGATTTAGCCAGACAGGAACAACAATTTATGTTGAAATTGAAACTCTTCATAATAAAAATCAGAAACAATGACTTTATACATTTTTTTTTTTTTTGAGACAGGTTCTCACTCTGTTGCCCAGGCTGGAGTACAGTGGTGCAATCTCAGCTCACTTCAATCTCTGCCTCCTGGGCTCAAGTGATCCTCCAGCCTCAGACCCTCAAGTAGCTGGGACTACAGGTGCGAGCCAGCATGCCTGACTAATTTTTTTTGTATTTTTTGTAGAGACAGGGTTTCACCGTGTTGCCCAGGCTGGTATTGAACTGAGCTCAAGCAATCCACCCACCTCACCCTCCTAAAGTGCTGGGATTACAGGCGTGAGCCACTATGCCTGGCCAGAATGGTTTTAGTTTTTAATGTGACTAAAAATTTTAAATTACATATGTGACTCACATTTCATTTCTAGTGGACAGCACTGATGTAAATATTATCCTTTGTTTTTGATGCTGCAACTATCTTCTCCTTGTCTATTAACTTTGTTTTTGGTAACCTTTGCTGAAAAAAATGCTGTAACATTAATGTAGCTAAGTCATCAATTTTCCACTTATTGTTTGTACTTCAATGGTTTAATAAACTCCACAAAGATAATTCTTTATTTTCTTCTTCTGGTTCTGAATACTCACCTGTCTCATTTAGGTCTTTAATTCATTTAGAGTCCATCTTTCTATAGTGTAACGTAAAAGTCCAGCTTTTTCTCCAGATGATGAGCCAGTTTTCCCAATACTATATTCTAAACAAGGCATTCTTTTCCATTTTTACCACATTTATTGTATATCAAATTCCCATATGCACACAGATCTATTTCTGAACTCTCCCTCTGTTCCGTTCATCTGTTCCTACACCAGAACCACACTGCTTTTGCTTTGTAATATTCCTCAATAACTAGTAGGTTGAATCACTCATTCGTATGCTGATATAAATATATCAGCCTAAAACATCCCAACAAAAGTTTCTTTACTTTCCCTTTGCTTTATCTTATCGGCTATAGAGTTTGGCCTTTTAAGTAATATTAATAAATATTGCCATTAGAACTTTCTTTGACTGCCTTTTCTTTAAGGATGTTTTTCTCAGTAGATCTTTTAGAGCTGTGATAGAGTTAAAAACTCATCTGCTCATATCTGATAAACCACATGGATGATGAGCAAACCTCTAGTGAGCACCTGCTATTGCAACTGTCTCTTGCATCAGTTAGAGTTCTTTGGCTTCCACTGATAAAAATCAGTGGAGGAAAAGCTGAACAGCCAGGATTCAAGAAGAACAAGAATCAATGTTGGCTACTCTAACCTTCTCTTACTCAATAAGACATGAGTTCTTCAAACTCTTCCTCTCATACCTGTTTACTTTTTTTTTTTTTAAACTGGTTTCTTGAGAAAAAAAAAAAAAGAGAAAGGACAGATGTTTTACCTCTTTCCTAACCACGTGGTATCTTCAGTCTCATATTATTGTTATTAATATTTATTATACCAGACAGACAGCTCTGGGGATAAAGGAATCGATAGCTAGTGTTTCCAAGGGAAATGGATCAGCTGTAATCATTTCCCTTCTTTGCATCATTCCACTTATAAATCAGTTTTTAGGAGATGGAATAAGATTTAGACCAAAGCAGGTTCCCCTAGCATGGGCACTAAAGGATCACTCTCTTATTTGGTGCCATCGTTGTTTTCCAAAATTCAATTACATTTTAACCATGTAACTCTCTCATTCAGACACTTTAAGCAACTTTCAGTGTCTACAAATTAAATACAGATTCCTTAGCGTGGCATTCAAGGTCTTCCTAATATGACCACAACTTGCCCTTGTAGGCATATCCTATACTTTCCCATCTTCAGGCTTTTGTTGTGTTATTTCTTCTTTGTGAAACACCTTTGCCTTTGGAAATTCTACCAGTGTCTTAAGGCGTATTTCAAATGCCACATCCTCAATGTTGGCTATCTAACCTTCTCCCACTCAATAAGACATGAGCTGTCCTTCAAACTCTTTCTCTCATACCTGTTTTACCTTTTTCTAAAACAAAAAACAAACAAACAACAACAAAAAAATGGTTTCTTGAGAAAGGACAGATGTTTTACCTCTTTCTTACCATGTGGTGTCTTCAGTCTCATATTATTGTCATTAATATTTATTATATTATCTATTCTCTGAGCAGCCCTTGCATCCTTCTCCTTCCCTTTTTGCTTGTTACCCAGAGTTGGCTTCTGTTGCCTGCAACTAAAGAACCATGATATAATTTTTTGGTCTCTTTTAATTAGTTTAGACAATTAGACTCCTGCACATTTCTGTCACACTTGCTTGTTGTGGTTTATTCTTGACTGAATCTTTATGAAAGACACAAAATTAGAAGTTTTTAAAAAATGTTTTTTCCGTCTGCATTTGGTAGGGTATAGGGATTAAGGCTGGAAATCAGGGTAGGGTAAGGGGCACAAAACACAAATAGAAAAGACAGAGGAAGAGAACAGAATAAACGAAGGGGTAAGTTTTTAAAATATGTTGAAGTGCCCTCCCCTCAGAGAGATTAGATCAGGTAGAAGCAACAGTTTGAGAACTGATGCAAGGCTGAAAAATGGGTACTGGGGGGTGGGAGTGAGGTGAGAAATGTAGTGAATGGCCAAGGCTTTAAGAATTTTTAAATCCTTTGGAGAGGAAAATGAATGCAAGGCCCAGATTCAGCAGAAAGTCTCTCAGGATTCATGGAAGTCCATATTCTGAGGTAATGGTGCTTGAGCCTATAACAGTTATAAGAATTTTCAAGAAGAGTTTTGGTTTTTTAAAAAATATATGAATTATTGCTTATATAATTTATTTTTATTTTTATTTTATATGGAGTCTCACTCTGTCACCCAGGCTGGAGTGCAGTGGCGTGATTCCAGCTCACTGCAGCCTCTGCCTCCTGGGTTCAGGCGATTCTTGTGCCTCAGTCTCCCAAGTAGCTGGGATTACAGGTGCCTGCCACCATGCTTGGCTAATTTTTGCATTTTTAGTAGAGATGGGCTTTTACCATGTTGGCCAGGCTGTTCTTGAACTCCTGACCTCAAGTGATCCGCCTGCCTTGGCCTCCCAAAGTGCTGGGATTACAGGCGTGAGCCACTGTGCCCGGCCAGAATTATCGCTTATATAATTTATATTTTGGGGTTGACATTAGTAAATATAGAAGTGGGGGAGCAGGACATAAATGTGGGGAGGGGGAATCATCGGAGCTTAGGAGTGAAAGACTGTAGTTTTACTTCAATATTTCCAGTCCCTGGCACTGCACTGACACAAAAAGAACCCTCAAACGCTTATGAGTAAATCGGTAAGTTGATGAATGAATAAAGTAGCAAAAAATCAGGATCCGTGAGCTATTCTGAAGGATTTCAGAGATGCTGCAAATTTGCAAGAGTAGGAATGACCATGGAGAGAATGTTCTTACATAGTTCAGTTTAACTGAAATATTTGTGAGATACATACTCTGTGCTCTGCACCTGCACTTCGGGAAAATACAAAGACAAGGAACAGTCCCTACTCCTACATAACTCACAATTCTGTATGTGAACAGGGAGAAATCGCAATATTAATAGCAATTATATGAGACTGAAGATACTACATAGCAAGAAAGAGGTAAAACATCTGTCCTTTCTCAAGAAACCAGTTTAAAAAAAAAAAAAGTAAAAAGATATGAGAGGAAGAGTTTGAAGGACAGCTCATGTCTTATTGAGTGGGCCAACATTGAGGATGTGGAATTTGAAATACGCCTTGAGGCACTGTTAGAATTTCCAAAGACAAAGGTGTTTCACAAAGAAGAAAAAACAAAAACAAAACCCTGGAGATGGGAAAGTATAGGATATGCCTAGAAGGGCAGGTTGTGGTCATATTAGGAAGACCTTGAATGCCATGCCAAGGAATCTGTATTTAACTGTAAGCACTGAAAATCACTTAAAGTGTCTGAATGAGAAAGTTACATGGTTAAAATCAGTGTTTTAAAGAAAATGTGCCTGTCAGAGTTTTGTAGAATCTTGCTGCTCAAAGAGTGGTCAAGGACCAGAAGCATGGGCTTTACCTGGGAGCCTACTAGCAATGCAGAATCTCAGGTCCCCATCCCAGACCCACAGAATCTAAACCTGTACAGTAGCAAGAGCCCCAAGCAATTTGTTTGCACATTAAAATTTGAGAACCACCGGTATAGAATATAATTGAAGAGGAAGACTTGACCTAAGAAAACCAGTTAGAGGACTAGGCCAAAGATAGCTGAACAAAGAGGGTGGCTAATGAGGGAGCCCGGAAAGGGAGAAGACAGAAATGACACAGGGCTTTTAGCCTGGATGGCGATGGCATATTTCTGCCTCACTCATTTTCCTAATAGGTTAATCCTCTTCCCTTATTCATTAAAGTCATTGTTTTCTGTTAATACATTTTTTCTACTTGGTTCTTCTATTCATTAGCAAGCACTGCTTCTTTCTGACTGTGCTCATAGGTCATAAAGCAAATGAGAAATTTTCTTGAGCCTCGTTCTTAAGGGATGCAGATTGCAACTACTGCTGTGCTATACGCTGGAGGAAAGAAATCACATAAAGCGATTAGAAAGGAGAAAAAAAATAAGTGAAACTACCTTCTCATGTACTTCAGGGTTTTCCTCCCTTCTGAGTTTAATATGAATCAAACAGGTGTGCATTCAAAGCATGCAAGTGTGTCTTCATTGGCTTTTAATCATCAGCTTGAAGAAAATTCAGATCTCTCAGAAAGAGAGAAAAGTAAACAGCTGAGCACTGTGACTCATTTACACTTCAAATATACTTTGAATTGGTTATTCCTCAATTAATCAAATAGCTGGTGTATCCCTAAAGTAGTATAAAGTGACGCACTGTGTGAAATCAATTTTTCTTTCCAAAATCATTAAATCCAGTAGCCTGTGACTACATCCCTGCTAATTCTGGTACCAGTCCTTTCCTCCTCCATTAACTTTGGCACGCCTAACAGCCTGTCAAGAATAATTTCCCAGGACGTAAATAATTCAGAAATTAAAAATTAATAAATAATAACAGAGAACTACTGGGAAATAGGCTGGGTCAATTAGTGCGCTCTGCATTCTGTTTCTTCACAGCAGGGGGAGGCAGCCACATTCGTTACTTGAATCTTCCTTTCGATTCTGCAGTCTGATTTACAGCTCTTCATTACTGGATCCAGTCAGACGCAATTACCTCCATCACTATCTCAGTTCCTAACTTCAAAGAAACGAACGTTTTCTTGTCTGCTTTTTTTCTCCTTGAAGCAGGCTCAGCTTGACATCCCTGGAATTTCTACCACGCAGACTAATTAATAAGTCTTCGACTTATCATATTCACTTCTCTTCTTTGATGTGCTACCTTAGTCAATCATCCCATTTAATTAGAATTTCAATGATAACTTTACTTATCTTGTGGCTAGATGTAAATTAAAATAATGGGATTTTAATTCTCTTTCGTATGGGGTTATGACATTTTGGAAGAAAAAGTTTCAACACAAACATGATATTATGTACTTTTTACTTTTCATGTGGGGGTGGGGGAGCATTTTGCAAAATTATTTTCTTCTTGCTACAAAAGAGTATTGCTGTTGAGCAAGCAATAATGAAAATGCACTGGATTTTTCTATAGCATCTTTTCACCAAGCTTTCATAGGAAAACAATTGTCTTCATTTGCATAAATAATTGGAACAAGACACAGGACGTGGAACAAGACACAAAGGCAGTGGCTACGTTTTGGGAAAAAAAAAAAAAAAAGGATCTCCAGAAAGTCAAGGAGTTGACACACTAACCCTTTTAACTCTTTTGCCCTTTTCTGTCAATCCATGCTATGTTTCCATTTTGATAAATTCTATAGTGGTTTTTCTAGAGTTCCCCAAAATAACACAAGGAAATAAAAATGTTCTCCTAAGAACACACCAAACATTAGTAAGGTATAAGGTGTAACAGTGATGTGCAAAACTGGTTATAAGGAAGAGCAGAAGGCAGCATTTCATTTCTAGAAAACAATACTAAGACCATTTATCTATTGAGCAGCCATGGTGTGCCAGCCTCAGCTACGTGCTTTATCTCCGTTAATTCCCGCAGCACACCCACAATATGGGATTCCCACTTCCATGTTACAGATAAAGAGACAGTCTCAGTGAGGTTAACTTGCTTTCTGAAGTTCACAAAGGTAGCACGTGAGGAGAAAGAAATCAAAAGACAAGGCACGAGAGAAACAATTTAAGCCTTTAAGCATAGCATTTAAAACTTTCCATCGTCTGGCTTCAAACTGCTTGCTAAACTCACTCTCTTCCTACTTTACTACATTAACTCATCCAGAATAAAACTCCAGGCATGAGTTTAGTATCTACTGTATTATACCTTATTAATAATATATGCCTTATTAATACATTTTTGATGGTTGCTTTAATGCTTATAGACATTGGCAGAAATTCAGTCATTGTGGATGTAAATAGGGGGCATGTTTGTATATAAAACACCATGGTGACCTCAATCATTATAAATACATTGTTTTTAAATAGCAAGTACAAACAGAAAATCATATACTATATATACAAGCTTAAAAGAAGAAAATAAGCTTTGCTCAGATTTTCTTATTTTTTCCCAGGAATAAAATTATTAGCTGTTTCATTGGTTGCTTTTAAAAAAGTTACTAACAATAGGAACATCAATGGGAATTGCACATAATTATTCTGCCCTTAATCTCAATCATTCCCTTCCTCCACCCTCAGTAACAATGTCCAGTAAGACAAGAAGCAGAGGTTACAATGACCAATAGAAATTTATTTCATTAGTAAGATGTGAAACCACTGTATTTATACCATTTTGAATCTAACCTTTCGGGGATTTAGTACAGTTGTTCTTTAACAATAGAACTTCGCTCATTTGCTACTTAAGACATGATTATTTAAATTAAAGTTAATTGGTTTCCTTACTCCCCTTTAGGGCTTTAGGCTCAGAACATTTCTATTAGAAAAATCTAATTTGTTTCAAACTCCTATTTCTAAAATTTACAGTGGTTATTTAGAGTGGCTCTGATATTTTAACTCTTTGTAGCAAAACTTGTACAATGTGTTTGTGTTTTAAGCTAAGTGTTATTACCAAAAAGTCAAAAAGTTAAATTTTTTTTAAACTTTATAAAGTAAAAAAGTAACAGTAAGCTTATTAAGGTTAGTCTATTATTGAAGAAAAAACTTTTTATAAATTTAGTGTATATAAAACATATATATAGTGTGTATATAGAGTATATATATTTATCTTTTTATATATAAATATATATATAGTGTATACAAAGTGTATAGTGTTTATAAAGTCTACCATAGTGTATAGTAATGTCCTAGGCCTTCCCATTCACTCACCACTCACTCACTGACTCACCCAGAGCAACTTCCAGTCCTGCAAGCTCCCTTTATAGTCAGTGCCCTATACAGGTGTACCATTATCTTTTATATCATATTTTTCTTCTACCTTTTCTATGTTTAGATATGTTTAGATACACAAATACTTACCATTGTGTTACAATTGCCTACACTATTCACTGCAGTAACATACTGTACAGGTTTGTAGACTAGAAGCAGAAGGCTATACTATAAAGCCTAGGTGTGCAGTAGACTCTACCATCTAGGTTTGTGTAAGTACACTCTATGATGTTCACACAAAGACGAAATCACCTAACATATTTCTCAGAATGTATCTGTCATTAAGCAACATATGACTATAATTGGGCCATTCACAAATAATCACGAGATTAATAAAAGGCATTGATTCATGGTGCAATATAGGCTATGAGGCCCAATAATGGAAAAACGTGTAAAAGTTCTACAATGAAAATGCTTTTAATCTCTTTACTTTATCTCCATAGCTGTTAAGTCTAACCTTCGCTAGAATACTAAATTTTATTATTTGATATTCTTCTTGAATAATTCCTTGGTAGGCGCTAATCTCTACTTATTCATTCATTTAAAAAATATTTTTGAATGCTTACTGTTTGCCAAGCACTGCTCTAGGTATTGGAAACATGTAAGTCAAAAAAAGGAAAAAAGAAAAAAAGGACCAAACTTCCTAGCCTCATGGAGTATACTTGTAGTGGAGACAGAGTACACTTGTAGTGGAGACAGACGACACACAATAAGCACAATAAATAAATATATAGTATGTTAGAAAGTGATAAGTGTGAGGAAAAAAAGAACCTGGTGGGAGGAACTAAAAATGCCAATGGAGGACAGCAAAAAGTGCAATTTAAATGAGATGATTAGGATGGGCCTCATTTCAAAAGTGACCTTGAGCAAAGGCATAAAGGAAATGGGAGCAAGCCATGCAGATACGTGGGGAACAGCATTCCAGGCAGAAGAACAGCCAGTGAGACATGAAAACCATGATGTCTTACGCAAATTAGAAAAGGCGCCCCATCACCCTCCTCCAATATGATTCACTACATTAGTTGATCTAAAGAGAAAATTTAAACTCTCATCTTAATAGATAGTAAGAAGGCAATTCATAAATTAATATCCCTTCCTGACATGGTAAAAAAAATAAATAAATAGTAATCAGTGGCTATTTTCTTAACATATGACATAGTGGAGAAACATGGATGTTTTCCTGCATTCAGGAATTAGACAAAAATGCCATTAATCTATCTACTATTTATATTTAGTATTGCATTTGAGATATAAGCCAATGGGATTGAATAATAGGCATAAGAATTAGAAAGGAGGAGGTAATATCTGAAAAAAATAAAATCAATAAAAAGTTAATACCAATCATAAGATAATTCAGTAAGGTAGCAGGGCATACATGAATAAACAAAAATCCATAGCCTTCAATTTAAAAGAAAACAATTAAATGGAGTAGTGGGTAAGAGTATACCACTTATGTTAACAGCAAAACAGATAAAATACCTAGAGATAAACTTAATAAGAAATGTACAGAGCTTTTAGGGATAAAACTTTAAGGACACAGCAAACAGATATTCCATGTTCTTAGATAAGATGACTCAGGATCATAAAGATGTCAAGTATCCCTAAGCTAATACACAAACTTGACACATAAAAATGTCAACTTTTGTTTGGAGTTAAACAAGTTGATGCTAAAAATTTGTATGTAATAATCAGTAAGAATTGTCAAGAAAACCCTGAAAAAGTAGAACAACATTGGGAGGGGTCAGTCTTACTAGATATTATATCATTTATTATACAAAGCATCTTGAATTAAAACAAAGTGGTCTTAGAAAATGAGTAGATATCTAGGACCTAAAATCAATTTTTCATAAAACCAAGAGAAACATCAGACCGTACAAACAGATCCTAAGAAAACCCAGATAATGAAACATTGAAATAATTATGCTAAGTGTGTTTAAGCATTCAAAGAAAAAAGTCAAGACTGAAAATTTCAGCCTAGAATGGGAAACATAAACAGAAAAACAAATTGAAAGTTTAGAATAGAAAAATGTAATAACTGAAATTACAAACTCGAGGGATGGGTTTAACAGCACATTAGACATTGCTGGACTGGGAGACAGGTCAGAAGCATGTTAAGAACAAAAAGGTTTAAATATTAAAGAGCGGGAAAGAAACTATGGTGGTTTTAACATATAATCCTAAAATCACTGATAATCTTTCCATCAAGAATGAGGATATATAGGCTGGGCACAGTGGCTCACGCCTGTAATCCCAGCACTTTGGGAGGCCGAGGCAGGTGGATCACGAGATCAGGAGATCGAGACCATCCTGGCTAACATGGTGAAACCCCGTCTGTACTAAAAAAAAAAAAAAAAAAAAAAAAAAAAGAAAAGCCAGGCATGGTGGTGTGCACCTGTAGTCCCAGCTACTCAGGAGGCTTAGTCAGGAGAATGGTATGAACCCAGGAGGCAGAGCTTGCAGTGAGCCGAGATTGCACCACTGCACACCAGCCTGGGCAACAGAGCAAGACTCTGTCTCAAAAAAAAAAAAAAAAAAAAAAAGAATGAGGATATATGTCTACTGCCTTTGAATCTTTTTAGGTTTCTGACACCCTTAACCAATAGAGTATGATTGAAGTGATGCTATGTGACTTCCAAGGCCATGCATCTTCTGTTGTTTCTCTTACAATGCTTTTTTCCTAGATGCTTTCTCTTGAGAACCTACCTCCCAGAACCAAATTGCCATTTGTGAGAATTCTAAGCCTTATAGAAAGGCTATATGTAGTTGCTCTGGTTGACAGTTCCATATGAGAGCCCAGCCTTTGAAGCAGCCCAGTCCAGGCATTAAACTAAAAAGTGTTCAGATAATTCTACCTTCTACCCCCACCCCATGATGATTAATTTCTTTTTTTTTTTTTTCAGATGGGGTCTCACTCTGTCACTCAGGTTGGAGTGCAGTGGTGCCATCTCAGCTTACTGCAACCTCTGCCTCCCAGGCTCAAGTAATCCTCCCACCTCAGCCTCCTGAGTAGCTGAGACCACAGGTATGCACCACCACACCTGGCTAACTTTTTTGTATTTTTGGTAGAGATGGGGTTTTGCCATGTTGCCCAGGCTGAACTCAAGCAATCTGTCCACCCTGGCCTCCCAAAGCACTGGGATTACAGGTGTGAGCCACCACGCCCAGCCTGATGATTAATTTCATGTGTCAACTTGACTGGGCTAAGAGATGCCCAGATAGCTGGTAACATTATTTCTGTGGGTCTGTGAAGGTGGCTTCAGAAAAGATTAGCATTGGAATCAGTACACTAAGTAACGAAGATTGCCTTCACAATGTAGGTGAGTATCATCCAATTTGTTGAGGGTCTGAATAGAAAAACATGCGGAGGAGAGTGAATTTTCTCTCTGCTTAAGCTGGGACATTCATGGTCTCTGTTCTTGAATATCAGCACTCCTGGTTCTTGGGACTCTGGACTCAGACTAGGGCTTATACGACCAGCTGTCCTGGTTTTCCAGCTTGCAGATGGCAGATTGCAGGGCCTCTCTGCCTTAATCACATGAGCCAATTCCTATAATAAATAAACAAATAAATGTATACCCTATCAGTTCTGTTTCTCTAGAGAACCCATGCACACCTTAGCTGTTCAAGTTACCCCCCAGTTGAGGCTCCAATCATTACATAGTAAAGGCAAACTATTCTCATTATACCATGTAGAAATTCCTGATCCATAGAATCCATGAGCATACTAAAATGATTATTTTATGCTTAGTGGCATAAAGTACTGAAAGCAAGAAAATCAAGAAAAAACAACTGCCAATAACGAGTTCTATTTTTAGCATAACAAAAGCTGTTGGTGTCTTGCAACACATTCCTTCATTCCACTTCTAATTTTGGCTTCCTTTGTAGTCTACTGATTAGTAATCATAATCACATGTACAAAACCCCTTAAAATTTTTTTTTTAGAGACAGGATCTCTCTATGTTGCTCAGGCTGGCAACTTCAGTGGAAGTGCAGTGGTGCAATCTTGGCTCCCTGCAACCTCCACCTCCCAGGCACAAGTGATTCTCGTGCCTCAGCCTCCTGAGTATCTGGGATTACAGGCACCTGTCACCACGCCCAGATAATTTTTGTATTTTTAGTAGAGACGGGGTTTCGCCATGTTGGCCAGGCTGGTCTTGAACTCCTGGCATCAAGCGATCCACCTGCCTTGGCCTCCCAAAGTGCTGGGATTACAGGGATGAGCCACCACACCCGGCCTAAAGAATCTCATTTGTTTTTTTAATCTGTCTTTGTTCTCTGTTCATTAATTTCTGTGTGCACTTAATAAATATTTTACAAATTTTTGTGAAATTAAAATAAGGTGAACCTATCATACTTTTTTTGGCTTGGACTGGGAAACTTTGAGGTTTAACATTTTTTTATTTAAGGGTTTTTTGATAAAAGCTATTAATTGTAATGTGGTCAGATTTATTGGTCTTTTCTGAGTTTGTGCTTTTTGTGCCTTGTTTAAAAAATCCTCTTCTACTCCAACGTCTATAAGATAGTCACCTATATTTCCTAATAAATTAAAGCCTTATTATTGACTCATTTAAGGTTTTTTTTTTCAGTGTAGAGTGACTTAAGGATACAATTTTTTCTTTCCATATGTATAACCATTTTTCCCAACTTCATTTACTGAATAGTCACCAATCTTTCCCCACCAATCTGATATATTACCTTTGTCATATACCAAAGTTTCATACATTTATTATTATTATTATTATTATTGAGATAGGATCTCATTCTGTTGCCCAGGCTGGAGTATGGTGGCACAATCATGGTTCACTGCAGCCTCAAACTTCTAGGCTCAAGTGATCCTCCAGCCTCAGCCTCCTGAGTAGGTGGGACTAAAGGTGTGTGCTACAACACCTGGCTAATTAAAAAAAAAAAATTTGTAGAGATGGGCGTCTCGCTATGTTGCCCAGGCTGATCTTTAACTACAGGTCTCAGTGATCTTTCTGTATCAGCCTCCCGAAGTGCTAGGATTAACAGGCATGGGCCACTGTACCTGGCTGTCTTTGAAGTTTTTAATAAGATTGCCATATCTCTCTCAAGACTGATCAAGAAAAAATGCAAATACAAATTTAAAGAGAGGGAAAAATAGTATTATGGAACTGGGTTAAGTACCTTAAGGGAAAACTACAACAATGAGACCACTATTCTTATCTACTTGGGTGGGGGAAGGCACGGACAGAGACGTAAACAACAGCATAGTGTGCCAAGGGCTCCCATCTCCTGTTCTCTTCTGCTCTGCAAAGTCTCTCTTAAAATATAGAGAACATATTGCAAGTAAATACATTCATTAGTGCATTTATTCAAAAACCACATTTGTCTCTCTATGCAAGCTTCCATCTCAATGCCTGGCACAGAGACGAAAAGGATTTCAGAGGACAAAAATCAAAGGACTGGAAAGGAGGGAAGTAGCTGATGACAAGGTCGGGGGAGAAGCAGCTATTTGAGAGTGAGCAGAGGGAAGGATATAACCAGAGCCTTCCATCTGGTGTTGTGACAAAGATGGCAGTGATGTGAGGCTTGATAGAATCAATAGGCCTCACAGTTCAAGACAGACTACATGCCCTCAGTCACTTGCCTGCTTTCTTGGTTTGCTAGATGGATTAGAAATACTAGAAGGAAAGTTGAGTGGGTACTGGGATATCCTATCCAAATCCTCTCTTCTGGGGCAATGCAGCTGCCTCACAGCAACCACGTTGTGGATCACCTGACCCCGCCTTTCTCAGCTTCCTGGAGGTGCATTCTAAGAGCGCTCCCCATAAGCCAACACTCAAGTCTCTTCGAGGTGTGTTTCCAGGGAGCCTGATCTAAGATTAAAAACTTAAAGGCCCCTTTTAGAATTGTCTTTTACAGCCCAGGCAAAGAGTTCTTTACTTTTTTAGAGGTCATGAATCCCTTTGACAAGGTGATGAAAGCCAGGGACCCTCTTCTCAGAAAAATACACACGTGCGCTTAATGTAAAATTTTACATACTGTTTTAAAGGTTAAACTTTACCACCCATGAAAAGCCTCAAGTAGTTCTTTGTACATAATCATAAGATTAGCAACCATTTACTGAGCACTTCCTCTCTATAAGACCCTGTGCTAAGTGCTTTAACTTCATAATGCCTTTGATCATGACATAACATGGCACGGTAGTTCCTAATATCTTCCTTTTAGAGATTTAAGGGCTTGCTCAAAGTAACATAGCTAATAATTAGCAGACACTGGATTAAAATCCCAATTTGTTTGTAAAGCTTGTGCTCTGAATAAATGACAAGGAAAGAGAAGGGAAGGTTGAAGAAGGGAAGGTTCTTGAAGGTCCCTGGTCCTTGAAGGTCCCTTAACCATAAATGTCAAGAGTTGGGATTTAAACCCAGGTCTAACGCCAGAGCTGGCGCCCTTTAGATTAAAAGTGCAGTGTCCATGACAACGAAAGAAGTTGATTTTGTCCCACCTTTGCTCTTTGCGGCTTTTCATTTGCGTTTGTTTCCACAGCGATTTCCAATAGATTTCTGCGTGGCCTTGACACAGACAGCTAGTGTGAATCCCCGCCCACAGAGGGGCGGCACGTTGGTTGCCGTACAACGTGGTGGTTCCCTGCATCTCTGCCCACGTCGGAGAGGTGCGTCGGCTTCCGTACAACACGGATACTCTCTCTCTGACGCAACTTCCTGTCCTGCGCAATTCTATTTGACCTTTGAACTGGCAAAGGCTTTTTTCTTCCTCTTCCGGGGACGTTGTCTGCAGGTATGGATGTTGTTCTCTTTTCCCTGTCTTTATTTCCTTACCAATCGGCTGCCATCCGAGGAGCTGAGGAAGCCTAGAGCTCTCAGAAGCAGTCCTTTGAGCTGGTGTAGGGGTAAGGGGCACAACAGGGAGGTTGGTGGTGAGGAAGTTCCTTACTTTGATCTTTGGAAATCCCTTGTTCCTGGTGGCACCTCCAAAGCCGTGAGTAGCCACAGCTCACCACCCGGGACTTTGCTGCATTCCAAGTGTAGCGTTTGGAGACTAACGAGTTGTGGTTTGGCGGTTTGAGTCTGGAAAATCGCCAAACGTTTTCATATTTTACACCCACGTTTTCACAGCACGCCTGTACGTGTCCTTAGTCTTTGGGAGGGCAGGGTCCGGCGAGTTCGGGTGGTTTCGCTATTTGGCTTCTGCGTCCAAGGCCCATGTCAAGGAAGAGAAAAATGTGTTAGAAGTTTCTGTCTTGCTTTTGGAGATGCAAACAGAATAATGGCTTCATAAATCACTCGCACTGGTTTTACGTGTCAAGTTTTGGTGTCTGGTAATTCTGTTTTAGTTTAATTTTAGTGAGAGGCTTGTGACAACAAATGAGGTGGTTACAAGGGGTGGAATGGGAAGATTAAATTAGTTCAAGTATTGATTATGTTTTACGTTGGGTAGTTCCCTTAACGAAGTTGCTCGTATGCATATCTGTATAACCGATTTGCTAAATAACATCACGATGTTTCCAGAAGTGGGAAGAAAGCAGGTGCCATAACCCAAAGAAACTTGTGTAATATCAAAATTAGTATTAAAGGGTATGCCTTTACGCAGGTGGTGCTTTAGGGCAAGACATTGAACCCTGATATGTGCCAGGCATTGTGTTGGGACGGATAGCCCACGTCGTTTAATCCTAATGACAGCTGTATAAAGTAGACAGAATTCCCATGTTAGAGATAAGGAGGCTAGCTCCTTGCCCTTTATATTCCCAGTAAATGGCATAGCTAAGGATTCGACTTCAGAGCTCACTTTTTGTGCTCTTTGTTTAAAGCGGTGTTTCTCCAACTGGGCTCGTGGCACTTTTCTGGACACCACTCCAAACAAAATTAGACTCTGAGTAAGGAGCCTGGTCATCAGAACGTTAAGGAAGTGCCACGTTTGATTACCATCAGGAAAGCTAACATTCTTGGCCTCTTGTTTATCAGTCACCTTTAAATACAAGTAGTTTTAAAATGTGGAATAATACATCTTAATTTAAGGGTGTTACATACAAGGATATGTATGTGAATGAAATAGACCACATGATACTGTTTTGAGATTTTATTTACTTTTACAATGGAAAGATTTGATGTTACTCTATTCTTAATTTAGGCACTCAGAATGGTCCAGCGTTTGACATACCGACGTAGGCTTTCCTACAATACAGCCTCTAACAAAACTAGGCTGTAAGTATTTCTGAAAATTTTAAGTATATATTGTCATTTACTCTACAAAATGCTGACCTACTGACTGTTTCACTTTCTAGGTCCCGAACCCCTGGTAATAGAATTGTTTACCTTTATACCAAGAAGGTTGGGAAAGCACCAAAATCTGCATGTGGTGTGTGCCCAGGCAGACTTCGAGGGGTAAGTGTACCTTTTACTGTGTGCAGCCTAACAAGTCTTGAACTTACTGAGCTTTCATCCCTTGACGATGGAATGAATCAAGGAGAGGTTACCACTAAGAGGGTTCAGAATTACTAAACATTCATGAGCCAAATCTGCCACGAACATAGACTTTTTAAACCAATCTGAGAAATGCAGTGAAATGCCTTTCAGATAAATGAGTACACCATTTCCCTTTGTAACCTACTTTAAACTTGCCCTTAACACTTAACAAAATTTAGGGAAATTTCTGTTAAAGCATCACAAAAATCTTAATATTTTTCTTATGCAGGTTCGTGCTGTAAGACCTAAAGTTCTTATGAGATTGTCCAAAACAAAGAAACATGTCAGCAGGGCCTATGGTGGTTCCATGTGTGCTAAATGTGTTCGTGACAGGTAAGTTAAATGCTTAAATGGGCTTTCCTTAGCAAATTATTGTGTGTGTTATACTGTCTGCTGATCAGTACAATGGTGAAGCAACTCATTTTAAACCAGTTGCATGCTTTAGAACCCTTTCTTTGCTATGGATAATTGATGCTGCACAAAGCAGGAAATGATATTCAAAGTAATAATTTGGGGGCATATTTATGCTAGATGTGGAGATTAAAAGGAACTTGGTTTTGTTCAGGAGGTGGGTAAGAAAGTCTCTGTTAGTGGTTTGGACAAAGATAGATGGAGTGTGGAAGGTGTTAAAAGTGTAGGAACAGAAGAGTTGTGTATTCTCATGTGCGGAAGGTGTTAAAAGTGTAGGAACAGAAGAGTTGTGTATTCTCATGAGCATAGGGTTGCAGGAGATGATGGACAACAAAGGTAGAAAAGCCAGATTATGGCCAGGTGTGGTGGCTTATGCCTGAAATCCCAACACTTTGGGAGGCGGAGGCAGGCAGATACCTGAGGTTGGGAGTTTGAGACCAGGCTGACCAACATGGAGAAACACCGTCTCTACTAAAAATACAAAAAGGTAGCTGGGCGTGGTGGCGCATGCCTGTGATCCCAGCTACTCAGAGACTGAGGCAGGAGAATTGCTGGAAGCTGGGAGGCAGAGGTTGTGGTGAGCTGCGATTGCGCTATTGCACTCCAGCCTGGGCAACAGGAGCGAAACTCTGTCTCAAAAAAAAAAGGGAAAGAAAGAAAAGCCAGATTATGAGGGGCTTTACAGAATAAAAGGTAGATTAGCTTAATTCTTTTATTGATTGATTGATTTTGAGATGGAGTCTCGCTCTGTAGCCCAGGCTGGAGTCCAGTGGTGTGATCTTGGCTCACTGTAACCTCCGCCTCCCGGGTTCAAGCAATTCTTCTGCCTCAGCCTCCTGAATAGCTGGGACTGCAGGCACATGCCACCACACTTGACTGATTTTTTGTATTTTTAGTAGAGACAAGGTTTCACTGTGTTAGCCAGGATGGTCTCTATCTGACCTCATGATCTGTCAGCCTCGACCTCCCAAAGTGCTGGGAATACAGGTATAAGCCACCGCACCCAGTCCTAGCTGAGTTTTTAAACCAAACCTTTTGACACCAAATGCAGGCTTCATTCTGCATTTTAGGAGGTAGATTGTAAGAGAACAGTAGGAGATACTACATTAATACAAATAGGGGATAAATATAGCTTCTGTGATACACAGCAAAGCTTAACTATGATTGAAGTTTAAAGGAGAAATTACTTGCAAATAACTAGGAATGGCATTTGAGTTGGAACCTAAATGATGGGCAAATTTTGGACAAAAGGCAGAAAGGGCATTCCAGGCAAGGAAAGTACGGACTGATCTGGCACATTGTGGGTGAGAAATGGAAGTGTACATTGGAGATAAGTCATGAGTTTTAAGCTGAAGAAGTTTGGCTTTTTTTCCCCCAGTCTTTGGTTCTAAAACTTTGCTGAACACAAAATCAGATGGGCACATTTATTAAAAATACAAATTCTCGGGCCTTATCTCCTGAAGATTTGAATTTAGGTTTACAGGATAGCCTAGAAATTAGCATTGTTAGCTGTGATGCTGAGCAGGTCTGCATGTGGTCTGTGCTTTGAGTAAGTTAAGGGAATTTTTAAGTGATTCAGTTGTATGTGTCTCTGATAGGATCACATGGGGGAGATTTGAAGAAATTAGAAAACCCAGAGTTTTGAGGGTAGGGTTTGATAACCAGGTTTACCAATGGGAAATGGGGTGGGGGAAGGTTTAAGTTGAAGCAAGAGGAGTGCTTTAAACTCTGGTGGTAACTCTGATTTAACAAATGCTAGGAAGACCTGCTTTTTGCTAGGTCCTGTGCAACACTGTAATGATAGTGATCCATAAAATGCACTCCTAGATGGAGGCTCAAAGTCTAGAAAATCTTTCCAAATTTAATCCTCATAAACTCCCTGTTAAATACGTGTGAAACTATTTTGTGCCTTAATATAGAGAAGGTAACTTGTCCAGTGTGCAGCTAGTGTGTGGTGGAGTTGGCCGTAAACAGGTTCTAAAATCCTTGCTCTTGGTGAGGTGTCTCTTGCTAATATCCCTTTACCTTTTAATTTTAGTTCTTAACACATAGCCCCTTATGTGTTGTTTTTTACTGGGAATTTTCAAAAATATGGTTAAAATATTCTAAGACATTTTGCAAATCAAGAAATACCACTATTCCTGGATCCTAACAATAAATTAGAGCTCTCATAAGTGGTCTCCTGTGGGGATGACTTCATAGTTTATCTTGACTCAGAAGGAGGACAGATAACTACTGGCATGAAATTGAAGGATTATCCTGCTTTAAATGAATTTCACCTTTTAAGTTTTACTCTGTATTTGTGTATCCTGTAGTTTCCTGGGTTCCCTGATTGCTTTGCTTGGTTCTTTACCATGTTTGCCTTCTCTGTGCTAAATAAAAAATGAAGTTCATTTTAAAGAAATGATTAATTTGGTATTTTCCTTTCTAGGATCAAGCGTGCTTTCCTTATCGAGGAGCAGAAAATCGTTGTGAAAGTGTTGAAGGCACAAGCACAGAGTCAGAAAGCTAAATAAAAAAATGAAACTTTTTTGAGTAATAAAAATGAAAAGACGCTGTATGTATGACTTTTTTTTTTTCTGTTGTAATGTGTTAGTATACAGATTTTGTTTCTGTATGGTATTTGGGGACCCTATAGTTTTTAGCAGATTACTTTTTCTTGTTTTGTTTGTTGTTTGTTTGTTTTTGGTTTGGTTTGGTTTTTTTGAGACGGAGTTTCTCTCTTGTTGCCTAGGCTGGAGTACAATGGCAGGATCTCGGCTCACCGCACCCTCTGCCTTCCAGGTTCAAGTGATTCTCCTGCCTCAGCCTCCCAAGTAGCTGGGATTATAGGCATGTGCCACCATGCCTGGCTAATTTTGTATATTTTAGTAGAGACGAGGTTTCTCCATGTTGGTCAGGCTGGTCTCAAACTCCCGACCTCAGGTGATCTGCCCACCTCGGCCTCCCAAAGTGCTGGTGTTAAGGTGCGAGCCGCAGCACCCAGCCAGTGGGTTACTTTTTCTGAAGAAACAGTTGGTGGTCACTGATGGCCAGAATTTTTTTGGTGACAGCTCTACCGCTGCATTGGAGCATAATGTCCTTCTCTTTGTGGGCTGAGACTTCAGGGTGGTTTGGGAGGAATGGCCCTTCTATTTGAAACTTTAATATCCCTTTGATCCTTACTATGGTATCTCCTTTACGTCAGCAAGTTTCATAGGATAGAAACCTTGGTATTCTAGTTCCTTGGAATGGAACCTTTTTAAGATTGTTTTTAAACCCTCTGTTCTTTTAGGTCACTTCAGTTCAAAAATGGTATCTTGGAGAGCTCAGAACTCCTTATTTAACAAATGAGTGAGCTACTATATATAAAACCTTGGGTCAAGGGTATAGTTTCTGATCTACATTGGATTTATTATCCAGGCCAGAATGTTAAAATACAGACCTCATTTTTCTTGGGAACTATGTAGTGTTTCTGCCAGCTCAGACAAGGTTTCACTCCTGCTGCCCAGCCTGGAGTGCAATCTTGGCTTGCTGCAACCTCCACCTCCTGGACTCAAGTGATTCTCTGCCTCAGCCTCCCAAGTAGCTGGGACTACAGGTAGGCACCACCATGCCTGGCTCATTTTTGGTTTTTTGAGAAACAGTTTCACCATGTTCCTAGGCTGGTCTCAAAACTCCTGGGCTCAAGCAGTCTGCCTGCCTCAGCCTCCCAGCGTGCCAGGATTACAGGCATGAGCCATTCTTCTGCCCAACCTGTTGGCTGACAACCTTTTTTTTTTTTTTTTTTTTTGAAATGGAGCCTTGCTCTTGCCCAGGCTGGAGCGTACTGGCTCGATTTCGGCTCACTGCAACCTCCACCTCCTGGGTTCAAGCAATTCTGCCTCAGCCTCCTGAGGATTACAGGCGCCCACCACCACACCCGGCTAATTTTTGTATTTTTAGTAGAGATGGGGTTTTGCCATATTGGCCAGGTTCATCTTGAACTCTTGATCTCAAGTGATCCGCCCACCTTGGCCTCCCAAAGTGCTGAGATTACAGGCGTGAGCCCTTGCACCCGGCCAACACCATCTCTTAAAGCCATAACAAGCTTTATTCCAATCTGAGTAGAGAGCAGAGACCTTGAGCCATCATGGAATGCAGAAGCTGAAAGTACCTGGGGAGTTCAGTAAATTTTGACTATTTTCCTCAGTTGAGGAAAATTTACCTACTAACTGGCATGATGTAACTACTTAAGCAGAGGAGAGTTACCGCTTAGCTATACATAAGAACATGCTTTTCTGGCTGGACGCCGTGGTTCATGCCTGTAATCCCAGTACTTTGGGAGGCCAAGGCGGGCGGATCATGAGGTCAGGAGATCGAGACCATCCTGTCTAGCACGGTGAAACCCCGTCTGTACTAAAAATACAAAAAACTAGCTGGGCGTGGTGGTATGCGTCTGTAATCCCAGTTACTCGGGAGGCTGAGGCAAGAGGATTGCTTGAACCCGGGAGGCAGAGGTTGCAGTAAGCCAAGATCGCGCCACTGTACTCTCGCCTGTGCGACAGAGCGAGACTCGGTCTCCAAAAAAAAAACACCTTTTCTTAGGCCAGACCCAGTGGCTCACCCCTATAGTCCCAGTCTCAACACTTGGGATGCTGAGGCAGGAGGATCACTTGAGGACAGGAGTTGGAGACCACCCTGGGCAGCTTGGCAAGACCCTGCCTAAAAAATAATTAAAAAATAAGAATACCCCTTAAGGTAAAAGGCAAAAAAAATGGGATTTCATAACACCTTTACTGTACCCCACTGCCAGTTAACTTGTTCTTGGTATAAAAAATTTTTAATTAGTGTTTTGCAGAAGAGGAGTCACAGAACTAGTAAGTGGCAAAGCTGGCAGTTGAACTCCCTTTTAAGAATTTAACCGCCAGGCGCGGTGGCTCACGCCTGTAATCCCAGCACTTTGGGAGGCTGAGGCAGGTGGATCACCGGAGGTCAGGAGTTCGAGACCAGCCTGACCAGTATGGTGAAACCCCGTCTCTACTAAAAATAACAAAAATTAGCCAGAAGTGGTGGCATGCACCTGTAATCCCAGCTATCAGGAGAATGAGGCAGAAGAATCGCTTGAACCTGTGAGGCAGAGGTTGCACTGAGCCGAGATTGCACCACTGCACTCCAGCCTGAGTGACAGTGAGACTCCTCAAAAAAAAAAAAAAAATTTAATTTTAACCACAGTACACTTGATTGGCTGTGTGCCTGACTCCACCAAATTTGTTTTAGTCCTCCCAGCAACTCCAACAGCTTTATTCCCATTTTACTGATGAGAGAACAGACACAGGTTATAGAAAACCCAGAGCCATTTGTATTGTTGGTAGGATTTTTGCAGCTGTGTTAGTGAATAAGTGTAATGACCGGGCACCCTAATAAATGCTAGCATAATCAATGATAGCTGGGATCCCTGTTGTCAACATTCATAGTCTCAAACGATTGAGATACATTAGCTTTCTCCAAACACCTGCCAATCCCAAAGATTGTTAAGCAACCAGGATAATAGAATTAATTATCTTGTATAATGTTTAATCACAGTATTGAAAATATAAAACGGGGATAGAATTGAAAAGCTTGAATTCTAAGGCAGATTTACATCACTTTCTCATGATTCAGGCTTATATATACTGCACCAAGCAGTTCTGTGACTGTGTTTTATTGTATTTGATATAACCATCTAAAAATTGGCACTTTTAATAATATACTCAGACAATAATGTGGCTTAAAACTTAAACTAATTGGCTGCTCTGTAGGCCAGTCTAGTTTTTGAAAGGTTTGAGATGTAATTTCTGAAAAAATTGCTGTGGAAGAGAAAGCCTATTTGCCACCCCAACCTGAGTTCTTGCTGGTGGAAGGAGGCTCCTCCCTCTCCTTGCTGCTCCAAGTTAGGTAGAACAACATGACTGGACACAGGCTCTAGCTGGTGGGAACTAGCAAGTTTCAGCAAAATATGAAATGGGTGACCTTTGAGAAATGTAAGGAAGTTAAAGAATTGAGGTGTACATTCTTTTCCAAGAATTCTTGGTATGTTAAATGGTTTTACTTAACAAACAGCTTTGTAGACTATTTGGAAAGTTTGGAAAAATAGAATGATAAAAAATCTCAATTTCACTACTTACTATTATTATTATTATTTTGGAGACAGAGTCTCACTCTATCACCCAGGCTGGAGTGCAGTGACGCGATCTCAGCTTACTGCAACCTCCACCTCCTGGGTTTAAGCCATTCTGCCTCAGCCTCCCGAGTAGCTGGGATTACAGGCGCCTGCCACCACATCTGGCTAATTTTTGTATTTTTAGTAGAGACGGGTTCGCCATGTTGGCCAGGCTGGTCTCGAACTCCTGACCTCAGAATGTCCGCCCGCCTCGGCCTGCTAAAGTGTTGGGATGACAGGCTTGAGCCACCACGCTGGGCCACTACTCAGTCATTTTTAATAGTTGAATGTTTTTCCTCCCATCTTGTTTTCCATGAATAAAATAGACATTTTAAGTCAAAACTGGAAGCCCACTGCATATATAAACTTTTAACTCCTTTTTTTCTCCCACATAACCCCTGTGATATTTCTTTTCAAAGAATATTTTAGTAGCTGCCTGCAGTATGAAATTTACATGCTATAATTTAGACATTCCCTTTATTTTGAACATTTGGGCTATTTCCAGTTTTTCTCTATTTTAAAACATGAGCCTTCTTATATATCTGATTATTTCACTTATGCTGAATTGTTTTTTAATATTCACAAGTTGGTGTTGAAGTTCAGTATTTAGAAGACAAAGAGCATTGACGGGTGTGAACATAGTAACGACTCTGTCCAAGTGACCCAAATGGATTCTATAACTCTTCTGGGTTTTGATTTTTGTAAAAAACAAAATGAAGCTCTTATTGAATCCAGTTCTATGTGTGTGACAAAGTATTCTTGACAGGTTCCTAAAAAGACATGTGAATGTAGTCAGTGGTTTTCTTTTTAAAGTCTAATATTTCTCCTTCCGTTGAATTGCTTATAAATTCTGTTAGAAGGTTGAAAGGGTTCTTTTACCCTTAAAAATATAAAATCTCCAAATGTTTAAGTAAGCAAATCAAGTTTGTTTTAGCAACTTAATAACATCCTATAATCTTTACCCCAGTGATTAAGAGCTTGGGCTTCCAGAATTTTGATAGTCAGGGCTATGTCCAACTTTCACTGTAAACTATGCATCTTATCAAACCAACTAAAATCACATATAATCCTCACAGAGTAAGATTGTGAAGCAGTTCTGAATGTTATGATTTTTCCCTAAAGTATATTATTTATTGCCGGTAATAATTATTCTGCCATTATTAGGTCCAATAGAAAAAGTTGGTGTGCTGGAGCTACCTCACCTCAGCTTGAGAGAGCCAGTTGTGTGCATCTCTTTCCAGTTTTGCATCCAGTGACGTCTGCTTGGCATCTTGAGATTGTTATGGTGAGAGTATTTACACCTCAGCAAATGCTGCAAAATCCTGTTTTCCCCCAGAGAGCTGGAGGTTAAATACTACCAGCACATCCCTAGATACTACTCAAGTTACAGTATATGATCACTAATATAGTATGCTCTTGGTACCAGGAGCTCTGATATATATCTGGTACATGTTTGATAATGACTTGATTGTTATTATAAGTACTTATTAATACTTCGATTCTGTAAAGAGTTTAGGGTTTGATTTTATAAAATCCAAAATGAGCCTTTTATTGAATCCAGTTCTCTATGTGACCAGTTCTCTGTATGAATGGAAGGGAAAAGAATTAAAAATCTTGCAAAGGGGAAAGTTCCATCTTCTTAAAAACTAGATGTGGTAAACAACTATTCTAAACCAGGAGTAGAAAAGCTAACACTATCTGGCTGGACACGGTGGCTCACACCTGTAATCCCAGCACTTTGGGAGGCCAAGGTGGGTGGATCATGAGGTCAGGAGATGGAGACCATCCTAGCTAACACAGTGAAACCCCGTCTCTACTAAAAATACAAAAAATTAGCCGGGCATGGTGGCAGGCGCCTGTAGTCACAGCTACCCGGAGGCTGAGGCAGAAGAATGGCGTGAACCTGGGAGGTGGAGCTTGCAGTGAGCCGAGATTGCGCCACTGCACTCCAGCCTGGGCTACAGAGCGAGACTCCGTCTCAAAAAAAAAAAAGAAAAGAAGTTAACATTGTCTTTATGAATCTCATTTCTATCTCAGCTAGTTCATGCTACTGTAACTACCACGGACTGAGTGGCTTGAACAACATTTATTTCTCACTGTTCTGGAAGCTAAGTCCAAGATCAAGGCACTGGCAGATTCCATGTCTCTTCCTGTTTGCAGATGGCCATCTCCTTGCTGTATCCACATGTGGTGGAGAGATCACCTGTCTCATGTCTTTTCTTAGAAGGGCACTTATCTCGTCATCAGGGCTCCATCCTCAAAATCTAATAATATATACCTCCCCAAAGCCTCACCATCCCATTGGAAGTTAGTACTCCAACATATAAATTTTGAGGGGGATGCAAACATTCAGTCCCTAACATTTTCTAAATTAAAGGATAAGATCCGCAATAATTCTGGATGAAAAGATGCTTTTGGGTTTCCAAAATATTAGCTATTCAATAATTTTTAATAAATCTTAAATGTTTCTGGTTAACCTGAAGGATTATGTAAGTATTTTTGCCAAACATTTACATTCTTTTATAATTGCTTTAGCTTTCATTCATTTACTCGATAAATATTTATTAGAAACTACCATGTACCAGAAACTATGATGCTGGATAATTGTTAATACAGTAGTCAACAAAGCAGATGAGACTCTTCCCTTGGCCTCATGGCACACAGGAGAGACAATGTTAAATGGGGAACATATAAATACATTTGTTGTTGTACACACTGGGATTAGACTCACAAAAAGAAAGTCCACAGTGCTGTGAAACGATGTGGAAAGGGAACCTCATGGGGGAGTTAAGGGAGGCTTTTTCTGAGAAAGTGATGTTTAAGCCCACAACAAAGATAAGTAGGTGTTGTCTGGGTGACAAAAAGGGAGAATACTCTGGACATAGAAACCAACATGTGCAAATGCCGTAAGTCAAGAAATCGTTTTTATGAAAAACAAAATCAATTCAGGCAATCCAATTCACTCTCAATATTTAAAGGCCAATAAACCTGAAAAGTGTGAACTAATTGTTAATCACTAAGAAGGAACATCCCTGTCAGCACATAGATTTACTATACCTGTGTGGCCCCAGGGCTACTTTTCATCCTAAGGGACACCAGCAAAAGAAAAGCTTTCCTAAACTGTTTTAGTTAGGAGCAAATAAATCCTCCTCTACATTAGGGGATATTTAAATTATGCAATCCCCTAGATAATTTAGGCACCAACCACCTACCATTAAGGAGGAAAAGGATCAAATTTACTGACCAAATTCCCTTGATATTCATTCAGCTTCTATATTCCTTGGCCTGTGCAAATAGCCTGAAGACTTTACTCTCTCAACTCTCTCTCATTCTAGGGTTGAAAATAAGCTTACAGCTTGACTTGCCTAAAGAACAAATGGTCTTGAAGAAAATTCACGTGTTTATTGCATCTTAGTGTAAGTCATAAAAGATGTCACAGGCCATAGGGTCTCTCTTTCACAACTACTCAATTCTGCCATTGTAGAGTGTCAGTAGCCATAGACGATACATAAACAAATGGTCATGGCTATGTTCCAATAAAATTTTATTTACAAAAACTGATGTCAGGTCAGATTTGGTCTCTTAGCTCATAGTTTGGGACCCTGCTCTAGACAACTCTGCTTCTAGCCAAAGCTGCCATCTGATTGCAATTGCATGAGAGACCTTAAGCAAGACCAGTAGAAAACTGCCTTGTTAAGTCTAATCAGCCCAATGGATGGTGGGAAAAAATAAAATGGCTGCTTTTTAAATTCCATTCAATTTTGAGGTGATTTGTTACATAGCAATATACCACTAAGACAATGGTACAGTGCAATGATCTTTAAATATTTCTTTTTACTTGAGTACCCCTTAACATTTTGGAAAGTTATGTAGACTCTGGCACATTTTCAGATTGTCATCTAAAACTTTTCATTCAAAATGTAAATCCTTGCAAAGGATATCATTTCCAACAGAGTGAACATTTTAATAATTTTAAAGAGAACTGTTTTATCAATTTTTAAGCATATCAAAATCTCCATAGCCATTTTTTTGAGTTTTTGTATATGTATTTATTTATTTATTTTTAACTTTTAAGTTCAGTGGTATATGTGCAGATTTGTTATATAGGTAAACTTATGTCATGGGAGTTTGTTGTATAGATTATTTTATCACGCAGGTATTAAGCCTAGTACCCATTAGTTATTTTTCCTGGTCCTCTCCCTCCTCCCACCCTCTACCCTGCAATAGGCCCCAGTGTGTGTTTCCCTCTATGTGTCCATGTGTCCTCATCATTTAGCTCCCACTTTATAAGTGAGAACATGCAGAATTTGGTTTTCCGTTCCTGCATTAGTTTGCTAAGGATAATGGCCTCCAGCTCCATCCATGTTCCTGCAAAGGACATGATATTGTTCTTTTTTATGGTATAGTAGCCATTTTCAAAAAGACAGGAACAAGCTTTTCTAACATTTGGAAGTTTTATATTCGTTCTTTTTTCTTCCATTTTGTTTTGTTTTTTTAGAGACAGGGTCTTGCTCTATTGACTGGGCTGGAGTTTAATGGTACCATCCTGGCTCACTGCAACATCAAACTTTTGGGGTCAAGCAATCCTCTGCCTCAGCCTTCCAAGCAGCTGGGACTACAGGCATGTACCACCACACGTGGCTAATTTGTAAAATGGTTTTTGTTTTAAAAAAGAAAAAAAAGATGGAGTCTTGCTACGTTGCTTAGGCTGGTCTCAAACTCCTGGCCTCAAAGCGATTCTCCTGCCTCGGCCTCCCAAAGCAATGGAATTATAGATGTGAGCCACTGTGTCACCCCTTTTTCTTTTTGACATATATTACCATTCCATTTCCTCCATAGAATTTTAAGCTAATATATTTTTATGTTGAAATATTTTCCTGATTGGTAATTCCCACAATTCTCTCTCTTTTTTTTCTTTTTTTTCTTTTTTTGAGACAAGAGTCTCACTCTGTTGCCCAGGCTGGAATGCAATGGCGCAATCACAATCTCAGCTCACTGCAACCTCCACCTCCTGGGTTCAAGTGATTCTCCTGCCTCACCCTCCCAAGTAGTTGGGATTACAGGCACCCACCACCACGGTCAGCTAATTTTTGTATTTTTAGTAGATACGGGGTTTCGCCTTGTTGGTCAGGCTGGTCTCGAACTCCTGACCTCAGGTGATCCACCCGCCTTGGCCTCCCAAATTGCTGGGATTACAGACATGAGCCACCGCGCCCGGCCCTACAATTCTATTTTTAAGAGAGAACAAGCAAAAGAGAGAGTCATGGAGTCTTGCCACTTGTTTATCCCATGGATAAAATAAGGCGTTGATTGCTGCCTCTTCAACCATGCTCTCTGCTTCATTCTCAAGGGATTCCCTCAGGAAGATTCATTTTTTTGACAATTTGGGGGAGATGAAAGAGGATAAGGTTGCTAAATGAAAATCGTCATCATTCTCCTTCACTCCATTCGACATTATCTCTGAGTTCACGCCGTCCCCCAGTGACAGCCAGGATATCCTGCTCCAGTGTAAGATGGGAAAGACACCAAGCCCCTGGTTTTTAAAATTTCTTCACAATCAGTCAGGTATTATTTACAATTTGTTGACTATGTACAAAATGCTAGTATAGGCACTAAGATGAACAAAATAGACAAAAATCCCTGCCTTACTGGAGATTACCTTCCAGTGAGGGCTGACAGACAATAAATGAATGAAGGAATAAGTAATATGTCAATAGGTAAGTAAGTAAAAAACACGATATGAACAATAAATGCTATACAAAATATAAAGCAGATGCCGGGCACGGGGGCTCATGCCTGTAATCCCAGCACTTTGGGAGGCCGAGGCGGGCGGATCACGAGGTCAGGAGATCGAGACCATCCTGGCTAACACGGTGAAACCCCGCCTCTACTAAAAAATACAAAAAAATAAGCCAGACATGGTGGCAGGCGCCTGTAGTCCCAGCTACTCAGGAGGCTGAGGCAGGAGAACGGCGTGAACCCAGGAGGCGGAGGTTGCAGTGAGCCGAGATCGCGCCACTGCACTCCAGCCTGGGGGACAGAGCGAGACTCCATATCAAAAAAAAAAAAAAAAAAAAGTATATATATATATAGCAGATAAAGGGGATAGAATGCAGGGTGGAAGTAGAGGGTTGCAGTTTGAATATCCTGGTGAGGGGAGACTTCCCCAAGAAGGGGACATCGAAGCAAAGACCTGAAGGCAGTGAGGAGGGTGGCCATAAGGATATGTGGGAAAGAGCTTTCCAGCAGAGAATAGTCCGGAGGCAGGAGGAGGTCCTGAAGCTGAGGGAAAGCGCAACAGAAATGAGGTTAGGGAGTTCTCCAGACACCAGGTTGTGTGGGTCCTTGCCATTCATCTCTAGGACCAGTGCGGCCCTCAGACAAGGGGCCTCTCCTCTGGGTCCCATGCTTTAGAGGGCGCTGCTCTGGCTTTCACCTGCCAATATCCCACCCCAAAAGCAAAGAGTTCAGGGGACCAAGGGGCATGCTAACCCTAAATGTATGCTCTCTTTCTGGACATAATCCCAGAATCCCTGCCCGAGGCACCCAAACCCACGCACATGCTCATTTCATGTGAGTCAACATGTTCCCTCCTCAAGGAGTATTTATATTTTTGGTTTTGTAATTGCTGATGGTGAGTTGAAAGACTGACTTCTGCTGAGGGAATTTTAAGCAGAGGAAGCTGGTAACTCAATCTGTTTGGAGTCAAGGATCACTCTACTCAATGTAACACAAAGCTAAGAGGTAATGCAAAGGACAGGATCGGCAGTGAAGAAAACACGGGATTGCCATGTCTTCAGAAATCGACATCAGAAGCTCCCATGAGGTTTGTCTTCTGAAATTTCCTTTTCTGTTTCAAAAATCTGAGCTTAACAATATTGTCAGTGGTTCTCACACTTTAGATTCACTTAGGATTCTTCTGGGAAACTTGTTAAAATTCAGATACCCAAGCTCCATCAAAGATGTCCCCAATCAGAACCTCTGAAAGTCAGGCCAAGAACTTTCATGGTAACAGATCTCCTAGCTGATTTTCACCCAGATGGATCTTGAACTGCCCTTTCACAACGATGTGGTACAAACTGTGTACGGTTGGGCATTAGACAAACATGGGTTTAAATCATAGGTCTACCATTAACCAGTTAGGTGACTGAGCAATTTTCTTACCTTCTGTCCATCTTAGTCACCTCACCTGTAAAAATGAAGATAAATAATCATAATTTCAGAGGTTCTGAGGGTTGCTGAAATACCTTGTGTTGTCCACATCGCAGAGCACATGGTTCATGGTAATGATGCTCAGTAAGCCTCTTTCCTGCTTGCAGTACAAGAGCTGCCTTCTTACCTACTTACAGAGAAACACAGAAAATGCATCAAGATGGCCAGGATGAAGTCTTCTCATTTAGAGTGATTGAAGAGCAGTGATAATATTGGAAATAAACCAAAAAGCCAACTGATATCCTCCTGTATCATGTTTTACCCAAAATGATTTTTTTTTTTCTCTTTTTAAGGAATTACACACACACACCCCCATACACACACACTGGCTGATAGTATCAAGCTGTCTTTGATTAGCTCTGGGCAAATGCATGGCAGGGCATCTGAAAACCACAACTGGAGACATCATTTCTGATGGGCCTAATGCTCTGGGTATTTCCTTTCAACTGAACTTGGGGAAAGTACTTTGATATAATGTACATATGGAAATATTTTACAACATTCTTTAAAAGTTAGATACTTTATTCAGGATATATGTAAAACACACTTTTCTCTTCAACGTGTATGGCTAAATTCCTTGTCATTTCTAAGCCAGCGTATTTTTGTGTTGTTTTGTTAAATTGATCTCAGTGTGTAAGAAAGGACCATATTGACAGCCCTGGCGACAGTCTTTTTTCTGGGCTTCTGGCAGACAGCAGGAACAGCTGCTGCTTAAGCATACCCCAAATATTTTACCTCTGGAAAGATCATTTCTGGAGGTGAGCAGGCACTTTGATTTCTCATTCCCTCTGAAAGGTGTCGGTGGGAATGGTGGGGGAATAGCTGGCCATTTACTCGGGGCTTTGGTTCTGAGGCCATTGCCACATTTTTTTTTTTTTTTTTTTAAAACGGAGTCTCGCTCTATCACACAGGCTGGAGTGCAGTGGCGCGATCTCGGCTCACTGCAAGCTCCGCTTCCCGGGTTCACGCCATTCTCCTGCCTCAGCCTCCCGAGTAGCTGGGACTACAGGCGCCCGCCACTGCGCCCAGCTAATTTGTTGTATTTTTAGTAGAGACGAGGTTTCACCGTGTTAGCCAGGATGGTCTCGATCTCCTGACCTCGTGATCCACCCGCCTCAGCCTCCCAAAGTGCTGGGATTACAGGCTTGAGCCACCGCGCCCAGCCACCATTGCCACATTTCACATGTGCAATCAAATTGCAACCTGGGTTCTGGTTCAAATTCTTTTGAAGTGATTAAAGCCTGTTGTTTTAAATGCCATTCCTAATCTTAGGGTAAAACATTCCTTGGGAAAGTGTTCTTCAATCCAAGAATCTAACAGTGGTTACTTTCAGGGAGAAGGAATAGGGGAGGGGAGAAGATGATAAGGGGAAGGTGACATTTGCTTTGCATTTTTAAAATTATTTGTACTCTTTGAATTTATAACTCCAAACATGTCATCTTATTTTTTAAAAAAAGGAATCGTCTGTATAATGGTGTTGTAGACCATTTTGGTTATTAATTCTCTTTAAATTTCTGAATTGAAAAATGAAATCTAGTAAGTATACTTTTGAAAGCTTAGCTAGAAATTATTTATTTTTAAGATTCAATTACCAAAACGTGCCAAATATACTTTTTTCTTTTTTAGTTTACAAGCCTGTATGTAAAATATTTGTAAGACAACTAGATATAAAAAATACCCTGGGTTTGATATTTTATTCATCTGAAAATGATGCTTTCACAAGATTTTTTCTTTCATCATTAAAGAAGTAAATCATTTGCATTTTAAAGATATGCTCGAATGCTGTGGGATGCAGCTTTTCCCATTTATGTAATGTTTAATTGCATTTACTTGATCACAGCATTGAGGCAAGTTTCTTTAAAATAAGTTTGCCTTTTCATAATGCTTGCGACTATAGTTTGTTAATCTCAAAGTATCAAGAATGCACTTTGATGAGGATAAAATTATGCAGGACTATGATTCCTATGAAAGAGAACTCCTGCCCTACTCTGGCCACAGAAAAGAATTACATGTGGGCAGCTGTGAGAAAAATGCTGTTGTTATTTAGTTGAATTGCAACAGCTTTGCAAGTGAGGTAAAAAACGTGTAGATCTACAGTTATTTTTCTTTAACACATTTTAATATCTATGTGCCTGTGTGAGTGTTTTTTTGTTTTAACCTGGGTCCCTAATGTTGCAAAACAATTTATTCTTCACAGAGGACAGCTCCCAACTCTTTACCTCTCTTCCTAATGCAACACTCACTCTCACTCTCAGCAGCCTTATAATATCTGTAAATGTAGAAACTATCAGTTATGAACTTCTGTAACTCCCTTTTCATCTTTGGCACCTCAAAACTTTAATGTATGTAAAAGCATGGGCTTTGAAATTGGTAAACTGGAGCTCTATCAATCTCTGGCTGTGTCAACTTGAGCATGTTGCCCAATTTCTATGAGCCTCAGTTTTCTTATCTAAAAAATGAAACTAATAATGCCTACTCCAAAGAATTGTTGGATGGATTAAGTAAGACAACCTAATATAATTGCTGTGCATAGTAAATCCTAACTGTTGGTTGCCTTATACCTCTAATCTTCTTTCTGCTCTCTTTTCTTTAGAAGATGGCATGCATCTTTTCCAAGGTAAATTTTACCTCTGTTGAACTCTATCCCATACTCTCTTGCCATGGCCCTAATTTTGTTCAGTTACTTAACTCCTTCCCTTCCCTCTGACATCCTTGGTCCCTTCCTCTCCACAGTTTTATTCTCTCGTCTTACACAAACATGCCCAAGTCTCATCATCCATAAAAACCTCTGTCATTACCACTTCAGCTCTCTTCTTCTGTTCATACCCAGCTGTGTTGGGTGCCATGAATCATTCACTACTATTATTTTTAAAATTCCTATCACTACTTCTCCCCTCTGCAATCTGGCTTCTCCTGCCAACATGCTACTGAAATTAATGAATTAATTCATCAAATATTTACAAGCATTTATCATGATACTATGTCCCAGGCACTGTGCTCAGTAACTCAAGTCATTATAATACTGTGTGCTTGACAATATGTTGTACTTACTGGCCAAAAATCACCAATGTCTAATTGTCAAGCTAAATGTCTTCTTTCAATTTCAATCTATCTGACATGCTGGAAACTTCCCTTTCCAAGGCTTCTTTGCTATCGCTCCCTTGGCTCTTCTGTTCCTTTGATCTTGCTGTATTTACTTTGTAGTATCCTCCTAATTATGGGGGTGATTCCCTAGGCATCCATCTTCAGCTTTCTTCTCTCTCACTCTTTTAACTTTACTCTGTGAATTTCCTGTAATTATACACTACATTTGGTGTGTGTGTGTGTGTGTCTGTGTGCACGTGCATTTTTCTAGGAAGGAGTTCATAGCTTTTATCAGCTCTGCAAGGAGGTCTATGACCCTCCCAATAACAACCCTGACCAGTTCCACCTCACGTGTAGACACATTCTTCCACTGTGATGACTTCCATTATCCTCCACATGCTGCTGATTCCTGGATCTCCAACCCTAAACCTCTTTCCCATGCTCCAGCGACCATCTTCCCAACTCTGCCTAGGTCCCTCCTGGAGGGTCCTTCTAGAATAATAGTTCTCATCAGGCAGGTGGCAGAACCTCTGTCTCCCACTCCTTGCATGCCCCTCTGTGAGGCTTGGGTGGGTTGGGGGTGATGGGAGGGGTGCGTGTATAATCAGAGTCCCTGGGGTGCAGAAGCTCTGTTCTGACCTTGCCTCTTGCTATCCATGGAATTACTGCTCTATCCTGGCCATTTTCCCATTCTCTTTCTCTGGTTCCAGGAAAAGCCTTCCCTGGTCCAGCTCTTGGACACAGCTGTAGTGTAGCCTGGAGCCATTGTTACACAATTCACTTTCATCAGAGCCCTCTCTTTCCAGAGTGTTCAAGCCCTATATTTATTTTTAATCAAATTCTCATATTTCTATCTGCACAGAAAGATCTTATGGTGGGGTGCAGTGGCTCACACCTGTAATCCCAGCACTTTGGGAGGCCAAGGGGGGCGGATCACAAGGTCAGGAGATCGAGGCCATCCTGGCCAACATGGTGAAACCCCGTCTCTACTAAAAATAAAAGTATTAGCTGGGTGTGGTGGGAGGTACCTGTAATCCCAGCTACTCAGGAGGCTAAGGCAGGAGAATCGCTTGAACCAGGGAGTCAGAGGTTGCAGTGAGCCGAGATCGAGCCACTGCACTCCAGCCTGGCGACAGAGTGAGACACAGGCTCACAGAAAAGAAAAAAAAAAAAAGGTATTTTATAGCTTTTGCTTTACCACCACCTTCCCTGCTCTCCTCACTCACAGTCTGTCTCAGCCCCTCGCTGTCTCTCATCTGGACTTCCACACTAAGGTCCTAAAAGGTTTCTCTGCCTCAAGTCTTTCTGTCATCCCATCTATTCTTCCAAACACAATACTAATCATTTCAAGTTTTAAAATCCTTCAATACTTCTTTATGCCTATATAATGAAATCTAAAAGCATCATGACTTTGAAAGACCCTGTCTAGTCAGGCTTCTTCTTTTTTAGGTCGCATCTCCACTTTTACTCCTCCATGATCACCATCACTCTGTTACCACCTTTGGGGCTTTCCCATCTCTCTGCCTTTGCTCAGCCTTGTCCGAATGCCTGAAAGCCTTTTCCCAACCGAGGAATCCAGCTCTTCTATCAATGCTCCTGCTCAAATGTGAGCACTTCTGTAAGCCTGCCTTTTCCCTACCTGTTTGAGAATTTTTTTTTTTTTTTTTTGAGAGAGAGTCTTGCTGTGTCGTCCAGGCTGGAGTGCAATGGTGCGATCTCGGCTCACTGCAACCTCTGCCTCCTGGGTTCAAGCGATTCTCCTGCCTCAGCCTCCAAGTAACTGGGATTACACACATGCGCCAGCATGCCCAGCTAATTTTTGTATTTTTAGTAGAGGCGGGGTTTCACTATGTTGGCCAGGCCGTTCCTGACCTCCTATTCCTGACCTCAAGTGATCCACCTGCCTCGGCCTCTCAAAATGCTGTGATTACAGGCGTGAGCCACTGTGCACTGCCTACCTGTGATAATTAATCACTATTTCCTCAGGTCTCTCAAAGCCCAATTGGCCCAAACCTCCAATAGGCATGTGCTTCTCAGGCAGTTCTGCCATAGCGTGTATTCTCCTCAGACTAGGATAACAGTTTCTTGGGGATAAGAGTTATGCACTGGTTATCTTGGCACTGACAGCATTTAAGACAGCTTGTTTCTGCTACATGATCCATAAATGCTTGATGAATGAATGAATGAGTGATGAACGTTGTCATCAACAACACTACTGCCTACTGTCTTTTTGTTTGTTTGTTTTTGAGACAGAGTCTCTGTTGCCCAGGCTGGAATGCAGTGGCGAAATCTCAGTTCACGGCAGCCTGCACCTCCTGGGTTCAAGTGATTCTCGTGCCTCAGCTTCCCGAGTAGCTTGGATTACAGATGCCTACTACGACGCTCAGCTAATTTTGTATTTTTAGTGAGATGGAGTTTTGCCATGTTGGCCAGGCTGGTCTCGAAGTCTTGACCTCAGGTTATCCACTGGCCTCCACCACCCAATGTGCTGGGATTACAGGCATGAGCCACCGTGCCCGGCCCTGCCTGCTGTCATTGATTCCCATCTTGGCAAGGAAACGGAGGGAAGTGTGTGAGATTAGGCGTATTTCCACAAAACAAGTATTAAAATATGGAAAGGAGTTGTAACATAGCAAAGAAGGCAGTAGTGAATAAAAAGAACCAAATTTTACTTCCTGTTTAGCTACTTACTTCTCTCTAGCTAGCAGTAAAGACAGCATCTTGATTGGCATAATGAGATTTGTTCAGTTTCTTAAACAATGCACCCTGGCTGCAATGTAGAGAGAAATAGAGGCAGGACATCATGTGGATCTGAATTAATAAGTGGTGGTGGAGGTAGAAAGGAGGGAACAAACTAAATAAACATTAAGGAAGTACAATTGCTAAGATGACACCTTGAAGGATCAAAGGAAATGGAAGAATCGGGTTCATTTATTGATTCATTCAACTTATTTAATGAGTCCTACTATGTGCCAGCACTGTGAGAGGTGGTAGGAATTCCATGGTGAAAAATATTTTGTCCCTGAATTTGAGACACTGAGTTTCTGATATTACAATTGGCTGTGTAATGGTACATAGTAATAAACATCCAATCACTCCTACTTGAATGTAAGCAAATATGAGAAGCATTATTATGCATCTCTTACAGAATACAGCAGTGGACACCTGGGTAGAGAGACAGATGTGCTGATGTAAGACCAGAAAGTACTTTGTGTTCTTACAAAGTACTATTATAAAAGTTTATTTTAATTACAAAAGTAATATATGCTTATTACAGAAAAATTAGGAAATACAAGTAGTTTCAAAGAAGGGAAAAATAATCTATAATCACATCACATAGACACAGTCATCTTTATGTTCCTTCAGACTTTTTTCCAGTGGAAAATACATACAATAACAAATAAGCCAGTACTCTACATACAATTTTATGGTCTGATTTTCTTCATTTTAAGCCTATTGTGGAGGCCGGGCATGGTGGCTCATGCCTGTAATCCCAGCACTTTGGGAGACCAAGGTGGGTGGATTTCTTGAGCCCAGGAGTTCGAGACCAGCCTAAGCAGCATAGTGAAACCCTATCTCTACAATAAAAAAACACAAAAATTAGCCAGGTAAGGTGGCGTGTGCCTGTAGTCGCAGCTACTCGGGAGGCTGAGGCAGGAGGATTGCTTGAGCCCAGGAGGTCAAGAATGCAGTGAGCCATGACTGCACCACTGCGCTCTACCCTGAGTGACAGAGTGAGACTCTGTCTCAGAAAAAAACAGCTATTTTGGACATCTGTCCATTCCAGAAAATAAATTTCCACAGTGTGCTTTTTAATAGCTGTATAATATTACATGGTATGAATGCTTTACAATTTTTTTTAATTAGTCCACTATTTTTAATTGGGTATTTTTAATGTTTCAGAAATAACTGAAGATCAGTTGGAAAGTTACTTCACTAGTTAGACAATATGTTTCTTAAAAATAATGATGTCTCTTATGGCCCATACTAATTTAGAGCTCTGCAATGAAGGGATTCTGGGAGATGTAGTTCAGCTTAGCTAAGTTAACACAATACAAATCCACCACAGTTGATTCCTTGTCAACTAAATATCTATATATACCTTTCTGAACCACATTTGGCTTGATTTTTTTTTTTTTTTTTTTGAGAAGGAGCTCACTCTGTTGCATAGGCTGGAGTGCAGTGGAACAATCTTGGCTCACTGCAACCTCCATCTCCTGGGTTCAAGCAGTTCTTCTGCCTCAGCCTCCCGAGTAGCTGGGATTACGGGTGTGGGCCACCATGCCCAGCTAATTTTTGTATTTTTAGTAGAGACGGGATTTCACTTTGTTGGCCAGGCTGGTCTTGAACTCCTGACCTCAAATGATCTGCCCACCTTGGCCTCCCAAAGTGCTGGGATTACAGGCATGAGCCACCGCACTCAGCCTAGCTTAATTTTTTTTTTTTTTTTTTTTTTTTTTTGAAATGGAGTTTCTCTCTTGTTGCCCAGGCTGGAGTGCAATGGTGTGATCTCAGCTCACCACAACCTCTGACTCCCGGGTTCAAGCGATTCTCCTGCCTCAGCCTCCCAAGTAGCTGGGATTACAGGCATGTGCCACCACACCGGGCTACACCCAGCTAATTTTGTATTTTAAGTAGAAACAGGGTTTCTCCATGTTGGTCAGGCTGCTCTTGAACTCCTAACGTCAAATGATCTGCCCACCTCGGCCTCCCAACGTGCTGGGATTACAGGCATGAGCCACTGTGCCTGGCCTGCTTAATTTTTAAATAAGAGCAATAACGACATTATGCTTCCACCTAGCAATGTAACTATCCCTCATACAATTGAAACATGCTGTCTCCCCAAAACAGGAAACAAACTCCTTTTATCCATTTTTGGGTGATAATCATCTCTCTTCTAGGTGATTCAATATTCCCTCTTTGATATCCGGTTACTTAAACACTGAGAGCTTAAATATTATCAACAAATTGTATATCACATTTGACTAGGAGAATGGGAGCCTGAAAAAAATTGGTTAATATACACAAAAATATATTTGTATCAAAATAAAATACTCCTAACTATTACAGTGCTTATTTCTAAAACTGCTTACATGGTCATAGCTGGTATTTATAACTACATTCTTCCACTACCCATTTCATATTGTCTTTGCCCTCAGCAAAAATCTCAGCTGGTTGTGGTTTCTTGCCTGTTGGAGTGACCTAAACCTTAATCCCTGAAAGGTCTAAGCCACTAACAGTCCTGGCTCTATTGGGTTGTTGTAATTTTCCATTGAAGTTTATCACAGGATATGGGATTACTAAGGCATCTCAGGGGATCTACTGCATTCCAGACATACTCCTCCTTACTACTATTTTGTGATGACAATCTAATTTCCTCTTGATTGTCAAGATAAATCTGCCTAGCCCATAAAGTATTCTTTTATCTGTTTCTTGATTCATTGGCACGAGGACTTGTGAAGTGGCTAGCTGACAGTCTCATCTCTCAAATTAATGGAACCATTAATGTGTTCCTTGGTGGAAGTATTCTTCTTTGGTACTAATACTTCTAGATCAGTAGAGCCCTAAGTTGAGTAAAAGCAAGAGGAGCCATTCCCATTCCCTACACATGATTTCTGGACTTGTGAATTCTAACTGTGAGAGAAATATGTTGCTTACTGATTTACTGCATATATGTATCTTAGAAAACACGGACCTGCTCCCAAAGGGGTTGCCATCATAACTGAGTTTTCAAAAGACCATTCCACCATTTCACATACTAAGACTAGTAAGTTTCATGAACATGAGCCAATGGCCACAACTCATTTGCTGTTAAATGAGTTCCTTGGCCAGAAGCAATGCTGTATAGTAAACCATGGTGATGATTATGGCATTCCCTAGGCCTACAGAATAGTGATTTTGGTAGCAGCATCATGCGTAAGGAAGGAAACTTTGTTCTAGTGTGTTTACTTCAGTAAAAACCAAGTGCCTACTGGACCTGGTCCTATATAATTAACTTGCCACCAGGTCTGGCTCATCCTCCTGTAGAATAGTGCCATATTGTGGGCTCATTGTTGGTTTCTCCTGTGGCAGGCTGGGCACTCAGCAGTGGTTCTAGCCAGATCAGCCTTAGTGAATGAAAGGCCATGCATAGCTTCCATCCCTCCTGCCATGGCCACTTCATCTGTAGGTCCTTTGGGCAAGGTCACAAATGGATATGGAAAGAGGCTGACTGATGTCCACAGAATGGGCCATCTTGTCCACCTAATTATAAAGATCTTCCTATGCAGAGATTGCTCTTTGGTAAGCACTCACATAAGGCACAAATATCTTTACATAGATATCCTGTAGGGATAGACCCCTACAGGAAGGTCTATCCACATGCCTCTCCTCCAGACCTCCTCAGTAATTTTCCTATTGTGTTCCTTCCCATTTTTCAACCATCTGACTAAATGATTGAACTGCCCATCAATCTAACTAAATGATTGATCTGCAATTCTTGCTGTTGCTCCTTCCAGGCAAAATGAACAACCAGGTACACTGCTAAAGTTCTGCCCAATGGGAAGATTTTTCCTCACCACTTTCCTTCAGGCCTACCACTCTCCTTCATAGTGAGGCTGTTGTGCAAAGCCATCTACTTTCAGAGAGTGCCAGCACATTGTGTGGAACTATCTGTAAATCAGGCTTTCTTCTTCAGTCAACTGGTCATAGGTTGCCTGAAGGTATAATGCCATAGATATAGGTTGAGAGAAAAGAGACAATGTGGCAGGAATGTGGGCCATATGCATTTGAAACTATTTTTTGTACAACTTACTTGTACCTTCAAGATCTACTTGAGCTTGATCTTATGCACAACGCTTTCATTTGATGATAGAATGCTGCTGTAGACACCCACGTTTATTGGATGATAGATTAGACAATGCCAAATTGTCAAATGATGGGTAGTTCAAGTTTCATGGTAGCTTGTTGCCCACGGTCAATAGTTTCATCTCTACTAAGGTTCAGTGGCAAGCCTAGAGTCATTTGTCAATGACTGCCTGTGAAATAATCTCAGTGGCAAGCCTGGAGATTATTTCTTGACAGAGGATGACATAGGTTTGCGCCAAAGCTCTAAGGCTCTGTGCTACAGTGGCTTGTCAAAAGCTTCATAAAGCATGCCTATCTACCACAGACGTTACAAGTAATACTGGATCTACTAAGTTGTATGGCCCAAGTGGCAGAGCAGTTTGCTATTGAAGAACCTTTGCTTATTCAGGATCCCAATCAAAACTAGCAGCTTATTGGATTGCTCAGCAAATACATCAAAATGGTATGACCAAATGAAGTATATGTTGCAAGTGGTCCATCCATTGAGCATTGTGCAGCAAATATCCTTTATTTTGAAAGAGCTTTCTATGTATTACAGATCACTTAACCCCTAGACATTTCCCTGAGGAGACCCTGACATTTTATTGTGCTTATTTTTCCATCCTCTGGCATGCATTTGTCCTAACAATATATCTACTGTAGTTGCTACTTAGATCACTGTCTAATGAGCATATTATCAATGCAATGTCATAGTGTGATATTCTGTGAATGAGAAGGCAATCAAAGTTCCTGCAAATCAGATTATGACATAGAGCTGGGGAATTGATATAATTCTGAAATGGAGGTGTGTTGCTGACTCTGCCAGTTGAAAGCAAACTTCTTCTGATGATCTTTACCATAGGCATAAGTAGAAACAGCATTTGCCAGAACAGCTAACAGGTGCCACGAGATGTGTTGATGTGCTCCAGCGACAAAACCACAAGTGGAATAGCAGCAGCAGTTGGAGTCACCACATGATTAAATTTACAATAATCCACTGTTGTTCTCCAAGGTCCATCTTTCTTTTGCAAGGGCCAAGTTAATTGAGCGAAATGTGGCAGAAATCACTACTCAGCATCTTTCAAGTCTTTGATAGCACATCAGCCACTGAAGTCACTTTAGATTTATTATTTCTGTAGGTAAAAGCAGTTCTACTGGTTACACTTAGACTTTCCTGCCATAAAAGCCCTCATAATATGGGTCAGGAAACCAATATGGTGATTTTTCCATTTGCTGAGTACATTTATCCCAATTGTACATTCTAGAACTCAGTGATCTCACTACCTCTGGAAGGAGAACTAAAATTAGAATAGTGATAATGGGAAACTCGTTCCATATGTGTCTCTAATATTTGAATAAATTAATTATTTTACATTGGGCAGGTTCCTATGTTTTACTTGCATAATTTTATTTCTTATTTTCATTATTTATTTGTTTATTCATTTATTTTTAGAGATGGAGTTTCTCTCTTGTTGCCCAGGCTGGAGTGCAATGGCACGATCTCGGCTCACTGCAACGTCCGCCACTCGGGTTCAAGCCATTCTCCTGCCTCAGCCTTGCAAGTAGCTGGGATTAGAGGCATACACCACCATGCCCAGCTAATTTTGTATTTTTTAGTAAAGATGGGGTTTCATCATGTTAGTCAGGCTGGGTTCGAACTGCTGACCTCAGGTGAGGAGGCCTCCCAAAGTGCTGGGATTACAGGCATGAGCCACCGTGCCCAGCCATTACTTGCATATAATTTTAAAAACAACCTTCAAAATGTAAAATAACTACAACAATAACACCAAACCCCACAATATTGCATTAGAAAGAGTTTTTATTTAGATCATGAGACATAATAGTGCTTCGTACTCATGCTTATACAGAACCTAGCGCGAAAGAACATAATTCAAGACACTGTCAACCAAACTGCAAAATGTCTTCATAAATAAAAATCCAGGTTAATATTAGTATTATTATCCTACAAAAAACAAAGCTACTAATTTCCTCTCCAACACATATTTAAATAAACAGAAATCAACAATATTTGTAGCCTTTGTAATTCTAGTTTGTTTAGAATTTAGTTAAAAACTTATTTGTGGAGCTCTCCCTCTCTTTTGGCTGGCAGAACCATTTCTGACTTCAAGGCTTTTTATTAAAATATTCTACAATGAACACAGAAAGCTTGGTAGATACCATCTTTACACTTTTTTCTTCTTTGAATATATATTTGCTTGTGCACAGTAAGAATTATTAACATTTGCTTTTATATGTAGCTTAAGATGACAGCTCTACTGCATATTATATTGTAAACTGTGTTTCTCTCAACATTTTTCCTTCTTCATCTATAAATAGAAAACCACTGAATGATTGATTATATGTTTATTTAAGGGCATGCTCTAATGCCCACTGCTATATTCATTATTTCTTTGGTTTTCAGTTACAGAGTTTATGTTATGTTTAAATAGAACATTTTTCTGTAGGAATTGTGGGTTAGGACATGGATGATAACAGATATGCATATCTTACTCATGAAAGGTCTCTTTTATACGTGGCTTATAGAATATTACAAACTCATGTTGAAAAATATTTCAAAGCTTAAGAGGTTAAAAAATAATAATGAATTGGTTCCTGGAGCAAACTTACTTTTTGGAAAGTGATAGTAATAATTTAACATATAGATGAATGCAGTGTGTTCTGACTTGGCAGTTTTATTATTTATGAAATTAATTTTTCATTTAAAAATTATATATTAATAATTTATATGTTTTCCACAATGTAGGTAGAAATTATGTGTCCCTAGTATACACAGGAAGAAGGATAAGTATATAAACGTATACCATTTTAAACGTCTTAAATCTATTTACTTCTACAGCAATTGCCTTTTAGGTCTCATCCAGTCACAGACTATACTACACTTTTTGAGTTTATTTCCCTTCCCAGGAGCCACTTTTGTCATATGTAAAGCAGTTATACTAGTATTTACCTAACAGAATTGTCATGAAGAGTATATAAGCACAAATGTAAATCACTTAACATAGTACCTGCCAAGCAGTGGTTAATTAATGTTAGATTCCTTTTTAAGCTATAAAGGAAATTTAAAAACCTTTAATCCCTATGTTTTTCCAAAGCAAAATGTTTTATTTTTATTTTTTTCTTCATACCAAAGCAAAATATTTTAATTGTTCCAAAGTGTTCCTTACTTATAAAACTGTGGGAATTTCAGAAACATTCTGCTTTACAGTGCCCAGAGAAACTTCCTACATATAAACGCTGGTTTTGGTGTAAATGCATTCATTATTGGTGTTATCATTGGCCTTTACATAACCTAAGATTCGTGTGGCTCCGTTAAGACATAGGCAATATGACTCTGGGAGAGACTCTCACTAATGAACAGTAAGGGCAGCAAGCCTCAACTGTACTTAGAATTGGATACTACAATGTTTTGATAGTATTTTCATTACCGTCTTCAAGCAATTTCTTAACAATTGAGTTGTTAGCTAATTAGAAGTGCAGAACCAATACATGGCATCCTGTAAAAATAACCACGGGCTTAGTAACAAGCAAATAAAAAAATATAAAAACATTGGCTCTATAATGTGTCAATATGCTCTGGACTTATGTAATCAGTGACTCTTAACTCTTGCTCCAAAAGGAAGTTAACATTTGTAGAGTCTTAAAAGATTATATAAAAAAGAAAAGCAAAACAGAAAACAAAAAATCTTTTAGACCTTCTAGTCCATCCCTAATGACTAATTCTCCATCATATATTTTCATCTATTTGGATTGTAAATGTTGCCCAGACCAGAGATGGCGGTGGTTCACACTAGGGTGTCAGTGGTGGAATGGTGAGGGGCAGATGAATTGGAGATATTTTGGTAGTACAGCCAAAGAGACCTACTAATATTTTGGATGCAGAAGGTTAGTAAGGAGAGAAATCCAGACGACTTTAAGATTTTTGGCCAGAGGGATTTTACCTTTTAGCGACATACAGATGACCAAGGGAAGAGCAAAGTTGAGAGGATGAGTTATTCAAAATAGTATTATGGTCACGCCAAGCTATCAGCATTAAGGCATCCCTGTAGAGATGTCCTGTTGACATTTGTGATCCAGGCTGGATGTTTAAAAAAAATTGGTAACATATTACTTTAGCAACTATTATTAATTCTTATTATTACCACGACTACATCGGGAAGTAAAAGCTCAGCAGCCTCCGGCTTTTCCTAACCCTTGAAAAAACCTCTAATATAAAAGGCATTTATATCCAAAAGTTCCCATTCATCTCCCGCTCTGGGAACCGGGAGCGCCCCCTGTCCAATCAGCTTTCAAATCCCCTGCGTCAGCGAGTGGGCGGGGCTCACCTAGATTCCTTGGCCTCCGCTTCTCCGGCTTGGCCACGTTAGAAGTCCCGCAGGTCCTTGAAGGTACACAAATCACCTATATATCCATTAGAAAAATGTAGAGTACATTATCACAATGTAAGTTTAATTAGATTAAATAATTTACAACACTTTATTCATATCATTTATTTGTTTTATTTAGTTTCTTATTTTCTTCTATGAGTATAGTAACCACCTCCGAGCTTTACGGATCTGCGGGTCCTTTCCTCGCGCACGCGCACTTGTTAGGGAGGGCGGGCCTGTTTCCGGGAGGCGCGTGGGGCTTGAGGCCGAGAACGGCCCTTGCTGCCACCAACATGGAGACTTTGTACCGTGTCCCGTTCTTAGTGCTCGAATGTCCCAACCTGAAGCTGAAGAAGCCGCCCTGGTTGCACATGCCGTCGGCCATGACTGTGTATGCTCTGGTGGTGGTGTCTTACTTCCTCATCACCGGAGGTAACTCGGGCTGTCGGGCCCGAGAGGCTGAGGAGCGGAGAACTGACCCGCCCCGGGAGGCGCGTCTGTTCCGCTGACTCTCAGCCCCGGGGGAAGCATAGCTCTGCTTTGGATCTTTTCTGAGGGTGGAGGGGAGTTCTGGGGTCCGAAGTGTTAACGTCCAAGTTTATTCGCCTTCACGCCCTGTCTTAAGAGAATTCGTGTTCTCACTCCCATTGCCTTTCTTCTCCTTCTAGCCCTCCCATCCCAGGGATCCGAGTCAAATATATTTTTCAAGGCCAAATTGTTGCTCTTTTTGTTGCTTGCCATACGTTGTTTGATAAATGTCCTGGGAAAGCCTAATTTGGCAAACTCCGTTTCCATGGTTGGTTGTTTGATAAAGGTCCTGGGAAGGTCTAATTTGGCCAACTCCGCTTCCATGGTTGGTCAAGAGCTTGTGGGACTTTTAAACTTATCTTTGTCCTGGAATCTTGGAAGAGACTTGACAATCTTTAGTTTTGTTGGCTCAAACCTAGGGTTCTGTGTTGCCTTTTGCATGACCTACAATAAATATCAATGGAATTTTCTGAAATCACAGGTTTGATAAATATTTGAGATTGGAGATGAGATTTGCAGACGATACTGTATTTCAGTGGGCAGAAGTTGAGAATTAAAAAAATAAGATAAATAGCATTACTATTAAACGCTTCTGAATTGTCTATCATCTTATTCTGTCCTTTTCAAATAGAAAATTGCAAAGGGGCGTTGCCTTATGTACTGGTGAGTTGGCAATCCGGCTAGTCTTTTCAGAGCCACTACCCTTTCAGGCCACAGTTCCAAGATTTACTTAGAACTGTGCTACTGTGTACATTTAGATTTGGGGAAGTGGTGTACTTAACTTGGAAATTATAAAATTAATTTAGATTTTGGGAAGTGGTGTACTTAACCTGGAAATTATAAAATTAAAGCTACGGATTTGGGATAGCAAAAGTAGTTCTACTTTTAAGGGAGTGGCCATATAATTGTTATTTTCATAGATGTTTTGTGAGAATAGTTGGCACTGAAGGGGGAGGATTCAAACTGAGAGAGCTGAGTTCTAGAAAGCACCTTTGAATTTACCTCCTTCCCCCAATCTAGAATAGTGAGAATTAACTTACGTTCATTTAAATAAATTACATTTAAATATTTGAGTTACATTTAAATACTTATTTGGTAACAAGATACTATCTAGCATTGCATTAGCATTAACCATTAACATTTGCTCATCAAGTTAATAGCTACTGTACTGAATAAACAAAATTTAAAATGCATGTGGCTTTTAAAAATAATAGACTTTTAAAAATAAATAATATAGAATAATTCAGTATTATTATTGAGTGCTCGCTTCGGCAGCACATATACTAAAATTGGAATGATAGGGAGAAGATTACCATGGCCCCTGTGCAAGAATGACTCGCAAATTCGTGAAGCGTTCCATATTTTTGCACAGTTCACGAAGGTCGTTGGACAAAAAAAAAGTCATTATTCAATAATAATAATGAATAATGCTAGTTTCTTTCCTGTAACCCTTACTTCCCTTGGAGTCGGATTCTTTGCGAGAAGCCTCAGTTTTCTTTGTGGCCCTCTTTTTTCTCCTGTTGATTATTGTAATGGGGAGATTCTTTGTCCCAACCATTGGGGGAAAGTGGAAAGGTTGCTTTTTAGTGGCCAGGTCTATGAGGTATCTTGTATGATGAATTGGTTTTGCCACTGGAAGGGAAGAAGTCTCTTCTAAAAACTGAGTGCACCTTTATAAATAAACTATTTGTTGCTGACAAATAGTCAGCAAATAGATACTGAGTCCCGTTAAGTTTCAGGCACTAGGTACTGGAGATAATAGAACAAAACATAAGGACCCTGACCTCCTGAAGCTTATAATGTCATAGATGAGACATATTAAATGTCACTTAATTTTTTTGTCCGTTAAAAATGTTCACAAAAACAGGCCAGGCGCAGTGGCTCACGCCTGTAATCCAACACTTTGGGAGCCTGAGCCAGTTGGATCATTTGAGCCCAGGAGTTCGAGGCCAGCCTGGGCAACATGGCGAAACCCTGTCTCTACTGAAAATACAAAAAATTAACCAGGCGTGGTGGTACACGCCTGTAGTCCCAGCTACTTGTGAGGCTGAGGCAGGAGAATTGCTTGTACCCGGGAGGTGAAGGTTGCAGTGAGCCGAGATGGTGCCACTGCACTCCAGCCTGGGCAACAGAGCAAGGCCCTGTTTCAGAAACAAAAAACAAACCCCAAAATTAGCTGAGCCTGGTGGCGCACGCCTGTAGTCCCAAGTAGCTGGGACTATGGTGCAGGAGTTTGAAGTGGGAGGATCGCCTGAGCCTGGGAAGCTGAGGCTGCAGTAAGCTGTGATGGCACCACTGCACTCCAGCCAGGGTGACAGAGCAAGACCCGACCCTCTCTCAAAAAATAAAAACAAACAAACAATGGTTATAAATACAGTGAAAGAAAAGAACAAGAGGTTTTTGAGAAACTAAAGGGAGTTGGAAGCATCATCTGGATTGGATTCGATATGATTCCTGAGGAAATGATATGTAAGCCAAAATCTGAAGAGTTCGGGGAAAGGATATGCTAGGCAGAGGGAAACGTAGGGCAAATGTGAGACCAAAAGACCAATTAGGTGGCCTTTGTAGTTGACTTAGACTATACAAGGTTTATGGTAGTGGAGATTAGGATAATATAATGAAAGATATGTTGGAAGTAGATTCAGTAGGTCTTGAATTCACTGGGTGTAGGGGAAGAATGAAGTGGGAAGGAATCTTACAGGTTTCTGGTTTGAGCTCCTGAATAGATGGAAGTATCATTTCCTGAGATTGAGAAAACAAAGTTTTTGGTGGAAAATGGTGCACCAGAGGTTGTTTTGGGGTAAAATTAGTTGGATATGTCACATGTGCAGATGGGAGTCTAGACCTGAGAAAAGAGGCCTGTGTTGAAGTTGGTCAACTAACAGACATTTCTGGAACTCCCATGAGACATTGAAGAGTATAGGCAAAGTCCAAAGTCTCTGTTCTTGAGGAGCTTACATGTAATTCTAATGGTACTGGCATTATTTGAGAGGCCTTGGCACATCACATTGAGAGTCTTTAGCACATGAAATTGAAAGCCCTGGGAGTTCATTTTGGAGAAAAGTAGAAGAGGACAGTGGACCAATCCCTGAGGGCCTCCAACATTTAGTTCTTTTATAAAAGAAGAGGCCCAATAGAGAGGTAGCAAGAAAACATGAAGAGGAGTATCACAAAAGCCATAAGAAGAGGTGTTTTTCAAGAAATTGGTTTAGTAAACTGGATTGAGTGCTTCTGAGAAGTCCCCTAAGATGAGAACTGAAAAGTGTCTATTGAATTTGACAACATGGAGATCATTGGTGACCTTAGAAAGAGCAGTATCAATGGTTGCAGAAGCCAGATTGGATTGAGTTGAAGAATGAAGGGTAAGTAAGAAAGGGGAGATGGCAAGTTTGCCTAAGTCTTCCAGAAGAAAGTCTGACTCCCTTTCAGAAAGCAAAGATAGAAATAGGATGTTAGCTAAGAGGATCTGAAGTCAAGGAGGGTTGATGTAGGGAAGGAGAGCTTGAAAATACAGGAGAGAGGAGAGATATCCAAAGGAATAAAGTCCCTGAGAGTCCAAGTGGGAATGGACTCCTGGTAATTGCAAAAGGGATCCCACATTATAGGAGGTGGGAATCTTCCTCTTTGTAGCTGGAAAGAAGGAGGTGAGGATGGATGCAGGTACCAGGTATTTGTAGATTTGGTGGGGAAAAGACAAGGGAATTCCTATAGGATTGTTTTGTCAGGCTAGGATAAGGGAGATAGGCTTGTTATGCTTAAGAAAAGCTGGAGATGAAGATGTTTGAGAACAGTGGAGAAGGTAGAGTAGATGTTGACAGTGGGAGATTGAGAAAACTATTAGTGCTGATGAACATTAATGTTAATGATCACGATGACATTATGACATAATGGTGGACATTAATGTTAATGATTATGAATCTCTAGTATTGCCATTCTGCCTGATGGCGTGGTTTTAAAATGTCTCCTTGTTTTACATTTAAGCAATTTCTCTAGTTATTTTTCAATTTATAGAAACAAATCTAAGCATATCTGAGACAATTTTTGTGAACCGAAGTAGAGCCTTTAGTTTTAAATCCCCTTTATACTAAAGTCATTCCTGAGTATTAGCAACTCTTATTGGATGAATTTCCTTTATGAAATTTGTACTTCATTTAGATATCATACAGTTTTCAAAGTAATTCTAAAACATTGAGTTGAATGTCTGAATGATTTATCAGAACTTTAGATGAGTTGGGCCACATTTGGTTATAATAATACAATCAAAGCATTCCTATTTAAAAGTAAATGAAACTTGGCCGGGTGCAGTGGCTCACACCTGTAATCCCAGCACTTTGGGAGACTGAGGCAGGTGGATCACCTGAGGTCAGGAGTTCGAGACCAGCCTGACCAATATGGTGAAATCCCGTCTCTACTAAAAATACAAAAATTAGCTGGGCATGGTGGTGGGCGCCTGTAGTCCCAGCTACTTGGGAGGCTGAGGCAGGAGAATTGCTTCAACTTGGGTGGCGGAGTTTGGCAGTAAGCCAAGTGGCGCCACTGCACTCTCAACCTGGGCGACAGAGTGAGACTCTGTCTCAAAAAAAGTAAATGAACCTTAAGAGACAATGAAAACTATAATCCTGTTTTCAAAAATTAGTAATACAATCTAATCTGTTCTGTTGTCTTTCTTATAGGAATAATTTATGATGTTATTGTTGAACCTCCAAGTGTCGGTTCTATGACTGATGAACATGGGCATCAGAGGCCAGTAGCTTTCTTGGCCTACAGGTAAAAGATACCTTTTTGAATGATTTGGTGGTGGGAAAGAAGGTTGCTGTGGTATGCCCACTTATTTAAAAATAGAGTAAAACCTATGGGATCCATGTGTATTTAGACAACAGCTGTTTTAAAATGCTGGATTCTGAAATGGCAGAAAGTGAGTCAAAAACAAGAGTATATTATTTATTTATTAAGAAATAAAGTATTTCATAATGATGTATCACCAATTTACAGTAGGGTGTCAGTTTAAACTACATTTATAGATTGTTCTGGGGGTCAGTGAACTATAGCTGCTTTTTTTTTCTTTTCCCCAAAAAAGTTTTATTGGAAGTAAGTATGCCCATGTGTTTTATATGATCTATGGCTGCTTTTAAGCTAGAGTGGCTGAGCTGAATAAGTATGACACAAACCATATACCCCACAAGCCTAAGATATTTACTATATGGGTATTTAAGAAAATATTTTTGGACTATACCCTGGTCTATACCATTAAATAACAAAAGTATTTTTGAGACTTTGAGGGTTCTGTTTCATCAGTGAAACCCCGTTCCAGTGTGGTTTTGTTCACCTGAACAATGCTTATATTGCTTTCTAAAATTTACTTAATATCTACCAAAACATAGCTATATGTTTATATTTGCAGTAATGCTATTTATGCATAGAATATTTCTGGAAAGATTTATTAGTATTCTCTGTGGAGGGGAGTTAATGACAGGTTGATGGTAGGGTGGCTCTTCATAGTGCCCTCTTTCACACTGTTTGAATTTTGAACTTGGTACATATATTGTGTTTTCAATGAAAACAATTGACCAAAAAAAAAAAAAAATACCCTGTTTACATATGCCTATGTATAATCATCCCTTTAACGAGAAATTTTCTTCTTGAGGTCCTTGAACTATGAGAATTTGATAAAAGCTCTGTATCCCTAGAAAAATCACACACACACACACTTTTACATATAATTAGAGGGGTTTGTAGTTCACTGAAGTTCTTATGGGACCCATGGAGCCTTATTTAAGAACAGTTTCTTTTTAAAATATTTCCATTTGAAACAAGAAGTTTATTATTATTAACATAAAACTTCAAGAAACACATCTAACCAATTCAAAATTAGTTTGAATTGATAGTAGAAATTTAAATAGCATAACTTTTTAAAAAAAGCTAACCTAGACCGGGCGCAGTGGCTCACGCCTGTAATCCCAGCACTTTGGGAGGCCGAGATGGGCGGATCACGAGGTCAGGAGATTGGGACTATCCTGGCTAACCCGGTGAAACCCTGTCTCCCCTAAAAATACAAAAAATTAGCCAGGCGTGGTGGCACGCGCCTGTAGTCCCAGCGATCTGGGAGGTGGAGGTTGCAGTGAGCCGAGATCGTGCCACAGCACTCCAGCCTGGGCGACAGCAAGACTCAATCTCAAAAAAAAAAAAAAGCTAAGCTAAAGTTCTGGGTAAAGCGTTCGTATACATAAAATATGAGTATTTATTTTACATAAACAGTTGTGTTAGTTGAGGTTTTACGACATTTTTTGAATGTGAACTCCATGAAGACAAAGATTTTTGTCTGTTTTATTCATTGTTGTATATCCCCCAGAACCTAAAACAGTGCTTGCTACCTAATAGACTCAATAAATATCTGTTGAATGGACAGATGAATATCCAGAGGTATAGTAAAATAGTTGTAAGGCTAAGAATAAGAAATATAGCACAAAAATGTTTTGGCACAAAAACGGAAATAGGAATTTCAATTTAAGGGAAACATTTCTATTTGTTATCTTTCTATGGTCATTCTTTTCTTTTCCAGAGTAAATGGACAATATATTATGGAAGGACTTGCATCCAGCTTCCTATTTACAATGGGAGGTTTAGGTTTCATAATCCTGGACCGATCGAATGCACCAAATATCCCAAAACTCAATAGATTCCTTCTTCTGTTCATTGGATTCGTCTGTGTCCTATTGAGTTTTTTCATGGCTAGAGTATTCATGAGAATGAAACTGCCGTAAGTTATTTGTGTAATCAGCACCTTATGTTGCAAATTGGTAAAATGATTACCTGGAAAATGTAAAGTCATAGGACATTTAATTTAACTTTCATTTACATGGGTGAAAAATCCAGAAACCAAATATATTTGTAACTTGGTCAGGTTACAGCTATAGTTAATAAAAATTGAAACTAATAGATCTTCTTAGTTGTTATCCCCATGAATGTTCATGAGAGAAAATTTAGTTACTTTGTCCTGGCATCAATGACTGAAGATAGTCATTGTTTCTTTTTTTTTTTTTTTTTTTTTTTTTTTTTTGAGACGGAGTTTCGCTCTTGTTGCCCAGGCTGGAAATGCAATGGCACAATCTTGGCTCACTGCAACCTCTGCCTCCCGGGCTCAAGTGATGCTCCTGCCTCAGCCTTCTGAGTAGCCAGGATTACAGGCATGCACCACAGCACTCAGCTATTTTTTGTATTTTTAGTAGAGGTGGGGTTTCACAATGTTGACCAGGCTGATCTTGAACTCCTGACCTCAGGTGATCCTCCTGCCTCGGCCTTCCAAAGTGCTGGGATTATAGGCATGAGCTACGGCGCCCAGCTGTCACTGTTACTTTAAAATGCCTTTTGGCTAATCTGTAACACAGAATTCCAGTAGTATTAATGGTAGGGAATAGCTTCAGATCACTCACTGTTGCTGCTCTTTGAATATTGGTAGGAAGAAAACCCATTATGCCTTGTAAGGGAAAAGAGAGTTATTGCCCTTCAAAAAGATAGGAAAAGGATATTTATATATTTGTGTGTGTGTGTGTGTGTGTATGTGTGCGTGTTTAATGTGTATTTAAAGATTATTTTGATTCAGAAAACTTTTCAATATCTTTAGAGGAAAAATAAGATCGTTTATGGCATCTTTCATAATTCTGTTTAAGATTATTTACTTGAAATGTGAACAAATACAATCACATTTCCATATATTCTAATTTAATTCATGGATGCATTAGTAACTACAGTAACGACAGGAAATTTGGGCAAGCATACCACAAATATTAGCTCTTAGTATTTTATTTTTAGTATTTTATTTTTTAGGGACTGTGTTAAACATCAAGTGTCAACTATACTGATTTCTTAGTGTGTTTGAATTTTACAAATTCACTTGTTCTGTGACTTAACCTGTCCATTGTCTGTAACACACCTGGGGTAGAATGGGCAAAAGTACATGATGATCCCACAATCATCATGTTCCCATTTTAGTCCTGGCAGGATGGGAGGGAAAGCATGGAGTTCTTTGTCAGCTGAATATCTGTGTGGCCATATAGCTGCTCAGTTTCCTCTGGCAGCAGCTCTTTTTTTTTTTTTTTTTTTTTTTTTGAGATGGAGTCTCACATTATTGCCCAGGCTGGAGTGCAGTGGTGCAATCTCGGCTCACTGCAACCTCCGCCTCCCAGGTTCAAGAGATTTTCCTGCCTCAGCCTCCCAAGTAGCTGGGATTACAGGCGCCCGCCACCACACCCAGCTAATTTTTTTTGTATTTTTAGTAGAGACAAGTTTTCACTATGTTGGCCAGGCTGTTCTGGAACGCTTGACTTCATGATCGACCCGCCTCAGCCTCCCAAAGTGCTGGGATTATAGGTGTGAGCCACTGTGCCCGGCCAGCAGCTCTTATTTTCATTTGGGGAAGGCATTTCTGGCCATTGGCTAAGTTGTGTGAAGACTAAGGTACTCCAGCCTCTTATTGTTCCTTGTTTTTCTGCTCCTAGTGGAAGTAAGTCACCATAGCCTGGTAAGGTGTACTTGTATAGAAAAGACTGAAGTTTTCATTAGCAGAGCAAGAAAAGAGGAGACTCCCAGATAGAATAAAGAGGTTACTGAAAGGCTCATGCCTGTAATCCCAGCACTTTGGGAGGCTGAAGCGGGCGGATCACAAGGTCAGGAGATCAAAACCATCCTGGCTAACATGGTGAAACCCCATCTCTTACTAAAAATACAAAAAATGAGCCAGGCATGGTGTCGGGTGCCTGTAGTCCCAGCTACTCGGGAGGCTGAGGCAGGAGAATGGCGTGAACCCAGGAGGCAGAGCTTGCAGTGAGCCAAGATCGTGCCACTGCACTCCAGCCTGGGCGACAGAGTAAGACTCCATCTCAAAAAAAAGAAAAGAAAAGAAAAGAAAATTTACAACCAAAACAAAAGAAACCTTTGGAGGCATGTGTCAGAACAGAGAAAGTGTCCTGGTTTTGCTTATAGAATCAAATATGTTCTCATTCTACCTACTGTTTTCATTCTACATAGTGTTTTCCTTCTTTATAGTTTTACGTCCTCTTCCTAGGAATGAGTCTATTAAGAAAATAGGTGTTATCTTTTAGCTTTGGCATTTGACTTTCAGGATAATAGAGCTATCTGCTACTGACAGAAAAGCTTTGACAAGTGTTTAATACTCTGGATTACCTTCATCTTACTTTTGCAATCATTTATGTGAACATTTGTCTTCCTGTCCACATTCTATAGGCTAGTATGTAACACCGTTGACTAAATCCAAACTTTAGGCTAGGGAAAAAGGGTATACTTTCTGGGTTTCGGTTGTAGATTATGTTTAGATCTAATCAAAACAGGACAGTGGTCCAAACAGAAAATTGCTATTTTCTGTATCTTGTAAATCTAGGATTTGAGTTTTTAAGATGAATTTATGGTTCCCTTTCTGATATCATTTCTCATCTGCAGCTCCTAATGCCTGGTACCTTGGGTATGGAGTGAGGAGAGACAATGGACAGTTTTATATAAGAAATGGAAGTAATGATACTATCTTTCCTGGAATATTTGCAGGCCCCAGAGGAGATGATGAGCAAGGACTGTTGGCCTGTATTACACACAACAGGGTTGTAGTTACTATCCCAGCAAGGAAAGGGTGTATCTTTCTTCTTTCATGCAAATTATCTATGATGACCTAACAGTTTGATTATAGTGAGTGGACTAACCACAACAATAAAAAAGATGTCAAAAAAACACCAATAGCCACTGGTTTTTCCAAATCAACTATGTTTCTAGCATCTGAGATAAAGGATGGCTGTATCATAAGATGCACCATGATAACCTCCAGGGTGGAATTCTTTTTTACAAAGATGTTACCTTTAGCAAGAGATGCCTTTGAAAAGGAGAAAACAGTAGCACTGAAACAGTATTACTGGTTCTGTTTTCTGATTTATGCTTTTTTGAAAGACCTGATGTTTCCCCTATTGATATAATTTTACTAATTAAAACATGTTTTATTTGATGTCTTGAGTTTTGAAGAAACGTCGAAAATGAATGACTGTTGGCTGGGCACAGTGGCTCAGGCCTGTAATCCCAGCATTTTGGGAGGCCGAGGTGTGCAGATCACTTGAGGTCAGGAGTTCAAGACCAGCCTGGTCAACGTGGTGAAAACCAGTCTCTACTAAAAAATAAAAAAATTAGCTGGGCGTGGTAGTGCACGCCTGTAATCCCAGCTATTTGGGAGGCTGAGGCACGAGAATTGCATGAACCCAGGAGGCAGAGGTTGCAGTGAGTCGAAATTGTGCCACTGCATTCCAGGCTTGGTGACAGAGTGGGACTCCATCTCAAAAAAAAAAAAAAAAAAGAATAAAGAATGATTGTTTATTAGCTTTGCACACATAGCAGTACATTTAAAAGGAAAAAATTAAACGTAGTCCCTAATATTTTTATTAGTACAGTCTCAAAGGAGTAATTTTCATTGTGAAAATGAAAATATTCTAATATAATTTATGAGATAATGTATGTGAAATCATGTATGTATGCGTCTGTATGTTCACTGCATTTTAAATATACATAGACTCAAAGGAAATAATGTTCGGTTACTGAGTAGAAGACTGGTACACGTTTGAACTTGATTCTTCTGAAAAAATAATGAATCTTCATTAGATTGTCTTTAGCCTCCACTCTTAGGGCAGCTTTAACTTAAAAGCAGAATCTTTTTCTTTTCTTTTCTTTTTTCCTTTTTTGAGACAGTCTTGCTTTATCACCCAGGCTAGAGTGCAATGGCGCGGTCTCGGCTCACTGCTACCTCCGCCTCCCAGGTTCAAGCCATTCTCCTGCCTCAGCCTCCCGAGTAGCTGGGATTACAGGCATGTGCCACCATGCCAGGCTAATTTTTGTATTTTTAGTAGAGATGAGGTTTTGCCATTTTGGCAGAGGCTGGTCTCGAACTCCTGACCTCAAGTGATCTGCCTGCCTCAGCCTCCCAAAGTGCTGGGATTACAGGCGTGAGCCACCATGCCTGGCCAAAAGCAGAATCTTAAAAAAAATAAAAATAAAAGGTGGCCTGTGGTGGCGTGGTAATGCCCTAAAGTCAGGTGAGGTGTTCAATTGGAGATGGAGGGATGGGTTCCTACATTCAGGCAAGTCTGTTATAAAGCTGTATAAAACTACTTGAAATAGATACTATCAGATAATTGAGGACAAAAGGTCTGCCTTATTTCAGCTGGCAAAAATGGCTTTTTAGCAATTTCACCTAGTGTTTATTAAGCTTGAGAAGAAAAGCTAAGGATCTTCTGGATAAATCCTGAGATCATGGGATCAGTTCAGAAAACAAGTTCTCTTAAAGGGAGAAAGGAATAAAAAATATGAATGTAATAATATTTAAACTAACATCATTTAGGGAATGATATGCTGCATATATGTGATTCCATGTAATTGAAAATACATAAATACTAAAACATTGTATTCATTTTCGACAGACCCTCTTTCTAAAGCGTTTGTTGTGTTGTATTACACGTTAACACTCATATTTGTATGTAGCAAATATTTATTTGATAACTGTTACTTGCTGGACACTGAGATTAAACATAATTTAACCTTCTCCACTGAGGTCATTTTACATTTCTGTTATGCATAGTACTACTTTTCAGTTTTGTTGATTTCACTGGCTTGTCACTTGTCATGGTGATCAGTATATACCTATTGTAATTTCATCCTTTCCCTCTTCTTCTTTTCAGTTTGCTGGTTATTCTATGACTTGAGGGAATAGATAACCTAGCTATTAATTACCTTTTAAATCAGTTCTGGCTGAAGGAGAGCTTAATGGCTTGGCTTTGTAACCATACTTTCAGATGTTTGAGAATCTCTTTCATTTCCTTCCAGATTTGGAGCTATATTTTAGAGAGTTAAGGCTGTAGAGAAACTAGCAGCTGGATTGTTTCAGCGACTAAAAAGCTGATATCCGAGGTTCATTTTTAGCAAATAAGGGACGTAATTCATTCTAAAGAAACAAAACATTTGTACAGCTGCTGAGGACAATGTGTAGTAGAGAGGGTGAGGAATTTGGAGTCCAGTTTTGGCCTGCCACTTAATAGCTCTGAGACTTTGGATTAGTTCTGTGAACTCTCTTGGCCTCAGGTTCCAAACCTGTTAAATGAAGTATTAATGTACCTTGGGGAGTTACAGTTGTCAACATTAAATGAGAAGGTGTGCTCTCAATCATAATGTAAGTGTTAATCAATGTCAGTGTTTTCATTCTAAAGATAGAGTCCTAAAAGTTCTGTTTCAAGTTAGATTATGGCCACAGTTTCAAAAATAAATGAATAAACCATTACTGTTTTTGTTTTGTTTCGTATTGAGACGGAGTCTCGCTCTGTTGCCCAGGCTGGAGTGCAGTGGCGTGATCTCGGCTCACTACAAACTCTGCCTCCCAGGTACATACCATTCTCCTGCCTCAGCCTCCCTAGTAGCTGGGACTACAGGCGCCCACCACCATGCCCAGCTCATTTTTTGTATTTTTAGTAGAGATGGGGTTTCACCGTGTTAGCCAGTGATCTCCTAACCTCGTGATCCGCCTGCCACGGCCTCCCAAAGTGCTAGGATTACAGGCGTGAGCCAAGGTGCCCAGCCTGAATAAACCATTACTGTTTCTAAAAGAAGAAAGTGAGGTTTCCATTTCTAGGACCATTGGAGTGGGTAGTAGACCAGGAGTGAGGAGACTTGTGTTTTAATGCTGGTTTTGTTCTTTTCTGGCCTTGTGATTTTTGAGCAAACGACTTAATTGCTGTCACACTCTTCATCTGTAAAATGAGACTAATCCTTGTTTCACACACCTTTTTAAGATTGTTGCAAGGGTTAAATGCAATAATGAATGTGGTAGTGTTTTGAGAAGCTTCTATTAGTGCTAACCTAGCACAGAGCTTGCCTTAATATACAGAGGCACTGAGTGATTATTGAAAGAATGGCCTTAAAGATTAAATAGAAGGTCCTTCATGGTGGCTTCTCCTGTCTCTAGTTGGTTTTTGAGTTCTTGATTTACTTTTTATTGTATTTATCTACGGTTTTACTTATGTAAAATTCTCACAGGCCTGAATATAAGATTATGAAATTTTCTGGGTCAAGAGAGGGGGCTAAATGATTGAGTATATATTATAGTAAGTGTATTTCAACAATTTTATTTTTATTTCTTATCAAGAAGTATAGTAATGTATTTGTTCTTCTTTTCTTTTTTCTAACATGGTATCGTTATAACATTATAATATTTCTTAGTATCTCCCAAATTGTCCTTAAGGTAAAACTATTTTAAGTTTGGCAGCTTTGAACAGGACATGTCTATTTAAATATTCTTTTCTATCTAAATATAGGTTGACAAGCATGGGTCACCCACTAGTTACAAGGAAGGATACCATAATATATAGCTATATTAAGAGATAGAGTACAAAGTGTATATTCACATATAGGTATATGCAAATTACAAGAAGTTACTCCTAATGAGTCTTTAGTACTCTTGTTTCATAGTGTAAGCTAGCTGTTGGGTAACTTCTACTACAGAGTGCAGATATTAGTGGATGCTTGCTTAAAATCTTCTTGAACCTTTTTTTTTTTTCTTGTGAAGCTTATGTTTTAAAGTATCCTTTTTGTGACACATCAGGCATTATAGTAGCAAATTTATGTGAGGTCTTTAAATTCAATGTATATATCCAAAGAACCTTTTAATTTTTAATTTTTTTTTTTTTGTGGGGGACGGAGTCTGGCTCTGTTGCCAGGCTGGAGTGCGGTGGCATGATCTCGGTTCACTGCAATCTCCGCCTCCCAGGTTCAAGTGATTCTCCTGCCTCGGCGTCCTGAGTAGCTGGGACTACAGGCATGCACTACCACACCCAGGTAATTTTTGTATTTTTAGTAGAGACGGGGTTTCACTGTGTTGGCCAGGATGGTTTCAATCTCTTGACCTCGTGATCCGCCTGCCTCAGCCTCCCAAAGTGCTGGGATTACAGGCGTGAGCCACTGTGCCCAGCCAAACCTTTTTATTTTTAAATTTTTGTTCAGTTTTGGATTTGGGAGGAGGTGAGAAGTATCTGGTTGTCAAGGTGGTTGTGTTAGATGAAAGTTCTCTTTACTCAGAGTGTGTGGATTGGCCAGGCTGATACAGCAGAAAGAAGAGTGTGTGAGTTCTAGGTTGATTGCATTGGCTGAACATAAGTCTAATCATACAGGGAGTCAAGTGAGTTCAGAAGCTGAAAGGGAGGGAAGTCACATTTTTGAGTGTTTGCTGTGTGCCAAGCACTGGAGGAGACCTCAGTATTGTCAAGTAGTTTTTAAATCTTACGTTACCAGTGAAGAAACTTGGGACTCTAAAAATAGCAGCTAACATTTGTGAAGTGCATGTAACTACGAGTAGCAATTACTATATGAGTAGATTCTCTTATAATCCTTAAAACCCTTTGAGGTAACTCCATTTTACAGATGAGGAAACTGAGTGAGGTTTGCCAGGCTCATGCAGTAAGTGGTAGAAGCAGGGTCAAAAGAAGAGGCGTTCTGAAGCCGTCAGTGAGTATAAGGTGTTGTAAACCTTTTTTTTTTTTTTTTTTTTGAGACGGATTCTTGCACTGTTGCCCAGGCTGGAGCACGGGGTTTCACCATGTTAGCCAGGATGTTTTGTGTTTTGTTTTGTTTTGTTTTGTTTTTTCTTTTTTTTTTTTTTGAGATGGAGTTTCACTCTGTTTGCCCAGGCTGGAGTGCAATGGCACAATCTTGGCTCACTGCAACCTCCACCTCCTGGGTTCAAGCAATTCTCCTGCCTCAGCCTCCTAAGTAGCTGAGATTACAGGCGTCTGTCACCACGCCCAGCTAATTTTTGTAGTTTTAGTAGAGGTGGGTTTTCACCATGTTGGCTAGGCTGGTCTCGAACTCCTGACCTGGTGCTCCACCTACCTCGGCTTCCCAAAGTGCTGGGATTATAGGCATGAGCTACCATGCCCAGCCCAACCCTTTCTTAATGTGGATACTTGTACATAATTTTTCCATTTTTTTTTCCTGATCCTGTAGATTCTTAATTAATAATAGACTTTAAGGGTTTATTGCCAAAGGAAAGGTTTGGAACTTTTATAACACCAGATTTAATGCTTTAATTTAAAGGGGATTTCAGGGCCTAACTTGCACATTTAATAAAAGGATCTCCTGTTTGACCAGCATGAAGTTTGACCTTACCAGCAGGTACAGCTAAAGCTCCTAACTGTTATCCAGACATTTCCTGAAGTATTAGAGGTTCAGGGGCAGATGTTTGTGCACACTTTTTTGAAGTCTCAGAGGCTCACCTCCCAGTCCTGAATAGCTTCTGATTCTCCCACTTCTCTTCTGGTAATATTAGAGTTTTTAGAAATCCAAACCAGTTTCTTTACATAAAAAAAATTTTGATTTTGTTGCACTTCTGAGAGCCTAAAATAGATTGATTCTGACTCTTAACTTTAACTTTTAGATATCATTTTCTTTTCTTTACTTCCTTTTCTTATTCTGTGTTGTTTGGCATACTGCTTTGTAACTTTAAGAGGGAAGGGCCAGGCGCGGTGGCTCACACCTGTAATCCCAGCACTTTGGGAGGCCGAGGTGGATGGATTAACTGAGGTCGGGCATTTGAGACCAGCCTGGCCAAGATGGTGAAACCCCGTCTCTACTAAAAATAGAAAAAGTTAGCTGGGCGTGGTGGCGGTCACCTGTAATCCCAGCTACTTGGGAGGCTGAGGCAGGAGAATCGCTTGAACCCAGGAGGCAGAGGTTGCAGTGAGCCGAGATTGCACCATTGCACTCCAGCCTGGGCAACAAGAGCAAAACTCCATCTCAAAAAAAAAAAAAAAACTTTGCCGGGCTTCACGCGTGTAATCCCAGCACTTTGGAAGGCCAAGGCAGGCGGATCACCTGAAGTCAGGAGTTCCAGACCAACCTGGCCAACATGGTGAAAACCTGTCTCTATAAAAATACAAAAGTTAGCCAGGTGTGGTGGCACGCGCCTGTAATCCCAGCTACTTGGGAGGCTGAGGCAGGAGAACCACTTGAACCCGGGAGGCGGAGGTTGCAGTGAGCTGAGATCACACCATTGCACTCCAGCCTGGGTGACAAGAGCAAAACTCCATCTCAAAAAAAAAAAGGAAAAAGAGGGAAGGATAGTAGAACTGAGGCTCAGTAATTTATTTGTATATTGGGGTGAGGGGGGCAAAATATGAAATAAGGACCATAATAAAGAATCACGCAATTATATTTTTGGATTGTTATTTGATATATCATAAAATTTGTTTTGGCATTTTGAAATACTATGATAATAAGAGAATATAAAAACAATTCTTTTCACTTTTTGTGCTTATAATTATATTTCTGCAGGGGCTATCTGATGGGTTAGAGTGCCTTTGAGAAGAAATCAGTGGATACTGGATTTGCTCCTGTCAATGAAGTTTTAAAGGCTGTACCAATCCTCTAATATGAAATGTGGAAAAGAATGAAGAGCAGCAGTAAAAGAAATATCTAGTGAAAAAACAGGAAGCGTATTGAAGCTTGGACTAGAATTTCTTCTTGGTATTAAAGAGACAAGTTTATCACAGAATTTTTTTTCCTGCTGGCCTATTGCTATACCAATGATGTTGAGTGGCATTTTCTTTTTAGTTTTTCATTAAAATATATTCCATATCTACAACTATAATATCAAATAAAGTGATTATTTTTTACAACCCTCTTAACATTTTTTGGAGATGACATTTCTGATTTTCAGAAATTAACATAAAATCCAGAAGCAAGATTCCGTAAGCTGAGAACTCTGGACAGTTGATCAGCTTTACCTATGGTGCTTTGCCTTTAACTAGAGTGTGTGATGGTAGATTATTTCAGATATGTATGTAAAACTGTTTCCTGAACAATAAGATGTATGAACGGAGCAGAAATAAATACTTTTTCTAATTAATACCTTTTATATTTGTTTTTTAACTGACAGTGTTAAGTTTTTGGTCTATTAATCATTCATTCCCACCCATCTTATGACTTTCTTTAGCTACTTTTGGTAGCCTAAGATTTCAAAATATGGTTGGCAGGATGCCTTGAGAGTTAGCATCTTTATATCCTTGTAAATATTCAAGCACAGGCTGCATATCTATGTCAGAGTTGTCAATGTGAATGTGCTAGATGAGCACATGTAGAAACATCTCTGGGGCCGGGCGTGGTGGCTCACACCTGTAATCCCAGCACTTTGGGAGGCCGAGGCGGGCGGATCATGAGGTCAGGAGATCGAGACCATCCTGGCCAACACGGTGAAACCCTGTCTCTACTAAAAATACGAACAAACAAAAACATCTCTGGACCAATCTGGTCTTAATTTCTTCTATCCAGGCCTTTTGGTTCTCCCTGGCTGGCCATGGGCTTCACTTCTCTGATGGCTCAATTCATTCTTTCCTAAGATCTTCAAGTTTATAGTGAAATTTTCTCTCAAGTGAGCTTTTTTCCTGCTTATTCCAAGGCTGATTTAATTATAACCATTCTTTAAGTAAAAAAGGACTTATTTATTCAAAAATTCTGAGTACCTTTTTCATGCTAGGCAGCACTGAGAATGTCATGGTGAGTAAAATGAATAAAGGCTGTGCCCTTATAGAGCTTACATTCTTGTGGGGAATCAGCAGACTTAAAATGTTTTAAACTGTCAGATACTAGTAAATTCAACAAAGGGGAAAAAAAGCAAGGCAAGTGAAGGTCTGTATTATAGAGAATAATGGGAGAGATGGAGAAAAAGGGTTGCAGTATTTCCAAAGCCTTGAGAAAGGAAAACAGGACCTATATGCACTTATCAACTTAAAAGACTTGATTCAATAGTAAGAACTTTTTGGTTTGTTTTTTGTTTTTTGGTTTTTTTTTTTTTTTTTTTTTGGTCATTTGCTGTATTTTAAAACCTCGTTCAAACTAGGTGGACAGGAAGTAACTCATGGGTGATTATGGCTTCAAAAGTCTGCTTTTTGTCATATTGATTGAGCAGTGAACAGTTCCTAGTTAAGTACCATAAGATGGTGCTGTTAAGGTTTGTTGTTTTTTTTCTGTTTCAAAGCTCTTAAGGCTTTTGGGGGGAATAATACACGTATCTTTACCAAATAAAGTGAAATATATTTAAAATAATTATATTTTAGAATATCAATAATACAAACTTTTAAATCAATGTGTAAAATGTTTTGCTGGTAAAAGCACAATGATTATGGGAAGAAACAAACTCATTGTACTAGGTTTAAAATGTTTTGGGAACATGAAACCAAAATGTCACAGTCTGAGGGAAAGCGTGCCAAGCATTATTAACATAAAAGAGGTTAAATAGGTGAGAGATTAAGTTTACAGATTAAATTGGAAATAAATGAATCTTTGTTTTTGTCACAGGAAAGATCCCCCCAGGGAGAGGATACTAAAATGTAGCTAGAAGTGCAAAATGTTTTAGTAGAGCTTAACTCCAGCGAAAGGAGAAGGAAGGGTGCAGAATTAGGGGAAACTGTCAGACAGTGATGCAGAGTTGACAAAGTTGCTGTCAGCCTAGTGGGAGCTTCGGAGCAGAGACTCCCTGATAGAGTGGTATGTTAGGCAGAAATGGCTAGACCACTGTCCCACTGCATTGTCAGGTAATTGGCTGGGGATCACCTCACCTGGCCAGAAAGTTGAGGTAAACTCTGACAAAGCCAATAACGAGGCTATCAGCTAGCCACAGCTGGGTAGCAAGTCTTGCAGCTGGTAGCACGTCCTTTCTTGAGGGGAGATCTGAGCATCACATCTCTGCCAAAATTTATAAAGAAAACATCCTATTTATAGAATTAAAATGAAGAAGTCCTATATAATTTGCTTAGAATGATTATACTGTGATTACTTGAACTGCAAAGTTAGAAGTAACTTAGGTGCTCAGTAAATGGTACATTTCTGAAGGGTAAAGTTGGAAGAAAAAGATTATTATTTTTGCTTGAATTTTGCTCTGAATAGCAGAGCAGTTGTTCTCATTATGTGCTATTTGCTGGTGCAGAAGATCAGTCTTTGAACATAGTAATAAGAAATATACATTTATTTATTCAAAGGAAGGCATGTGCCAGATGCTGGATTACATCAGAATGAGCAAGAAAAATACAGCATCTGTCCAGGTGGAACTTACAGTCTGGTGAATACACACAAATAGGTAAATTCTCTTTGCTGTAGGAGCAACACCTAAACCCAGATTTGAGGTAAGGGAAGGCTGTAATTTGTTTTTGGAACAATGGGTTACTAATCTGCTTAAAAGTTTCGAGCACTAATACATGTTTGTCCAAATCTTTTACTCGTTTTTCTTACATACTAAGACTTAATTGCAAGGAAGAGAAACTCAGGCTATCTTAAAGAGGATAATATGTTATCCTCTGGAGAAACATGATACTAAAGACGAGTGCAGCAGGGAGTACTAGAACGGGGAATGTGGTACTGGAAGGACTCTTGTTCATTTCTGATATATTGTATGGGTCTGTGTAATGCTTTCCTCTCTATAAAACTGGTCACTTCCAGTTCAGAGTGGTGAGAATCATGACTGCTAACCTATCTTCATTATTATGCTTGACGCCTTCAGCCACCACAGGGGACATTTCTTTGATTCCATAACAGATTCAAAGTCCAGAAGTGCCAGAGAAAAGACTAGTTGACCAGTTTGGTTGATGTATTTACCTGGAGTGTTCTTTCATGTTGGAAAATACATTCAAAGAGTTGGGTTAGGTTGTTGGCTTGTGCTTCAGGGTCTGAACAGTAGAAGCATTAATATGCACCAAGGGATGATAGTACTGGCTTTTCACCATATTTTTTATTTCTTATAACACTGGTAAATTTGCTAAGATGCTTTCATACACCATGTGTGTCTTTGGGTTTTGTCTTATTTTTAATTATCATGGATACATAAAGATTGTACATATTTATGGGGTCCATGTGATATTTTGATACAAGCATACAATGTGTAATGATCAAACCAGGGTAATTGGGGTATCCATTACCTCATGCATTTATCATTGCTTTGCGTTAGGAACATTCCAATTCCACTCTTAGTTACTTTGAAATATACGATAAATTATTTTTCACTATAGTCACCCTATTGTGCTACAGAACACTAGAGCCATCCTTTTATCTAACAACATATTAATTGAAAAAGGTGTCACTTTAAGATTATTAGGATTTTTTTTTTTTTTGAGATGGAGTCTCACTTGCCTCCCAGGCTGGAGTTCAGTGGCGCGCCCTCAGCTCACTGCAACCTCCACCTCCCAGGTTCAAGTGATTTGCCTGCCTCAGCCTCCCAAGTAGCTGGATTACAGGCACATGGCATCACACCCCGCTAATTTTTGTATTTTTTGTAGAGATGGGGTTTCACCACATTGGCCAGGCTGGTCTCGAACTTCTGACCTCAAGTGATCCACCCGCCTTGGCCTCCCAAAGGCGTGAGCCACCACACACAGTCAAATCATTAGAATTTTAAGTAATTCAAATTGGAATGATTAATTCCAATAATTAGAATTAAGTAAATTTAAAGTAAACAATGCTACCATCTCAAAGAGCAAATTAATTGCATTATGTGGTAGCTGTCTAATAGAGTAGCTGCTGGCTATGTATGGCTATTGAGTATTGGAAAGGGAGCTAGTCTGAATTAAGATGTGCTGTAAGTATGAAATGCACATTGGATTTTAAAGACTTCATATCAAAAAGTAAAATATCTCAATATTTGTATGTAGATTACAAGTTGAAATTTTTGTGTATATTGAGTTAAATCTCAAAATTAATTTCATCTTTTTATCTTTTTAAATGTAGCTACTGGAAAAGTTGAAAATTAACATGCAGCTTGCTTATTTCTGTTGGACAACACTACTGTAGACCAGCGGGTCTCAAACAGAGCAGAGAGTTTATGAACACACAGATTGCTGGGCCCTAAAAATTTAGTTCCTAGTTAAGTACCTTTATATTTTGCTTAGAAAGATTATACTGTATTTGTTAATGTTTATTTGAATTGTGAAGTGTGAAGTAACTTTCTGATTCAGTAGGTCTGTATGAGGTCTGAGAGTTTGAATTTCTGACAGGTTCCCAGGTGGTACTGGATGCTGCTGATCCAATGACCACATTTTAAGAACCACTGCTTTAGACCAGGCCCTAAGTAGGGCCAGATAGTAAGTGTTTTAGGCTTGGGGTAGAGGTGAGGGTGGGGAAGTCGCTTAACCCAGAATTCTATAACCAATGAAAATTTTCTTTAAGACTGAAGATGAAATACAATTTTCAAATGAAAGAAAACAAAAAATTCGTTGTCCAAAGACCTGCACTAAAAGAAGCTTTTCAGATTGAAAGGAAATAATGCAAATGGAGATTTAGATCCTTATAAAACAATGGAGGGTGTCAGAAATGGTAGATATATGGGTCAATGCAAAAGGCTTTTTAATTTTTTTCCTGATTTCTTTTTAATACATACAACTTTATAGTAAGAATAACAACTGTATCTTGTTGGGTTTATAATGTACATAGATGTAATACATATAAACATGATAGCATAATGATTAGAAATGGGATTTGGGCCTACAGTTGCAAGGTTGTATTATAGTACATAATATATGTTATTATTATATATAAATATATATATATATTTGAGACAGAGTCTCTGTCATCTAGGCTGGAGTACACTGGCATGATCTCGGCTCACTGCAATCTTTGTCTCCTGGGTTCAGATGATTCTCATGCCTCAACCTCCTGAGTAACTGGGATTAGAGGTGCACACTGCCATACCCAGCTAATTTTTGCATTTTTAGTAGAGACTAGGTTTTGCCGTGTTGGCCAGGCTGGTCTTGAACTCCTGACCTCGAGTGATCTGCCTGCCTTGGCCTCCCAAAGTGATGGAATTACACTGTGCCCAGCCTCACATAATACAAAATTGAGAAGAGGCAGGAAAGGAGGAATAAAAACAAAAAACAGAGGAGACAAATAGAAAACAATAAAATGGTGGGCTCAAACAACCATATCCGTAATTATATTAAATGTTAGGGGATTAAACACTTTAACTGAAAGGTTAAGATTGTCAGGATGGATAAACACACATATACATAATTGTATGCTGTTTATGAGAGACTTACTTTTCATATAAAGACACAGCTCAAAATAAATGGGAAAAGAGATACACTATGCAAACCGTAGCACTAGAAGTTTGGACTGACTATACTAATGTCTACTAAAATAGATTTCAAAACAAAAAGTATCCCCAGAGATAAAATGTATATTTCAATTTCATAATGTCAAAAGAGTGAATTTAGCAGTAAGACATTACAATAATAGATTTGTATGCAGCTAATAACAGACCTTCACCATATACAAAGCAAAAATTGACAAAATTGGAGAGTGAAGCAGTTTCAGAGTTGAATATTTTTACATTTTCTATTTAGAAATTGATAGAACAACAAGACAAGTCATTAACAGGAACCTAGAAGACCTGAATCACACTATCGACCACCTTGATTCAACTTACCTTTTCAAAACTCTACACCCAACAATGGGTGTGCACATCATATGTTTACCATGATAGTCCGTAAGATTGGCCTTAAAGCAGCTGTAATACATTTGAAATGATTGAAAAAAGTTAATCTACCTGAGGATAGACAAATAGGTCAGTAAAACAGAGAAGAGTCCAAAAATTGATGCACACATATATGACCCATTGACTTGGTAAAAGTTCCAAGGCAATTCAATGAGGAACAAATAGCTTTTTTTTTTTTTTTTTTTGAGACAGAGTCTCTCTCTGTTGCCCAGGCTGGAGTGCAGTGGCATGATCTCAGCTCACTGCAACCTCTACCTCCTGGGTTCAAGTGATTCTCCTGCCTCAGCCTCCTGAGTAGCTGGGATTACAGGTGCCTGCTACCATGCCCAGCTAATTTTTAGTAGAGATGGGGTTTTGCCATGTTGGCCAGGCTGTTTTCGAACTCCTGACCTCAGGTGACCTGCCCACCTTGGCCTCCCAAATTGCTGGGATTACAGGTGTGAGTCACCGCTCCCGGCAAGAATAGCCTTTTTAACAAATGGTGCTGGGGCAATTGGATAACCATATGCAAAAAAAAAAAAAAAAAAAAAAAAAACTTCAACGCTTACCTCACCATTTACAAAACTTCATGAATGACATGGATCACAGACTTTAATATAAGAGCCTGAATCATAATACTTCTAGAAGAAAACATGGATGAAAAATGTAGTGACCTTGGGCTTGGCAAAGATTTTTAAATATGATACACAAAAGCATAAGCTATAAATGAAAAGAACATCAATCAACTAGACTGGATTAAAATTAAAAACTTTTTCTTTTCAAAAGATACTGTTAAGAAAATTAAAAGGCAAGCCTCAGGCTGTTGGAAGATACTTGCAAAATATATATCTGACGAATGACTTCTATCTAGTTGTATATGGTTGTGGGGGTGAGGTCTGGGGAGAAGAGTGGGAGGTATGAGAGGGAGGAGTGACAAAAGGTCATAAGGAAACTTTTTTGGGTGATGGATATTTTCATTTTATTTTACTTTTTTTTTTTTAAAAAAAATGTAGGCTACCTTGGTAGTTTATGAAGGAAATCAATAGTATTAAAAATTGGATGTAAAAAATGGATACCATCAGAAACCCATGGATGAAGAGAATGGGAAGCTGCTCATTAAGATCAATTGAACAGGATGCCTCAGGGCATCACCAGGGCCCCAGCCCCTTCCAGTAGCTAAAAATGCAAAGAAAAAGATAGAAGAAGGAAGGAAGGAAGGAAGGAAGGAAGGAAGGAAGGAAGGAAGGAAGGAAAGGGAGGGAGGGAGGGAAGGAGGGGAGGGAAGGGAGGGAGGGAGGGAAAGAAGGAAGGAAGGAAGGAAGGATTATAATACTTAAATTATACTTACAAATTATTTTTCCTGAAATAAGAGATTTGAAACTATTTTGAAAGATCATGTAGTAACCGGAAAAACTGACCGAAAACGATGGACTCCAAGATATATCTTAATAAAATTATTTAAAATTTTAAAATACAGGGGATATTATAAACATACGCCAAAGATTATCCCCCCATATGCCAAGCTTTTCATTAACTTGACTAAAGGTTACAAGTATAGTACTAGGATCCTCTCCTGAATGGACACAGGCCCAGCTGCCTTTTAACCGAGAGAGGTTGGGTTCTATCTGTGAGGAGGCACTGAAAACATTACTGGGCTGATCAGTTCCCCTCAGCTGGCTTTCTAGATGACAAAAATTCTTTTTAATTCACATAGTCTACCAGTCTGTGGGACTTGAAAATAGCCAAGGGAATTCTGGGGAGATAAAAAACGGTCTTGTCTTGACACAGCTTATCAAAGAGCAAAACTCTGGGCTCTATTCAGAAAGTATAGTACTCTATAAATTTAGTTATCTAAGTAAAGTTGAGGAACGTGCCTATGAAGTACCATTTCAAGTGAAGACCAGCTATAACTTCGCATATATACTCATTAGTGAATATAGATTTTAAAAATAGGATGCCACATGGCATCTTTTCCTGACTTTATTAACAGTAGTGTTGGAAGTGCTCTTTTGTGAGTCCAGCCCTACATCACCAAGGACATACCTAGCAAGGAAGTGAGGGTAATATTTTTCTATTTAATGTTTCATAATTCTGGCCTTTTAAAATGTCTGACTTGAAGAAAATAAGTCAGTCATATTCAAGATTAATCTATACAACATGTTTGACGGTATTTTAAGTTTATATTTTTAAATTTAATTAATTGGCAAAAATTGTATATTGTATACATTTACAGTGTACAACATGATGTGCATATATATATATATATATATACACACACACACACACACACACACATTGTGGAATGGCTATGCAAGCTAATTAATGTGTGAATTACCTCACATATTTACCTTTTGTTTTGGTGAAAATACTTAAAATCTACTCTCTCAGTAATTTTCAAGTATACAATATATTGTTATTAACTATATTCACCACGATGTTCAATAGATCTCTTGAACTAATTCCTCCCACCTAACTGAAATTTTGTGCTCCTTGACCAACATCTCCCCAATTCTCCTACTCTCTAGCCTCTAGTAACCACGATTTTACTGTTCAACTTTTCTAGATTCCACATTATATGTTCATTATCTTAATTGTGGCATGGTTTCCAGGACAGAGGTCAAACTTATCAGATTGCACATCTTAAATACATGTAGTTTATTATTTTTTTGAGACAAGGTCTCACTCTGTCACCCAAGCTGGGGTGCGGTGGTGTGTTCACGGCTCTCACTGCAGCCTCCATCTTCTGGGCTCAAGTGATCCTCCCACCTCAGCCTCCCAAGTAGCTGGGACTGTAGGTGCGCACCACTACACCTGGCTGATTTTTTGCATTTTTTAGTAGAGATGAGGTCTCCCTGTGTTGCCCAGGCTGGACTGGGCCTCCAAGCCTCAAGTGATCCTCCCACCTCAACCTCCCAAAGTGCTGGGATTACAGGTCGTGGGTCACCCGGCCTGGCCCAAATATGTGTAGTTTTTAAAAAATGTCAATTATATCTTTAAGCTGTTTTTAAAAAGTCAAGTTTTTTTTAAATTTTTTTGTTTTTTGGTTTGTTTTTGAGACGGAGTCTGGCTCTGTCGCCTAGGCTGGAGTGCAGTGGCGCAATCTCGGCTCACTGCAAGCTCCACCTCCCGGGTTCACGCCATTCTCCTGCCTCAGCCTCCTGAGTAGCTGGGACTACAGGCACACACCACCACGCCCAGCTAATTTTGTTTTTTTTTTTTTCCAGTAGAGACGGGGTTTCACCATGTTAGCCAGGATGGTCTCAATCTCCTGATCTCGTGATCCGCCTGCCTCGGCCTCCCAAACTGCTGGGATTACAGGCATGAGCCATGTACCCAGCCTAAAAAGTCAAGTTTTTAATAGGCCACACCCTTGACTATAAACTTCTACTTCTTCCTTCCTCTTTGCCCATCCCTCAGTCCTGCTGCACCCAGTGGTCTAGCTACCTCTTTACAAGATTACCCGAAGTCCACTTGTTATCAAGTTTATGGAATTTAGTTTAGGTAATTTGTTATAAAATATACAAGAAAATTCAAATTATAATTTCATTAGCCAAAATGAGGTGTGTTCTAACTACTGTTGACATTATCAGTGATGGGAACTTCCTTACCTCTCAAGGTAATCCATTCCATCTTCAGATCACTTTTCTTTTGGAAAGCTTTTTTTTTGTTTTAGTTAATTGGTTTTGGTTCCATCCTTGTGCCTATACAGAACATACTTAGCTGCACACCATAATGATAGCCAGCGTTTCAAATATTAAAAGCCTGTCATGTGCCTCCATTTTTCTCAGGTTAGCTATTTATAGTTTCTCAGGCTCAGAAACATGAGGTCTGGTTCCTTTATGATCACTCTTGTCTAACTGCAGTCTAGGTTCTCTATGTTAATTTGAAAATAAAGTCCCCAAAAGAATATGTACTGCTCTTAGAAAGCATATTAGACCAATATAGCCGTTTTGGTGGCTAAATACGTCTCCTAAGCTATGTTAACCAATTAGATTTGGATTCGTATGCCACCTTTGCCAGTTACCAGCTGTTTCACCTTTAGCAAGTTAAATATTCTCCAAGCCTCACTTTCCTCTTGGTAAAATGAAGATAACAATACCTACCCCATAGGGATGTTCTGATAATTAAATGAGATAATGCACAGCCTCTGGAACATATGAGGTGCTCCACTTATCTGTAGTTATTTTCCCACTCACACCCCATACTTTTTTCAATGCATGATTGTACATTCTCCTCTGGAGATGGAAGTGGTATAAATGTGCATACATTGGCAGGTATGATAAATATAGTTGGATCATGGAATGTCTGCTTTTATTTCTATGTTCATTGAAAACAGTGTTTTTATGATTTATGTTGTATCTGTTGCAGGGGGGAAATAGTTTCAAAGCAGCATGATGCCACCGCTCGACTGAAGGCCAAGGAGCTGCCTTTGGGTAATGGATGGCACCTCCTCTTCATAAAGTCCATTTCTTCAGATGCCTCCTGTGGTGGATGAACCTTTGCATATGTCATTAAGTGCTTATGTTGTCAACTGCTCCATCTCAGAAAAAAAGTTTTCTCTTGACAGTGGAGTGTGAGCACACAGAGCACTCAAGGTCTAACCAGGTTAATAGGTAGGAACAGCTATAAATCAGAGTCCCCAGCACTGTCTGCACTATTTTAACTGAGATGATAGGAAAATAGGTAACAAGTTTAACCCCCCATGGCAACTGCTGTACTGATATCTTCACATACACTTTACACTTGTATAATAACATATTTCAACTTTCAAAAGTGGCCTCACATCTATCATCTCATTTTACTCTAACAAGGACCCCACCCACCTCCCGGATCTTTTAATATCATAACCAGAAAGAGCTGACTAAGTCAACAAGGGAAGGTACCATGCTGGGTGCTTTATACATATGACTTCCAGCGCTGACAACGATCCATTCTGGTAGATATTATTGTCTCCTTGTAATAGGGCCCAGCTGGGATTGAACTGAAGTGTGTCTAGCTCTAAAACCCTTGTACTTTCAACTGGGTCATCATACACTTATCCTATGTTCTAATTCATTATTAAAAGTCAATCTTTCCTATGGATAATGGTTACTTTGAGAGGTGGGGGTAGTGACCAGAAAGGGATGTAAAGGGGGTTGCTGGTAATGTTGTTTTTTCATTTGGATACTACTTAGATGAGCGTGTACCCTTTGGGAAAGCCCACTGAGTTGTACACTTAGGATTTGTGCACTTTATGTATGTTTGTAAGAAATATTTCAATAGGAAACATTTTAAAGCTAGTTTTTCTTTTGAAGGTGTAAGCTTTTTACTTACTTGTCTCCAAAATCTAACTCTTTATGTGCCTGTATGTTGCAGTGGAAAAAGTGAGCTCATGATCATTTTGCTTATTTACAATGGATAAATGAGATCCAAATACACAGAATCAAGGGAAGGAGTTGCTTCTTCTAAGAGTGATGCTTAATCTTTTGGGTCATGGATGAATTGAAGATTTGATTAAAGTTACAATAAAAAGAGAAATAATCAAAGCACGTACATTCTGTATCACGAACGGTGCCAAACTCTTTATATATATTAGCTTCTTTCAGCTGTATCATAACACTGAGAGGTGGATGCTATTATTTCCTTGTTACCCCTCTACCACACACACACACACTCTCTCTCTCACACACACACACACGCTCGCACACACAGAGTTTTCCCTGTTATTTCAGGGAGCTCATGAATGTCCTAAGGTACATTATCCGGAGACACAGCTTAAGAGCCCCTATCAGGTTGAAAAAAAATGACAGAAGAAAAAAATTTTTAAAGCAATGGATTATGGAAAAGGACTCAGATTGTTAATTCAATTAAGTTGTAGTTTGTCATTTTACATTCTTTTGTTTCTCCTATAAAGCTTGATGTCATGTAATTTTTCTTTTCTTTTTTTTTTTGAGACAGTCTTGCTCTGTCTCTCAGGCTGGAGTGCAATGGCACAATCTTGGCTCACTGCAGCCTTGACCTCCGAGCCCAAGCAATCCTTCTGCCTCAGCCTCCCGAGTAGCTGGGACTAAAGTCATGTGCCACCACACCTGGCTAGTTTTTAAATTTTGTTTGTTTGTTTTGTTTTGTAGAGATGAGGTCTCACTATATTGCTCAGGCTGGTCTTGAACTCCTGGGCTCAAGCAATCCTCTCATCTCAGCCTCCCAAAGTGTGGGATTATAGGTGTGAGCCACAGCACATGGCCTCCTTTTACATACATTTTACTTTATAATATTTAATATACTCAAACATATATGAAGCAGTCATACATTATAAAGCATAATAAAATGCATAAAGTCCTGTGAACCTATAACCCAATATAAGAATTAAAATATTGCCAATACTCTTAATACTATCTTTGTATTCTATCCTTATCCACTTCCCTCCCTTCCTTCTAGAAGCATCTACTGCCCTGAATTGGTGTTTATCACATCTTTGCTTTTTTATCTTTGTATTTCAATGCATATAAAAGCACTTCTTTGCTTTTTAAAGAATAGTGTTAACACATATATATGAATACCTAAATATCATTTTGTTTTGCTTGACACATCAATTGAGTTATTGCTTGACACATCAATAATTTAAAGTTGTGGGCCAGGCACGGTGCCTCACGCCTGTAATCTCAGTACTGTGGAAGGCCGAGGCGGGTGGATCACCTGTGGTCAGGAGTTCGAGACCAGCCTGGCCAACACGGTGAAACCCCATCTCTACTAAAAACACAAAAATTAGCCGAGCATGGTGGTGTGTGCCTGTAGTCCCAGCTACTCGGGAGGCTGAGGCAGGGGAATCGCTTGAACTCGGGAGGCGGAGCTTGTAGTGAGCCGAGATCGTACCACTGCACTCTCAGCCTGGGTGACAGAGCGAGACTCCGTCTCAAAAAAGAAAAATAATAATAATAATAATAATAAAGTTGTGTGTTGTATCTTCTACCATGATTGTAATTTTTAAATATATTGTCAGTTTTACAAAATCTGATTGTCATATCTTTCTGGTGAATTCAAGTTTTCATCATTGTGTAGTGACTCTCCTCATAGCATAGTAATTTTTTGTCTCAAAGTTGATGGACTCTCATGTTCATATAGCTGACTCAACCCTTTGCAGATGTTGTTTTGCCATGTATTGTTTTCTATAACTTTCTTTGAAACTTTTTTCGTTCTTATATTTTAGGGGTATCACTTATGAATATCATATAGATTTATTTTTGTTTTATTCTGTCAATCTTGTCTTTTAATGAGTGAGTTCAGTCTACTTTCAGGAATTATGATTACAGATGCTCCTCAATTTACGATGGAGTCATGTCCGAATAAACCCATTACTAGTTGGAAATATAGAAAGTTAAAAATGCATTTAATATACTTAATCTATTGAACATCATAGTTTAACCTAGTCTAACTTAAATATGATCGGAACACTTACATAGCCCCTAGTTAGGAAAAGTCATCTAACACAAAGTTTATCTTATAATAAAGTGTTGAATATCTCACGTAATTTATTGAAAATGCTACTGAAAATGAAAAACAGAATGGTTGTATGGGTACTAGAAGTATGATTTCTACTGAATGTCTATCACTTTCACACTTTCACACTGTCATAAAGTTGTCATAAATTTAACTAATGTAAGTCGGGGACTGTCTGTATTATATATTTGGACTTTTCTATATCTCCTCTTCACTTTATTCTATTTGTCTAACTTTTCAAGGTTTATTTCCCCTTCTAATTATTTTTGAGTTGATAGGAATTTTTAAAAACATCTATAAATGGCAGATTGTCATTTCCAAAAGTGACTGCAGCAGTAACTCCTAACTCATATGTTTTATACAAAGTGACCTTGCTGCTCCTTATTAAGAGAAGATGATTTCTCTTGTTCGTGGAATGTGGCCAGCCTTGTCATCGCTTTTCCTGGTTAAAGATGGCAAAAGTGACTGCCAGTGCTGGGCATAGTTTTTAAACAGCTTGGCAGCTTCTGCTTCCTGCGTCTGAGAATGCTGGTTCTTGGGATGCACCCTCTTGGAACCCAGCTGCAGGATCATGAGCACCCCAAAACACATGGAAAAACCACATGTCGCCAATCCTGTCAACATCAGCTGAGCTCGGAGCTGGCTGCTACAATCAACTGCCAGTCCTGCAAAGGAGCCTTCATGGACATTAGCCCAGCTGCCATCTGACTACAACTGTGTGAGATACCCCAAGGGAGAACTACTCAGCTGAGTCCAGTCAGCCTGCAGGACCTTGGGAAATAGGAATAAACTGTTTTCAGCCACTAAATGTTCGGCTTGCTTTTAATGAGCAATCAAGAACTGGGATGAATGTGTGGCTTTAGGACCAAACAGTGGATTGAAACTTCCAGGGTCTTGAAGAGATGAAAAATAAAAGCCAGAAAGGCCTGGAGAAGACAATGAAAGTGGAGCTGTTGGCCGGGCACGGTGGCTCACGCCTGTAATCCCAGCTCTTTGGGAGGCCGAGGCAGGCGGATAGAGGTCAGGAGATCGAGACCATCCTGGCTAACACGGTGAAACCCCGTCTCTACTAAAAATACAAAAAATTAGCTGGGCACGGTGGCGGACGCCTGTAGTCCCGGCTACTTGGGAGGCTGAGGCAGGAGAATGGCGTGAACCTGGGAGGCGGAGCTTGCAGTGAGCCGAGATCGCGCCACTGCACTCCAGCCTGGGCGACAGAGCGAGACTCCGTCTCAAAAAAAAAAAAAAAGAAAGTGGAGCTGTTGATGCTTCAAGACAGTGAGGTCAATGACCTTAGAGGCTGAAGAGAAGGGACCTTTGTTAGGTAAAGGCGAAATTTGCTAATGCTCTAACCATGTGAGGCAGGGGTGGTGGGAGGGCATAGAAAGGGCACCTAATGAACTCATTGATCCAGCTAGGGAGGAAGTAGAAAGTGCCAAGTCAACTGTCTTGTACTGTATATTGTGAAATATAAGAAGAGACAGATGAACTAAGGTTTGTTCTGTTTCTAAGCTGAATTTAGAGGAAACAGAGCCCAGAACAATCTTTCCAGGCAGCAAATGAAAGCTTGTGTTTTTAAAACAGCTTATCCAAGAAATGCTACTTATTTATTATTATTATTTTTTTTTTTTTTTTTTTTTTTGAGATGGAGTCTCGCTCTGTTACCCAGGCTGGAGTGCAGTGGTGTGATCTCGGCTTACTGCAACCTCCGCCTCCCGGGTTCAAGTGATTCTCCTACCTCAGCCTCCCAAGTAGCTGAGATTACAGGCACACACCACAAGGCCCGGCTAATTTTTGTATTTTTAGTAGAAATAGGGTTTTGCCATGTTGGCCCAGGCTGGTCTCGAACTCCTGACCTCAGGTGATCTGCCCACCTCGGCCTCCCAAACTGCTGGGATTACCAGCGTGAGCCACCGTGCACAGCCTTATTCTTTTTTTTTTTTTTTTTTTTTTTAAAGATTTTGTTGTTAAATTGATGATTAAAATTGTATCTTTGGTACATCACTATCTCTGTCTAAGCACAATAACTTCTAGTTGTATTGCGCTTTTTCAGTTTACAAAGAACTTTTACATACATTATCTCAATTCTCCTGACAATCCCGGTGTGAGGCATGTAGGAAAGTTATTTTTAGTCCACAGTATTAATAGTAGCAACACCCACAGCCACCCTTTCTTTTTCTCCAATTTTGGGATTCCTACTATGTGCCCACCATTATACATTAAATAGGTGATCTTGTATCCTCATGGTAGAATATTATGACTCACACATTAAGGATGAAGGATATTAAGACAGAGATACTTCAACCAAGAAATAGCTAGCAATGGTGGAAACTCCATTTGGACATTAGTTTAACTACAAGTCCAAACTCTCATAATCACCTTTTTTCCTGAGAAGAGCAGGAAGCAATTTTAAACCAGAAAGCATCTTCAATATGTAGATTATTTTCACCTCACAAAATTTCATACTCATTGTATGACAGTCAATGTTTTTCAGAGTTACTCTGTGTGAACTATGATTTTGATAAACTACAGTATTTGACTTTTTCCGCTTCTGGTTGGGAACTTATCAGTGTTGTAAAAAGTGTCTTCATTTGTAAAGTAAGTGGGTTCAGCAGATGATCCCTAATACCCCTTTCCTATTTGATATTCCTTTTAATATTTTATAATTTTCTGAAACATGAGTTTTCTTATCACTATCTGCAGGGCTACAGATTAATTCTTTTTGACCAGCAGATGGGGCTTTTGATACCTGAATAGTACGTAAGTTTACTTGCTGGCTCAGTCATCATTTATTAGTCGTAGGAAGCCTTTATTGAGCGCCTACCATAATGTGCCAGGCATTGGCCTAAGCATAATCCTGCTGCTGCTTTAGATTTACGTAATAATGTTCTTAGGCCTATCTCAAATTATTTTTACGTGTGGTAAAGTTTTCAAAGGACCACTTACCATTTTATTAAGAAGAAACTTCTCCCTGTAGAAGACTGGATTAGGTGATTTCTGAGATGTTTCCCAGTGCTAGCTGCCATGATTTGAGGCCTGGGGTTAAGTGACCTTAGCAGTCCAGGACTCTTTTGTGAAGAAGCTGATATGTCTCATTTTCTGTGGTCTCCAAATACTTCCCAGGAGATCAGTAGCTGGAAAATGTATTTTTAAAAGCAATTGTGATCATAAATAGGGTACAGAAGTCATGAGAAGTTTGATAACATTTTCAAATTATACATAAATTTTTAATTATTAATATATTTTATCTATAAATAGGTAACATCTTTTTACCCTAGGTACCAATTAAGTGATGCTTCAAAACAGGGAGTAGAAAAATCCAGATGTTTCTGAAATTTTTTTTCTCTTTGCCTCTCTCAAAACTCTCTTATAGTTGTCCAGTATTGGTTATTATTTTATAAAAGGCCACACTCAATTGTAGAGTAGTAGTTAGGTGTATTTAACATTTCTAAGTTATAGATGTCCCAAGACAGGGGCTGAACTTAAGCTGGCAATACCACTTAAAACTGCTCGAACAATCAAATAAGATTCATCAAACACTTAGATAACCTCTCAGAGAGAAGCCAGGACAAATTACTAGCTTTTCCATTTAGTAAACCTGGACATGTGTCCCTTTGGAAAAGGCATATTCCCCCTTGGTGTACATGCTTTTTCATGGAGGTACCCGGAGGATGAGTCAACTGTGCAGGTAATCACAGCACGCTCATCATCTGTCTGGACCATGTGGTTTGGTGTCCCATAGCCTGTGTGCCACACCTGGTCAGCATTTTCAGAAGTGCAGACAAGTGGCCCAGAAAAGGAATCTGTATCTCTGGGTCTTTCAGGTCTCGCATGTCGAGGCAGATCTATTTTTTCTTTTCTCTTCCCTTTTTTTTTTTTTTTTTTTTTTGAGATGGAGTCTCATTCATTGCCTAGGCTGAGTGCAGTGGCGCGATCTCGGCTCACTGCAACCTCTGCCTCCCTGGTTCAAGCAATTCTCTGCCTCAGCCTCCCGAGTAGCTGGGACTACAGGCGCCTGCCACCACACCTGGCTAATTTTTGTATTTTTAGTAGAGACATGGTTTCACCATGTTGGCCAGGCTGGTCTCGCACTACTGACCTCAGGTGATCCGCCTGCCTCAGCCTCCCAAAGTCCTGGGATTACAGGCGTGAGCCACCGTGCCTGGCCTACTTTTTCCTTTTCTACCCACCCCACCCCAACCAACCTGTCTCAGTGAAAACCTGGTTGTTACTAAAGTGAAACTTTAATAAGGATATTGCCTAGGGAAGATTAGTTGTTTTCCTTGTCATTCAAGTTCATTCTGGACCTCTTCCTCTGAGCTGTTAATCAGTGTTGCTAAACAGACAGGGAAAGACAAGGGAGAGAAAAATGCTGATTCATTCTTCAGAACTTTTAACCCTTTTAACCCCTAATTCTTCTCCTTGAGAAGCTATTCTTTGATTGTGAAAAGCTTTGTTGTTCAAGGAAATATGGGTAATAAAAATAGCTAACATTTATTAAGAGCATAACATTTATTAAGAGAATACTGTATGCCAGATATTGTTCCAAGCACTTTTCATATTAACTCACTGCATCCTCATAAAATGCTATGAGATAGTACAACTAAGGCCATTTCATAGATGAGAAAACTGAGGTTCAGAGAGATTAAGTCACTTGCCAAAGATTGCACAGGTCCTAGGTGGCAAGCCTGCAGTAGAGATCCATAGCCTCTGCTCCTAACCACAACGGGGTCTTCTAGGAACGTGTCCTTATTTGGCCTCAAAGGAATAATAATCTTTTAATATTTTTTAAAAAAGAGTTGACTAGATTGGAAAGTGCCTAAGTTCAGGGTCTGATTCTATTTCTTAGTTACTTTACAAAATTTTCTGCACCATACCTCTAGCTATATATTCATACCCACTTGTCGTAGCACTTAGAAGTTTTATCAGTTTAGTCTCACTTGCCTTTGCATCTGAGCAATATGCACAATGGTTAGTATCTATTATTATTATTATTATTATTATTAAGACAGAGTCTCACTCTGTCACCCAGGCTGGAGTACAGTGGTGCAATCCCTGCTCATTGCAACCTCCTCCTCCCAGGTTCAAGTGATTCTCATGCCTCAGCCTCCCGAGTAGCTGGGACTACAGGCACGCACCGCCATGCCCAGCTAATTTTTGTATTTTTAGTAGAGATGGGGTTTCACCACATTGGCCAGGCTGATCTGGAACTCCTGACCTCAAGTGATCGCCCACCTCAGCCTCCCAAAGTGCTGGGATTACAGGTGTGAGCCACCATGGCCAAAAAATATATAATATTATATATTACATATATCTTATATCTATCTTGACATATGTTTGGGGACTTATATAGAAATAACTTTTGGAGAATGCTTTAAAGTTTACAAAGGGTATGTTCATTGCTTTACCTATGACTAATTATAGATATTTAACATGGCCTCATTTATTTGAAATTTAGAAAAGTATTTTTTCATATAACTTCCCTTTGGAAGCATGTTAGTTTAATTCTACCCAAACTGTATGTGCAAGATTATATGTACATATGTTTCTTTTGATAATGCAGCTTTTATATTTCATTTTACTAAATTCAGGCATGAGAAGAGGATAAATCAAGGAAATTTACTCATATAGGTGGTTCATGGCTTCAGTAATGAGGTAAGCTATACTATAAACTTAGAAAAATGAGAAACGAGAACCCCTTTATGAAGCTGGTAAAATGTTCCTAAAATAGAGGTGATTCGCTATCTTGGATTATAAGCTGAGAAATCATAATAATGTGGAACTGAAAATTTGGGGAACACCCAACTCCAATCAAGGTGAGCTACGTTTGATCCCCGGGATCTGTTCACTTGTGCTGTGGTGGGTCTGCAGATAGACAGGAGATAGAAGCAGGAGGATCAGGCCAGACCATAAAAAGAAAATCCCCCAAACCAAGGTTTCTCCTGCACTGTCCAGATTAGAAGGAGCCTTTGCAAGATTATTTCAGTAAAGGAAAGAAGTGCCTCAAACTCTTCTTTAAGAGACGTTTTAGGTTCACTCATTTCCCACTGTTTTGGCTCTACTCACCAAAGCCACTTCCTGATTTGATTGGCTAAAGTTTTATTCCTCTGATTAAAATCTTTCAGATAAAATCTTCATGATAAAAGCCCAACTCCTAATAGTGGCCCCAAAGGCCCTGTACATCGCCTCTTCCCCCTCTCCATCCTTTGATCTCATCTCCTAGTCCTCCAGTTCATTCTGTCCATACTGCCTTCCTTACTGTTCCTCAAACACACCAATCACACCCTGCCTCATGGCCTTTCCTCTCCCTCTACCCAGATGGCTCATTCCCTCATTTCCTTCAAGTCTTTGTTCAAAGGTCATTTCTCAATGAAGCTTTCCTTCTCTGTTTAAAAATTACAGCTTCTACCTTTCTAATTTCTTTTCCATAGCACTCAGTGCTGTTTATCATACTATATAATTGCCTTGTTCATTTTATTTATCTAGATTAGAATATAAGCTACATGAAGGCAAGACATAGATCAGTGCCTGGACATAATACATGCTCAATAAATATTCAATGAATTGCTCAATGTAACCCTTCAGGAAAATATAAGAATTGGCTGATTTGCTATAAGCATCTAAGCATCTCAGGACAATTGGAGTTAATTTTTTCTGCCAAATATCTTCCCTGACAACTTTCTTACTCATTGTCTATTCCTCTTTATAACTTGAACTAATCTTTTTTTTTTGAGACGGAGTCTCGCTTTGTCGCCAGGCTAGAGTGGAGTGGCGCAATCTCGGCTCACTGCAACCTCCATCTCCTGGGTTCAAGCAATTCTCCTGCCTCAGCCTCCCGAGTAGCTGGGACTACAGGAGGCATGCCACCACGCCCAGCTAAATTTTGTATTTTTAGTAGAGACGGGGCTTCACCATATTGGCCAGGATGGTCTCGATTTCTTGACCTCGTGATCTGCCCTCCTCGGACTCCCAAAGTGCTGGGATTACAGGCATGAGCCACCTTGCCCAGCCAACTTGAACTAATCTTAACTCTTTATATCCCTAACTTCATCTCTACACATTAAGTCCCCTGATTTTTTTGTAGTCTCTCTCTATGTATATTTTCAGCTTCAGCTTCATTTGCAGCAGACTCATTCTACTGATAATTATAATTCGTCTAGTTTATCGTTCTGAGCCAGGCCTCATGCTTTGGTTATCCACACATTGGAAGCCCACTTCTGATCCAGGCAGTTATACCTAGAGGTGTGTTTTCACAAGGCCACCTCAGACAGGGCTTTGGTTGTGACAAACATCATGTTAGACACTCACGTAAGAAATTGGGATTGGAATTTACAAATTAAATCTCATAAATATGGTCATGTTCTTGAGACTGAATAATTCAAAGTGCATGCAAAACTGCATTTCTGATCGTGTAAAGCTGAGGAACTTCTAGAACCATAGAGGCAATTTTATCAGTTGGAGCCCCTGAGGCCCGCCTGACGATCTGTCAGTAAAACTCCAAAACTTCACGTTAGCTGTCTCTGTTCAGCCATCTTTGGGGCATCTTTGGCTAATTCACTAATCAATGTAAGAAGTAATCAGGTTTGAGTCATTTTCAGACATGAGCTGCCACATTTGACATATAGTTGATTAATGAATACTTAACAAATAATTGACAATAGAGGTCAGGACTGTACATACATTCAAGCTACATAAAAACCAGTCACATAGCCCACACCTTGTTAGGAAACGACTTCTTCATCTAAAATGTTTAGATCATGTGAGATGTTACAAGTAAAATAAATTCTCAACTAATTTGTCTGCCATCTATGCCACTTGAGCCAATGAACATTTAGTAAATTGCTAGAGCTGCTGACTTGTGTTACAGTTCGTGCTTTGGTGTATTTTATAATCTGGTTATGTTTTTCCAAAGCTAATGCAGTGTCAGGATCTGGAATTTTATTCCGTTTGCAAGCTAGTAAGCTAGCCTATTACTATTTCATGGATACTGGCAGAAGACATGAGACTTCTGGATCAGAGAGAAAGGACTTTATTACTCACAATGGAGCAAGTAAAATGAGTTTTATGTTGGCTTTGGTTTTCCAACACACTTCAAGTCCCACAGGGGCAATGCAGAAAGGCCTATGTTGATGTTTACACATAGCTGGTTCGTGTGGCAGCCAGGGAGCACTAAGCTTAGGGAATATGCTGCTTTTATAGTAAGCAAACCTGCTGTCTGTCTGGAGGGAGACATTATCTTATTCCTCAAGGTTGCTTGCTGCAAGCATGATCCTGAGCAATGGTCTGGGTAAAGATCAGTCACGGCCTTGCATGCTTTACATACCCAGCAAGAAGTTGTGAGGATGCTCAGGGCCCATGGTGGATTGCCTTTCTCAACGTATACTTAGTTGGTAAAGCATTTCAAGGTTGGCATAATTAAGTGGATCACTTTTAATGCTATGTATTACTTTACTGACATTGTGCACACAGTTTCATTATATACTTTATCGTTTAGTATTATTTTTTGATATGTGAAATGAATTAGTTCAGCTTCTTAGATAGTGCCATGTCTTTTGCCATTTCATTTACTGAAATGAGTTCAGATTTATATCAAATGGCTGTACCTACCTATATGTTTATTTTTTATTTTCTTGCTATATTCATTGCCATGCAAACTGTTTTAAAAATCCAGGTAATGGCATTAGCCTTTAGTAACAGTCAGTAATATATAGTTATGAAGCATCACAGTACATCTGTTTGAAGCCTTATAAAAGTTGTTGAGTTTCTGCAAATAACCGAACTTTGTCCCAACATTTTAAACTCTTTTTTAGTCTCAGGTAGTTTATGTAATTCTTATAAAATCTCTATCTGAGACTATCCCTACAACACTTACTATGTCCGTCATTACAACCCCCAGCTTTTTTCCTAGCCAAGTATTTGTATCTTATTTAAAATATTATACTTGAGTGTAGCTATATCCTGGTCAAGAAGAAAATTAATTTCTCTACTTTTCCTCCATATCCCACAACATGCAAGATGTCAGATGTTTATTCTATATGACTAGTATCATGGCCACTGCAAGTTAGGTAGGAATAGCATTGCAGCTCTTAATGAAAGAGCTGTTTCAATTAGCACAGCCTAACCGGGCAACTGGAACTTGAGCCCCTTGCATTCTCTCTCTCTCTCTCTCTCTCTCTCTCTCTCTCTCTCTCTCTCTCTCTCGGTACTGACACTTACTTTGGATTTCAGTTTGTTGAGTGAGTTCGTGCTTGCTGTCTTTCCTTTATGAGGCTGTTAAGCTCCTTGAGGACAGAACCTGGTTTTGCACAACCCATTGTACAGAGCAGAGTGTGCACATTGTAGGGGTTAAGTAAGTCTTGTTTAAAGGTTGTTTGTATTATTTGCTTATCTTTTTACTTTTATTGTGGACATTTTAAACATAAGTAAAAGCAAAGTTAATAGTACTAATAAACCTCTCCTTACCCATTGCCTAACTTCTCCTGTTATCAACGTATGGCCAGTCTTGTTTAATCAATGTATACCCTCATTCCTCCGCTCCCAACCCAGGTTGATTTGAAGTAAATCCCAGATGATAAGATATGTATTTATCTGTAAAGAAATATATATTTTTGAATAATTATATTTCTTAGAATATAGCTATTAGGCCAAAATTACAGTATTCCATAAATACCAGTCACGTTTGATAAATTGATATGAAAGGGAAGTCATTTAAGTCTAGCTCAAATACTATAATTCTGATCCCATTTAAATTACATTATTATTCTTCTCTTGACATGTTTACTTGTGAGAAAAAAGTATTACTACCCAACTTTAGCCAGCCACTTCTGTTTTTGAAGGTTTTTTGTTGCCTTAGACATAGCTGAAAATTTTTCCTCTGTGACAATCTTGATGTGACAGTTTCAACAGGCTGTAAATGAAGTGACCCTGACACTCCTCTCTCAGGACACATCAATGTGGGACATGTTCTTTATTGTTTGTGAAGAACTGATGGTTCATCTTTTGGAAAAACACAAACCAGCTGTCAAAAGGCCTTTATTTGTGCAATAGTTCAGATTACAGCACCATTGGGCAACCCCTGTGAAGGATCATCCACTTTAACTTTCTGAGATGCTGGTATTTCATCACTTTTGCTGAGGTTCCAGGTGGTTTGGTTCTCTGGAACTGACAATGGCCCCTTACCAGGTATGTTTTTGGATATAGTGATTGCCATGCTGCTTCCTTTTGTAGTCGGGGGGGCGGGTAAAAATTGTGCTGCTGGTGATCATAAATAGCATTAGTTCATAAAATAACAATTGTTTCTGTTTTTTTGAACTAGGTCTGCTTCTGATTCGAATAAGCAGAGTGAAAGAAAAGCTTTCTTCTCAGTGCACCTGGGCAGTCCCATATGCCAAGAGGCCATGGAGGACAACGGTGAAGCATGGGGATTCCAGGGTCAATCTGGGTTTTAATTTGCCCTCCATCACCTATTTGCTATGTGAATTGGGCTATTTGCTTGACTAGTCAGTGCTAAATTTCCTTTCCTGAAATAAGGGGTAATCATAATACCTGGATCATAGGTCATTGGTGGGTTAAATTTATTTATTCAACAAACATTTAAAGGATGCTGCTAATTGTCAAGTATACTTGCAGGCCCTGGCAATATAACAGTGAGCAACCATAGGTTCTTAAACTCTTGGAGATTACATTCAAGATTATATATATATATATATATATGTGTGTGTGTGTGTGTATATACATATGTATATATATACATATACACATATGTGTGTGTATATATGTATATATGTATGTATATACACACACACATATATATGTGTATATATATAAAATATATACACATATATATGTGTATATAAAATATATATATACACACATCTAGATGTGTGTATAAAATATATACACACATCTATATATATACACATATATATATACACATATATATAAAATATATATACACATATATATAAAATATATATACACACATATATGTGTGTATATAAAATATATATACACACATATATGTGTGTATATAAAATATATATACACACATATATGTGTGTATATAAAATATATATACACACATATATGTGTATAAAATATATATACACACATATATATGTGTATATATAAAATATATATACATATATATCATCATGTCCTTACCTTCATTCATTTTCCTTCATAACACTTGTCTCCCTGACATTATATATTTATTTTCACCAATATATATATGCACATATATATATACACACACACATGTTTTATATATAAATGAATCAGGGTATACAATTCACATATATATGCACAATATATACATATATACACATATATTATATATAAAGGAGTTATATATATAAAGGGGTTTTATATATAAAGGAGTTAACATAGGTAAAGCTGTCAGCAGACATGAGGTGTTACTATTGCTCTCCCTCGTCTGGATCCAAAGGAGTAGCCAGACCATGGCTTAGCTAGGGAGGAGCAGATCTTGTTTAAACATTTGACATGCGTAATTGTATGCTTTAGAGGAAGGGAATGAACATTCGTATTGCAGTGTGTGGCCTTGTGTGCAGCACTTTAAGTCCTTCAAACAGTACTGTAAGTTGGGTATTTTAAGCCCAAGTTTTAAGAAGATGAAACTGAAAAAGATAAGGAATTTTGCCTACTTCATGCATGTATATGGCTCTTATACTTTCCTCTCTACATGACATTTCTCACAGATGCTGTTTTTCAGGGAAGAGTTCAAAGAAACCACAGAGTTTGAAACTGTGTGTATGGAATAGGCCATTTGGGGTAGACCTGCCATTTGGCCTGCATTTACCCTGCCCCCTTCTGAGATGATTGATTACAGGTAGTTCTTTATGTCCAGATCTCCATGTGCTGCAGCTTGGCGGCCTTGATCTCACCCTATCCACAGATGCTCCCTGAGGCCAAGGCAGTGAGAGAGAGACCAACTAGTGGCCTATACCAAGACTAACAGAAATGAAATGCATTAAACTGTGAAAAATGATTTAATCATATATTTTTAAATGGTAACTGGTGGCAGCAGAAGAGGTAGACCAAGCAATAATAAAGGATGAAAAAGTAGGCAGAGGGGAGGGGAATAGGGGAGGCAACAGAGCAGAGATGACTGGATGGCCCAGACTCAGACTGGTGGACTACCAGTCTACCATGGTATCCTGAGTGACTGCACAGGCCAATGATTTGACTGCTAAGAGGGTTTCCTGTTCTTATTTCCCTTTGGTACTTTAAATAAGTCCTCATTAACTGAGGCAACTTGAGCATGGAAACTGAAAGAGCCAAACATTCACATTAGATGATGCTGGGCTACATACATTTACTTTACAGAGCTACAGACAGGTAGGGAAGATAAGTACTGAGCAGGGAACATGTCATTCCTTTTCTTGTTCTATATCTAGGCAAGCTCTGGAGAATCTGAGTCAGTGAGGAACACCCTGGAGAATCTGAAAAAGTCTGCAATGCTGAGATGTGATAGGCTTTAACACCCGACAAAGACCTAGGTATGAAGTTTGACTCATAGACCTTCAAGACACACTGGAACCTTTTTAAAAGCAAAGCTTGGGGCGACTCAAGGACTGTGTTAAGATGTGGGAAAGTGGTTAGGTCAGACTGCTGACACTGGCTTCTCCTGGCTACATAGACCCCTGGCAATCAAATTGCCAAGACGGGAGAGGGCAGTAGAACAGAGCAATGTTGCCTATTTCAAGTCTGGAGGGAAGTAAAACAGGCTTGATGCTGGACATGTGTTGCATGAATTGATACATCTTCAGATTAGGTTCTTTTGAGAGATGAGGTGACCTAAATCACCATGCACACTTGGGGAGGCTGTCACCTTCTCAGGGCCTTGGCTTTCTCCACAGTGAAGAGGGTCAAGTTTGGGCAAAGTTGGTCTCCAAACTCACAGCTGTAATAGTCGGTGAGTTCACAGTGAAAAATGTACCAAGTAGGCACCTTGGATTACTTTATCCAGGCTGATGATCTCCAGAGAGGAGAATTCCTAGGGATGGATCAAATGCTATGAATATGAAATATATACAATTTAGTAAAAATTCAAGTTATTTTAAACTGGAGCTCTGGAACACTGTTCAACCTCAAGGCAAGCAGAAAGTGACTCATGTGGTATTGTGCAAAGCTGGAGACATTGAGGGTGGGTTGAATCTTGTGCAGTTATTTTGACTACAATGCACTTTACCTTTTCAGAAAGCATCTTGCCATCCTTCAAAACTCACTTCTGCAGACTTAATTGCTCTCTGCTCAGTGTTTCCATAACGCTTTGTTTATCACTGAGCTTCTAACGTACCGAGTCCGTCTACAAGTCTCCCTCGTCTTCTAGACTTTGATCTCCTCAAAGGCAAGAACTGGGCCTTATTTATTTTTGCATCCATTATACAATGCCTGTAACCTGATAGCTCTATAAGTGTTTGTTGACTGATGAATGATATCTTACTTAGGCAAACTAGAGAAGCAGAAAATTATAATGCAGCCAGTTCCCTAAGAGTTAAATTAAGTCTGAATAGAAATCATCACCGGTTGGATTTGGGAACAAGACTAAGAAGCAAAAGCTAATAAGATTGAGACCTGATAACATAGTTGAATATTGAAAAAGGACAAAATCCTATTTGCCTCTGTCGATTAGTTAACAGTGATGAGATTGGCAAACTCCTGGGAAAGAGCCAGTATTCTCTGGGCACATACCAAGCTACTGCAGGGAAGCATGTCGCCAGAAAGTGATGCTGTGGAATTGGGGTGAAGGTCATTCAGCCAGGTGCTTCAGTAACACCAGAGCCTACAGGGCACATAGATGGCCTAATCCATCTATGGATTAGGATAATCCAAATATGGATTATCAATATTTGGATTTTATCTTCTTAACAATATGCTAGATTTAATAAATGGTTTTATTTATTTACTTTATTCATTCATTTGTTTAGCAAATATTTATAATGAGTGATTATTGTTTTCCAGACATAATTCTAGGCACTGGATAAAACAGTAAATAAATCAACAAAATTCTTGTCTTCATGGAGATTATATTCTTTTGTGGAAGACAGATAATAAACAAATGAGTAAACTGTGGGTAGATGAGAATTGATAAGGAAGAAAAAGGTAGAGAAGGGGAATATGAGCTAGGGGAGTGGGAAGGTTCACAGTGTTTGATATGATGGCCAGTGAGGGCCTTACTAAGAAGGTAACTCTTGAGTAAAGAAATGAAAGAAGTGAGGGAGCTCATCATGCAGTCCTTTAGGGAAGGGTAGAAAAAGGAGCAAGTACCAAGGTCCTGAGGTTGAAGTGGACCTGGTGAGTCAAGGATCAGTGAGCAAGCTGGTGTGGTGGAGTTGAGTGAACAAGGGGAGAGTAGCAGGAGAGAAGAGGTTAGAAAGATAACACAGGGTCACATCACATTGGGCCTGGTGGGACGTGATAATGACTTTGGCTTTTACTTCAAATGGGATGGGATGCCACTGGAGTGTTTTGAACAGAAGAATAACTCAGCTTGACATATAATATGAATATATATATATATATATTTTATTTTTTTTTGAGATGGAGTCTCACACTGTCTTGCCCAGGCTGGAGTGCAGTGGTGTGATCTTGTCTCACTGCAGCCTCCACCTCCCAGGTTCAAGCAATTCTCCTGTCTCAGCCTCCTAAGTAGCTAGAACTACAGACATGTGCCACCACACCTGGCTAATTTAGTATTTTTAGTAGAGATGGGGTTTCACCATGTTGGCCAGGCTGGTCTCAAACTCCTGACCTCAGGTGATCCACCTGCCTCAGCCTCCCAAAGTACTGGGATTACAGGCATGAGCCACCGCGCCTGGCCTTGACTTATATTTTAACAGCATCAATTGGCTACTGTTAAAGCAGTAAGGGCAGTAGCTGAAAGATCAATTATGAGGCTAATTGCAATAATGTAGGTGACAGATAATAGGAGCTTATATAAGGGTAGGGACAGGCAGGGTGGGGCTAGAAGTGATATGTTTTGAAGCTGAACAAGCAAGGGAGATTGAGAATGAGCAGCTAGAAAAGTCAGAAGAAAACAAGGCAAATGTGAAGTCCTGGAAGGCAAGCAAAGAAGGTATTTAAGCAGGAAAGAGTGACCCTGCTAGGTCAAGTAAGGTGAGGACTGGGAAATCATCGTCAGGTTTAGCAATGCAAAGTTCACTGGTGACCTTAAAAAGAGTAGTTTCAGGGGAGCAGTGGAGGCGGAAACTTGAATGATGTGTTTGTGATGGAATGGAAGGAGAGAGATCAGATCAGTGGGTATACGCAATACTTATAAGAACTTTTACTGAAAAGGGATGAAGAGAAATGAATGTTAGCTGGTGGGACAAGTGAGATTTAAAAAGTTATTTTTAGACGAGCAAATTAACAATACATTTGCATGCTGATAGGAGTAATTCAGTAGAGAAAGAAAAATGGATGACGCAAGTGACAGCAAGGAGAATGCTTGTGCAATGTCCTAAAGTAGATGAGAGAGAAAGGCCTTAGCTAGGAGCACAGAAAGTTTATTCAACCATAGAAAGAGGAGTGAAAGCAGAATATAGCATGATGGAGACTGTGGAAGTTCTCTTCTGATTGCTTCAGTTTCCTCAGCAGAGCAGGAAGAAGACTGTTCACTTAGTGAGGATGGAGGAAGAGTTGGACATTTCAGGGGAGAGAAGACAACATGACACAGCCCTTTCCTAGCAAAAGGAGGGAATCTCTACATGATAAGAAGTTTACAGAATGGAACACATTGTCAATGGAGAGATGCATGCAGAGATAGGACAACAACTGTTGGGATGTCTTGGGGGGAATTCAGGTATTGGATGGAGGGTTTAGTGAGAGTTAAGTGTTCCTTTCTCAAATCTTTAATATTTATTCTTTGAGAAAATTTTATCTGGAAAATGTTTTTAGTATTATATGTAAAATCACTGATGTGGTACACAAGTATTTACACACACATAAATGTATATAAATATTTGTATTTATATATTCTGATTTATATAATACTTTCAGAATTCCATCTCATCAAAATATTAACAAAATGCTTAACAAAACTCTAAAGATGAAAGAAGCTGAGTTTACCAAATATGAAAAATCAAAAGTAAGAACTCTTATCTAATAGTTTGAGGGGAATGTCTGCTATTTCATAAGCACGGAAAGCCTCAATAATCTTGCAATAATAAAATTCATACACTCTCGGCACTCAAAAAACTGCTGGGAAATTGCCTCATTAACCTTTATAACACCCTTGTGAGGTCGGCAGGAATTTGACGAGATTTCCATTCTCCCTAGTGGGGAAATGGAGACAGGGAGATTTGAAGAAAACTGTAGACATAGCTCAAATATAAGTAAATCTTGTGTTGAATCCCGTGAGGGTCATCAGTTTGGAGGTATATGAATGAATTAAAGTCTATCAATCACCTTGAGATGAACCAGCCATTTTTAACCTGTATCATAGATTTTAAGAACAAAAAGTCATGTTAGAAGAAATGATGAGAGGAAAGAGAAAAAAAAATCTAGCGAGCGCTTTCTATTTGAACTCTTTAAACTGTCTCCAATCATAGGTGTCAGAGAAGTAAGGACTCATTCCTGTGCAGAGGGCAAGAAGTTTGAGAAAAAAATGAATACTCTAAACAAAAACAGGAATTCTAAAGCTGCTAAAATTAAATAAAGGAATAAAAATGAGGCCAAACAGGAGAATCTTATGTCAGGTATATAGGGGAATGAAAAGGAAAAATCTCTGAAATTTTGAAGTCTGGGAAAGCTAAAATAACTGTATAAATCATGTATTCTTGAACTGGAGTATGTTTTGTGAGGGGAAGCATAGTGGAAAGAACTGATAATCTCGGCCAGGTGTGGTGGCTCACGCCTGTAATCCCAACATTGTGGGAGGCCGAGGCGGGTGGATCACCTGAGGTCGGGAGTTTGAGACCAGCCTGACCAACATGGTGAAAACCCGTCTCTACTAAAAATACAAAAATTAGCTGGGTGTCGTGTCCAGTGCCTGTAATCCCAGCCACTTGGGAGGCTGAGACAGAAGAATCACTTGAACCTGGAAGGCAGAGGTTGCAGTGAGCTGAGATTGCACCATTGCACTCCAACCTGGGCAACAAGAGTGAAACTGTCTCAAAAGAAAAAAAAAAAAAAAAAAGAACTGATAATCTCCTAAAAATAGCATTCCTAGCTTGACACCCAAATGGCCTTGTGTTAACAGTAAGCAGTAGCTAACATTTATTGAGAATTTACCATTTGCCAGGCACTCTTCTTAGCCCTGTACATATACAGTGTTAATTTAATCCTCACCACATATCTATGAAGTAAATACTACTATCATACTCACTTTACCAATTAGTCAATTTAGGAATGGAGGTAAAGTAACCTGCCCAAAGGCAGTCATTACATGGAGCAACCTGATAATCCAGTCCAATCATTTATTATACACCTGCAATGAGGAGCAGCTACACAATAGGTGCATAATAAATATCTGTTGAATCAACAAACAAATGAACCCATAAATAAATGACCTGGCAGGGTTCAATGCCAGGGTGAGACCCAGGCAATGCTCAAAGTACCCAAGGACCTAAGAGAGGTGTCCTGCCCTCTCTTTCATCATCTTCTCTTCCTTTGGGACTCCCCTTACCCCACATCCTTACTGCTTGCCTCCGGTACCCAACACTTTGGGTGCTTCCCCTCACCATTGAAACCATCTTTTCCTCAAAGTTTAAGTTCTGTGATCCACCAACACCCTCAGCCCTCTTTCCACCCTCTCTTTAGCCAAAGAATCAATACTATTAATGATTTACATACCAGAAAAAATTCTCACTGGGCAGGGATTACAGGTGAAAATGAACTCCCCAGAAACATGTCTTCAGCCATGTCTTTCCAGGATCCTCCTTCGATGGTGTTAAACCCACTAGGTCCTCACTTTTACACCTTTGAATAAGGAAAGTTTTTCATGAATATCTTTATTTTTCGACTTTCATAACCTTCCCCAATTCATGAATATCTCATATACAGAAAATCTGGAAGGCAAGTGTGAAAACTCCAAGCTTCTATAAGTAGGAAACTTGTCAAGATGACAGCTACAAAATTAATATGCACAGATATAGGTAAATATAGACGGAGATCCTTGCTACCCTTTTTTGCACACCTATGAAAATAATAGCAAAGATTTGTGAATTGCTTATTATGGTCCAGTAATTCTGCTAAGCACTTTGTATGTATTTTGTCATTTAATGACCCCAGTGACACCGAGGGACAAGAAAACTGAGGCTCAAGGTATTACCTTGACTAACCCAATAAATAAGTGGAGAAATCAGGATTCCAATTCTCCCTAACCCCAAAACTGGTGCTTATTTTGCACTTCAGCCCTGCCTACTTTCTACTGGAAATAAAGATAGAAACACTAGGGCCCCAGGCTCACAATCACCTCCCTAAGGAGACATTCACAACAGATGCTCTTCCGCTTGCAATGAAAGCTTCACTCATCTGTTGCAGTAATTATAACATTTATTTTCTGGAACCTCTTCTTAGTCAAGTCCCATAGGTCCCAGGGAGAGATGCATTCCTGTTCTGGAAGTCATGGGGGAGCATTAGCCCTGGCCCCACTGTCACCTTTTGTCACTGAAGTGACCCTGAATGCTTCCCTTCTTAGGCCACACCAGCCAAGGTATGGGGAATGATAAGAAAAGAGGCAGTCGGTACAAATTCTAGCACCTGCCTAAAAGAGGCAGTCAGTACAAATTCTAGCACCTGCCTAAACTTTGAATTTTAATCATTTTTAGAGAGGTGTGTGTGTGTGTGTGTGTGTGTGTGTATCCTCTACCCTTTCTCATTCACCAGTCCAGGGACTTTATATAGGTGGTTTTTGTTTGTGTTGGTTTCAGAGGCTGATGAGTGTTATCTTGTTCCTACTAATGACTTTCAAATCTCCCCCAGGATAAGTCCTATCAGGAAGAAAACCTTATATATTTTTTTCATCATACCGTATACCTAGTGCCTAACTCTGTGCCTGGTATAGAGTAAAAATTCAATAAATGTTTGTTTAATGAATGAATAAATTGGTCAAACTCTAGTAGATTGAAGAAAAATAGCAAACTGCCTTATCACTGTGGCCCTAGGGTACTTAGGTATTTTGCAAATATAGATTTTCAGACTTTGCCACAGATCTGAAGAAATAGAGTTTGCAGATTAGTATTTTTAATAAGAACACTAGATACTTTTTAGTAGTAGGCAAATTATGGAACATTGCCCTGGGATTTTGAATAAATATGCTTCTTATGTGTCAGTGTCTCATAAGTACTTACCCCTTGTCATTTAACAGTCATTTATTGAGCAACTACTACAGTATTTCTGAGTCAATGCCAAGCATTTGACTTTTTCTCCTGCTATATAACATTGTTAACATTGATTCCTGGGCTGTCTCATGGTTAATGCATTCTTTCATGTATTCATTCATTAGTTTGTTCATTCACTCAACAAACACATATTGAAAGTCCATGATAGACCAGTCGTGTCCACATGTTTGGTTATAAGGGGAAATGTTCACTGAAGTTATATCTCTGGGTCCCTGCTCAGCTGTTTTCACTCAGTTTGACAGGTAATTTATGGTGATGGTAGAGAACTGGGGAGAAGGGAGATGCAGGAAGAGATGTGGCTTGGCCCTTTGTCAACATTATAATATAATTCTGCCCTTGGCAGAGAACAGACTCTGAGGGACTTTCCAGATTCCTTTATTGGCCACAAATGTGGTTGGATGAAATATTGTGTGCCACTGGAGCTTGGAAATTATTCTTTTTTCAATACAGAAATTTTGGAGGCAATGGCATCTAACTTGGAGTGATTCTCTCCTGCTTATGCAGGAAGACTTATTTAATCTCCAAATCTAGTTTGTTTTTGCCACTTTGCCTATAATCTTTTCTTCAAGTATGAGATTCTTCTTGCTGGATGGTACTATTTACTATGCAGAGCTAAAATGCTAGCTAGAATTGTAGGCTTCACTCTCTGAGATCCTATGTGTGTTAATGGATGTTTTTATTCACAAGTGTCAAAGCCAAGCTACGTAGAGTAGGTATGTGGACAAGAAAGCACCTTTGTGCTCAAGAGACCTGTCTTTGGAACAGGATGTGTCTGTTGCTGTTATCTAATCCACGCTGATGGCTCTGCAGAAGGACATATCCACCTCATCTGCTTCCAACTGCTGGCTTGGCCCCTTCTCTGCCTCTAAGCACCAGACCTTCAGGATTCCTTATTTTACATCTTTGACATCAAATGAAAAGAAAGACTGACAAATAAGCCTCACAGATATGTGAAGTGTACCGTTTAATATTTCTAACTATTGTGTCACCGCTGTCTCAGTTATTCCTGTAGCCAAGTCCCAAGTCCATCACCTACCTCCTCTCCCTTCTTCTCTTCCTCCTTTTTCTTTTTTTCTTTTTTTTTTTTGAGACAGAGTTTCACTCTGTCACCCAGGCTGGAGTGCAGTGGCACGATCTCAGCTCACTGCAACCTCCGCCTCCCAGCTTCAAGCAATTCTCCTGCCTTAACCTCCCGAGTAGCTGGGACTACAGGTGTGCCCCACCTTGCCCAGCTAATTTTTTGTATTTTTAGTAGAGATGGAATTTCCACATGTTGGCCAGGCTGGTCTCGAACTCCTGACCTCAGGTGATTAGCTTGCCTTGGCCTCCCAAAGTGCTAGGATTACAGGTGTGAGCCACCGCAGCTGGCCCCCTTCCTCCTTTTTCTTTAGTATCTACTATATTTGGGACACTCTGCTAAAGGAAACAGTAGAGTCAAGAAAAAAAAGTTTCTCAAAAAGTTGTCTGTAAACCACCTGCATCAGATTAACCTGAGGTGCTGGGGAGGAAGACTCTTGAACCCCTCTAAACTTACCAAATATACTCCCAGCATGATAGGGCCAAGAAATGCATTGTTAGCTCACACCCCTCGTGATTCTCATGCACACAGAAGGCTGAGAACAACACTGAATCAGGAAAGATACAAACTCTGCAACTTAGAAGTTGTTTGTCCTTAGTGGAGTTACTTGACTTCACTGAGTTTCAGCTTCCTTAGCTGAAAAACCTCCAGGGTCCCTCTGAGGAATGGAGAGGAGAAATGTAAAGCATAGTTTCTGGCATACAGCATGTGCTCCATAGAGAGTCATTACTTGAAACTAGATGCTGTGGAGGGTAAGAGATTTAGACAATGTAATTGTCATCAACTTTCTTTTTTCCTAAAACCTGTCCAACTCCCCTCTACATCAGTGGTTCTCAGTCTTGGCTGCTCATTAGAATCATCTCATGAGTTGGGGTGTTTTAAAAATTCTGATGCTGGGTTCCCAGATTAATTCTATCAGAATCTCTGGGGGTGAGACCATGGCATCATGATTTTTAAAAATTCCCCAGGTGAGTCCAACATGCGTCTGTCTACATTCCCTTCATTTTCTGTCTTTTCTTTCTGTCCAATAGCAGGCTTGAGCCTCCAATTTTGTTTTGGAAAATAGCCTGGGGTTATGCCATGCCCACCTCTAGCCAATTAGAGAATTGTACTTTTTGATTGTTTTTAAAAGGGACAGGTTCTGGTGTCCATCTTGTTTATTGTGAAAATGGACTCACCATATAAGTCTGGAATTAAGGCTAAATGACAATGCTGGTAAGGTGTGTTATTAAATGACCTTCAAAGCGCACATGAGGAGCTTGAGAGGGAAGCTTGGACTAGGAGTGAAAAGCCCCAGTGAAGACAGACATGAAGGAAAGCTAGGGAGCTCTGCTGGAAGGATTGGCAAATAAATATTTTCTAAGCTCTGCTGTGGAAAAAAGGAGGAAATTTCTTTTTGACCTCCTGGTTACATTCAAACTAGTGTAAGACAAAAACCAACCAACTGGCTGGGTGTGGTAGCTCATGCCTGTAATCCCAACACTTTGGGAGGCCTAGGTGGGAGGATTGCTTGAGCTTAGGAGATCGAGACCAGCCTGAGCAACATAGTGAGACTCCATCTCTACAAAAAATAACACACACACACACACACACAACCAACCAACACGGATACAAGTGAAAAGGATGATAGGATGGGATGGAGATTCCAGGGCCGCTGGAATGAAAAACCCCAAACTCTCAGAGTTCCTTCTCCTAACCCTGCTTTTCTGCTTCTTTTTGTACAACGGTTTTACTGCTCTTTCTCTGGTGAACAGATTTCTCTGCTCCTCTAGGCACAGGGTATGTGGTTTCCTCACACTTCCTGAGTTTATGTGCTACATTTCTGGCTAAACAAACAGATTCAAACCACTCTTTGTTCTAGTTTCAGATTTTGTAGCAGAGGATCCTAATGGTCTTGGGTCAGGCATAACTTGTGACTACACAGATAATTTCTCTAAGGCCAACCAGCAGCTAATTTTGTGTGCAGTTGGTAATTTCATTTCCTTCAGATGGTGGAACAATTCGACTATAAAATGTACTTGTAACTGGGATTATAAGGTGTGTGCTCTTCCTCCTCCATGATCTCATTTTTACCATGATAAATGAGAACTCATCCATCAATAACATCATGGTTATTTGCCAATTCTCTCTCTCTCTGTTTTTCACTGTTTATCTAATCAGATGAATCAGTTACTGATATGTGGCCATCAGCTGTAGATAAATGACACATGTTGGGGAATGTACTATTATTGTGACAGTCATTCATTGTAGAAATAGAACACATGGCATGTGAGCTGGATTGTATGCATGAGTGTGTGTGTATATCTACCATTTCAATCCATAACTTGTCCTTACACAAATTTAGATATTGAGTAAATGTTTCCAGTTTACTAGTTGTGGGACATTGAGTAAATTATACCTCCTCTAAGGCCCAGTTGACTTATTTGTCAGATGAGGAAGAAAAATAATACTTATTATCATGTGAGGGTTAAACACAATAATACACCTAAAATGCTTAGCAAAACACTTGGCACATTTAATAATCACTCAAGATATCTTAACAATTACTGTTTTAGTTTTTATTATTAAGAGACCAATCTTCGTCCCTAACTCACGAAATCTGCAAAGGACATATATATAAAACCTAAATATATGTCTTTATAGGTGCTTTATGACATTATTTTAAAGGGATCTCAATTCATGATGAATTCTTAAAAAAAAAAAATTCTACCTCCATTTGTTACAATCTGGCAGTGCTTACCAATAGGGATCAAATTCTACAGGTTCACTTTCTCTAGACTCAAGGGCAGAGTAAAAGGGGTGGGGAGAAAACCCTCTGCCAGTTGGTGGCTTTGGCAGAAGGCTTGTTTAGAGATAAGCATTATTGAACGAGCTTCACTTTGCCCTACACCTAAGGTGATAAAACTGATAGACGTCATGACTTTCAGAAAGAGCAAGAGGTAACCTCACTGTCCAGTCAACATTGCTTTTGTACAGGACAGAATGTAAGTCCAAGACAGCATGTAGGGCACTCCTGAATATGTAACCCCTGTAGAAGTTGTCCTCTCATCTCTGGCTCTGATCTTACTAGAGATTTTTGGGGCGGGGGAATGAAATCAGCATTTTAAAAAATTATTTATCATGTGCTAAGTACTGTACTATGTGCTATTTGTAATACAGTAGTCCACTCTTATCCAGGGGTTATGTTCTGAGACCCCTAATGGATGTGTGAAATTTTGGATAGTATGGAATCCTATATATGTATATTATGCTTTTTTCTATATATACATACCTATGATAAAGTTTAATCTATAAATTAGGCACAGTAAGAGATTAGCAGCAATAATTAACAATAAAATAGAACAATTATAACAATATACTGTAATAAAGGGCTGCCCTGCCTATGGAGTAGTCATTCTTTTATTCTTTTACTTTCTTAATAAACTCGTTTCCACTTTAAAAACAAACAAAAAATCCCCCAATATACTGTAATAAAAGTTATGTGACTATGGCCTTTCTCTCTCTCTCTTTCTGTCTCAAAATATAATGGCCGGGCTGAGTGGCTCATGCCTGTAATCCTGGCACTTTGGGAGGCTGAGGCGAGTGGATCACATGATGCCAGGAGTTTGAGATCAGCCTGACCAACATAGCAAACCCTGTCTCTACTAAAAGAACAAAAATTAGCTGGGCATGGTGGTGAATGTCTGCAATCCCAGTGATATGGTTTGGCTGTGTCCTCATACAAATTTCTTCTGGAATTGTAGTTCCCATAATCCCCACATGTCATGGGAGGGACCCAGTGGGAAGTAATTGAATCACGGGGTGGTTACCGTCATGCTGTTTTATATATATTTACATAATTTTACTGTATTCACCTACTTTCAAACCTCAGTTGACTGTAGAAAGTGCAAGGGCAGATAAGGGGGGACTACTGTATTGTATGAGGAGACAAATTTGTGATGCAGTTATTAGCTCCATTTGACAAATGGGAAAGCTGAGGAGAGAAAGACACTAATGGAACAAGGACTAATGTAACAACTAGCTAAGAAGTGGAGTTGGAAATTTAAAAGTATTTCATTATGAAATATACACACAAAAGTTAAACAAAAAACATACATATTTTAATAAATAATTATAAAGCAGATATATAACTATAATCAAGTCAAGAAATAAAACTCCTTATGTATCCTTCCCAAATGATGATCCTTACATCTCCCTACAGGTAACCACTCTACTGACTTGTGTAGTAATCAATTCCTTGCTATATTTAAAACTTATCAACCCCTAAGAACCACTGGTGTTTAATTTTATAAAAATTGAATCATACTGTAAATATGTCAATTCTCCCAAAATTGATTTATAGACTCAACAATCACAATCAAAATCCCAATAATTATTGTTACAAGTTGATTGTAAAATATATACAGAAATTTAAAAGGCCAAGAATTGGTGAAGCAGTCTAGAAGTAAAATAATAAAGTAGGAAAACCTGTTCTACCAAATAGAAAAACTTACAAGCCATACTGAGGAAGACAGGGTGGTGTTGCCCCAAGAATGGACACATAGACCAATGGGACAGAAAAGAGCCTGAATCAAACTCATATTCATGTAGATACTTGATATGTAAGAAGGTGACATTGCAGACCAGTGGGAAAAAGGTGGTCTTTTTGATAAACGTTGTTGGGACAATTGGGTAACCATATGGAGGAAAATCCCCAAATACAAAAGTCAATGCTAGAATGATTAAATACTGAAATGTTAAAGCTATAAAGCTTTTAGAAAATATATTGGAATATGTTTTCATGACTTCAGGGTTTGGAAGGATTTTTTAAGCCACAAAAGCAGAATTAGAGTTAAGTCTATAATTGATTGGGTCAAAGTCCATGCTCTTTTGATTATGACACATTTTAACAGAGGGACAAATATCTCTGTCCTGTGGATTTCTTGATGCTGCATTTATATTTATGAAAGAAAAAAGACAAAGAGAGACTGGATTAAAAAATCTTGGAAGAGCCTTGGAAGTAACGCTATTTCTTAACAACAAACACCATCATCTTTACACATACATGACTAATGCCCCAAAATAGCATCTTCTGTGTGCAAAATCAGGTGAAATGAATCTAATTCTGCTCCCTGACAGCCGAAGCTGAGTAGGGATGAGCACCAGCATGAGTCACGAGGTTCTGGAGCTTGTCACTTCTTCGTACAGGGATCTGGGGTCCCCATATGTGATTTGTCTTTTGATTTTATTTCCTGCTGGACAATGCCAAGTCCACAGTCCTGAGTCTGTCAGGTAGAAGGGACAGCAGAAGAACTGCATTAGACAGTGCTTGTTTCCTGGGAGGGGACCCAGATTAGCTAGGCTTGCAGAAAGGGCCCTAACGACATGATCCAAGAACACACAGAGACCGTGACGGCAAGTAGTCATGATGGGATTGCAGATAGAGAAATGGAGAAAGCCACTGCTAGGCTGTCCAAAGAAGCGTTTGAGGGCAGTAATCCAGATCATCAGACAAGCTGAGCTGTGGCCTAGGCCCTTGTGGCCAGCTTTTTATATGCATCCCCGTCAAGTGGGCATCCTAGTGTTCTTAGCAATGTCCCTTCCGTGCTTTAGCCTTCTGGACTAGTAAAGCAGCTCTCCATGTCTCTCTGTGTCAGTGTTTCCTCAGCAGTCAACAGGAGAAGAGAGGATCAGACAGGCTCCCTGCTTGATGGTTTAGAGCACAAGCAGAAAGAGTTATCCCAGCACTAATATCTACTCGCACTTAGTATGGAAGGTATTAATTAGTATTCTTTGGTTGCAAGTAATAGAAGCAAGTTACTTGAATTAATATAAGGGGGGAAAGGGGCAGGGGGAGGGAGGAAAAGAGGCACCATGGAGCTCAAGAGCAGGAATGTAGTTGGGCTAAGTGAGGGACTGGAAAGGGGAATGAGAAGGCCTAGGGCTCACTGTCTCCATGTTTTTCTAATTTCTGCACAGTTGCTTCACTATGCTGCCCAGTTTCTCTGTTCCTTTGTACATAGATACAAGGCAGGGGAATATGGTTGTCTAACATACTTAAAATGATATTTCTTGAATTTACAAATTGTATTTCTAGCCACATAGTCTTAATCATAGGTAGTTCAATTACGGAGGCAAATCAAGTGATTGACACAGCTGGGTATACATCCCTGGCCCAATCAGTTATAGCAAGTGGGCTAAGTGCACAGGGCACAAACACGGCTCTTAGGGATCTGCTTGTGTTAAGGAAAATTCCCACAGAAGGTGTGGGGAGGTTATTAGCTTACAGACTTGGCAGACCCACCAAAAGCTGTCTACTTCAGAGGGGCACTGTACAACCCTGGGAACATCACTTAATCTCCCTAGGTCTCTATTTCTTTCTATATAATAAGAAGGGGTTGAAATCAAACATCTTTTTTTGTAATCAATTACAGCTTCAATTTGCTGTATTTATAAACTCAGTGCCCCTCCTTTTCTCATTCTATGAAATTTTCTTTCTCTTTTTTTCTTTTTTTTTTTTTTTTTTTGAGATGGAGTTTCACTCTTGTTGCCCAGGCTGGAGTGCAATGGTGCGATCTTGGCTCACCACAACCTCCACCTCCCAGGTTCAAGCGATTCTCTTGCCTCAGCCTCCTGAGTAGCTGGGATTACAGGCATGAGCCACCAGGCCCGCATAATTTCTTTTTGTATTTTTAGTAGAGATGGGGTTTCACCATGTCTGTCAGGCTGGTCTCGAACTCCTGACCTCGTAATCTGCCTGCCTCGGCCTCCCGAAGTGCTGGGATTACAGGCGTGAGCCACCGTGCCTAGCCATTCTATGAAATTTTCTAGAGCCCAACAACCAATCATTTCTGGTAACTACCGGGGTACATCTTTACAGAAGAGCCGCCATGTTTTACCCAAGACTCCTTTCCCTTTCAAATTGGCCTAAATTATTTTCCTTCTGGAAATTGGGACCAGATCAAGAAGACTATGTATAATAGGTGGCTCAGAAGGCAGGTCAGGAAGCCTTGTGTGAATTCCTCTGTCTCTTTCAACCTCCACACAGAGGACTGATTGCAGACATCCTGCACTAAGCAGGCAGATGGTTAGAGCTTGCAGACATCCTGCAGGAGGCAGGCAATGGTTAGAGCTGGATAGGCTGTACTTGGTGGCTAGCTTTCTCCTCCACTTGCTACTTGCCTTATCTGCCTACCAAACGACAGTAGATGGTTCATTTGCTTTAGCTATGAACTCAATGCTAGCAAATAGGAACAGGGAGAAAGCGAATAACTATTTCCATACCGTTTAACCCAGCAATCCCATTACTGGGCATATATACCCAAAGGATTATAAATCATTCTACAATAAAGACACATGCACACGTATGTTTATTGCGGCACTATTCACAATAGCAAAGACTTGGAACCAACCCAAATATCCATCAATGATAGACTGGATTAAGAAAATATGGCACATATACACTATGGAATACCACGCAGCCATTAAAAAAGGTTGAGTTCATGTCCTTTGCAGGGGCATGGATGAAGCTGGAAACCATCATTCTCAGCAAACTATCACAAGATCAGAAAACCAAACACCGCATGTTCTCATAAGTGGGAGTTGAACAATGAGAACACATGGACACAGGGAGGGGAACATCACACACCAGGGCCTGTTGCGGGGTAGGGGGCTAGGTGAGGGATAACATTAGAAGAAACACCTAATGTAGGTGACGGGTTGATGGGTGCAGCAAACCACCAGGGCACGTATATACCTATGTAACAAAACTGCATGATCTGCACATGTAACCTGGAACTTAAAGTATAAAAAACAAACAAACAAATAAATAAAATAAAATAAACACTGGCAGAAAAAAAAAAAAGAAAGTGAATAACTGTTTCCTCAGTTACCCTCTCTCTCAGTTCCTCCCAGCCCTGCCCATTATCCACTTTTACGCCCTCGTATACATCAGATTGTTTTCACACACTGGTCAAGTCTAAGTTGCATCAAGCCTGGGGGTGCTCGCACTCTAGTGCAGCTCCCCAGCAATTGCTCTGCTCAGCCAGAGGCCGAGAAGTGGGTGGGACACTGCAGCCCCTCTCGCTCTCCTCCATGACTCCACCCACTCGCGGCTCTGGGCACCACCTCAGGCTCCTCCCGCCATTAACGACCACTTCTGTCATCCCAGGGGAATTCGTTGAGCAACTACAACCACTTGCTGGCCTTCTAGATCAGAAAGTTAACCACTGCTGTGTCTCAGCCATTTTCCTCAGAATCCCTGGACCCTGGGACAGCCAGATAATCCACCCTGGCATGAATGGGTGGACATAGGTGCAATTTGCAAGCCTCCTGTCATTGTTATTGTTGTCAAGAATAATAACATCGTACCTATATAGTACCTCCTATTTCCACACTCTTTTCTTCTCTCCATTTTCTCAAACAACGCTATCAGATGAGGGAGAGCTTTCATGGAAGGAAGACCCTTGTCCGAGGGCTCAGATACCTGGAGGTGGCAGTTTGGTTGTGGCTACAAATGGGGCTGACGATGCTGGAGATTCTCCAGGCAAGGAGCTTTCAACTAGGTTCCACCCCCTCATTAATAGGCAGCCTGGGATTCGTTTCTACTCTGCCACTGCCGCTCTCTCCAGCCTCTAGGTGCAGACAAGAATGAGAAGGAGATCAGACGTTTTACAATGTGTGAGGACGTAGACTTGAGTGTGATTTGAGAAAGACAGTTTTCCTGTCTGAGGACCCCACTATTCCACACACCCCCATATGTACACACACATATACATAGAATATTTAATATGAAAATTACATTGCTCTAGCTACAGTTTGCTAATATCTCTGTGCCCCAACCCCTTATTTCCATGCCCCAACCCCTTTCCCACTTTTCTGGAAGGTAAGAACCCCTGAACCCCTTCCCTCCATGTTGCTACTCTCTCTTTTCTCTGGGCTTGCCTCCTTCACTATGGGCAAGCTTCCACCTTCCATTCCTCCTTCTTCTCCCTTAGCCTGTATTCTTAAGAACTTAGAACCTCTTCAACTCTCACCTGACCTAAAATCTAAGCATCTTATTTTCTTCTGCAATGCCGCTTGACTCCAATACAAACTTGACAGTAGTTCCAAATAGCCAGAAAACGGCACTTTCAATTTTTCCATCCTACAAGATCTAAATAATTCTTGTCGTAAAATGGGCAAATGGTCTGAGGTGCCTGACGTCCAGGCATTCTTTCACACATCGGTCCCTCTCTAGTCTCTGTTCCCAATGCAACTCATCCCAAATCTTCCTTCTTTCCCTCCCACCTGTCCCCTCAGTCCCAACCCCAAGCGTCGCTGAGTCTTTCTAATCTTCCTTTTCTACAGACCAATCTGACCTCTCCCCTCCTCCCCAGGCTGCTCCTCGCCAGGCCGAGCCCGGTCCCAATTCTTCCTCAGCCTCCGCTCCTCCACCCTATAATCCTTTTATCACCTCCCCTCCTCACACCTGGTCCTGCTTACAGTTTCATTCCATGACTAGCCCTCCCCAACCTGCCCAGCAATTTACTCTTTAAAAGGTGGCTGGAGCTAAAGGCATAGTCAAGGTTAATGCTCCTTTTTCTTTATCCCAAATCAGATAGCGTTTAGGCTCTTTTTCATCAAATATAAAAATCCAGCCCAGTTCATGACTCCTTTGGCAGCAACTGTGAGACACTTTACAGCCCTAGACCCTAAAATGTCAAAAGGCCGTCTTATTCTCAATATACATTTTATTACTCAATCTGCTCCCGACATTAAATAAAACTCCAAAAATTAAATTCCAGCCCTCAAACCCCACAACAGGATTTAATTAACCTCGCCTTAAAGGTGTACAATAATAGAAAAAAGTTGCAATTCCTTGCCTCCACTGTGAGACAAACCCCAGCCACATCTCCAGCACACAAGAACTTCCAAACGCCTGAACTGCAGCAGCCAGGTGTTCCTCCAGAACCTCCTCCCCCAGGAGCTTGCTACAAGTGCCAGAAATCTGACCACCAGGCCAAGGAATGCCTGCAGCCCAGGATTCCTCCTAAGCCATGTCCCATCTGTGTGGGACCCCACTGGAAATCGGACTATTCAACTCACCTGGCAGCCACTCCCAGAGCCCCTGGAACTCTGGCCCAAGGCTCTCTGACTCCTTCTTGGCTTAGTGGCTGAAGACTGACACTGTCCTGTCGCCTCAGAAGCCCTGTAGACCATCACGGATGCCAAGCTTTAGGTAAATCTCACAGTGGAGGGTAAGTCCATCCCCTTCTTAATCAATACGGAGGCTACCCACTCCACATTACCTTCTTTTCAAGGGCCTGTTTCCCTTGCCTCCATAACTGTTGTGGGTGTTGACAGCCAGGCTTCTAAACCTCTTAAAACTCCCCAACTCTGGTGTCAACTTAGACAATACTCTTTTATGCACTCTTTTTTAGTTATCCCCACCTGCCCAGTTCCCTTATTAACTCAAGATATTTTAACCAAATTATCTGCTTCCCTGACTATTCCTGGACTACAGCCGCATCTCATTGCTGCCAACTTAGACAATACTCTTTTAAGCACTCCTTTTAGTTATCCCCACCTGCCCAGTTCCCTTATTAGGCTGAGACACTTTAACTAAATTATCTGCTTCCCTGACTATTCCTGGATTACAGCTACATCTCATTGCTGCCCTTCTTCACAATCCAAAGCCTCCTTTGCGTCCTCCTCTTGTATCCCCCCACCTTAACCGACAACTATAAGATACCTCTACTCCCTCCTTGGCGACCGATCATGCACCACTTACCATCTCATTAAAACCTAATCACCCTTACCCCACTCAATGCCAATATCCCATCCCACAGCATGCTTTGAAAGGATTAAAGCCTGCTATCACTCGTCTGCTACAGCATGGCCTTTTAAAGCCTGTAAACTCTCCTTACAATTCCCCCATTTTACCTGTCCTAAAACCAGACAAGCCTTACAAGTTAGTTCAGGATCCATGCCTTATCAACCAAATTGTTTTGCCTATCCACCCCATGGTGCCAAACCCATATACTCTCCTATCCTCAATACCTCCCTTCACAATCCATTATTCTGTTCTGGATCTCAAACATGCTTTCTTTACTATTCCTTTGCACCCGTCATCCCAGCCTCTCTTCGCTTTCACTTGGACTGACCCTGACACCCATCAGGCTCAGCAAATTACCTGAGCTGTACTGCCGCAAACCTTCACAGACAGCCCCCATTACTTCAGTCCAGCCTAAATTTCTTCCTTATCTGTTACCTATCTCAGCATAATTCTCATAAAAACACACGTGCTCTCCCTGCTGATCGTGTCCAATTAATCTCCCAAACCTCAATCCCTTACAAAACAACAACTCCTTTCCTTCCTAGGAATGGTTAGTGCAGTCAGAATTCTTACACAAGAGCCAGAACCACACCCTGTAGCCTTTCTGTCCAAACAACTTGACCTTACTGTTTTAGCCTAGCCATCATGTCTCCGTGCAGCAGCTGCTGCCGCCCTAATAATTTTAGAGGCCCTCAAAATCACAAACTATGCTCAACTTACTCTCTACATTTCTCATAACTTCCAAAATCTATTTTCTTCCTCATACCTGATGCATATACTTTCTGCTCCCCGGCTCCTTCAGCTGTACTCACTCTTTGTTAAGTCCCACAATTACCATTGTTCCTGGCCCGGACTTCAATCCGGCCTCCCACATTATTCCTGATACCACACCTGGCCCCTATGAATGTATCTCTCTGATCCACCTGACATTCACCCCATTTCCCCATATTGCCTTCCTTCCTGTTCCTCACCCTGATCACACTTGATTTATTGATGGCGGTTCCACCAGGCCTAATCGCCACACACCAGCAAAGGCAGGCTATGCTATAGTACAAGCCACTAGCCCGCCTCTTAGAACCTCTCATTTCCTTTCCATCGTGGAAATCTATCCTCAAGGAAATAACTTCTCAGTGTTCCATCTGCTATTCTACTACTCCTCAGGGATTATTCAGGCCCCCTCCCTTCCCTACACATCAAGCTCAAGGATTTGCCCCCGCCCAGGACTGGCAAATTAGCTTTACTCAACATGCCCCGAGTCACAAAAACTAAAATACCTCTTAGTCTAAGTAGACACTTTCACTAGATAGGTAGAGGCCTTTCCCACAGGGTCTGAGAAGGCCACCGCAGTTATTTCTTCCCTTCTGTCAGATATAATTCCTCAGTTTAGCCTTCCCACCTCTATACAGTCTGATAACAGATCAGCCTTTATTAGTCAAATCAGCCAAGCAGTTTTTCATGCTCTTAGTATTCAGTGAAACCTTTATATCCCTTACAGTCCTCAGTCTTCAGGAAAAGTAGAGCAGACTAAAGGTCTTTTAAAAACACACCTCGCCAAGCTCAGCCACACACTTAAAAAGGAATAGACAATACTTTTACCACTTTCCCTTCTCAGAAGTCAGACCTGTCCTCAGAATGCTACAAGGTACAGCCCATTTGAGCTCCTGTATAGACGTTCCTTTTTATTAGGCCCTAGTCTCATTCCAGACACCAGACCAACTTAGTCTGTGCCCCAAAAAAACTTGTCATCCCTACTATCTTCTGTCTAGTCATACTCCTATTCACTGTTCTCAACTACTCATACATGCCCTGCTCTTGTTTACACTGCCGGTTTACACTGTTTCTCCAAGCCATCACAGCTGATATCTCCTGGTGCTATCCCCAAACTGCCACTCTTAACTCTTGAAGTAAATAAATAATCTTTGCTGGCAGGACTATGCTGAATCTCCTTAAGCACTCTCTAATCAGATGTCCTGAGTCGTCCCAATTCTTAGACCTTTTATACCTGTTTTTCTCCTTCTCTTATTCCATTTAGTTTTTCAATTCATACAAAACTGTATCCAGGCCATCACCAATAATTCTAAATTACAAATGTTCCTTCTAACAACCCCACAATATCACCCCTTACCACAAAATCTTCCTTCAGCTTAATCTCTCCCACTCTAGCTTCCCACACCGCCCCTAATCCCGCTCGAAGCAGCCCTGAGAAACATCGCCCATTATCTCTCCATACCATCCCCCAAAATTTTCGCTGTCTCAACACTTTACCACTATTTCGTTTTATTTTTCTTATTAATATAAGAAGACAGGAATGTCAGGCCTCTGAGCCCAAGCTGAGCCATCATATCCCCTGTGACCTGCACGTACACATCCAGATCGCTGGTTCCTGCCTTAACTGATGACATTCCACCACAAAAGAAGTGAAAATGGCCTGTTTCTGCCTTAACTGATGACATCGTCTTGTGAAATTCCTTCTCCTGGCTCATCCTGGCTCAAAAGCTCCCCCACTGAGTACCTTGTGACCCCCACTCCTGCCCGCCAGAGAACAACCCCCCTTTTTCCTTTACCTACCCAAATCCTATAAAACGGCCCCACCCCTATCTCCCTTCGCTGACTCTCTTTTCGGACTCAGCCCACCTGCACCCAGGTGAAATAAACAGCTTTATTGCTCACACAAAGCCTGTTTGGTGGTCTCTTCACACAGACGCGCGTGAAACACCCGACAACAAATGTCTACTGTAGAATGTGTATCACTCTGTGGGAGATAAAAATATGAATCAGAGGACCTCCTGCTCTCAAGGGCCTCAAAGAGAGAAATAGTTAAGATATATTCCCTGAATATCTATACATCAATGTGCTTTCACTGCAGCATTTGCTAACTTCGAGATTGTAATCAAAGCCTCATGAAAGAGCATTGTTATGTTTTGCAGGACTCTGTGGGGCACTGCAACCCTGGATTTACAGCACTTACGTAATTAAAGCAAACAAAAATTGTAGTGAAAACGTTGGATAAGAAGAGAAAAAAGCTACAACATTCACAATGCTAATTCCTATCACCTGAGTATATTTGTTGATGGTCTGCTCATTTGTAACACGTTTCTTATTCTGCATATGGGAAAATAAAATCAAATGTTAAATTTTTCCTTCCTAGAGCTCCCTAATTCTAAGCTATTCCCTTGTATTTTGTGGCTTCATTTGACTTGTCACTTGGAAGCTACCACTGTGACAGGCTGAATAATGGTCCTGGGAGATGTTCTCATTAGAATCCCTGGAACTGTGAATGTTGCCTTATATTGCAAAGAGATTTTGCAGATGTGACCAAGTTAAGGATCTCAAGATGGGGAGATTACTCTGGATTATCCAGCTGGATCTAGTGTAATCACAAGAATCCTCGTAAAAGGGAGGGCTGTCATTGTGCTGTTTACCTCTGTTCTCCTGGTAGAAGCCAACACTGCTAGGCAGGAACATGGGAAAAATCCAAAAAGGAACTGCCGAAGGCATGGATGATCATGCCTTTGTCACCTCATCTTGTCTTCAGGTCTCTTGTGAACCATACCATCTCTCCTTTCCTCCTCTAGTTTAGTGTAGATGGGCTTTAAAATGGTTCCTCAGGGTTGACATTTACTAAACATGTCTACACTGCAGTCACAGGCTGGGGTTAGAGAGTCGGGGTATTGGATACTGTCAGCTTGAACGTAACCCTTGTACTTAGGGGCACAAATACAGCAAGAGCAAGCCCAGCTTGGTAATATTTTTAGAAAGATATACAAAAATTCTAAATCATGGGGAGTTTGTTAAAATTAACATTTAACCTTTCATTAATGACCTTAAAGTACTTTTTAAAAAGACATAAAAATGAGAGAAAATAAGGTGCTTTGGCCTGTCAGCTTGTAGACCCAGGACTTTGTCTATTGCCATTTTATTCTGACCCTTTTGTTCTTTAGTCTGAGGCACAAACGTGGTCCTCGCTACCACCCTTTCTTTGTCCCCACCTCCATGAAGACCTAGCAAATAATAGAAAGAGCCCGAGAGAGCAGGAAAGATTGAGAAAGAACAGGGAGGATAAAAATTAAGATCAGACAATCAAAAAGGAATAATAATTAAATCAAAGTTTCGAAATTGTCATGATGTAGTCCCAAATTATACAACCATGGATGTAGGTGCAAATCCAGGTTGTGTGGGTCCTAAAACTTATGCAGTCTCTGGCCCTCTTGAAGAAAAATACAAACGTCTGATCTGCTAATGTTATATAAACAAATGACCAAGTGAACCTATTGGCAGTGAACCATTTAAGGCCTTGGAAAGGGTCTGTGCAAGAGGGCCCCTGAAGCTTAAGCTTCATTTTACAGTAGATGCTCCTTTGCAGGGCCAAGGATCAGACTGCAGATGGCACTTGTGACACAGGTGCACATACCCTTCCATTTTCGTTGTCTGGTCCCAGGGCAGAAGCCTGATGCCTCCTGTTAGTGATAGCATTAGTGATGCTTGTTGGAGCATAAATTGGCTGTTGAGGACTCTGCAAAGGCTGGTGTCCTGGAAAAGTTGAAGGGATTTGGTTGGGTCTCAGGACTTGATCTAAGCAGGGTGGCTGTGCCAACAGCATCAGTCTCACTCAAAGATGAGGGCTCAGTTTCCTCAAAAATATAGCTTTTGGCTGGGCACAGTGGCTCACGCCTATAATCCCAGCACATTGGGAGACTGAGGTAGGTGGTTCACTTGAGGTCAGGGGTTTGAGACCAGCCTGGCCAACATGGTGAAACCCCGTCTCTACTAAAAATACAAAAATTATCTGGGTGTGGTGGAACACACTTGTAATCCCAGCTACTTGGGAGCCTGAGGCAGGAGAATCACTTGAACTTGGGTGGTGGACGTTGCAGTGAGCTGAGATCGTGCCATTGCACTCCAGTCTGGGTGACAGAGCGAGACCCTCTCTCTATACGTATACATATACATATACATATACATATACATATACATATACATATACATATACATATACATACACATATACATACACATATACATGTATATAAATATATGTATGTATTTCATTCTTTTCAAAATTCTGTTTGTATGTTTAGACAGGGCCCTCAGAAAACTTTCAGTGGGCCTCACTTCATCAAACACTGTTGATGTCCAGTCTCTTGGACTACTGAGTTCACCAGGATGGCATCTGTGGGCTTTGGGAATTTGCTTCAATGCAAGCAGATGCAACCCAGAACAGTGCGGGCATTAACATCACTGGGGCAACCCTCAACCAATGGGGGAGTAAGTGAGTGGAAAAATGCTCCTCCACATTTCCCCTCCTGCAGTGGGACAATGCTAAAATGTGTCCCTCAAAACTTGTTAGACAGCCCTGTTCACCCAGGGTGGTGATTCACCCAGGGTGGGATGGGTGACTGCTTTTCTCCCATCCCAGTCAGTTCCCCACTTCCTCATTTCTGCTTCCTGGGATTATCTCCAGTGCAAGCTATCTGCTTCCACGTCTTTGTCTTAGGGTCTGCTTTTGGAAAAACCCAAAGGAAGGCATTACTTCAAACTACATGGCTACTCATTAGGGAAAGTTGAGACTTCCTTTACTTAATTATGGGGATGGAGATAAGAACATTTTTCTACCTTTTATTTTGAAATCTCGCTACCAGTCCTAATAATCTGGTAACTTAGAGGATACTCTGCTTCTCTTTCCTTCAACTGGCAGCAACTTCCTCTTTAGGGGCCATGTCCATCTGCACTCCCAAATTATAACACCCAGAATCAAGCCGGATCAGATACTACACTAATGCGGGACTATCTAATGCAAACATGACATTAAAAAAAAGAGACTGTTTTATATCAGTCTTGGACTTTACTTGCAAGGCTTTCAAAAAGTCACATGGAAACAATTGCAATGAAAGGATTTTATGCATTTTTTGGTGCAAAGTTTATTTATTCAGATTGTCTTTATAGTTGGATCTCATCATGTTAGAGGATTTTGCAGAAACCCTTCAGTTTCATTTTCAAAGCTATAGATGTCTTATTTGTATAATTATTACTTTTTGGTGGAGACAAAGTGACCCAGTTTGAGAGTTCAGTTAGAATTTTGTATTCTTCACGGATTTTCCTATTGAATACACAAATTAATTCTTTTGTTTGACGATTTCCAAAGCAGTTCTTGGCAACAATAACTTTTCACATTTTCATGTAAAACCAAACCTTATGTAAATAACCAACTGCAGAATCTTTGGGCTTCATTCTAATCCATCAGAGTCAACTTGACTTTTCTGAGTTTTATTTTTAAAACTTTAAGTATCAGAGAAAATTCATTATCTTGACTCTCTTTTAAAATCAGACTAATCAGGGCCTCATTTGTTAGGATAAAGAGGATTAAATTAAACTCAAGTTGTCAGGCATCTGATTATGGACTTCAAGAGCTGGGAAGAGGCCAGGCACAGGTGGCTCACACCTGTAATTCCAGCACTTTGGGAGGCTGAGGTGGGCAGATCACCTGAGGTCAGGAGTTCAAGACCAGCCTGGCCAACATGGTAAAACCCCATCTCTACTAAAAATACAAAAATTAGCTGGGTGTGGCAGTACCTGCCTATAATCCCAGCTACCTGGGAGGCTGAGGCAGGAGAATTGCCAGAACCCAGGAGGCAGAGGCTGCAGTGAGCCAAGATTGGGCCACTGCACTCCAGCCTGGGTGACAGAGTGAGACTCCATCTCAAAAAAAAAAAAAAAATTAGCCGGGTATGGTGGTGGGCTTCTGTAAGTCCAGCTACTCAAGAGGCTGAGGCTGGAGAATCACCTGAAACCAGGAGGCGGAGGTTGCAGTGAGCCAAGATCACGCCACTGCATTCCAGCTTGGGAGACAGAGTAAGACAGAGTAAGACTCCATCTCAGAAAAAAAAAAAAAAAAAAAGAGCTGGGGAAGACACTGATTTCCCTGAAAGCCAGAACTTCAACTCTTGAGTCACAAGCGATGACACTGAGGAGTAGTAATCTAGAGTCTCATCCTGACATCCTTTGACCTGAACAGGGCATAAGAAAACACCCAGCTCTTGTGTTGCCCACAGAAACAGTTGACCCTCACATTTCCCCATTAAGACTTGACAACAGGAGAATCTCTCAGTGCTTCTGTAGAAGTTGAGATTCTTTATTCCTACGCATGTCTAAGTCTGGAGCTCTGATCCTGAAATACGCTCTATGAGAATGCTATGGGTATGAGTATGCTATGGACTGAATTGTGTCTCCCAAAATTTATATGTTGTGCCCTAACCCCTAATGTAATGGTATTTGGGGACAAGGGCTTTCAAAGATAATTGGGTCTAAATGAAATCATGAAGGTAGGGCCCTCGTGATGAGATCAGCGCTCTTAGAAGAAGAGACACCAGAGAGCTTGCTGTATCTCTCTGCCATGTGAAGACAGGGTGAGAAGGCAGTCAGGAAGAGAGCCCTCAGCAGAACTTGACCATTTTGGCACCCCAATCTTGGACTTCCAGCCTCCAGAACTGTGAGAAAATAAACTTTGGCTGGTGAAGTCTCCCAGCCTGTGGTATTTTGTTGCGGCAGCCTGAGCTGACTAACACAGTATATAAACTCTACAAGCACCATTCGGGTAAATGGAAGACTCAAATATTCTCCTTGCCTCTCCCTTGGAGCTGTTTAATTTAACCTATAATTCTTCTCATAACTGTATTTCCTAGAATCACACATTGACTGTAGACCGGAAAGAAGGAGGTTTGGTTGCATCCTGACTTTTCATATATATATAGTCAAATATGAAATATACTGTTATCTATCTGTACACCTAAGAAGGGCAGATTTACTGTGCATAATTTTATACTTTAATAAATCTGAACTTAAAAAAGATCAGTGCTTGGGAAAATGGTTTCTATGAAGAAAGCCTTTAGCCAAAGATGAGAGATTGGGGGTTGGGGGTAGAAAACCTGAAATAACTGGGTTTAGTTAATTTAGAAAAAACAAATTAAGCAGTGGTTTAATAATATCTGAAATCCAAATGTCAGTTTTTCCTCTCCACCTTGAGGGTCACTTTGCAACATTCTATTTGAAGAAAAAAAAAAAACAGATTTAACTATGAGTAGCTGACTTGGTTGCACTACAGTGTACAGTGAGCTTTGACATATCATTCCAGAAGGCCCACGCTGGGTGGATGTTGGTCTGCCCAAGTTCAATCCTTTTCACAGACTCCCTGCCTGAGTGAGTTTGCAGAAATACTTGTTTATTTTTCTAAGTGTCCAGGAGGTACGTGTTGGAAAAGAAATATACACACATACATATAATGCACACACACTCATTCCTATCTCCAAAGGACTAATATAAATCCTTAAAAGAAACAGACTAAACTGATAAAAAGAGAATCATTTTCCTAATGAACTCATAACTTATAAGGTTTACTCTGCCCACAATAAAATTGGGTGATAGTTGGAACTCTTAATTGTTCCATTACTGAGTCACTACCCCAATGGGAGCTTTCTAGTTTCAAACACCTCTCTTGCTTCAAGTCTTTAGCCCAGTATTTCTCAAAATATGTCCTCAAATTGCCGCTGTCAGAATTATCTGGAATGATTGTTCAAAATCCAGATACTTGAAAATGAATTTCTAAGGGTGGGCCTCAGAAATCTGCATATGAAAAAAGTCCCCTGGTAATTCATTTAGCACCAAAAGTTGAGAACACTTCTTTTAACTGCTATGATGAAAATTTTTCTCTTGCTCCTGGATATAAAACAAGAGCAAACTCTTTCTGCCACATTCTTAGTTTGGAGGTTGGGTAGTCTTAAAAATGGGTCGGAATATTGGGTAGTTCATGTGTTCTACAGATTTTTAATGAAGGTTGATACTCAACATTTTGAAATGGCATGAAGGGGCAAAGAACTAAGAGAGGTGAAGAAATAGAAACCCAACCAACCTACTATGCATAAAGTACTGGTCTAAGTGTTAAACGATTTGTGTTTCAAGTTCCCCAATGTTAGTGATTTCTTCCTTTCATCTAGCTTTCCATCTTTTCTTCCAATTTTCTTCCATTAAAAAAATTTATTTGTATATGTGCACAGAATTGAATTCATCAAAATTGTTGGTCATATTATATCCTCATCATTGGTTCATGCATGGTCTTTTTTTAATTCATTATTTAATTAGATATTTTAACTAATGCAATAAATACCTGAGAAAGCAACACCTAAATCAAATGCTAGTACCTTGACAATAACTATAAGCAGAACACCAAAACCACTCTGTTCTTCTGGAAACCATAGTCAAGGGAACTCAGGACCTGACAAGCCAGCAGAAGGTTAAGAAGTTCTTACCAGCCAGGCTCCTGGCCTCTCTTTCTGTGGAATCTGGTCAAGCAGATGGTAAAATCACCATTTGTCCCCTTTTCCTCTCCAAAATCTTGATTCATGAGAGAAAAGGACTTATGTGACTAGTCTTGGGGGTATAAACTCTGGTGTACTTTTGGTATGAGTATTCACAATTGTCTAATCATTTTCCTCCCAGAAGTAGACTTTCCCTTTGTCTTTGTTTTTCTGTGTTTTTCTATCATAAAGAGGGGTACCACAGGGTAGAACATGGGCCCAAAACTTCTGAAAGCCCGTTGTTTGAACTGGTCCTGCCAATTGGTCAGTTTTTTGGTTCTGATGAGACAAATGTCTATTTAGACAAACTTTGCTGTAGGTGCCTGAAGTAAAAACTGGATGAGGTTCCCCTCTCATCTTGTTTGACATCCTTGACAGCTTAACTTGTGACTGAGTGGGAGCACTTTCTCTTGGTCTCTGCCATCCAGGGGATGTGATTTTCAGCTCATGTCTGGTAGCCAGTCAGAAAATGGCTGGGAACCCGAGACAAAAGATTTTAAGCAGCACACTCTGTTCCAAACATGTCAAGCTCTCAGGGGAGTTTGTTTTAAGGGGTCCCATCCATAGAGACTTTTTTCATCTTAACAGTCTTTGGCTGGTTAGTCCTGGAAAAGTCCAATACCAGGAGGGGCTACCTGGCATCACAGACCCAGGGGTTTGTGACTAGTGACTGCCCCCACCTCCCAAATCTGTGGGATACCAGGACAACATAAGCACAAACGCCACCCTTAACCATCTGTGGCAACAAGAGTTTTTTGCTATCTTAGCCTATTCCTGGAATGAATTTTTGGGGATTATGGGGACTGACTCTTCTATGTCCTCTCCATATAACGCCCTTTGCTTATATGGTAAAAACTTACTCTAAACCTGGAAAATTACCTCCTGGGCTTTCTATCAAGTAGCTTATTGGATTGAGCTGCTATTGGAGTAAGTACACCATTGGAAAGTATTTGTGTGACTCTTGACTTTTTGGAATAACCATTTGTTACTGACCCTTTTCCCTTCCATGAAGAGCTTTCGATTTCCTGTCTTCTTCTATCTATGGGCACACTGGGCTTTTAAGTCTTTGCGTGTAGATGGTTAGCTGAGAAGCTGAGACCCTACAGAATGTGGCTGAAAGAATTGTAAGTTATACTTCATTTGCAACTAGCAAAGCTTTTTTTGTTGTTGTTGTCTTTGGGGGTGGTTTTGGGTCTTGGGAGGATTACTTTGAACCACTTGGGAGGTCTCATGCATCCTTATTTAAGCCATAAACTTGGTGAAGGCTTACTGGTTTCGGTGAGTGACTTGGGAAGGTACTTTTGTTTTAACAAAACAAAGCTCAAGCTAGGATGGCTGTTTTTCCTGGCTGAAATCTGACAAGAGATTTGAAAAAATATGTATATATTTCTTAAGAGCTTTATAGTCAAAAGTCAGCTTAACTAAAAGCTGATATTCAGGCTTTTTTTTTTTAATCTTTCTGCATTCTCGTTTGGATCCTGTTTCTGGGAATGTTTTTCAATTGACTGAAAGCTCTTTTAATATGTTTGGTGTCTGTTTTCTCTCTTTCTTTTTAGCATGATTTTTGCCTAGAAAAATGTAAAGCTTTATTGGCCTTTTACAAAGCTTAAAATCTCCACAGATTGTTTCCTCTAAGGCTTATTCTTCCATTTCCTTCCACTTCTTCTCCTCCTTCCTTTTGCCGTCTTTGATAGCACATGAAGAAACCTAGAAGAAATTTCTAGCAGCCTTGAGACCCCTTGAAGAACACAAAAAAGGCACTATACACCCCCTTTTTGGAGTCTTTTTTCTTTATTTTTTTAAAATTGAAGACAGGTTTTTGTCTTGTTGCCCAGGCTGGTCTTAAACTCCTATGCTCAAATGAACTGCCCACCTTGGCCTCTCAAAGTGTGGGGATTACAGGTGTGAACCACCACACCTGGACTATATTCATAAATTATTGGTACATGACTGATAATTAAAAACTGCTTACTTCATAGGTTGTCACTGTGAATTAAAGTTACTCAGGTTTAAAATTGTAGGTAATATGTATAATTAAAACTACTAGATATAAGAAAAATAATTCTATATACAAATATTATAATATATAATTCTAATTAAAAATAATTCTATATGCAAATATTAAAGTCTTGTGTCTTCAAGGAGGTTAAGGGAAAGGATAAAAAGACTCTGCTAGGTAATCTGAAATACAGACCTTTGCTTATGACCTTGACATCAAGGAAAGTAGGATGTGTTTTGGAAAGGAAGGTTATGAGAAAATCATGAAAATGTAGTTTTGTTAAATAAAAAGTAATTTTGTCTAGTTTAAAGGTTGTTTACAAGGTGTTTTAAATTCGAGGAATAAAGTAAGAATAATAGATAAAACTGAATGAATATAGAAAGTTGGGGAAAGAAATAGAATGGGAAAAATTGTGAGAGGTTATAAAAGATTTATGAAAATCTTATCTTTGTGGTTAAACATGATTGAGATTAGACAGATCTGCTTATAAGGTTTTATTAAAATTATGTTTAATATTAATAATACACTGATTGATAGAAGGGTAGAGTTTGGTTTTCTCTTTTAAACAAGATTTTCATTTGCTATTAATAAGAGATAGTAAAAGATTTTTGTTTGCCTTTTGAGTAAACTTCGTAAAAAGAAAGAGACGAAGAGACAGACTTTGTTAGTCTCATGCTGTCTGTATCAGGTGTTTTGATTGTTTGAAAAATAGTGTCTCCTCTCTATCAAAGAGTAAAATTTTTGCTTTTTGAAATCTTTAAATTATCATTTTGGCTAAATTAGTGACTATTATTTTATAGTGACCTATGATCCTCATGACCTATGATTAAGTGTCTTCAATCTTTCATATTTTGATAACAAAATAAACCTTAGGTATTCAACAAACTTCCCAAATCAAAGTTTCATGTTCTAAATTAAGCCTTTTTTTTTTTTTTACCTTGAACTGGTTTTGGACATTCAAAAAGGGCCCCTGGATATCTAAGACAGACATATTAGGCTTATTTGTTATGTTAAAATCACATAGGAAGCATTGTCAAATAAGAAATGATATTTAACTCTGAGTTACATTTGTATGGATGTGTTATTAATATGTGTTTCAAAATTATATGAGAATCTTAAAAATCTGATATGTCTTGGTATATGTGGTAAATTGCTTTATTCTGATCTTTTTCTAAAAGCTCTTTGGAAATATTAAAGCCTTGTGTCTTCAAGGAGGTTAAGGGAAAGGATAAAAAGACTCTGCTAGATAATCTGAAATACAGACCTTTGCTTATGACCTTGAGATCATACAATTGAACTGGGTAGGAATTTCAATAACACCATTGGGGAAAAACTGGACTCATAAAACTGCTAACTTAATATCAGACAGAATAACAATTAATTACATAGGACTGAACTGATGGAGGACTGAAATAATTTTTTTGTTTAAAACATTACTGATTCTTTTTGTTTTGTTTTCCAGAGTTAATAACACTTTTTTAAAAAGCTATTTATAGTTTTCAGCACTTGAGTAAAGTATACTTTCTTTTTTTTCACTCAAGACTTGTTCTGTCGCCCAGGCAGGAGTGCAGTAGCATGATCTCAGCTCACTGCAGCCTCCACCTCCTGGGTTCAATCAATTCTCCTGCCTCAGCCTCCCAAATAGCTGGGACTATGGGACTACAGGTGTGCGCCACCATGCCTGGATAGTTTTTTTTTTTTTGTATTTTTAGTAGAGATGGGGTTTCACCATGTTGTTCAGGCTGGTCTTGAATTCCTGACATCGTGATCCACCCACCTTGGCCTCCCAAAGTGCTGGGATTACAGGTGTGAGCCACTGCACCCAGCCATGCCTTCCTATAATCTTTTACCAAAACACATTCTACTTTCCTTACACACCTTGCATGTAAAACTGTTTTTCCAGTAGTCTCGAGTACATGTTACACTGCTAACCCTTACCAACTTTTACTTTTGGTAAGTAAGTAATTCTAATTATGTACTAGGTGTGGAGCCTAGGACACCAGACAGAAGTGCAGATAATGTTTGAGTCTTCTCAGCATAGCTAGGGGACATGGCTAACTCTGTGTGTCCTCTGGCCTTACCTAGCTTTAAAGAAGGCGAATTGTACAGTTAAGAGTCATAGTAGCAGTTTATGAAGCATTTAGTAGGCCTAATAACCTTTAAACTATACAACATTTATTTCATAAATTTTTCAGACTTACACAGACCATCTATGACATGCCTGGACTTTCTGACTTGTAGTAAACATCCCTCTTTTTTTAACAACTATTTTACTTTAGGACAATAATTTATCATACAAGGTCTTTTGTTTATATACAAAATCTCTTTTCTCTATAACATTCCTTACCAAAAATACCTCTTTACCTTTATAACCTTTAAGTTAGACAAAAGTCATTTTCCTTCTGTTAGAAAGTTAAGGTTTGTACTGCACGTTGCTGTGTGAGTCCTGTGAAGAGGGAGCAGATAAGGAGGTTATCTGCAACTGAAGAAGTTATTCCCCTTCAAGAAATTGTTTGGGGCCGGGCACGGTGGCTCATGCCTGTAATCCCAGCACTTTGGGAGCCTGAGGCGGGCGGATCACAAGGTCAGGAGATCAAGACCATCCTGGCTAACACAGTGAAACCCCGTCTCTACTAAAAATACAAAAAAAAATTAGCCGGGCGTGGTGGCGGGCGCCTGTAGTCCCAGCTGGAGGCTGAGGCAGGAGAATGGCGTGAACCCAGAAGGCAGAGCTTGCAGTGAGCCGAGATCGCGCCACTGCACTCCAACCTGGGCGACAGAGCGAGACTCCGTCTCAAAAAAAAAAAAAAAAAAGAAATTGTTTGGTTAGATTTTTGCTAGAGCTTGTCTGAATAAGTGTGGGCCACTTCTAAACTCCTGAGGTAGGACTGTCCAGGTTGAAGTTATTGGTTAAAGATTTAGGTAACTTTCCTAGGAGAAATAGGGCTATAGGGAAACATGAATTTAGAGGTTGATTAAATATTAAGCAAGCAAGCACCTATCTTGAAAAGTATATTTTTGTCAAAAGCCATGTGAATATTTTCTTCTGGAGGGAGGAGGTGCCATTTGTCCCTACTACCTGACAGGATTTGGAAGAGAGTTGCTCAGATAATAAGATGAGCACAGAGTAGGCAGCTCTTGAAACCTAAAGGGAAATATATAATTTTACTTACTTTATTGTTATAAATAGTTCTAGTTTTGCTTTTACCTTAGCTAGTTTTTATGACAAGGTCAAACTTTTCCAAGGAATTTAATCCTCTTCACTTCATGTCTCTTGGAGCATCTTATACATCTCTTTCCTGTTATTTAAACATTTCATCTAATACTGTCTTCAAAGTGGATTTTTGTATGCACAAACCAGCTAAAGTTTGTGTATGCCTGAGAAAATGTTTATGATGCCTTCATATTTGAATGTTAGTTTGGCTTGGTATAAAATTGTAACTGCATTTCTTTCAAAATTTGAAAATATTATCTCATGTGTCTTGCTTATCATATTGCTGTTGAAAAAACTTGGTGTTACTCGAATTTTAATTTTGGTTGGTGATCTATTTTTCTGTACAGTGTATTTTAGAATTTTCTCTTCTTATTCTAGGAGTGGATTTTTATCTTGTTCCCTATGTTTAGTCCTCTATGAAGCCTTTCATTCTGAGGTCTTTTATTGTTTTCCCCCCTTTATTTTTGAAAATTTATCTCCTTTATTTTTTTAAACATTTTTATCATCATTATTATTATTTTCTGTATTTTTTTTTTCAGACAGAGTCTCGCTCTGTTGCCCAGACTGGAGTGCAGTGGTGTGATCTCAGCTCACTGCAACCTCTGCTTCCGGGGTTCAAACAATTGTCCTGCCTCAGCCTCCCAAGTAATGGGGATTACAGGCTTGTGACACCACACCTGGCTAATTTTTGTATTTTAGTAGAGATGAAGTTTCACCTTATTGGCCAGGCTGGTCTCAAACTCCTGACCTCAGGTGATTCACCCACCTCGGCCCCTCAAAGAGCTGGGATTACAGGTGTGAGCCACCATGCCTGGACTTAAATATTATTTTAATTTCTTTTTAGGACTTCCATTATCTGGCATACATCTTTGTCTTATCATTTATCCTTGTTTATATATTAGTTGTTCTCAAAGCATGGTCTTCAGATTAGCAGCACTGGTACCACTTGTGAGCTTATTAGAAATGAAAACTCATGTCCCTTCCCACACCTAATGAATTAGAATCTCTGGGACTGAGGGTCAAGAAACTGGTTATCAATCTCTCCAGGTGATTCTTATATATAAGTTAAGATTTAAGGCTGGGCGTGGTGGCTCATGCCTGTAATTCCAGCACTTTGGGAGGCCGAGGTGGGCAGATCACGAGGTCAGGAGATCGAGACCATCCTGACTAACACGGTGAAACCCTGTCTCTACTAAAAACACACAAAAAATTAGCTGGGCATGGTGGCAGGTGCCTGTACTCCCAGCTACCCGGGAGGCTGAGGCAGGAGAATGGCGTGAACTTGGGAGGCAGAGCTTGCAGTGAGCTGAGATCACGCCACTGAACTCCAGCCTGGGCGACAGAGCGAGGCTCCATCTCAAAAAGAAAAAAAAAGATTTAAGAACAGGACCCAGCCAGGCCCCGTGGCTCACACCTGCCATCCCAGCACTTTGAGAGGCTGAGGTGGGTGGATCACATGAGGTCAGGAGTTCGAGACCAGCCTGGCCGACATGGTGAAACCCCATCCCTACTAAAAATACAAAAGTTAGCTGGATGTGGTGGCAGGTGCCTGTAATCCCAGCTACTCGGGAGGCTGAGACAGGAGAATCACTTGAATCTGGGAGATGGAGGTTGCAGTGAGCAGAGATCGTGACTCTGCACTCCAGCCTAGGTGACAGAGCGAGACTCTGTCTCAAAAAAAAAAAAAAAAAAAAAAAAGAACAGGGTCAGGTGGCTCACGCCTGTAATCCTAGCACTTTGGGAGGGTGAGGCTGGTGGATCACTTGAGGTTAGGAGTTTGAGACCAGCCTGAAGAACATGGTGAAACCCCGTCTCTACTAAAAATACAAAAATTAGCTGGGTGCAGTGGCATATGCCTATAATCCCAACTACTTGGGAGGCTGAGGCACAAGAATCACTTGAACTCGGGAGATGGATGTTGCAGTGAGCCGAGATCACTTGTACTCCAGCCTGGGCGACAGAGGAAGGTTCTGTCTCAAAAAAAATAATAATAATAAATTTAAGAACAATTGTTTTATTTTTGTATTTTCTTCTTTGCTATGGGAGGGTTTCTCAGTCTTCTAATTTGCTGACTTTTCCCCCTCAGTTGCATATATTCTTTCAATTATCCCAACTATGTGTCCCATTCTTCTTTAATTTAACCTTAAATTGGGTTCAGTAGACCAGCAGCCTCACTATCACCTGGGAACTTGTTAGAAATGCAAAATCCTAAACCGGGTGTAGTGGCTAATGCCTGTAATTCTAGCGCTTTGGGAGGCCGAGGCGGGTGGATCACTTGAGGTCAAGAGTTCGAGACCAGCCTGGCCAACACGGCAAAACCCTGTCTCTACTAAAAATATAAAAAAATTAGGTGGGTGAGGTGGTGGTATGCACCTGTAACCCCAGCTACTCGGGAGGTTGAGGGAGAAGAATCGCTTGAACCCGGGAGGTGGAGGTTGCAGTGAGCTGAGATCACGCCATTGTACTCCAGCCTGGGTGACAGAATGAGACTCTGTCTCAAAAAAAAAAAAAAAAAAGAAAGAAAGAAATGCACAATCCCAGGTTCTCATGTGACACCTACTGAATCAGAAACTCTAAAGGCAAGGCCCACCTATTTATTTTAACAAGTCTTCTATGGATTCTTCTGATCCATGCTTAATTTTCAGAACTATTGCCAGGTGAGGTGGCTCACTCCTGTAATCCCAGCACTTTGGGAGGCCAAGGCGGGTGGATCACCTGAGGTCAGGAGTTCGAGACCAGCCTGACCACCATAGTGAAACCCCGTCTCTACTAAAAACACAAAACTTAGCTGGGCGTGGTGGAGCATGCCTGTAATCCCAGCTATTCGGGAGGCTGAGGTACAAGAATCGCTTGAACCCAGGAGGCAGTGGTTGCAGTGAGCTGAGATCGCACCATTGTACTCCAGACTGGGAAACAAGAACGAAACTACATCTCAAAAAAAAAAAAAATTTCAGAACTATTGCTCTTGTATTTTTTAATGAAAATATTCCTGGTTTTTTAATGTCTTCTTGTCCTTGCTTCAAGTCATATCTTCCCTTAGTTCTGTTAATATGTTTATTAAGCTAATTTAAAACTCTTGATTTATTTTTTTCTAATAATTTGGCCAATTTTGCTACTTGTAATCTTTTGTGTTTGTTTCCATTTTTGAAATGCTTGTGCTTCTCAAATGTCTTGCTTTTTTAGCCTGTGACTGTGCTCACCCTGTGGGTTATTGGTTACTGGGTGGGGCAATGCATATGGAGGAAGGCCAGAATCCCCAAGCTCAGGCACCAGGGTGCAGCAGGTGGAAAACACTGGGCTTCAGAAATCTAGTCAAGCACACCCCACCTCACACAGCCACTATTCCAGGCTTTACACCTAGGAGAAGAGGCTTAGGACAGAGAGACCCAGTTTAGATCGCCATTCTTGGCCAGAAGGCTTGGAGCAGGAGGGGTGGGAAAGCAACAACCTGAGGTCAGTTAGTCCTTACACACATTCCTCCCACAGACGTTACACTACAATATTACTCCTGAGAGCACCTGGACCTGAGTTCTGAAGACACTGTATCCCAAGGCAATGGCAGGGATGGAACCAGGGCAGAAGCCAGCAATTGCTCCTCCTGTTCTCTCTTAACACCAAGCTGGGCTGCCTCTTTCCCAGATGCACCCTTCCCCAACTTTCAGACACCAAGTTTAAAACACCCCCACCCAAGGATGTCAGACAGTATCCTCTGTTTTCCCTTGGTAGTTTCTGCTACCTTAATCTTCGGGGCAGAAACCAGGAGTTGTTCAGTATCCTGGTCAGATGTGTTGAGTTTTCAAAGTTGGTACTAAGAGCTTCCATTAGTACAGCCCTGGTTTCTAAGCACTCTCAAATGTATTATTTCATTCTCACAATCACCTATGCAGTAGCTTGCACATGTGTTATTATTCTTATTTTACAGAAGAAGAAATGGATTCCAAAAAGCAGTGACTCACTGAGGTCACACAGTAGTTGAGTGGCAGAGCTAGGAGAGAACTCTGGTCTCCTGCCTGGTTGAACAGATCTTGCTGTGACCTCTGACCTGTCAGCTAATGTGCTTGTGGTCTGAGAACAGGGACCTTGAGCCCTGCCCTGCGCCTGTGATTCTCTGGACTTGCCTCACTCATGCAGATGAAAGTTGACACTGTGGAGTGCATCTTACTGTTTCCTGCCTATGAGTAGATTTGTCTCTAATGGAAAGAGGGGTTTCTTGTTGTTCCAGGCACACTGGACCTACTGCTAGGACACCATTGATTTTTAAAAAAGGATGTTTTTAAAATGTTTTCCACATGCTCAGACACCTTAGTGTCTCAAAAAATAAGAAAATATGTTAGAGATGTCAAAACAAATAAATGATGTTTAAAGTCTCTTCTGTGCTTAAAAGAATAAACCCTTTTTCACGGATGCTGTTGGTGCCCCACCCAGATCCCTTCTGTCAGGTGGTGCACTCAGTCCCCATTTGCTGTAAGCTGCTGATGGCCCACAGCTGCCCCTTTCTCTGGAGAATGGCCTTCTGCCCAATGGGGCTGGCTTCCCAGAGATGTCTGGAAATAGCCTCATCCTTCATTTGCAGCAACGACTGCCTAATACAATAAAGGCTCGGCTCCTTGTTAAGGAAGGTTAATTGTGTGATGTAATTTTTGTTCCAAAGATCCTTCTGAGGCCAAATAAATTCTTACACATGAATTCCTGTCTTAGGCTTTGCTTCTAGAAAACCCAAACGAAGATACTCTTTAATCAACAAAGAATGTATTAATGCACTCCAGGTGCTATAGGGCAACATTGAAACTTGGTATATTTAATGTTTGACATTTACCATTTCTAATGTCCCTTGAAACTGCCTCTTTGACCCATGACTTGTAAGTGTGTTGCTTAACTTCCTAGTGTTCGTACATTTTCCTGTTATTATTCTGTTACTGAGTTTTAGATTAATTCCATTGTGGTCAGAAAATACTTTGATTAATGTATCAGAGTTCAATAGTAAAAGAAGAACCTCTAGGATATCTGTAGCTATCTATATGAGACACACACATTTATGCTTATACATATTTACATTTATAGGGATTTATGGAGAATTGACTTCATGCAATAATTGTGGTGCCATCGCTGTAAAGCAGGGCAAGCTTTGGGAAAGGGAAGATGAGTGTAAGGTGGATAGGACAACAAACTGGGATCCAAAGCATAACATGAGCCATGAGGACAGATTGAACCCCAGGTGAGTTTTTGTTGCCTCTCACCCTAGTGGTATGGGTGTTCTGCATGGGCTGGGGCCCATTGTCATGAAGCTTAACACATACCTCAGGTCCGGGAGTTGGAGGAGCTAAGGGGGAAGCCATGGGAAGTGGAGGAGTTGCAGGCTCAGTCACTGCCTCACACCATGGAGGTAAGTCAGTGACAATGTGTGAAGGCCACAGAATGGTCACTGCTTCACTTCCTCCCTCAAAATGTTACATCAGAACCTCTCTGGTGGCCCACTCTAACCACCAAAAACATGCAGGAAAAGGAATTCTTGGAAATTACAAGAATCTAGAATTTAGTCCAAGGAAGTTGACACATTACAAAGTCACCACAGTCCTTCCCACTTCAAATAAGAACCTATGCATAGCTTGTAAACCATATTAATCTCCAAATAAAAACAATAACAACTTTATATTTTCACCTAACATGATACATCTATACCACCTACAACCAAAAACACATTATTTCTTTTCCCAGAACAGGATACAGAGTTCCCACAGCCCCTTAAAAAAAAGGTGATGTTTACTTTTCTCTTGCATTCTAGGCACACTTTTCCTTACCCTAATTGTGTACTAGTAACCACAATCTCCCTTAATGATCAGGATCAATCACCCCAATGAGATAAAGTAACCACCTTATATACGTGCTGGTTCAATGTCATGAAGCGCCCTAAGTGGTCAGGTGGCAGTCTCAGCTTCTATTCTTTTCCTTTCCTTTCCTTTTCCTTTTCTCCTTCCTTCCTTCCTTTTTCTTTCTTTCTTTTTTTTTTTTTAGACAGAGTTTCACCCTTGTTGCCCAAGCTGGAGTGCAATGGCGTGATCTCAGCTCACTGCAACCTCTGCCTCCCAGGTTCAAGCGGTTCTCCTGCCTCAGCCTCCTGAGTAGCTTGGATTACAAGTGCGCACCACCATGCCCAGCTAATTTTTTGTATTTTAGGTAGAAATGGGGGGTTCACCATGTTAGCCAGGCTGGTCTCGAACTCCTGACCTCAGGTGATTTGCCCACCTCCATCCCCACCACCATAAGCCCATTTCCTCATAAGCCAAAGTGATAGGATGGGCAGTGATAGGAGTGACTGAGTGATTGATTCTGACCATCATGGGGAAATTGGTTCTAGATTGCTTCTAGAAAAGCAATCTGCTAATGAAAACTCTTTAGAAAGGAGGAATTAAATAAAGCAGCAGTTCAGAAAGGGAAAAAAATAATTGAAAATCCTAAGATAGACATCCTAGGTCAGGAATCTCAATTATATCCCAGAGCAATATTAAGAGACAGTGAAAAATAAAAGCAAATTATTGAGTATTTGAAAGGAATGAGTGATTAGTTTTATCCCTTAATCTTCTCCCTTTCCTTCTTTTTAAATTCTGATCACACCAAAAACATGAACTATGTGTGAGGCATGATAAGGGCATGGTTCACGTCAGGGGACTCCTCAATGTGTCCTGAATGAGCAATGTTAGAAGACCTTGGCTCTCTGCAAACCCTTCTTGCTTTCTAAATCTGTACTTTCTACTCTCACAATTCCATTTCCACTTTAAATCCTGTGCTACTGTTGCTCTCTTCTTCTCTCTAGGGGATGGAAAATGAGCTCTGGATTTCTACTTGCTTGTGGTAGCTATTTATTTCAGTTCACAGATGATATTGCTATTGATATAAAAAGTAGCAAGGATGCATAAGTCAGCATTTGGTGGCCAATGTTTCATTACGTTCAAGTCAATATTACCTGGTAAAATTATAGTGTATTTGTTATGTGTTACTCAGGTGAGTTTTCCTAATTAACATTTTCATGTCTGTCACTGATTGATAAACAGTTTTGCTTCTTGCTTGCTAGTAATTGAGAATCAATTCATCAAAATAACTGGTTTGACTGCATTTCATTAGGAGAGTCAACCATCCATGCCAGTTGATGACTCTTTCATGTGTCTAATACTAACATTTTTAAGTGATGTGACTGGCCTGGGAGTCACAGTCCTCTGGGTGCCAGTCCCAGCTCTGCCTCTGAGGCTGTGGGGGCACTTCAACCAAAAAAAAAGCAATTGTGATATGTGTAAATCTAATATAATACTGAGCATATAAAATAACACAGATAGAGATACAATACAGATATGGCAAAAACCATGATTACTTTTACATCAACCTATAGATTTATAAATATAGATGTAGTTAGGCCCAAAGTTACAAACTTAAAAGATACAAAAGTAACATTCCAGTTAGGGCGTGATGAGTGAAGTCAAAGCATTCTAAAGTCTTTGCATTCATCAGGAAGAGGACAAAAATCTCAGTCAATATTGGATTTTAATGAGTCAAGGATGTATGTGCTCTAATTTCTGGGGTAACCACTTAAAAATGTTAAAATGGCAAATAACTTCCAGATTCATGATGAGTAAGAAACAAATGGAATGATAAAAAAATGCTCAATTTATCCAGACAAATTGGATAAGTAAAAGAAATACTCAAATATATTCCAAAGAAAGCAAGAAAGGAGAGAAAAAGGAGAAAGGAACAAATAGAACAAATGATCATTAATAAAAAAGATATATTTAAATTCACATGTATCAGAATTACATTACATAGAAATGCTCAAATTAAAAGACAAAGATTGTCAGATGGAATAAAAAAATACAACTCTATAAGCTATTTGTAAGATGCCCATCTGGCCAGGTGCGGCGGCTCATGCCTGTAATCCCAACACTTTGGGAGGCCGAGGCGGGCAGATCACGTGGTCAGGAGTTCAAGACCAGCCTGACCAACATGGTGAAACACCATCTCTACTAAAAATACAAAAATTAGCCAGGCTTGGTGGCACGTGCCTGTAATCCCAGCTACTCAGGAGGCTGAGGCAGGATAATTGCTCGAAACTGGGAGGCGGAGTTTGCAGTGAGCTGAGATAGCACCACTGCACTCCAGCCTGGTGACAGAGCGAGACTCCGTCTAAAAAAAAAAAAAAAAAGATGCCTATCTAAACTCATGGATATAGAAAAGTTGGCAATAAAAGAGTAAAAAGTCTCTTCTTTGGGAATATTTAATAATCATACATTTGTATGCATGTAGTAACATACTCTGAATCCTATAAAGCAAAAACTGATGGTACTACAGAGAAATACAAAAGTCATGCGTATTATGGGAGACTTTTACACTTATCTCTCTGTAACTTATAGACAAGCAAACAAATATTCCAATAAAGATATATAGAAGGTTTGCACATGATCGAAAACTTAATGACACATATAGAACAGAGAATTCATACTCTTTTCAAGTACACATAACACACTTAACAAAATTGACCACATGCTGAGTCACAAAATAAGTTTCAACAAATTTCAAAGGAATGATAGCACACAGAGTATGTTCTCTGACCAGAATGCAGTAAGAAATCAATTAAATTGATAATTTAAGACCTTCTCACAAAGAAAATACCAGCCTCAAATGACCACTCAGTAAATTCACCTAACATCTAAGGAATAAACAATGCTAATATTCACAAATACTTTCAGAGACTAGAAAAGTAGAATTTGTTTTTTGAGGCCAGCCTAACCCTGGTACTAAAAATTGAAAAGGACATTATCAGAGAGAAAATTTTCAGGCTAGTCTCACTCGGGAGCACAGATGTGTAAATCCTAAACAAAATCCTTGCATACCACATGTATATGTAATAATGCATCATGACCAAGTGGGTTAATTTCGGGCTAGTTTAGCATTTGAAAATCCATTTGTGTACATCATTAATGTAATTTTCCTGCCCAAAATGTTTAATCTGAATTTAATCATGAGAAAAATTAAATTCACACTGGCATTTTTCAAAACAACTATCTTAGACTCCTAAAAAATCTCTATGTGATGAAAGAAAAAAAGATAGAAAAATATTCTGGATTAAAGGAGAATGAACAGAAGCAACAACTAAATACTATGCGGGATCCTAGAGAGGATTCTGAATTTTTAAAAAAGGCTACAAAGGACATTATTGACACAATTTAGGAAATTTAATATAAATTATACATTAGATAATATAACTTAATGTTAAATGTTCCAAATATGATCATTGATTTGTAGGAGAATGCCCTTGTTTTTAGGGGAGACGAAGAGGAATACTCCTTGTTTTGGGGAGAGACAAAGACCGTGCTCTCCCCTGTGCTGTCCCCTCTGCCATGTTGTCCTGTCTGTCTCCTTTTGTAGAGACAGGGTCTCATTATGCTGCCCAGCCTGGCCTTGAACTCCTGACTCAAGCAATCCTCTCCCCTTCGCCTTCCAAAGTGCTGGGATTACAGGTGTGAGTCATCACACCTGATCCCAAAGAGAAATATTTAGGGATAAATTGCCTTGATGTCTGCAACTAAATCTCAAATAGCTCAGCCAAAAACAAATCTCAAATGGTTCTAATGGCTGAGCCAAAACCCAAACTGTGTGTGTGTGTGTGTGTGTGTGTGTGCGTACACGTGTGTGTACATAGATAGTAAAGCAAGTGGGGCAAAATATGAACAATTGGTGAATTCAGGTGAAGGATATGATGTGAAACTTCACTGAAGCTTTGAAATTTTTTAGCATAAAAACTTGGAGAAAAATATATAGAAAAAAATTTATAAGGATTTTCCTGGAGAAGGAAAAATTTAAATAACAAAATGTAAAATGGCTACTGATGTGAAGGAAATTAACAATTAAAATAAGGTGATAATGTAAAGTGACTTTAAGAGAATGCACAATGAAAAGGAATTCCTCAAAGAGGACTGAAAGCATTGATGGTCAGAAAAAGATCACGTGCTTTAAAAAGAAGAAAGAGAAAATCAGTATAGTCACCACATGTACAGAAGAAGGAAGAAGTCATATCATCCTTTAAATAGATACACACATCCTTTGATAAAATTTATCATTCACAGTCTGACCAACATGGTGAAACCCTGTCTCTACCAAAAATACAAAAATTAGACTGGTGTGGTGGCATGTGCCTGTAATCTCAGCTACTCAGGAGGATGAGGCAGGAAAATCGCTTGAACCCGGGAGGAGGAGATTGCAGTGAGCCAAGATGACGCCATTGCACTCCAGCCTGGGCAACAAGAGTGACACTCTGTCTCAAAATAAATAAAATAAAATAAAATCACTTTCTAAATACCAAGAACAGTCAGAAAATGGAATTTTTAAAAGGATACCATTTGCAATGGTACCATAATCTGTCAAGTACCTCTAAATAAAACTAACCAAATGTAGACCCATCAAGGCATAGATTCTTTCTTTCAGAAAATTGGAGAGCATCCTGGATTTTCCTTGCCTCTACTTCAGCTTGACGTCCTATCTTGGATATTGAGAATATTTTTTTTCTTGCTCTCCCTGAAAAAATATCCCTCCACCCTCTTCACAAAGTGCCCTGTTTAAAGCCTGCTTAAGTGCTTGCCTGTACTGCCCCAAAGAGAGCCTTATATTCTTAGTCAAGTGAATGCGTGCCTTGTTGGAGGACGTGAGCAGGAAAATTCACTGCTCCTCACGGCTTCACTAATCAAGACCACCTATGTCATTTCCGCAGCCCCTGAATGCATGATTGGGATGGACACACAGACACTCCCTAACATACCATTGTTCGCTTGGAATTCTTTCACTTTACAGTGGTGTGAAAGCGATACTCATTCAGTACAAATTGTACTTCAAATTTTGAATTTTGATCTTTTCCTGGGCTAGTGCTATGTCATAGGATACTCTCTTGTGATTCTGGGCAGTGGCAACGAGCCGCAGCTCCCAGACAGCCATGGCATCACAAGGATAAACAAGTGAGATCTACAGTGTATTGTGCTGCCTGATGACTGTGCCCACCTGCAGGCTAATGGAAGTCTTCCGAGTATGGTTAAGGGAGGCTGAACTAAGCTATGATGTTCAGTAGGTTAGGTGTATTAAGTGCATTTTTGACAGAATATTTTCAACTTACTATGTGTTTATTGGGAGGTCACACCATCATAAGTTGAGGAGCATCCGTACTTGGCAGTTGGAGTAACCCCCAAGTCCTTGGCCTGTGGAATAAGAGCTATCATGGTCGGGTAGGCAAGGTTGGAGCACCTGAAGCTACCTCTCCACATTCCTGTTCCCCCATCAACCAAGATGATAAATCAAAGACAACATCACATTCTAGGGAGTTGATGGGGAAGACTAGTGCCACTCTTAAAATTCTAAAGGATGCAGGAGTGGTGGTTTCTATTCCTCATCACATCTCTCCATTAGCCAGTAGGGCACAGAGACTAGATGACAGTTATGGAGAATGACTGCATATTATTGCAAATTCAGCCAAGCAGTAGCCCCAGTTACAGCTGCAGTGCCAGGCGCAGTATTGTTGCCAGGGCAAATTAGTAAGACCTCACCTACACGATATATGGCTGTTAAATGGGGGGAATTTACTTATTTTTAAGCTAATCACAAAAGAAAATCAGAAATAATTTGCATTCCTATGGAATGGACAATATTATTTACACTTTTGTCTTAGAGCTATGCTAATTCTCCTGCCCTCTGTCATAACAATCTGAACAGATTCAAACTATCTGAGCATCCTGCAGAGTATCACAGTGATCCATTATGCTGATGACATCATGCTGACTCAGCAGGAGGAGTAAGAGGTGCTCCTCAGTATGACCCAGACACTGGAGGCCTGGGTAAAACAAGCATGCTGGAGAGGGTGGGAGATAAACCCTATGAAGATGCAGAGTCCTGCCATTTTGGTAAAATAGATGGTGGCTGCTTTCTAGCCACACTCAGTGGTGGCCTTGAAAGAGCAGCAATGAAAAATCTTCCCATTGGCAGCACTTTGAGTAGCACACTTGGTCATCCACCTTGTGTGGAAGGAGGAGTAAGGTGCATATATATATGGAGTTATGAGCAGTGGTGAATGGCCTGGCTAGCTAGCCAGGACTCTGAATGTACTAGAATACCTGAGACAAAGGAGATATGGGATAGAGGCATATAAATCGGTATAGGGAGTAAATACTACTTGTTATTTTTGTATCACATGTAATGTCCATTAAGAAGTGTCCACCCCGGAAGAGAGACTGAACAACAAAGTAGGCAAAATGACTTGACTGGTTGACATTAGCCAGTTTTTGTCACCAGCCACCCCACAACAGGCACAATGGACTCATGAACAAAGTGGACACAGTGGCAGAGATGGGGGCCATGCAAGGAACAACAGCACGGACTCCCACTTACCAAGACAGTTTTAAATATTGGCCCCTGGCATAGCTAATCTACTCACAGCAGAGAACAACACTGAGCCTCCAATATGACACTATTCCTTGAGGAAACCGATCAGCCACTCGGCGGCAAGTTGACTTTATTGAGCCCCTTTCATCCTGGAGGAGCCAGAGATTTGTTCCCACAGGAACAGAGTGCCTGATGCACAGGCACAGAATCCCATAAATCAGATTGTCCAAAGAGCAGAGCCACACTATAGTGAAGATGTGCAGGAGTGGGCCCGTGCCCATGAGATTGACTGGTTGTATTACACTCTCACCCTCCAGAGGCAGCCAGGTTGGTAGAATTGAAGTATACTACTGGAGGTGCAGTTGAGGCACCAGCTCAGGGGCAATTGTCTGCAAGCATGGGGTGCCATCCTTCAGGATGCAGTAGCTGCACTGAATCAGAGATTTCCATGTGTCACTGGGTCTCCAATATGATCCTGGATCCAAGAGGCAAAATCTGGCAGTGGCCCCACTTACCTTCAGTGACTCACTGGAGAATTTTATTCTCTTCATCCCTGCAACTTTGGGGGGGTTGGAGGCCCTGGTCCGGTAAGGGGGTGCACTTTTGCCAAAGGAAAAAGCAAGTGTATTGTTAAACTATAAGTTAGGACTGACACCTGAGCACCTTTGACTCCTTATGTCTAGGGAGCAGCAGGAGCCCCTGTGTTGGCAGGGTTAATTGACCATGATCAGCAGGTAGGTAAGGCTGCTGTTCCACAGTAGGGGCAGGAAGGATATGTGTGGAACCCAGAGGACACATTTTTGGTGTCCTTCGTGCCCCTTGTCTAATTGTAGCTGTGAATGGACAAATATAGCAGCCCTGGCCCAAGAAGGGCATGGTCACCAGGGCTCAGACTCCTTAGGAATGAAGATTGGTGCATGTCCAGATGAGCAGAACTGTTAGCTGAGGGTGAGTGGAATTTCAATCGTGGACAAGGGACATGATGAGTCCAGTTGTGGCCCTGGGATTATTTGCATGTCTGGGGTCCGAGAGGACCACGCTGACACAGCCTTGATTTTGACACCATGGAAACAAGGCAGCTACCTGAAACCTCACTCACAAGTGGTATGTCTGTTGTATTCAGGAAGGAGTCATTTCTTTCTATATCTTCCTTCCTTATTATAAAAACCTAAATTATAGGTAATAAAGAAGAGTGGAGTATGTCAAAAAGTAAAGCCTTAGTTTTCAATTATTTTCCACTTGGAGAACTCATAACACAGGTATGAGGCTTTCTCCTTCCTCCCCCTCTCTTGCATATAATAACAACTCCGATAAGAGGCGGTGGGCACTCTCTGAGCATGCTAACAAAATATGCTCACAGGAGTGTCAATCTGTGAAAGGTCTGATTATCTCAAAATGCTCTTGCTCCCTAGGAGCAAACCATAGAGACCTCTCTTCCATCTCCTCCTCACCAGTTCCTGGCAACCAACCTCAGCATTATCCAACGGGGATCCAGAGTCACAAGTGTAGTTTTAGGAGCAAAAAGTGTTTAACAATAAGACCCTGCATTTTTATGATGAACTCAGGAAGGAAGCTTTTTACAATGAATTTTCCTCTCAACCTCTTCCTTAGCTATCATTAAACAGCTGTAGCAAAATTATTATCTTTTCTTTATGGAATAAAAAATAAAACACAGGCTGGGCATGGTGGCTCACGCCTGTAATCCTAGCACTTTGGGAGGCTGAGGCAGGTGGATCACATGAGGTCAGGAGTATGAGACCAGCCTGGCCAACATGGTGAAACCCCCATCTCTACTAAAAATACAAAAGTTAGCCAGGCATGGTAGTGCGTGCCTGTAATCCCAGCTACTTGGGAGGCTGAGGCAGGAGAGTCCCTTGAACCTGGGAGGCACGGGTTGCAGTGAGCCGAGATTGTGCCACCACACTCCAGCCTGGGCAACAGAGCGAGACTCCGTCTCAAAAATAAAATAAAATAAAAATAAATCACAAAGTTTAATAATTATTAGAAAGGCAATAGAGAGATAATGAGAAAAATCAACCCTGAAATTCAAATTTCTTCCAGTTCGGTCTATTAGCCTCCGAATGAACCTCTCATGGCAGCATCATGTAACTAAGGGATCCTTGATGTCCTACTTTCCTCCAACTTCCTTTTGCCAGTGCCGGGCTAGAGATTGTGTGTGTGTGTGTGTGTGTGTGTGTGCGCGCGCGCGCGCGCGCACGCGTGCACGTGCACTCATGTGCTCCTGCTTGAGTACATGCAGGGGGTGGGCATAAGTGATGATAAACTTGATGGTAAGAGGAAGATGATTGGTTAAAAGAAGATTTCTTGGCCAGGTGCAGTGGCTCATGCCTGTAATCCCAGCACTAGGAGGCTGAGGCGGACGGATTGCCTGAGCCCAGGAGTTCAAGACCAGCCTCCTGGGCAACATGATGAAACCCTGTCTTTACAGAAAATACAAAAATTAGCCAGGCGCAGTGGTGTGCACCTGCAATCCCAGCTACTCAGGAGGCTGAGGTGGAAGGATTGCTTCAGCTTGGGAGGTCGAGGCTGCAGTGAGCCAGGATAGTGCCACTGCACTCCAGCCTGGGCAACTACCCTGTCTCAAAAGATAATTTCTTACCTGACAGGTAAATGACTTGGTTTGGGTGATACAATCCGTGAATAGACAAAGCAGAAGTCTCCTGACTCTGAATGCCCTGCTTCAGCTACTGCTGCTGTTCCAGAAACGTCTTTATGCGTGTATTTCTGTGTATATTCCTTGTTCCCTTCTCAATCCCCACGGGATGGTGATTAACCAAGTTCCTTGCTAGAGGCCTGAATTATTCTATCACTTTTTAATATTTGCTGTTTGTGATTTTTTTCTGAATGACTTTGCTTTTACCATCCCAACCCTTAATATTCCCTGCAAAGGGTAGGTAAACACTTTTCTAGTAATTTTTTTTGTTTACATCATATTTTATTTTATTACAGTCAATAAATATACTTTTATATATGAAATCATTATAGAATACATATTTTAAGGCACTAAGTCTCAAAAGTGAAGGCACCTGTTATACTTTGCTCTCTAATTTGACACATTAAAACATGAGAGGTAAATCTGCCAATTTATTTTGAGTTTGCAAGCTTACAATTTAATAGAATAAATCAGGTAGCTTCAGAAATCAACTAAGAAAATTAACAGGCTAGAGTCTGAACTAATAATCTTGACATGGTTTGATTATCACTTGGTTTATTCTGATTACTCATTTACCTTTTCATTTATGAATCTAAACTGACAATTCCACCTTTAGAGGTATAATAGAGCTATTAACCGATGAGACACATCTACTCATTCTCTGTAACTCTGGACATCGCATCTTGCTTTAAAATGCAAATCAGTCATGTCTTGAGCCTCTTACTGAGCAGTGAATGTGTATCCGTGCACATTCCATTTCTCTTTCTGCTGGGATTTTCTTTGGAGTCAGTGGTGCTGTCCCTAAGCAGTTCTATGTGGGCTTCTTTCAGCATCTGCAAGACAGGCACACAAAGCTCCAGTGGGCATCCACCTCTAATCCAGCCTCCACAGGACTGACTTAACAAGTCCACACACAAACAAAGGACACAGAAAAACCAAACAAAACAACACTGCTTGCTCCTTTCTAACCCTCTCCTCAGTATCTTCAATAGACATTTGAAATGTGATGTCAACAGAAAATCCGGGACTCCGAGTCAACTTTTCATAAAATGTGTGCCAACTTTGCTAACCCTAAAGTGGGATTTCTTGTGCTGAACACTTCTTTTGTTTTGTTTTGTTTCATTTGCAGGACTCTTTAATGCTTGGGGAACCAGTGGTTACAGCTGTGATTCTTAGACTTGATAAACTGTTCTTGACATCAAAGAATAATTGATTCCTATAATTGGTTTGTGTTGTTAGACGAAACAGAAGCCATGCTGTTAGCGAATCACTTGCTCTCATTCAAACAGCCTGATGATTTTAATCATGAAAAAAGACTTTGCTGACTCCATTGGATGCGCAGGCGGGCTCGAGGCACTGAGTGTTCCTTTATGCATCGAACTCATAAACAAATAACAAATTATGCAACAAAGCCTCTCAAGTTTTTGCCTTTCTGTTTCCCAGCCCAGGGTGCTCTTTCTCACACCCTGGGCAGCTCAGGAGAGAATGGCAAGGCCCTCTGCTGGAAGCACATCAAATGCAGAAACTAGGCCAGGCAATGCCAGACAGTTCCCAGGCCCCACTGCCATTCGAAGCTTACGCTTTAGTTCGTTTTAGAACCAAACTCTGGCACTTCAGAACCTCCCTACTAATGCTTCTGCTGATTGTAAAGTCAGTGTGTGAGAATCGGAGGCAGTGTCAGGCAGCCCTCAGGAAAAGCAGGAAGGAGGTTAGGCCGTTTTAATTCTCTCTATATATATTTTATAGGCCCTCTTTGCAGGCCCACAAGGCTGTTTTTGGAATGGGAATGATCCTGTAAGAATGGTTCTTTGGCTTTTGATGCGTCAAATGATGTGACACTTGCTGTGGAAATTTAATTGTGCACTCAAAATTGCAACAATAAGTGAACCTAATACAGGCTGGCATTGTTCTAATGGTCACTGCACAATTTTTTGAAAATTTGTATTCCTTTTTTAAACATTCCCCAAATTTTAAACTTTCCCCCTAAAAATAAAGTAGCCAACCCTTACCTTTGTTTTGCATGGAGTATTCTCAGAGGTCACACTTTCGGTTTTGGTTCCCATAGCTTCTTCTAAAACTGAATCAAGGAAGGTATTATGGAGAAGACAAAATAACATAAAAACCTTAAGAAAAAAACTTTTTGGTATCTTAGCAATACCTTTAATGAAGAATGGAAGGAAATGTTATGTGTTAAAAGAATGGGCTGGGCGCTGTGGCTCATGCCTGTCATCCCAGCACTTCGGGAGGCCGAAGAGGGCGGATCACAAGGTCAGGAGTTTGAGACCAGCCTGGCCAATATGGTGAAACCCCGTCTTTACTAAAAATACAAAAATTAGCCGGATGTGGTGGCACATGCCTGTAGTCCCAGCTACTCGGGAGGCTGAGGCAGAAGAATCACTTGAACCTGGGACACAGAAGTTGCAGTGAGCCGAGATCACGCCACTGCACTCCAGCCTGGGCGACAGAGTGAGACTCTGTCTCAAAAAGAAAAAAAAAAAAATCACTATCAAAATTACTTTAAGATTCTTTTGTAGTATTTTACCATTATCATTTATAAGTGGCACTAAGCCCATTTTACCTACTCCTCATTCACTTTATTCAAAGGAAATTCTTCTGGCCCACTATTAATAACACTCAAGCTCTGAGTTGATGCAGACATAGAGTGACAGATTGCCCCAAGCCACAAGCCACACTCTCTCCTCTACCCTGCCCTATGGGATCAAAGGACACATCTGCTTGTGAGGAATGCTTGCCAGGTCTGGGTGTGAGCATGCTCTCTGAGTCCAAAGACAGTGACCCTATTATTAATAACTTATGTGGACTCTCAAGTTTCCAAACATTCACTATTCATATCTATTTTGTATGCTATATTGATTCCTAGCTTCTTGGCTTTATCCTAACCCCAGAAGGCTGAGAAGCAAGTAGAGAAGTTGAAATTTTTTTTTTTTTTTTTTTTTTGGAGACAGGGTCTTACTCTGTCACCCAGGCTGAAGTGTAGTGGCACGGCTCACTGCAACCTCTGCCTTGCAGTCTCAAGTAATACTCCCACCTCAGCCAAGTCCCAAGTAGTTGGAACTACAGGCGCACGCACCACCATGTCCGGCTAATTTTTGTATTTTATTTTTTGTAGAGACAACCTTTCACCGTGTTGCCCAGGCTAGTCTCCAGCTCCTGAGCTATCCTGATCTCAAGTCAAGCAATTTGCTTACCTTGGCCTCTGGGATCTTATAGGCATGTGCTGCCATGCTGGCCTGAATTGTAAAAATATAACTAAAGCAAAAACGACAATATCTATCATTTTTATCATGATATGCTCTTCAACATGGTTTTACAGTGCTAATTTACTTTCTAATCCAATGTATGTTCATAACAAAAAAATAAATTAACCTAGTTGCATAATATAGGTAAACAAGATATATTTTTATGATAGACTATAATTCTGAATAACAAAAGTCCTCAAAAGTTAAATAGTAAAAGATTTTCAATATTTTAAATATTTTTAAAGAAAAAAGCAAAAGAAAAAAATAAAAATTAAGGCCGGGTGCAGTGGCTCATGCATGTAATCTCAGCACTTTGGGAGGCTGAGGTGAGCAGATCACGAGGTCGGGAGTTCGAGACCAGCCTGGCCCACATGGTGAAACCTGTCTCCACTAAAAATACAAACATTAGCTGGGTGTGGTGGCATGCTCCTGTAGTCCCAGCTACTCAGGTGGCTGAGACAGGAGAATTGCTTGAATCTGGGAGGCGGAGGTTGCAGTGAGCCGAGATCCCACCACTGCACTCCAGCCTGGGTGACACAGCAAGACTCTGTCTCAGAAAATAAATAAATAAATAAAAATTTAAAAATAAAAGTTAAAAATGCAAAGTTAGGCTGGACGCGGTGACTTACGTCTATAATCCTAGCACTTTGGGAGGTCGAGGTGGGTGGATCACCTGAGGTCAGGAATTCGATACCAGCCTGGCCAACATAGTGAAACCCCATCTCTACTAAAAATGCAGAAATTAGCCCGGCATGGTGGCGGGTGCCTGTAATCCCGGATACCTGGGAGGCTGAGGCAGGAGAATCGCTGAAACCCGGGAGGCGGAGGCTGCAGTGAGCCGAGATCACAGCACTACACTCCAGCCTGGATGACAGAGTGAGACTCCATCTCAAAAAAAAAAAAAAAAAAAACCACGCAAAGTTAAGCAATTCAGCATATAGCAAAGAACTGTCACACTGTAGCCTATATAATTTTTTTATTAGAAATGTTTCATGTATTAATCACACAATGCTGAAATACTATATACTGTAGTATTTGTGGTCCATGGCACAATGCAGACATGCACTTTTAAATATGCTAGTCTAAAGTAAAAATAAATGACAAAACTATGTTCTTTCAGCAAAAACTTATATTTGGAGTTATATGAATACAAACTGAAAATTTCAATTTAAGAGTCCATGTAGTTACTTTTCAGCTATCTTTTTCTAGTCCTAAATGGAAAGTTACACATTTATTTCTGCCCTGCCTCACTTCCATCATGAATAACAAGATGCATATGCTCATTATGACTAGACCAGGGTTTGAGGGGTGGGTTTGGGAGAGGGAACAAGAAGACATCTTAAAGATCCATGGACCCACCTGTTAGAATCCTATCAAGTTGGTCCACCATGAACTTTGCATCTTCTTCAGTGAAGCACATAGGTGGTTTTATTTTAAGTACATTTCTATGAGGTCCATCGGCACTGAGAAGCACTCGTTTTTCTTTCATCCTAATTTGTGTAGGAAATACATGTGAGTGTATGCAAAGGATAACTACGATTACTGAAGAATTATGTGAACATAGAGCAGTTTAAGTATTCTGCATTTAAGAAGCCCACATTATAAATAGGATGTATTTAAACTTTCCTTTTTCAGAGGGATGGGAGGAAGTCAAGCAAGCTTTCAAGTGGGTAGGCATCCTGCAGCCAAGATACCAAACAGGTGGGTGTGGGGGTGAATTACTTGTAGATGATGTGCTGAGCTTCAGCTGTGGCAGGGGTCCTTTTCAGATGGTCCTTCACTAAATCAATTCCAATAAAAAGGCCAATGCCCCTGCGAGAGGTGAAGAAAAACTTGACCCACAATCTGTCCAACTCTTCACTGTCACAAAAAGTTAACACTATCACCAAACTTCCATTTAATTTCCAAGTTTAATTCTAACTAAATCAAGATACCAATCTATGTTCACAGTTGTTTCTACTTTTGGAAATAAATTAGTTTTTGTCATCCAGTTTTCTTTTCTCAATTATAAAAGAAAATGGCTTAAAAACAACCCTTTCATGCTATTTAGTTTCTCAGGATGTTAATGATGATAAATGTTAACATTATATATATATATATATATATATAATATATATATATATATTATATATATATATATAATATATATATATATTATATATATATATAATATATATATATATATTATATATATATATATAATATATATATATATTATATATATATATGTCAGTATTTCATACATATATATGAAAAATATCCAGCTTTTCAGAATAGCATTTTAAATAATTTTCAATAAATTATTTAGAGCTACATTAAGTTCCTTCTTTTCATCTTTTGGGTGCTGACATTATCCTAACTTTATTAAAAAAGTATAAAAGCCAGGAAAGACATATACCCAAATGTTTTTTTATTGTTGTTGGTTTATTTATTTATTTTATAGAAACAAGGTTTCTTGTTATGTTGCCCAGGCTGGTCTCAAACTCCTGGGCTCAAGCAATATTCCTGCCTCTGCCTCCCAAGGTGCTGGGATTACAGATGTGAACCACCACATCCGGCCCCACCCAAATGTTAACAGTGGTGATATCTGGATTCTGGAATAAGAATAATTTTTGCTATCTCTCTTTTTTGGTGTTTTCCAGATTTAGTTTTATGTACTTTATTATAAACTTACAAGATAAAATATAAACTATTATTATTATTGTTAGAGACGGGATTTCACCCTATCACCCAGGCTGGAATGCAGTGGCACAATCTCGGCTCACTGCAACCTCTGCCTCCCAGGCTCAAGTGATTCTCATGCCTCAGCCTCCCGAGTAGCTGGGACTATTTGTGTGTGCCACCACACCTGGCTAATTTTTTGTAGTTTTAATAGAGACGGGGTCTCACCATGTTGCCCAGCCTATAAACTATTATTATTTTGAAAAAAATGAGTAACTACATGACAACTTCATAATGAACATACCTAATATCTCCTATCAAAGTGTGTTTAGCCTTCTGTTTTTTCAGTAACTCAGTGAGATAATTCCCTACTCTCTTGGCATTTCCTTGAAGGTCTTCATTTTCAATTATATCCAGGACAGCCAAACCAACAGCACAAGATACTGGATTTCCTCCATACTGTAAAAAAAAAAAAGACAAATGAGAAAATATACCAGTTGAATGAGTGGTATTCCCTCATCCATGAGAAATTTGGCTCATACATACATAAGTGAAGATATAATTTAAATAAAATGTTCTCTTATAATATTAGTTTCTCATATTTAGAATAGAGCATGATTCTATATATTCAGGACTGAGTGAAAATTCATTCTAAATTATATTATCCAAGCTGCATAACTGGTATGAAGGACTACCAGTGATTTTATTTGCTCATCCAAACAAAAGCAGACATTATGTTGGGAGTTCAGGATTTCATAGTGTTGCCCAGTGAGGGAAATAGGGGTTTCTGCCCTTGAAGAGCTGAGTAAAAGTAGCTAAGCAATGACATTTTCCCCAAGCAATTTATGTCCTCAGATTTGAATCTTACTTTTAGCTGTAACAAGTCGTATTATATATACTGAACAAACTACAATAATTTTTCCAAGCTTAAAGCTTATGGGGATAAGTCAAAAAAATATAATATCCCAAAGATAAAAATTTAGTATCTCTTATGACAGCTGTATAACATTTATAGTACTGAGTCATAAAAATACTTTAAAAGTGTTTTGGAAATTTAAGTATGATATGAAACAAAGAAATGAAAATATCATAACCTGTAGAATTTAGCAGGGCAACCATCTATCATTGGAAAAATTAATAAGCCTGTTTTAGGACAGGTAAAGATACACAAGCAGAAATACAAGGAGCATTTTGTCAGACAGAATAAAATCTGGTTAGATAAAAGTTTGGCCATATCTAATGCATGTGGGACTTAAAATCTAGATGACGGGTTGATAGGTGCAGCAAACCACCATGGCACATGTATACCTATGTAACAAACCTGCACATTCTACTCATGTATCCCAGAACTTAAAGTATAATTTTATATATATATGTAAGTATTTAAGATGTTTTATTAAAATAAGAAAAAACTTTGGCCAGAGTTCTGGGTGGTTAGCCGGCAATACTGAGCTTTATTCTTTACTACATTGGCAAAAAATATAAGAACATGCATTATTTTTCCTTCTTAGCATTAAAGTTGGAGACCAAAATGTACCGTATTAAAATATTCCATCCCAGAGCTGCTGAAGGCTTCTGCAATTTCTTTGGTTGTTACCACACATGCCACCGGGTGGCCGTTGCCCATCGGTTTTCCCATTGTGACGATGTCTGGAACAAAGTCTTCACCATACATCTGGAAGCTCCAGAAATGTTTCCCAACTCTGCCAAAGCCCACTTGAACTTCATCAGCTATAAACACACCCCCTGCACCGTGTACATATCTGAAAAGCAAAGCGGCAGTCTAATGCCTTCAGGTCACTGAGATCCCCAAACCCACCCACAAAGATGCAAATTATTGAAGACAAAAAAAAAAAGTTGTTAACCTGAAGCCTTAATTTTTCTTAAAAAACATTTCAGTACTCTAAACCCCACATAAATGTCATTGACTTTACAATATAATCACATAATTTTTAGATTAGATATATTCCATACCAGTTGGGTTTGTGCTACTTAAAGTAAGCTATATTGCAGTATTTTTTTTTAAGAGATGGGGTCTCACTCTGTTGCCCAGGCTGGAGTGCAGTGGTATGATCAAACTCCCTGTAACCTCAAACTCCTGGGCTCAAGCCATCCTCCCACCTCAGCCTCCCCAGTAGCTGGAACTACAAACGTGTGCCACCATGCCCAGATAATATTTTTAAAAAGGTTTTGTAGAGAGGGGGGTCTTGCTATGTTGCCCAGCTGGTATTGAATTCCTGGCCTCAGGTGATCCTTCTGCTTTGGCCTCCCAAAGTGCTGGGATTATAGTGCATGAGCCACAGCACCCAGTCCTATTACCATATTACCTTTTAAGTGGGAAGAGAAAGAATCAAACAAGTAGTTGTTAACAGGGTTAGTCTTCAAATATTTACTAATTGGGAAGGCTTGTGTAATGGTTAATACTGAGTGTCAACTGGATTGAATTGAAGGACACAAAGTATTAATCCTGGGTTCCTGGGTATGTCTGTGAGGGTGTTCCCAAAAGAGATTAACATTTGAGTCAGTGGGCTGGGGAAAGCAGATCCATGCTTAATCTGGTGGGCACAATCTAATCAGCTGCCAGCGAATATAAAGCAGGCAGAAAAATGTGAAGAGGAGAGACTGGCCTAGCCTCCCAGCCTACATCTTTCTCCCATGCTGGATGCTTCCTGCCCTCAAACATCAGACTCCAGGTTCTTCAGTTTTGGGACTTAAACTGGTTGTCCTTGCTCCCCACCTTGCAGACAGCCTATTGTGGGACATTGTGATCATGTAAGTTAATACTTAATACCGCCGTGTGTGTGTGTGTGTGTGTGTGTGTGTGTATGATATGTGATATATATACGATATATATGATATGTGATATATATACAATATATATGATATGTGATATATCATATATGATATATATAGGATATATATATATCCTATTAGTTTGGTCCCTCTAGAGAACCCTGACCAATACAGATTTGGTACTAGCCAATCAGAGAGGATGCAGGCTGGAGGCTGGAGCAGAGTTCTGAACCCCCGCTGTTGGACCATGTGTAAACCTTGTACTTGCTGGATCTTGGGGAAGGCTGAGAGAGCATCCAGGAGTCCTGGGTTGGCAGGCACTCAGGTGTGGCTATTTACCAGCTAATCAGGAATTATTTTAATATCTTAGCAACTAGTATGGCCCTACAGAATTGTCACAGTGCTCTCAGTTTGACCAAGGAGGCCCAAGTCAAGTACATACTCTGCCACTTTCTGGAAGTAGCCTGCTGGAGGAATTATTTGTCCGCCACAACTCTGCATGGATTCAGCAATAAAGGCAGCAATCTATACAAGAGAAGATGGTGTCAAAGTCCATTAGGTCCCCCTACAACCCCCCTAAAAAGAGTATATCTTATAGAGCAGGTTATTTTAAAAATGGCTAGGAATAGACCTGTAGCAAGTGGCAAATTAGCCATTTGATTAAAGAAAAAGGAAAAGGTGTCTATGCAGGAAAAGCAATTGATTTAAAGCATTAACTTCTGAAAATCTAGGGTACCAATAAAGCTACCATGAGAAATAGAGGAGATGAGAGCGCAACTTCCATTTCTCCATCATTACATGCAGCAGTTTCATTAGGATGAACTGAATAAGACTGCTATTTTTATTAGTCTTTGGTTATGAACCTGTAAAAAGTTACCTAGGTCCAAAGGCATTGTCGTGATGCCTGTTTCTTAAGCTTGGTGAAGTAGGGCTGCTTGAGGCTGGAATTTGCACCATGAAAGTGGCAGGGTGGTTTGTGGCCACACACTGTAGTTACTGTGCCGTATTTCTAGGTTTTGCCCTAAACCACGCTTAACTCAACAGTGGGCAGTTAACAATAGGAACTACAGATGAATCATTCTAGAGACTAAGAAAAGAGAAGTAGGAAACAGATAATGTTGAAGAGAAAGCACAAAGAATGTGAGATAAGAAATCAAGAGAACCCAAGTTCTAGTTCAGACTACCCCTTAGTAATTGTATGACCTTGGGTTAAATCCTTCACTTTTTAGATATTTGGTTTCTTAGCTGTAAAATGAGGCTGTTGGACTCAAGACTTTTGCTGTACAATTCCATGACTTTGCAAGCACATCTAATATTCTGAAGCACTGATCTTATATTTGTTCATTGCTTTCAGCACTGCTAATATGACAGCAACAATCCAATAAATGTTGAATGCTAATGTTCTCAAAAAATTATTCAAACCCTCTTTTAGCAGCAAAGAGTCCGTAAGATCTTGTTAATGTAAATTTTTTCCTAAAAGTGTTGTTTGCCATTTGTTTAAACAGGTACAGACCACATTTGAAGAGGAAGAGTATGAAGCTTCCTACAACACGTAGAGCTTTAGGTCTACCTGCACAGATGTTTCACATAAGAAGATACGAAAAACAAATGGGTTGGGGAAAAAAAAGAAGAAACAGTTAAGAAATGTGAATGGCTCTCTAGTCATGAAGACAAAAATATTTGAGTTAATTATAAAAAGAAAAGGCCTCATTTTTATTTCAGTTAAGGTTTTTTTTTAAAATAGCCAAGTCTATGCTATAAGCCAATTTTAAGGCAAAGTACTGTCAGGTTGCATTAACATCCACATAAATAACCTACAGATGGGCTGAGAATTGAACATTAAGCTGAAGACAGTAGGGTGAAGACCAAGAAAGTGAAAACAATTTTTTCCTGCTCTCAAGGATTTTGTTTCTGTCTTAGAAGTCCAGGCCCACATCGGAAGAACATTTTCTGCCTTGGCTTACCCAGGTGCAAACCAGCCCCAGGCTCCATGGCTTCAAGAAGGTCGAAGTTCAAGGGAAGCACCAAGGCTCCCTTGTGGGTCTGGAAATCTGCATTGGTCCTCAGGTCCAAGGGCTACTTTGTCTCTTCTCTTCCCTTCACCATATAATGACCCCTACCCCTCTAGACTAGACCCTGCATACCACTGAAAAGGTCAGAATTAGGCAACCAGTTCTGGAACCAGATAATGGTTGTATTTCCAGGATAAATACAAGTAGACAGTCTTAGAGGCATGATTGTAATAACGCATTTTTGAAATTTGAATCAAGTGAAAACGTAACTAGAGAAGAACAGAAAGGGACATTAGATATAATCCTTTTCCATCTCTTCAGTGAATCCCAACAGTTTTAATCCCTTTTATAAAAGATGTTGAGATGTTTCCAAAGCTATAAATACAAACCTTCCTTCCACTGTTATGAGCATCTTCAATGATTTTCTTCACTTCATCTGCATAAGCACTGGCTGAGTCTGCATGGTCTTCTCTATATTTTCCTCTGTAAGTATCTGGAGTTGGTGCCTGAAAACATCAAATAATGCAGTTGCTTGTAATTTGCCTTTTCGACAAACCTTAAAAAAAAGGCATTTCCCCACAAGAACATGTTAGAATGGTGATCATGTGAACTTAAGATACTTTAGGTTTTTTTGTTCTTTTTTTCCCTTAACATTTCTAAATTCTGTGAAGAACTGACATCTTTGAATTGTGAACAGAAGTTTGGATTTGCTTCCAGACTGTTATACATCAAGACTATATCCCTCCTCACATAAATAGAACATTCAAATCAACAAATGTGATGATAGTATTTAAAAATGTCAGTGAATGGAAACTGTATTAACTAGTCTGGATTTAAAATGAGCCAACACCGATCAACTATATTGCAAATCGTAATCATTCAGAAAACTAGAGTGTGTTAGCACTCACTCCAGATCTTAAAATCTTGAAAATATTGATGATTCTCAAGAAATTTGGCCAGGCGCGGTGGCTCACGTCTGTAATCCCAGCACTTTGGGAGGCTGAGGTGTGCAGGTCTCTTAAGGTCAGGAGTTTGAGACCAGCCTGGCCTACATGATGAAACCCTGTCTCTACAAAAAATACAAAAATTAGCAGGGCTTGGTGGTGTATGCCTGTAATCCCAGCTGCTCGGGAGGCTGAGGCTGAAGAATCGCTTGAACGCTGTAAGCGGAGGTTTCAGTGAGCCAAGATCGTGCCACTGCACTCCAGCCTAGGTAGCAAAATGAGACTCCGTCTCAAATAAATAAGAAAGAAAGAAAGAAAGAAAGAAAGAAAGAAAGAAAGAAAGAAAGAAAGAAAGAAAAGAGAAGAAAAGAAAAGAAAAAAAGAAATTATACTGTTCCTCAGTTAAGACAAACACACCAAATAAATTTCACCTTTTCAACAACTTGGTTGGTTTCTTTATTTTACTTAATAAAGCTATATAATAATTTAGCATTATTATACAGAGCAATTTACTTTTTCTTTTCTTTTTTTTTTTTTTTTTTGAGATGGAGTCTCACTCTGTCACCCAGGCTGGAGTGCAGTGGCACGATCTTGGCTCACTGCAACCTCCACCTCCCAGGTTCAAGCGATTCTCCTGTCTCAGCCTCTCAAGTTGCTGGGACTACAGGCACCTGCCACCACACCTGGCTAATTTTTGTACTTTTTTTAAGTAGAGACAGGATTTCGCCATGTTGTCCAGGCTGGTCTTGAATTCCTGACCTCCAGTGATCCGCCCACCTCGGCCTCCCAAAGCCCTAGAACTACAGGCACGAGCCACTGTGCCCGGCCAAGAGCAATTTAAAAACACACTTAGTTCAACTCTGAATTTTGAGTTGGCATTTGTGATAGAAAATGTAACTGAAGATTAAGGAGCAAGAAAAATAAAATGATAGCTCTGAACAACTACTAAACTAATTTGCCTATTGTAATACTCATCAATGTATTTTAAATAGATAAATAAATTTTAAATAACATTCTGTCATTATTTAGCCCTTTGACCTTAGCAAGCCACATAACTGCTCTTGATTTTAGTTTCTCTTTCATGGTTCATCTAGATGAAAGCATTGGCTGGATTATCATTAAGCATTCCTCCAATACAAACATTCTGATTTAGGATTTTAAGACACTTACCACATGTACAAATTCTTTTTTGACATCTTTTCCTTTCTGAAACTTATATGGGCTAATCTCAATTAAGGATGATAGGTGACCATGGTAAGCACTGAAGAGACAAAGAAAAAAAAGCAGTAATCAAAATAATTCCAAGAGAGATATTTTCAAGTATATGAAAACCAGTGTTGCATTTCATCCATATGCATCCATCCAGGGAGAATCTCAACACTGGTGCCAGATTTGACTATATGGGATCTAATTTTTCATGGCAAGACTGGCCCTTAATGTGTACAATTCTTCTTTTACATGTAATAAAACTCATAGAAAGCCAAGCATGTGTCCTCATTGACAATTTCTTTTTAGTTGGGAAAAACTGATGTATTTGGATTATATTGCTAAATTAGATTGTCTAAATGTGAAAAATTGTTTTCTATATCCTCATGCAATACTTTACGTGTATGTATTCTTTAAATGTGTTAAAAGAATATGTGTTACATTCTAGTAAATTTAAAAACAACTTTATATCATAGAATGGGCATCTGTTTCTGTTCGGGATGATTTCTAAAGCATGTCCACTTGCAAATATTAGGCAAATATTACTTGAGAAGGAAAAGGAGATCTTTTTAAGAACTAAGATTGAGGCTAGCCATATGCAGAAGAATGAAACTAGACTCCTGCCTTTTATCATATACAAAAATTAACTCAACATGGATTAAAGACTTAAATTTAAGACTTAAAACTGTAAAAATCCTAGAAGAAACCCCAGGAAATACCATTCTGGACATCAGCCTTGGCAAAGAATTTATGAATAAGTTCCCAAAAGCAATTGGGAAGGGCATGAAATGAGGTGCATATTTAACTTCACCCTCTACATCTGAAGTTAGTGAGTGGGGTGGAGGAGTAGACAAAAATTTAAAAGAAAAAATATCCGTAGGCTAGCCTCGGTGGCTCACGCCTGTAATCCTAGCACTTTGGGGGGCTGAGGCGGGTGGATCACTTAAGGTCAGGAGTTCGAAACCAGCCTGGCCAACATGGTGAAAACCTGTCTCTACTAAAAATACAAAAAAAGTTAGTTGGGCATGGCAGCGGGCACCTATAATACCAGCTAATTCCAGAGGCTGAGGCAGGAGAATTGCTTGAACCCAGGAGGCGGAGGTTGCAATGAGTGGAGATCGCGCCACTGCACTCCAGCCTGGATGACAGAGCGAGACTCCGTCTCAAAACAAACAAACAAACAAACAAACTCTAATAAAGATGGAAGTTGCCAGATTTCTGGTTTAAAATGTAATAAATTCATGTTTGACAGGTAAGATTAGATAGTGACTGTTAATAATTACAGGCTAATGAAAAAGTTTTAAATCTTACGTGGCTGCCGGTTTTCTTTAAAATTTGCTGTAAATTGTTATCTTTAAAATTAGTGACTGCGAATAATCACAATAGTGAAGTGAATGCTTGAACTTTTTTTGAAATTAATTGTATTCTTATTTGGAAAACAATTTAATTACTTACATGTTAATAGTGGCTCAATGAATAATGTGTGAAAAGTAATCCATGATTCATGCAAACTCCATGAAGCTACATCCCCCACAGTAACCAAGAGAGCCTCTCCTACTTCCTGGTACTTAGAAGGAATTAAATATCCCTCTGGATTTAAGCTGGCCTTGATAGCTTAATACATAATTTTTAAAAACATTAAAACATTGCTCCATATATCTGTCCTCTTTCACATGCGTTCATGGTATTAGTATGGATAGGATCAATACAATTTTGTCTCTGAAGAAGCTTCTTGCTTAAAAATCTTGTGTCCAAGACTTACTGGTCAAGAGTGATCACATCCTGGTGGCCTCTGAACTGCCGAGCCAGGCGTAAGGCTAAGTCGTTGGCTTCGGATCTATTAAGATAACATAGAGAGAGAGGACACTGTGACAGTCTCTTTTTAAAACATTTAGGATGTGCCAGGCACGGTAGCTCACGCCTGTAATCCTAGCGCTTTGAGAGGCCAAGGAGGGCCGATTGCCTGAGCTCAGAAGTTAGAGACCAGATTAGGCAACCCGTCTCTACTAAAATACAAAAAATTAGCCAGGCGCAGCAGCGTGCGCCTATAGTCTCAGCTACTTGGGAGGCCGAGGCAAGAGAATTGCTTCAACCTGGGAGGTGGAGATTGCAGTGAGTGGAGATTGCCCCACTGCACTCCAGCCTGGGTAACAGACTGAGACTCCATCTCCAGAACAACAACAAAAAAAAACATTTAGGATGTTAATTACAAAAGTTGTAAGATTACATTTATTCAGAAACTTATAAAATAATAAGTTGAAATCCTCTCCTTCCTCTATCTTGCCTGCCCACTTTACCCTTCTAATATAAGGTTCCTTAGATGTTTTCAGTAAAGAATGAGACATATAGAAGAAACCCAATAAAAATTAAGGATATGCTGCCCATTCCAGACTTTAGTCTAGTTCAGCCACATAGTGACTGAGGACACGAAGAAGCCTTCACTAAATCTGATCTCCACAGGAGGAATGGGAGACTGAGGGCCCATTAGCTTGGCTGCCAACCCTATGTCATATTTACCCAACATTTGACTAGCTTCCTTCTCTATAAAATGAGTATCAAATTTTTTCCTATATATTTCAGACAATCTAAATATACTACCCAAAAAAAGGAAGAAAATAATAATAAGTGGAATGTTTACTATCCGTTAAACATCATGCTGAGGATTTTACTTGTATTTTTTCTCATAACAGCATTACAAGTATTGCCATCTCCTTTATATGGATAAAACAGCCTCAGAGAGGTAAAGTAATCAGAATAAGGTCTCATAGCTAATATGAGGTAGAGCAGGATTCAGACTGAAGACTTTTTTACTTTTAAGAGTATTTTGTTGGCCAGACATGGTGGCGGTGGCTCACGCCTGTAATCTTAGCAATTTGGTAGGCCAAGGCGGGAAGATTTCTTGAGGTCAGGAGTTCAAGATCAACCTGACCAATCTAGCAATACCTTGTCTCTAAAAATAATAAAGTAATTTTTTAAATTAAAAAAATAGAATATTAGTCTTGGCTGGGTGCGGTGACTCATGTCTGTAATCCTAGCACTTTGGGAGGCTGAAGCGGGCAGATTGCTTGAGCCCATGAGTTTGAGACCAGTCTGGGCAACATGGTGAAACCCCATCTCCACAAAAAATACAAAAATTAGCCCAGGCATAGTGGGTTATGTAACCCCTATGGGTTACAGGGGCTCACCCTGTAACCCCAACACTTTGGGAAGCCGAGCCAGGCACAGTAGTGTGACCACCATGCTGGACATAAATTGGTTTTAAAATATCTTAATGGAAAGTGAATCACAGAGAGTCATATAATCAAATATTCACGGAATGTCTAATAGTTAATTTTCATATATATTTCTTTCTTTTTTTTTTTTTTTTTTTGACGGAGTCTCACTCTGTCGCCAGGCTGGAGTGCAATGGTGTGATCTTGGCTCACTGCAACCTGACTGCAATTCTCCTGCCTCAGCCTCCCAAGTAGCTGGGACTACAGGCACACACCACCACGTGCAGCTAATTTTTGTATTTTTAGTAGAGACAGGGTTTCACCATGTTGGCCAGGATGGTCTTGATCTCTTGACCTCGTGATCCACCCTCCTTGGCCTCCCAAAGTGCTGGGATTACAGGCATGAGCCACCACGCCGAACCATATTTCGTTTTTAAAATAGGAGTTTCTACTATATATCTATAAAGCTTTCCCCAATATAATATTGCACTTTAAGCACATATTTAGACATGCATTTGCAAAAACATACTCCTAAATATCTGCATAATAGTCTATAGAATGGATATATAATGATTTGAATTTACAGAATTTAAAAGTTGGGGCCAGGCACGGTGGCTCACACCTGTAATCCCTGCACTTTGGAAGGCTGAGGTGGGCAGATTGCTTGAGTTCAGGAGTTCAAGAGCAGCCTGGGCAACATAATGAGACACTGTCACTAAAAATCAAACAAAACAAAACAAAAAACTAAGTTAAAAAGTTGAGGCAGCCCGAGGTGCCTGCCTGGAGATGGCCAGCCTGTGGGTGTTGGTGCTGGCCCCAGGGTCCCCACGCTGACCCCGAGGCGCTGCTGGTGGCCCTGTGCATGGCCTTCCAGACCAGCCCGCATCTCTTGGGGCTCCTTCTGGCTGGGCACGGTTGCTCATGCTTGCAATCCCAGCACTGGGAGGCCGAGGCGGGTGGATCACCTGAGGTCGGGAGTTTGAGACCATCCTGACCAACATGGAGAAACTCCATCTCTACTAGAATACAAAATTAGCTGGGTGTGGTGGCGCATGCTTGTAATCCCAGCTACTCAGGAGGCTGAGGCAGGAGAATCACTCAAACCCGGGAGGTGGAGGTTGCAGTGAGCAGAGATAGTGCCATTACACTGCAGCCTGGGGAACAAGAGCGAAACTCCATCTCAAAAAAATAAATAAATAAATGAAAGTTGAAATGTATCTATTTGAGTTTCCTTCTTTTTTCTTTTCTTATGTTTGTATTGGGGAAATATGCTCAATTTTCAACAATCAAAAATCTTTAAAAAGTCTAGCTTGTTGCCAGGCGCAGTGGCTCACGCCTGTAATCCCAGCACTTTGGGAGGCTGAGGTGGGTGGATCACAAAAAATTAGCTGGGCGTTGTGGCGGGTGCCTGTAATCCCAGCTACTTGGGAGGCTGAGGCAGGAGAATAGCGTGAACCTGGGAAGCGGAGCTTGCAGTGACCTGAGATCACACCACTGCACTCCAGCCTGAGCGACAGAGCAAGGCTCCATCTCAAAAAAAAAAAAAAAAAAAAAAAAGTTTTAGCTTGTTTACTAGAGTTATTTCTTGGCTAAAGTTACTCATACACTCATTGAAAGAATATCTTGGCCTATCAATCCTTCAGCTACTTATTGCACTGCCTGAGGAGGTGAGCATCATTTGATCAGTTAGATTCACAGTCGTAGAATAAAGTGGGAGAACCAGAAAGGCTAGGTCCCTAATGTGTGATCACTTAGTGAATGGCAAGAAACTCAGCAAACCCTTTTGGACAAGCTCCACCATGAATCAAAAGGAAAGATTTGTGTGCAAGAGTAGACAAAGTTTAGTGGGAATGGGGAGGGGTGGGAAACCATGAAGCATACCCTGAATTTGTAAAATAACAAACAGAGAGTTTCTCCGGCAGAGTTGCTGAAAGGCGTTTGGCATACTCAACAATGTTGTCGTGGAGGAATCGAGAATTTGTATTTAGCAGTTCCATCTGTTTCAGGGCAGCTTTGACCACTCCTGGGTGACAGTGTCCCACTAAAATTTATGAAACAAAAGCCCAAGAAATAAGTTAGAATTCTAAGTGCCTGGGAATAAGAGGAATTATGAAGCAAGCAAGCAAGCAAACAAACAAACAAACAAAAGTTGAGTTCCTTTCTCTTCCATATTTTGCTGCGATTTTCCCCACTAGGACTACTGGCCCACTCAGCAAAGGAACTGCAGCCACTGCAATTCCCCAAACAAAAATTAAGTGTTCCAAGTCAGCTTTACTCCATGAACATTTCCTCCAAAGCACTGCAAGGACAGGACATTTACCATGGGCAACATTGTTGATGCAGTCCAAGTACTGTTCACCGTTCTCATCAAACATGTACTGCCTCTGGGCTCTCACTATTTTGATGGGATCCGATGCAAAGAAAACTTTGCATGAGGGCCTAGAAATAATCAAAGGAAACACTTTGGTCTGGTAGGACTACTCTCAGTATTTTTCCTTCTCAATGAAGGTCCCCATCAGTGGAAAAGTACAGTTACATAAAGGAAAGGGAAAACACAACCTGGATGACATACATTTCTTTTCATTTCATGTAAACCTGGAAACTTTTATGTTAATCCCCCATTCATGACATTGTTCACATTCCTTATGCTTGTTATATTAAATATGCCATGATTTGACAATTTATTAGAGGCACAGGAATCCACTCTCTGATGGTTCTAATCACACAGACCAATAACTAATTTTCCTTTGAGAAATTTTGTTCTATCAGAAAAAAAATAACCAAGTTTTTTTGGGGGGCTTAATGTGTCAGAAGCTGTTATATATTTTGTAAATATTATTTAATCCTGTCAACAATCCTATGAAAGAGAGGTTATTATCTTTCTCACTCTTATAGGTGAGGAGACCAAGGCACAGAGAAATTAAGTAACTGGTTTAAGGCTACACAGACAGTAAATGAGAAAACCAGAATTTGCAAGTAGGCTGTGTTGTGCTGTAGCCCAAGGTAGACATCTCTGTTTCCCCTTCAATCTAATGTATAAAGACATGAATAGCACTGAAAGCTAAATGCAAATAACCTAGAGTTAAATACTACGCAGGAAGTTTTATAGATTATTTTCATTTTCATGTATTTTGAGTGGTACTTGTCCAGTATCAAATGGATTTTCCATTATTAAATAGTGAAATTCAATTATTCTTCTAAGCATTTAATATGTTTTTTGAGCATAATAAGGTCATCCATACTTTTATTTGGATGAATGGCTGGATTATACATTTTAGCACATAGAAATTTCACAAAGGCTTCTAATCTTGGCTTTATGAACATTTAAGAACTAAAGTTAAATATATTTATTTATTTTGGTGATTTTGCATACATACAAAAAAACCCTCACACACATTGGAGGTAGTTCTAGTAGTAGAAATATACTAAATTGATATGTAACTGTTTAGAAGGAATTTTGATTATTACAAACAGTAGGTAACCTCAAATTTTAAAATTGCATAAGGTTGTGTTATATATTGATTTTTTTTAAGCATCATCAGCTGAAATGAAAATAGTATTTTATAAGAATTTCTTATTGGTTCAAACTCAGCTGTTAGTTTATACCTACAAGTTAAAATCCAAAAAAAAACTTTGTTAAGGATGTGAGCTGAAAGCTGCAGACTTCACATTGCCTTTTTAATACACTTTCCACCTTGCCCGTCAGACTTCAGGTAAAATTCTCCTTTATCCAGTCAGCCCATGGCTACACTCGTGCTTTTAGAAAATTTGTTCTGCTCATGTCAGAAACCATTAGGCATTTACCGGAATCTAACTAAGATTGAAAACTAACGCAGTGAGTGATTAGAAAAAGTAGGGTAGTGATTGATTAATGGGGAAAGAACTGGATTATTTTGATCCCACTTAGCGGCTGAGAGAGATGGAACTAGTCTTCCAAACCACCCAGAAACCCCTCCAGTTGGGGTGAGGAGCTTCAGTCTGAGAAACTGTCCAGCATTCCTCCGAAGAGGATGCGGATTGTTTTCTTCCTTGTAACCCCAAGTGCTCTCTCATGCCCACTGGCCCGGCTGCAGTCGTTCATTTCAAGTGAATATTGCAGACGGTTGACTTTACAGTATTCGGGGTCATTAATCATCATTTATATTTACACGTATCTTTTTAAAAACCACGCACAAAACACTAACATATTAATCTCATCTTCTTGCTCCTGTGAAGTAGAATGTTATTCCTACTTTCATAGAAGAGACAATTAATTTGACAGAGGTCCACACAGGGAATATGACATCCAACGAGAGCTAGAGCCCCTGTCGGTCTTATATACTCACCTTTATATTACTAAGTCGTTTGTGACGGGGGCAAGACAAGCAGGCTGGGAAGAACACAGCTTGGGAGAGCAAGTTGGGTAAGAGGGATCTAAATAAAGTCTCTGCTTTTCTAACAGAAGGTGGTTTCAAGTTTTTCTATTGGCTAGATAAACCCTTCATCACTTAACCAAGCATGCAAGAAGAAAAAGCTCACTTTAAGTAAAAATTGTCAGAATTGGTTTGTTTGCGGAGCCATCATGAAAAAATATTTCTCAGTTCACAGTTTCCAAAAACTTTCGAGTTGTGTGGGGGTGGCGGAGCGCTATCCTTCTTCCACCCATCTCCCATCCCTGGAATGGTGTCTGCTAGGGCTATTGGCCGTCATCCACCAACCCCTCTAGCCGGCCGGCAGCCCCCGCTAGTCCGCCGGCTGCAGAGCGAGCCGGGGACTTTCGAGCGGGCAGGAAGCCCAGCGTTCCGGGTTCCAGGAGCGTTTCTGGGAGTCCGCGCGGCCCCTGCAGGTGGAGGCGCGCGGGGCGCGTGCACAGGCGCGGCGGGCACGGAGTGCGGCTGCAGCGCATCGTTTGTTCCCTAGCCGGCTTTCTCTCTCCACCTTCTGCACTCGTTATTGCCCCCTCTCTGCACTTACTTCCGGGCCAGGGTGCCCTTACCCGATGTGCTTCTTCCTCAGCCCCAGAGTGTCCCGCTTACTGTACAGCTCGCACATGGTGGCGGGGTGCAGGGCGCTGCGAAGGTGCAAGGTGCAAGGTCTGCGCGCCTCCTACGCGAGCCTGGGACTGCCTTGGCGGCCCCGGCCGGCCTTCCTCCCGTTATCCCTCCTGGCGTTCTCTTGCCCGGGGCGTCGGAGGTCACCGGTGGCGTCAACTAGCTAGGATCATCTCCCTTTTAAGTCTGGCTCTGGCGTTGCCCTTTGCCAAGCCCCTCCTCCTCCCCCGCCGGGGCCGCGGGCAGGTCGCCGGGCTAGCAGCTCATTCGCCACCACCCTGTCCTGCCAGGCCGGCTCGGCCCTACCCGCCCCTATCATTCCTCTGAATTCGCCTTTCATTCTCCTAACTTTGCCTCGTCTTTGCTTTTCCTCCTCCTCTGCCTGCGAATTCCCTCCTTCCCACGTTCTTTCTGGTTTCTTTTTAGTGTAGTCCTTTATTTTCTGGTAAAAATTCAGGAGTTAGGCGCTTCCCGGATCAAGACTCACTGCGCAGTCTGATAAGGTAACCTACCATTTACTCAGCACAAGGACGCGTCCTAACGAGAAATAACCCGGACTCAGCCTGTTATCTCCATTGGCAGTGATGATATATGCAGTGTTTCAAACATCTCCTTTAACAATGATTACACTTCTAATTCCTCTAACTATACAACTTACAAAACACATTCACATGACTTATCTTGTTCAGTCTTCAAAACAACCCTGAGAGATGACCACGAGTGTTACCCCATTTAATGAACGGGGAAAGTGAGGTTATTCCCTGTTCTAATGATTATATATCCACTTGATGCTGAAAACGGGACTCATTCTTAGATTTCTTGACTTCCTTCAAGATGGTCTTCTCACACAGATCATATCTGAAGCTAAATATGTGCACAGGTAGAAACTTTTTTTTTTTTTTTTTTTTTTTTTTTTTTTTTGAGGATGGAGTCTGGCTCTGTCACCCAGGCTGGAGTGCAGTGGCGCAATCTCGGCTCACTGCAAGCTCCGCCTCCCGGGTTCACGCCATTCTCCTGCCTCAGCCTCCCGAGTAGCTGGGACTACAGGCGCCCGTCACTACGCCCGGCTAATTTTTGTATTTTTAGTAGAGATGGGGTTTCACCATGTTAGCCAGGATAGTCTCGATCTCCTGACCTCGTGATCCCCCCGCCTCGGCCTCCCAATAGAATCTTAATTAACTGAATCATTAAATCATACATTATTTTAACTAGAAGTCATCTGGTTTAACTTCTCTGCTCTGTAGATAAGAACAGTGAGGCACAGGAAAGGTGAAGGTTTATTCAAGTTCACACAAACACTTAGTCATTGGGTTAAGGATAGGTCATTTTATTCTCTCTGTGTTTTGAAAGGGCAGCAGGGAAAGCCTAATTTGCATGTATCAACACATTTGATAAGTATTTGCAACTGATCTTTCTCTTGAAAAAAGTTATTAATATATATTCATGCACTGCAGGAGGAGTAGAATTGGATTGCCTAAGGTAGAAAGAGAAATGGAGTCCTATGAGGAACAGTGTGTTAATTCCAGATTTTAGGCCAGGCGCCGTGACTCACGCCTGTAATCCCAACATTTTGGGAGTCCAAACTGGGCGAATCACCTGAGGTCTGGAGTTCCAGACCAGCCTGGCCAACATAGCAAAACCCCATCTCTACTAAAAAAATACAAAAATTAGCTGGGCGTGGTGGTGGGCACCTGTAATCCCAGCTACCCAGGAGGCTGAGGCAGGGAGAATTGCTTGAACCTGGGAGGCAGAGGTTGCAGTGGGTTGAGATCATGCCACTGCACTCCAGCCTGGGCAACAGAGTGAGACTCCATCCCCCTCCACAAAAAAAAGAAAAAAAAAAGAATTCCGTGTTTTATAAATGAAGAGCAGGAAGCACTTTGGAGACTTGCAAGAAATCCCAGTTATGTAATCTTGGTCTAGTTCTGTGCCTGAAAGATATTGCCAACTGTATATCTACTCTCAAACCACCTTGACCTGGTGAAGTCATAGTCACACTTCCTTCATAAAACTTTATGGATTCTTGTTGTTAATATTCCCAGTGCCTTAAGAAACTCTGGATTAAGAGTCTTGGGTTCTAGATCTGGTTCTTCCATAAACCAGCTGGGCTTCTTAACCTTTCTGAGGCCCAATTTCTTTGTATTGAAAACTGAGCTCTGTGGCTGGTGGGGAGCTACACAGCTGTAATCCCAACACTTTGGGAGGCTGAGGCAGGTGCATCACTTGAGCTCAGGAGTTTGAGACCAGCCTGGGCAACCTGGTGAAATTCTGTCTGTACAAAAAATTTAAAAATGAGCCAGAGATGGTGGCGTGTACCTGTAATCTCAGTTACTCGGCAGGCTGAGGTGGGAGGATCCCTTGAGCCTAGGAGGAAGAGTCTGCAGTGAGCTAAGATTGTGCCACTGCACTCTAGCCTGGATGACACAGTGAGACCCTGTCTCATAAAAAGAAGAAACTCTCTGACTCAAAGCATTACAAGTAGGGCTTGAATGAGATCATGATTTGGTCTTTATAAGGGTAGAGTCCTGAACCCTCTTCTTTTCTCTTCACTCTTTCCCAAGAGTGCTACCTTATGTTTTAACCATTTATTTAGGAGAAGGCTTCTTAGATTCATTATCTTTTATGGGAAAGCAAGTCACTGTTACATAAAAGATAATTTCCCCATTATTTAACTTTTTTCACGATAGAATATATAACATTGACTGAGTACCAAGGACAGTCTTTAAATAAAGAACTGACACATAATGGATCAAAATAAGGATGGATGAAAGTCGACAGACATCCACACTATACAAAGCTTTATCAAAAAACAAATCCCAAGGTATTTTGGGGTATATTTTCTCATGTACTTCTCAAATGTAGAATTATTTGGTAGGAATGTATGCTGTAGTGTCTTTTCTCTCCAGAAGTTGACACTTGGGCCAGGCATGGTGGCTCACACCTGCAATCCCAGCACTTTGGGAGGCAGAAGTGGGCAGATCTCTTGAGATCAGGAGTTCAAGACCAGCCTGGCCAACATGGTGAAACCCCATCTCTACTAAAAATGCAAAAAATTAGCCATCTGTGATGGCATGTGCCTGTAGTCCCAGCTACTCAGGAGGCTGAGGCAAGACAATCACTTGAACTTGGGAGGTGCAGGTTGCAATGAGCTGAGATCATGCCACTCCAGCTCCAGCCTAGGTAACAGAGCAAGATTCTGTCTCAAAAAAAAAAAAAAAAAAAAGAAAAGAAAAGAAAAGAAAAAAAGAAGTTGACGTTCTTTCAGTTTTGGTCCTGACATTATTGATTGGCTCACTCTATTAAGTGAGTCCTGATCCGAAGGTCATAGATTTCTCAACAACCTAGGCTTGGCCAAACAAACCATACTTGTGCATGACTGAAATGAGGAGGTACAGCCCACGCAAGCTTGGGAAAATAAGAATTCCATTCAATAGTCCAATGAGAAGAGTCTGAATGGCAAGTTTTAATTTTCTTTTTGGTAAAAACCCTGTAAAAATGGGTGGGTGAACTGTATGTTCCCAAGAACAGAGATTATTCAGCTTATTAGACATTACTCAAGATGGAACATGGGCATTTGAAACTTTTCACTCTTTCCTGTTACCCTGTCATGCCCTAATCTACCCTACCCTTCATAGGGATTTGTATTTTCTGAAAATCATACATCATCTGGGACAAATGCTGGGTGTGGTGCTTTTCTGACCTGACACACGGTATCCAAAGAGGGCATCCTTGACCCCAGACAGAACTTTGCATGAGCAATATAGTTCACGTGTCTAAACTTCACCTGAGAAGTCTACACTGCTGTCAACGTGTGCATATAACTGTGCACACAGCTCCTAGTTCAGATTAGAAGGAGGCTGACAGGTTAAAACAGATGTCCATCTCTGGGAGTTCAAAACCACTTCAAAGAAGCCATTTGACCCCAAACAATATGTGTGGGCTGGGTGCAGTGGCTCACGCCTATAATCCCAGCACCTTGGGAGGTCAAGGCGGGTGGATAACTTGGGGTCAGGAGTTTGAAACCAGCCTGGCCAACATGGTGAAACCCCATCTCTACTAAAAATACAAAAATTAGCCTGGCATGGTGGCGTGCACCTGTAGTCCCAGCTACTTGAGAGGCTGAGGCAGAAGAATTGCTTGAACCCAGGAGGTGGAGGTTGCAGTGATCTGAGATCACACCACTGAACTCCAGCCTGGGTGACAGAGTGAGACTGTGTCTCAAACAAAACAAAACAATATGTGTGAATGTGTGCCTCTACTGTGTATCAATGGCACATCAAGATTGTGTAAACTGGCTAGGTACAATGGCTCACACCTCTAATCCCAGCACTTTGGGAGGCTGAGGTGGGAGGATCGGTTGAGCCCAGGAGTTCGAGACCAGCCCAGGCAACATAGTGAGATTCCATCTTTATTTTCTCTAAATAAATTAATTAAATTTTAAAATTGTATAAACCTTTTTCTCTACTCCCTTCATCCTGAAGTTCCCTTCCAAACTAAGTCCAGAGGAGTCTTCCAGACTTGTGTTTGTGTGTGGTGGAGGAGACTTCTGGAGAGGGGGCAGTAAGGTTATATTTTAAATACCCCAGGCTCATCTTAGTTCTTACTGAAACCTCTAGCCAACCTAGGAGCCACATACAAAACTCAAGAAGCTGATGACTGGTACTTGTACTTCATGGTGCTCCAGATGGAGACAGGGATCTAGAATATGGCTTCAGTTTATTTCTCGTGAGTTTATCTCCAATGGTGAAGTGGAGCAGAATATGCCACTGTAGAATAAAAGTTAATTTGAGCTGAAGGCATTTGAGAATCAACAGATGACAGAGAGGCTTGTTTTCTCAACTCCCTTATCTACCTAAAAGCAGAGTCTCCCAAACGAACTCAATCATCTTAAGTCCCCTCCCTAGGAGTTTCACAAAGAGGGAAGATTGACTCTTGTCGCCAGAGCCAAGAAGCCAGCTTCAGGATAAGAGATCGCCTAAGCAGATATTGCCACAAAGCTATCTTATCTCCCAAGTATTTTCCTAAGGACCCATTTATTCTTCCTAAATGTCCCATTATTATTCCTAAATGTCATTTTTTTCTCTTTTTTTCTTTTTGTTTTTTTTTTTTTGAGATGGAGTTTCACTCTTGTTACCCAGGCTGGAGTGCAGTGGCGTGATCTCAGCTCACTGCAACCTCTGCCTCCTGGGTTCAAGCGATTCTCCTGCCTCAGCCTCCCAAGTAGCTGGGATTACAGCTGCCTGCCCCCATGCCTGGCTGATTTTTTTGTATTTTTAGTAGAGACGGGGGTTTCACCATGTTGGCCAGGCTGGTCTCAAACTCCTGACCTCAGATGATCCGCCCGCCTTAGCCTCCCAAAGTGCTGGGATTACAGGCATGAGCCACTGCGCCCGGCCCATTTGTTTTTTTCGTAAGTGCTCTTCCTCTCTTCCTCTCCCTTCTTTTCTCCTCTTAAGATGGTTTATAAGCTCCCAATTCTTTTTTTTTTTTTTTTTTTTACATGGATTTTTGCTCTTGTTGCCCAGGCTGTAGTGCAATGGCACAGTCTCAGGTCACTGCAACCGCCACCTCCTGGATTCAAGTGATTCTCCTGCCTCAGCCTCCCAAGTTGCTGGGATTACAGATGCCCACCACCATGCCTGGCTAATTTTTTGTATTTTTAATAGAGACGAGGTTTCACCATGTTGGCCAGGCTGGTCTCGAACTCCTGGCCTCGAGAGATCTGCCTGCCTTGTCCTCCTAAAGTGCTGGGATTACAGGCTTGAGCCACTGTGCCTGGCCACTAACTGTTCTTTTAAGTCACACTTTTCTTTGTGCTCCCACATACACACATGAATAAAAATTTGTCTTTTCTTTCATCAGTCTGTCTTCTGTCAAGTTTAGTTCACAAGCCTCAGCACTGAATCTAAGTGGGTAAAGTTTTTCATCTCTGCCAGGGTCAACTTCCTAGAGCAAAGGTTGGCAAACTAAGACCTAGGGACCAAATCAGCCCCACTGACTGTTTTTGTGTGACCCATGAGCTAAGAACAGTTTTAATATGTTTAAATAATTAAATCAAAAGAAGAAGGGTATTTCATAACACTTGAAAACTATATGACATTTAAATGTGTGGTCAGGTGTAGTGGCTCACACCTGTAATCCCAGCACTTTGGGAGGCCGAGGCAGGTGGATGACCTGAGGTCAGGAGTTCTAGACCAGCCTGGTGAACTTGGTGAAACTCTGTCTCTACTAAAAATACAAAAAATTAGCCAGGTGTGCCATGTGCCTGTATTCCCAGTTACTCCGGAAGCTGAGGCAGGAGAATAGCTTGAACCCAAGAGGTGGAGGTTGCAGTGAGCTGAAATTGTGCCCCTCCACTCCAACATGGGTGACGGCGAGAGACTCTGTCTTTAAAAAAAAAAAAAAAGGAAAGAAAGAAAACAGAAATTTAAATCTGTGTCCATGAATAAAGTTTTATTGGAACATAGCCATGGTCATTTGCTTATGTATTGTGTATGACTGCTTTTGCTTTAGAACAGTAGAGTTGAGTAGTTGTGGCCTACAAAGCTGAAAATATTTGCTATCTGGTTCTTTAGAGACAAAGTATGCCCCTCTCTGCCCTGTTACATTACCGCTCTATCCTATTACTATGTTTTAGTCTCCTCATAGCACTTCTCACTGTGTCCATTTCTGTTTACCTGTTTTGCCTGCCCCACTAGAACATGAACTTCCCAGGGGCAGAGACGTTAGAAGCTTTTTCTTCACTGCACCCCCAGCACTTTAAGCACAGTACCTCACACATAACAGGTGCTCAGTATGAATGAGTGGATAACAATAGAGAGCATTTTCTTTTTCTTTTCTTTTCTTTTTCTTTTATGAGACAGAGCCAGGCTCTGCCACCCAGCCTGGAGTGCAGTGGGACAATCTCAGCTCACTGCAGCCTCCGCTGCTTGGGCTCAAGCAATCCTCCCATCTCAGTCCCCCAAATAGCTGGGACTACTGGTATGCACCACCACACCCAACTAACTTTTGTATTTTTTTGTAGAGACAGGGTTTCACCATGTTGCCCAGGTTGGTCTCAAACTTTTGAGCTCAAGCAATTTTCTTAAGCGATCCACCTGCCTCGGCCTCTCAAAGTGCTGGGATTACAGGTGTGAGCCACTGCGCCCATCCAATAGACAGCATTTATTGGGCACTTACTATATGTCAGGCACATGCAGTATGTCTTTTAATTCTTGAGATAACCTTGTTGGATGGATACCATTTCTTATGGCCTGACTAGTGTCCCCCCCAAAATTCTGTGTTGAAGTCTACACCCCCAATACCTCAGAACATGACTCTACTGGGGACAGAGACTTTAATGAGGTAAAATGAGGTCACTGGTGAGGGACCCTAATCCCCTATGACTAGTGTCCTTATAAGAAAAAAGAGATTGCCCAGGTGTGGTGGCTCACGCCTGTAATCCCAGCTACTCGGGAGGCTGAGGCAGGAGAATTGCTTGAACCCAGGAGGCGGAGGTTGCGGTGAGCCAAGATCGCGCCATTGCACTCCAGCCTGGGCAACAAGAGCGAAATTCCATCTCAAAAAAAAAAAAAAAGAAATGAAAAAAAAGATTAAGACACAGATATACACAGAGAAAAAGACCATTTGAAGACACTGAAAGACAGCAGCCATCTATAAGGCAAGGGGAGAGGTCTCAGAAGAAACCAGACCTGCCAATATCTTGGTCTTGAACGTCTAGACTTCAGAACTGTGTCAATACATTTCTGTTGTTTAAGCCCCCCAGCCTGTAGTATTTTGTTACGGCAGCCCTAACAAATTAATATACTATTACTGTTACCTTTTTCAGATGAGAAAACTGAAGAACATAGAGATTAAGTACTTCTGCCATTAGAAAGTAAAAGAGCCAGGATGTGAACACTGGGAGTCTGATTCTTATGCTCGTTCTCTTAACTACTATGCTATGCTACCTCTCTGTGGGTGAACAGACAGAAAAGATAACAGGAGAGTTTACTGCAAAAAGTTTTCTTCTTCCAACTGGATAATACATAAGAATTTTCTGAGGACACTATCCACTTAAGGTCTCGATATTTTCTTTTGGAACAACTGGCAGAGTTTGGGAGGTGAGTAACAAAGTCCCAAATCTGACGACTTGGCAGAGAAGTACTGTATCCTTATGGTGAACTGGGGAGGTGCCATTCAGCTCTGCAGGACTTTCACAGAATGTAGAAAAAGACAGTTGCTTTATTCTATAACTCTTCATTCTGGCTGCTCCACACAGTTTTGGCAGACACGAAGTATCTGCTTCATGCCTATCTTGACAGCCGTACCTCCATTAATACTCTGAAAAATTCATATTTCAAGGACACATTTCAAAAAACATGGATCTAGGTGATCTGAACATTGGAAATATGATAGCTGAAGTGCTTTTAGTTCTAAATAGAGAAGGCATAATGTGAACTAAAAGTTTACACTTGCAACCTGGCTTGGTTAGGGCCATGAAAAGCACAATTTCTAAAAGTATGGATTTATTTTGCAAGGAAAAGGAAAGTGTATTTCTCAGTGTACATGACAGGTTAGCACTAGACAAACTTGCCAAATAACAAGAATCACCCAGGAAGCTTGTGGAAAGCACAAATCCCCAGTCCCATCCTGGACCCACTAAAACTGAATCTCCAGAGTGGAGTACTGGTAACCAATATTTTTAACATGTTTCATAGATTCTTATTATCAGGCAAGTTTGAGAAGCATTGTAACAGGAGATAGCATAGAGCCATGTGTCCATTTCAACGTATTCCTAGTCTCAGATACCACTGTCTCTTGCCTGATTTATTATTATTATTTTCAGGGCCTCGCTCTGTTGCCCAGGCTGGAGTACAGTAGCACAATCATGGATTACTGCAGCCTCGACCTCCCGGGCTCAAGTGATCCTCTCACTTCAGCCTCAGCTGGGACTACAGGTGTGTGCCACCACTCCTGGCCAGTTTTTGTATTTTTGTAGAGACAGTTTCTCATTGTGCTGCCCGGGCCAGTCTCAAATTTCTGGGCTTAAGTGATCCTCTCACCTTGGCCTCCCAAAGTGGTGGGATTACAGGCATGAGCCACTGCACCCAGCCCACTTGCCTGAATCACAATGACAGCCTCAGAATTGTCGCTGTAGGTTTCTTCTTGGGTACCCTTCCAGTGTCTCATCCTCAGAGCATCAGGAGTGACACATTTACTACAAAAGCTGGGGCACCACTCTCCTCTGCTAATACTTCTTTTTCTTTTCTTTTCTATTTTTTTTTTTTTTTTTTGAGACCGAGTCTCACTCTGTTGCCCAGGCTGGAGTGCAGTGGCACGATCTCGGCTCACTGCAACTTCCACCTCCCAGGTTCAAGCGATTCTCCTGCCTCAGCCTCCCGAGTAGCTGGGACTACAGGTGCACACCACCACGCCCAGCTAATTTTTGTATTTTTAGTAGAGACGGGGTTTCACCATATTTGTCAGGCTCGTCTGGATCACCTGACCTCAGGTGACCCACCTGCCTCGGCCTCCCAAAGTGCTGGGATTACAGATGTGAGCCACCACACCCAGCCTTCTGCTAATATTTCTTAATGGTTTCCCATTCTCCTTAAAAATAAAATCTGGGAGCCTGCAAGTCCTGTGTCCTCCAGCCTCACCTTGGGCTCTCTCCCTATTGCTTGTTCAACTCTCGCCACACTGGCCCTCATCCAAGTTCTCAGCCGTGAAGCTCTCCTGGCACCTGCCCACTGTCACCTCCCACCTCTCTCCATTTCACTCCAAGGCTGTTGGCCTCAGCTTCAACGAGGCGTGCTCATGGTGGCTTCATGACCCCATTACCCTTCTCTCCCGCTTAGGAAATCAAGTCTAGCTAGTCTATCTCTGTTTAGTAGTATCATGGTATCCCATTTTTCTTTCGCAGCACTTGTCACAATTGTAATTAATAAATTAGAAGCTGGGCGCAGTGGCTCATGCCTGTAATCCCAGCACTTTGGGAGGCCAAGGGGCAGATCACCTGAGGTCAGGAGTTCGAGACTAGTCTGGCCAAACCTAGCTGGTGAAACCTCGTCTCTACTAAAATATAAAAATTAACTGGGCATGGTGGCAGGTGCCTGTAACCCCAGCTACTTTGGAGGCTGAGGCAGGAGAATTGCTTAAACCCAGGAGGCAGAGGTTGCGGTGAGCCAAGACCGCACCATTGCACTCCAGCTTGGGCAACAAGAGAGAAACTCCATCTCAAAAGTAAATAAATAAATAAATTAGGAGATTCCCAGCAGCTGAACATGTGGAGGTTCCTGAAGGCTGGTGCCCCAGGTAGTGCATGGAAGCTCCATGCCCCTTCCCTCATACCTCTCCTTATGCATCTCTTCATCTGTATCCTTTGTAATATCCTTTTTTTTTTTTTTTTTTTCTGAGACAGGGTCTCACTCTGTTACCTAGGCTTGAGCACAGTGGTGTGATCTCAGCTCACTGCAGCTCCCACCTCCCGGGGTCAAGTGATTCTTGTGCCTCAGCCTCCCGTGTAGTTGGGATTACAGTAGTGCACCTGTGTTTTTTGTATTGTTAGTAGAGACAAGGTTTCACCATGTTGTCCAGGCTGGTCTCGAACTCCTGACCTCAAATGATCCACCCACCTCAGCCTCCCAAAGTGCTGGGATTACAGGTGTGAGCCACCACACCTGGCCTCCCTTGTAATATCCTTTATAATAAACCAGTCAATGGGCCTAGTAGAGAAAAAAAGAGATGAAATTCATTTTAAGTAAGTTAGAAGAGCACAGTAATACTTGGCACAGAAGTATTGGGCATGTTCAAAAAGCATTACATGTGCTGTGGAAAGGAGAAAATGTCAGATACACAGAAAGACTGGAAACTCTTTTGAGTCCTTTTACTTTCTGTACATACATGCCTTGGATTGTTTTCCAAAGTCAACACTTGACAGAGATTGAGGAAGAAGTAGGAAGGCTCTTTTGTACCAGTATGTTCAACATTCCTCAAAGGAAGTGTGAAGATGAAGAATCAGGAGGAGAAAAGACAGCTTGACTTCTGTATCATTCAGGAGAATAATGGCAAAACACCTAGCAATGAAAAAAGCCATTAGCATGTGCTTTTCAGTCATGTTCACTCTGCTGCCACCTCTCAGAAAAAGCTCAGGATGGCATTGTGTTTGAAGTAAACTGTTTTAATTAATTACTTAAAAAATTAGATGTGTCATTTTATATATATATATATATGTAAAATAAGCTTGCTTAAAAAATATATATATATATATTTTAAGCAAGCTTATTAGGAAAGTAAAGGAATAAAAGAATGGCTGCTCCATGGGCAGAGCAGTGATCATTATATCCTTAAGGCCTATTTTTTCTCCCTAGAATCAAAGTTCAAAGTTCTATAAGCTAGGGCCTGTATCTAACCTTATCCCACTTATCCTAGCATCTAGTCCAGGGTCTGGCATACAATAGAGTCTCAATAAATACTTAACAAATAGATGTCAATTTTAGTAATTAGTGGATAGCAATCACAGCTACAAATTATTGCCTCTTCCCACCATGTGATTGGCATACGCTGGGTACTTGGATTTACATCTCTCCTATCTTCATATCAGCAGGGTAGATATTATCTCCATTTTCACAGAAGAAAACTGAGACTCAGAAGGTTGTATGATTTGCCCAAGTCCACAAAGCTGCTTTGGGGTAGAACCAGGACAAGTTTCCCGTCTGTTTCTGTTTTACTCTAAAATCTGTGCCCCTTCCATTCTGAGTGACTGCTTTGAGGGCTACCTGATGTGCCATTGTTTTCTACCCTCTTCTCAAAGGGTAGAAAGGCACTACCAAGACAGTCTCTGCTAACATAGAGTTAAGACAAAGCTCCTTGCACATTTGACTGAGAATGACAGCATCAGCTGATTTTCCTGGAGAAAGTCTATGTTTGAAAATCATAGTGAAATGGAACAATCTTTTTAAAAAGCCATCTATGCAGCAGCATTCAGCTGACATATTATAGTTCCTTTTTATGTGGAAGAAGTCCAGAAATGTCAATAAGTCTCTAGGTAAGTAGGTACAGAAATAATGGGTGACACTGCAATAACAGACATGGCACATAGGGGTGCCCACGCCTCCAGGCAGCTTTCCAGGAAACAGCTTCACTGGGAACTGGCAGGCCTTAGGAGCCATGCGGCTGCCAAGTTCTTGCCCAGTGAGAGACCTTTCTTCCTGGCTTGTCCCTGAGACTGCAGGGACATGGAAGCAGACCAGAAGCAGCAAAAGTTGTACAGTATGTGTGTTCAACTTTTAAAAGTAGAAGTAAAGTGGGTATTTAATTTAATATTATAAATTAGGTATTATAAACTTTTTGTTTGAAATTTTTACTTATTTATTTATTTTTGAGATAGGATCTCACTCTGTCACCCAAGCTGGAGTGCAGTGGCATGATCACAGCTCACTGCAGCCTTGACCTCCCTGGCTTCAGCTGAACCTCACACTTCAGCCTACTGAGTAGCTGGGACGACAGGCATGCATCACCATGCCTGGCTAAATAATTTCTGTATTTTTTGTAGAGACAGGGTTTTGCCATGGTGTCCAGGCTCGTCTCTAACTTCTGTGCTCAAGTGATTCACCTGCCTCGGCCTCCCAAATTGCTCAAATTACAGATGGGAGCCACCACGCCTGGCCCTTATAAACTTTTTATTTTTTTTCCCACCAAGACAGAGTCTTGCTCTGTCGCCCAGGCAAGAGTGCAATGGCATGATCTTGGCTCACCGCAACCTCCACCTCCTGGGTTTAAGCAATTCTCCTGCCTCAGCCTCCCGAGTAGCTGGGATTACAGGCATGCGTCACCACACCCGACTAATTTTTTTTTTTTTTTTTTTTTTTTTGTATTTTTAGTAGAGACAGGGTTTCACCATGTTGGCCAGGCTGATCTCGAACTCTTGACCTTGTGATCCGTCCGCCTCGGCCTCCCAACGTAAACTTTTAAAAAAGTTTAGTATACTGAGGTTTTCATGGCATTTAATATTTGTAGTCTTGAACCTTTAAATACCACTCCTTCCCCTTTAGTTTTCCTGATTATAAAGATACGTGGTATGATTTATAGCAAGGAGAAAATTGGTACTGTAAAAACCAGAATCACGCTTCCTTTGCGAAAGAGGGCTACTGTGGAAAGCAAAATGCCTAAGGCTTCTGGATATGAAATTGTAAGCTTCGGGGCAGGGTCTTAAATGGGCAGGGTGAGTGACTGAATTGCGCCCCCTGGAAAAGAGGAAGAGCATTCTTGCTCTGGAGATGGAGGGCTCAAGGAGGAGAGACCAGGGGAAAGAAGAGAGAGATGAGATGAGCCTGCAGAGAAGAAAAGGTCAAGGAATCTTTCCATTATTCCATTCTGATTTGCTTGATTTGATACAGTCATGTAGACCCTTTATGCCACCAAGTCTTAGGCAAGTGTATCATACACACACACTGTATTTATCATGTCACTGTTTTGTGGAAATCGTGAGAACAGGGCTGAATTCCACACCTGTGTCCCCAGGAAGAGTGAAACTGGGATTTTGCAGGCGTGGGAAAGTGAAGCAGAGATGGTAAGGAGAAAACAGCAACCTCGGCCATGCCTGGGAACCATTGGCTTCTGGATCCTGTGTAGGACTTCTCCCAAAATGCAGAAGGGGGTTTATAGACACTATTTCCTGGATTTTGACGGGGCAAGATGACATTTGGGTTGCATCGGTGGAGTTTCCCAGGCCTGTCTCTTGTATTCATCATTGGTACCTCTTTTCTTTTTCGGGAAACTGTGGTAGAGGGAAGAGGAGTTTTGGAGACAGGCTAACCTGAATTTGCAACCAATCTCTGTTTCTGTTGCTTAACCTATTTGAGCCACTTAGTTTTTCAGCCATAAAAAAAAGTCTCACAGGACACAGGATTGTGAAGAGGCTTAAATTAAAAGACATCTCATACACAGGTTAAAAATTCAGGTCTTAACGCCAAAGTGCTTGATTCAAATCCTGGCTCTACCATCTGCTAGCCATGTGAATTTGGATAAGTTATTCAATTTCCTCTTATAAAAAATGGGGCAGCTGGGCGTGGTGGTTCACGCCTGTAATCCTAGCACTTTGGGAGGCCAAGGTGGGCCAATTACTCGAGGTCAGAAGTTTGAGACCAGGCTGGCCAACATGGTAGAGAAATCCCGTGTCTACTAAAAATATAAAAATTAGCCAGTGTGGTGGCCTACGCCGGCAGGAGAATCACTCGAACCTGGGAGGCGGAGGTTGCAGTGAGCAGAGAGCACATCACTGCACTTCAGTCTGGGCAACAGAGTGAGACTGTGTCTCAAAAAAAAAAAAAAAAAAGAAAGAAAAGAAAATGGGGCAAATCAGTGCATCTAGCTTCCATGTTGTTGGTAGTGTCAAATGAGATAATATAGTAAAGCACTTTAGTGTAATTGCCAGACAAGTTCTTCTTGCCCACTGCACAGATAAACCCAATTCACTGAGACACGTTATTGCAGTAGAGAAATAATTTAATTATTGCAAGGCAGCTGAACAGGAAGACGGGATTTATTATTCAAATTCACTTCCATGAAGGCTCAGAGGTTAGGATTTTTCAGGAATAGTTTGGTGGACATGGGGACATTAGGGAATGGGTGCTGTTGTTTTGTCGGGGATGCAATCATAGGGGTGTGGAAAAACATGGAGTACTCCTCTGGGTGGAGTCCTGAGTCATAGGTTTGGGTGGAATTGGTCAGTAGCCAGAAGGCAGGAGTCTGAAAAAGCATCTCAAAATATCAATCTTAGGTTCTACATTAATGATGTTATCTATAGGAGCATTTGGGGAAGTCTCAGATCTTGTGACCTCCAGCACAGTAAAGGATTATAGCAAGGCATGCTATGCCTACATTTTAGCAGAACTCAGGCCCCTCCCATAAACCCTTGGGGGCTTTCATTAGTTTTACAAAGGTGGTTTCAGTTCCTGAGCAAGGAGGGGGTTAGTTTTAGGGAGGGACTGTTATCATCCTTGCTTCAAAGTTAAACTGTAAACTAAATTCTTCCTATGGTTAGTTTGCCCTATGCCCAGGAATGAGTGAGGACAGCCAGCTTGTGGGGCTAGAAGCAAGATGGAGTCAGCCATGCTAGACTTTTCCCATTATCATAATCTTTGCAAAGGCAGTTTCAATCATGTCTGGTATTACAGCAAGTGCTTAATAAGTGGCAGCTATTATTGTTATTATTATGTATGTAAAATGTCTGGTTTGGTAAGACATCGATTAATGACTTTTGCACTTTCATTTTATTGAAATATAAGAGCTGTGAATTCCCATGCTACCCACACCTCTTTTTCCCAGAAGAATTAACTAAAAGAGACTCAACCGATCACTTATGTTAGTTATGAAGGTTCATAGAAGCTTAAAAAACACCTCTGCATTTTTTAAAAATAAAGATTTCTGACCAAAGAAGTTTAAAATGTTGTTGAGCCTGGGCACGGTGGCTCACGCCTGTAATCCCAGCACTTTGGGAGGCCGAGGTGGGCAGATCACGAGGTCAGGAGATCAAGACCATCCTGGCTAACACGGTGAAACCCCGTCTCTACTAAAAATACAAAAAAATTAGCCGGGCGTGGTGGCGGGCGCCTGTGGTCCCAGCTACCTGGGAGGCTGAGGCAGGAGAATGGCGTGAACCCGGGAGGCAGAGCTTGCTTGCGGTAAGCTGAGATGGCGCCACTGCACTCCAGCCTGGGGGACAGAGCGAGACCCTGTCTCAAAAAAAAAAAATGTTGATACATACATATATTTTATTTGGAAAAAAAAAGGTACTGTGAGTTCTAAGAGATATACTCCGTGTTTTTCTTTGCACTTCAACAATCTCCTTGTCATTTGTCCTCTAATGCAGAATCTTCGACCTGCCAGTGTGCATCCTCTCCCTGTGGACAGCACACTCTGCCTTTTCATGCTACTCAGTTTTCCTCACACTTCGTTCTGTTTTCCTAGTACTGCTTCAGGTTGATAGCATCTTTCCGTGGTATTTGAGGCATACACCCGAATGCCAGGATTTTGAATGTCATACTAAATAAAGAGGATTTTTTTTTTTTTTTTGGAGTCAGAGTCTCACTATTTCACCCAGGCTGGAGTGCAGTTGTGCAATCTTGGCTCACTGCAGCCTCGACCTCCCAGGCTCAAGCAATCCTTCCACCTCAGCCTCCCAAGTGGCTGAGACCACAGGCGCATGCCACCACACCCAGGTAATTTTTGTAGAGACAGGATTTTGCCATGTTGTCCAGGCTGGTCTCAATCTCCCAGGCTTAAGCGGTCCTCCCACCTTGACCTCCCGAAGTACTTGGATAAATAAAGAGGTTTTTTGTTTGTTTGTTTGTCTGTTTGTTTGTTTTTGAGACAGAGCCTCACTCTGTCACCCAGGCAGGAGTGCAATGGCACAATCTTGGCTCATTGGAACCTCCACCTCCTGGGTTCAAGTGATTCTCCTGCCTCAGCCTCCTGAGTAGCTGGGATTACAGGTGTACGCCACATTGCCCGGCTAATTTCTGCATTTTTAGTAGAGATGGGGTCTCGCCACTTTGGCCAGGCTGGCCTCTAACTCCTGGCCTCTGGTGATCCACCTGCCTCGACCTCCCAAAGTGCTGGGATTACAGGCATGAGCCACCATGCCCGGCAAAGAGTTTTTTAAAAGGAAGTTTTGGAAAAAGAAAGAAGCTTTCCTGCTTGCCCTTTGTCATGGTGGAGCCGAACTATTTAGTGCTCTGATTGTGAGGAGCTCTGCTGAGATATAGAATAGCTTGGTGTGAGAGTTCAGACTTTAGAGTTAGAGGGCTTGGGTTCAAGTCCTGACTCTGAGCTTACTTTTGTGGCCTTGATCAAATCACTTAGTTTTTCTCTTTTTTGGTTTCGTTCGGTAAAATAGGGTAGCTGGCTCTGCAGGGAAGGAGGGTAAATAAATTAATAATCCTGACGAATGGTAAATATGTTGGTTCTTATTGGTAATGTGCTAGGCTATTTTAGTGAGTTATTTCTGACCCAAACCAGTTTCCCACCTCCAGTTTCAGGAAGATAATAAACCTAATAGTGCTGAATTACCAGGACGTGTGTAGGGCTAGTGGTTGATTTTATTCCTTATCCCTGAATGTGCATCACCCTGCACTTTGCTGTAATCTTGAATTAAAGTGGTTCTGAGCCTCCTAATAGTAACTCATTATTGACAGCTTTAGCTTTCTTGAGAGGTCTCATGAGACATCTGAAACTCCTTCTGCCTGGAGCTGGAGCCAGGAAGCTTGGATTCTAGTCCCTATTCCTCACTTCCTATGGGGGATTGGCAGCAAGGCAATTCACTTTCCTGAGCTTGTTTTTATAGATTGGGTAAGATTCAGATGTCATTTTACATGAAATGATTTTTAAGTTGGGGAATGTGCAAAAGATAAGCTATTGTGTGATATGTTGATAATAATGGTAACAGTAGTAAGTGCACTTATTTTATTAGTAGGTGTGACCTCAAGGCTTACCTAGAGTGTGTTTTTAGTTCTTTTAGTCCTCATAATGCTGAAGATCCTAGGCATAGGATTCTTTACCATTTACAGTGGTGGCAGTATTTGGGCAAGATATTATATAGAAGAAAGATTATAAAATGTATGTTAGTCAAATGTTGCTAATTATTTGCCATGATATATAACTTGAAGAAGGAAGATAGAGTTTTGGGGAGATTATTATGTGGAGTTAGACTAACCATGTGCTTTCTGGATAACTTTGGAGAGAGTAGAGGGGGCATATAGGCATTATATTTATAGATCATTTGTAAATTTTAAAATTTTTATTAGAGACAAGGTCTCACTTTGTTGCCCAGGCTGGAGTGTAGTGACATGATCATAGCTCACTGCAGCCTCGACCTCTGGGCTCAAGTGATCCTCCCACCTCAGCCTCCTGAGTAGCTGGGACTACAGGTGCATGCCACAACACCTGGCTAATTTTTACAATTTTTTTTGTAGAGATGGGGGTCTCACTTTGTTGCTCAGGCAGGTTTCAAACTCCTGGGCTCAAGTGACCCTCCTGCCTTGGTCTCCCAAGTGCTGGGATTACAGGCATGAGCCACTGTACCTGGCTCTACAGATTCTTTCATGCTCAAAAATAAATGAAAATACACTCTCCTTTATTTCCAGATGTACTTTTTTCTTGATCCTTGAACTACTTTCTTATTTTGTACCTCAGTAAACACACTTAGTGATTAGCAGAGGTTGAAGGAGAAATCACAAGCTGTTTTCCATAGTCTTAACTACATTCTGTCGTGGAATAAAAATGAGGATTGTCCTATGTGTTCCAGCAGAACCATTAGGTACACCATTTTCTGGGAACCCCTCCTTTTGAATTCCTCTCATTTTGAGGGTCACCATGGCCCAAAGCCACCACTGGTTTCAGGGGACAGTCCTAGGACTCCAGTCCACTCCCAGACAGGTCACTGCTCTGCCTGTCCATTGGTGATATATAAAAGATATGTATGTATGTATGTATGTACGTACGTATTTTTGAGATGGAGTTTCACTCTTGTTGCCCAGGCTGGAGTGCAATGGCATGCTCTCAGCTCACTGCAACCTCCTCCTCCCAGGTTCAAGCGATTCTCCTGCCTTAGCCTCCCGAGTAGCTGGGATTACGGGCATGCACCACCACGCCCGGCTAATTTTTTTTTTTTTTTTGTATTTTTAGTAGAGACAGGGTTTCTCCATGTTGGTCAGGCTAGTCTTGAACTCCCGGCCTCAGGTTGTCCTCCCACCTCAGCCTTCTGAAGTGCTGGGATTACAGGCATGAGCCACCATACCTGGCCAAAAGATTTTATATGTTAAAGATCTACCACTGAAAAATAGTAAAATCTACCATTTATTCTATAGTTAAAATCTACCATTGAAAATGAATTTGTGCAGAAACAAATTCATTTTCAATTGTAACTGAACCTCTGTTAAACTCTAGTTGGAATGTAATTACTCACTAAGAAAACCTTGATTCAGGGCTTAAAAACCAGGTAGATAATATACAAGCACTTTTTCTTCACTTTCAGAACCATTAGTTCAAGAACTATTTAATGTTTCTTTTCAGTTTTCCCCATAACACTTTCTTTGTGCCACTAATATAGAATTTATTTTATGCTACTGGAACATTCCAATGCGTTGATTTTATATTGTCATATAGGTTGCACATACCTTGAAGGCAGAAACCTTGTTTTGTTTTTTCTTTTTCTTTTTTTTTTTTTTGAGACAGAGTCTCACTGTCTTGCCCAGGCTGGAGTGCAGTGGTGCAATCTCGGCTCACTGCAACCTCCACCTCCTGGGTTCAAGCGATTCTCCTGCCTCAGCCTTCCAAGTAGCTGGGACTACAGGCATGCACCACCACTGCCAGCTAATTTTTGTATTTTTAATAGAATGGGGTTTCACCATGTTGGCCAGGCTGGTCTTGAACTCTTGACCTCAGGTGATCCGCCCGCCTCGGCCTCCCAAACTGCTGGGATTACAGGTATGAGCCACCTGCCGGGCATGGTGCTCGGCAGAATTAAGATAAGAATGCTTAATCTTATTCTGGTGCTTTGTATATGCTGTGTGCTAAAGTGTTTTTGACTTAAAGCGTGAGGGTGGGAGAGATAGGTTGAGAAAGATAGAAGGAGAAAAATATTAAACAAATTTCACCTTTAGAATATAATGAAATACTTTTTTTTTTTTTTTGAGATGGAATTTTGCTCTTGTTGCCCAGGCTGGAGTGCAATGGCACAATCTTGGCTCACAACAACTTCTGCCTCCCAGGTTCAAGCGATTCTCCTGCCTCAGCCTCCTGAGTAGCTGGGACTACAGGCATGCGCCACCACGCCTGGCTAATTTTGTATTTTTAGTAGAGACAGGGTTTCTCCATGTTGGTCACGCTGGTCTAGAACTCCCAACCTCAGGTGATCTGCTCGACTCGGCCTCCCAAAGTGCTGGGATTACAGACATGAGCCACCGCGCCTGGCCAATAATTTTATATTAATTGAATTTTTAGAACTTGCTCTACAGAGTTGACTTTATAGGATATAATATTACTATTTTAAAAAAGAACCTAAACAATTCATTTAATTTTACATTTTAATTAAATTTTTAATTTTAAATTTTAAAAGTTAAGAATTCATTAACACTCAGGCAAGTCCCTTAGATGAGGCCACTGGAAGATCTAAGCCTAGCTCTGCTCAGGGCGGCTCCTGCAAAGGCTGTTTTCATTAAAGCCAGTTTTCATTAGATGAGTCTCCTGGGGCAATATATTTGTTTAGAGTTTATTATTTTAATTGAAATATAAATCTTTACATAGTTAGCACCTAGATTTCTGGATTTTTGTTTTGTTTTGTTTTTGAGATGGATTCTCGCTCTGTCGTCCAGGCTGGAGTGCAGTGGCACGATCTCAGCATTCTGAAACCTCCATCCCCCGGGTTCAAGCGATTCTCCTGCCTCAGCCTCTCGAGTAGCTGGGACTACAGGAATGCGCCACCATGCCTGGCTAATTTTTGTGTTTTTAGTGAGATGAGATTTCACCCTGTTGGCCAGCCTGGTCTTCAACTCCTGACCTCAGGTGATCCGCCCGCCTCGGCCTCCCAAAGTGCTGGGATTACAGGCATGAGCCACCGCACCCGGCCTTTGGATTTTATTAATACACATCTTTCCTTGGATTTACGGGAAAAATGTGCTAGTTGTGTATGTGAAGTCTTATTCTAATTCTTGCATTATTTGGATCTGGGACTTGTAGAAACATTTTGTTTGTTTATTTACTTGCTTTTTGATACATTTTCTTAAAAACAGAAAATTATTTGAAAGATAAGATGTATGTGTAGAGAAGATATATTTCAAATAAGTGCATTAGATTTGAGGTCACTGACATGAGTGGAAAGACTTGCAGCTGCAATTCTTTATTATGTGTGAGCTTATAAGGAAACTGGGCTCAAGGGCATTGAAGGATACATAACTTTCCTTGGCATTCAGGGTCTGCCCTCTGTCGGTGATATGTGCATAAAAATACCTTTATCCCTCAGAATTCTGCACTAGATTGAAATAAATTTTATCAATTAGGCATAGTGTATGGGAAGTCAGATGTGAATGAAGTAGAAAACCCTTTAAAAACTCAAACTTAAATTATAATTTTTCTCACTGTGGGATTTGCCGTTAATGCAGAAAGGATAGGGATAAAGTTAAAGAAAAATAGACAAATTACAGACATTTTTCAATTTCACAATTAGAAGAAGTAATTTAAAAATCTTGAATCAAATGAGGGATTGGACATTTTCATTGATGCAGGAGTAAAGGCCACTCCATTTTCTCCATGCATTGAATACACTATTTGATTTTACATAAATGTGTCTTGATCCTTTTTGTAAACCAGTTACTCGCTAATAGTAAACCTAGCAGTCTTGTTAATTATTAATGAGACTCTAAATATTCAGAGAGATAACTTTTTTAGTTCATTGCATAATACTGCCAATGTAAGGGTTTTAAATTTATAATGAAATTATAACTTCATGAAACAAAGTTATAATATAACTTTATTTAAAAATTAACATTAATGGGATTATTAAATAGTGTAAAAATACTAAAATTATATACTCTTTTGCATTGTTTTTATTTTTTATTCAACCTTTTCTTTGGCATTAAAAAACTAACATATGTGAGAAATCTTGGAGAAGAAAAATACATTTTTATATATTACTCTCTAGGTAGTAAATGCTACATCAGTGGGCTGTGGAATCTAACTGGGTTTACACATTGACATTTTTGTAATTTAAAAACTGTCTTTGACAGTTTACAAGCATGAGCACAGTGGCTTATGCTTGTAATCCCAGCACTTTGGGAGGCTGAGGCGGGCATATCACTTAAGGTTGGGAGTTTGAGACCAGCCTGGCCAACATGGTGAAACCCCATCTCTACTAAAAATATAAAAATTAGCCAGACGTGGTGGTGCAGGCCTGTAGTCCCAGCTACTCAGGAGGCTGAGGCAGGAGAACGACTTGAACCTGGGAGGCAGAGGTTTTAGTGAGCCAAGATCACACCACTGCACTCCAGTCTGGGCAACAGAGTGAGACTTTGTCTCAAAAAAAAAAAAAAAACATAAATTTAAAAGAACTATCTTTGTTTTTAAAACTGACTTCAAAATATACTACAAAGCTATAGTAATAACCAAAACAGCATGGTATTGGCATAAAAGTAGGCACATCACCAGTGGAACAGAATAGAGGACAAAGAAATACATTCATACACTTATAGCCAACTGATTTCCAATGAAGACATCACAAACATACATTGGGGAAAAGGCAGTCTTTTCAATAAATGGTGGTAGTCTCGACAATAAAGGCAGTCTCTTCAATAAATTGTGCATGCTAATATCCAATTTTCCTACTACCGTTTATTGAAGAGATCTCTATTTGTCAGTACATACAAAAGTCAACTCAAAATGGATTAAATATAAATGTAGGCCAAGCATGGTGGCTCACCCTTGTAATCCCAGCAGTTTGGGAGGCTTTGGTGGGAAGACTGCTTGAGGCCAGGAGTTCAAGACCAGCCTGAGTAATACAGCAAGACCACTTCTCTACAAAAAATTTAAAGAAATTAGCCAGGTATGGTGGCATGTGCCTGTAGTTCCAGCTACTCGGGAGGCTGAGTTGGGAGGATTGCTGGAGCCCTAGAGATTGAGGCTTCAGTGAACCGTGTTCACGCCATTGCACTCCAGCCTAGGTTTTGAGACCCTATCACAAAAAAAAAAAAAAAAAAGATTTAAATGTAAGTACTGAAACTATGAGACTACTAGAAGCAAACCCTGGGGAAATGCTTCATAACATTGTTCTGGGAAAAGATTTTTTTGGATAACAGCTCAAACTTACAGGCAACAAAAGCAAAAATAGACAAATAGGATTATACAAAACTGAAAAGCTGCACAGCAAAAGAAACAATGAATAAGAAACTCAGACAATTCAATACCAAGAAAACAAATAATATAATTTTAAAAATGCATGAAAGTGGGTATGGTGGCTCACGCCTGTAATCCTAGCACTTTGGGAAGCTGAGACCAGCCTGGCCAACATGGAGAAACCCCGTCTCTACTAAAAAATACAAAAGTTAGCCAGGCATGGTGGCAGGAGCCTGTAATCCCAGCTACTCAAGAGGCTGAGGCAGGAGAATCACTTGAACCCGGCAGGTGGAGGTTGCAGTGAGTGGAGATTGCACCACTGCACTACAGCCTGGGCAAGAGAGTGAGACTACGTCTCAAAAAAAATTATTTAAAATGTTTACTCCAAGAAATACATATATATGAAATAATTACAGCACTAAACCAGGATCCTTTGACCAAATCACAACCTCCTCTTTGATTCCCCTTCACTCTAGGCCTCTTTCAAATTCTTTTTCCTGAGCTGGAAGACCAGTCAGATGCCCGCAGGGTCAGTGCCAAGCACGTTCCCAGCTGGGCGACTGTGTACCTTTCTCTAAGAATGCATGACGTCCTTCCCCCCAACTCCTTGTTTTAAAGGATTTAACCCATTAGGAAGTTCATTTTTCAGTCTAAGCCAAAAAGAGGTGTGGGACATGGCAGTCTTCACTTCGAAGATCCCTTTCCTCCCCCAGTCCCTGTCAAGGGTTCTGGAAGAGGCTGGCTGTTGGGTTTACATGAGGCCACCGGAAGATCTAAGCCCAGATCTGCCCAAGGCGGCTCCTGCAAAGGCTGGGACCTCAGGTGCTGCTTCCTCAACCCTCTCAGTGACCACGACTCAAAGGAGAGACCTGAAGGGTGCGAGGAGCAACAGTGCTTGGGCTGCATTCCAGGAAAGACACCTGTCCAGAGAAACGGATCAGGCTGTCGCATGTAAGATTGAATCAGAGATGGTGGTTTGGGGGTGATTTGGACAAATTAGGTTAGTTTAACAAAGCTCTGAAGTGGCAGAAGATCTCTCCTGGACTACTGATTGAACACAGAACAAGAGATGAGCATGGTGTCAGACTAAGTCTTAGAGAGATGCAGGCCAGTCTCCTCCCACAGGGCCTTTGGACTGCAGGGACAGACACTGCTTCGTACCCTCCGCCAGCAGGAGTCACGGTAAGGAGTGATGGGGTGGAAACTTGGGAAAAAAGCAACAACAACTAGATAGCTTTTGGCATTTTAACATAGAGACAGTGATAAGTGGTAACAACAGCAAAAGAAAAAAAAAACGAAAAACTTGAAGACACCAATATTTAACAACCATTCACCCAAGTCTCACACTTAAGTTCTATTCCCATCGCCTCCATAAGCACCACTGAACTAAATATCTATTTTAAAGCACCCAAACCAGTCCAGACCCTCTGGAAACCAAGAGCCCCAGCCAGAGCTGTCGCCTGTCTTGGGTCCAGGTGAGAGCAGGGTTCTGGGAAAGGCACCCCGTTAGTCACTCAGCGCAGCGCACAGGGTGGCAAGCTCGGGCATGGGCACTTGACAGGGTCGCGGTTGGCAGTCACAGCATCCGTGCTGACACACGAGGAAGGGGACTCTTTGGTAATCCCAACTATTTGGTACCAGAGCCAAGCAAACGTGACTAAAGGGAGCTGGGTCAGCAGAAAGGTACCCCGAGTCTCAGCAATAGGACGGCCCGTGAGAGGCAGGATCCAGGTAGGAGAGAAAAGGAGACCAAAGCACGTCTTGCACAAGGCTGGTATGGAAAGGGCTGATCCTTCTTGCAAGAACGGGAGAATGCACTTGACTGCTGGCTGATCAATCTCTAATTGGCAAGTGCGCATGACAAGGCTCGGCCCTGGCTCCACAGGGAGCCACGAAGCTGACTCAACTGATACAAATGTTCCCATCTCTGCCCCACCCCCAAGTCCCCATGGTTCCACCATCACCTGATTTTCATTTGGACTTCTTTTACAGCTAAAATAGGCATAAATGGCTAAACACAGACCCCCAACACCCCCACCAGGAGGAACACGGCAGATTCTATAATGGCGCAGCCAGAAGTCTGTGGGCGTACAGGCAGCAAAGGGGAGAAACAGAACCGACACCGGCCTCGGCTGATGTGCAAGAAAAAGCGGGAAGGGAGTGTCACGGATGCTTCTGAAGCACGCGAGCGTGATTTTGGATGGAGGCCGGCCAGCAGGGACCGACTTTGTCTAGCTGCTGCCGGTTCCTGTAAGGGACATTTTTTTCTGAGTAAATGGCGATTCCTCTTCCATGTAGCATCCTCTTGGATCACGATGCTAATTATAACTGGAAAGGGGTGTTTTGGGGAGTGTATTTAGGAGAGGAAGAAAGAAAAAACTTTTTAAAAAACCTAGATTGCTCAAAGTTTCTGCTTGTTTTGTAGGAATGGTAAGTCAACTATGAGCAAATATTTTAATTCAACATTAAGAGGAAAAAACATACTTTGGAAAGCATACACAAGAAAAGGTAGTTAATGTTGGATCACTTGTAAAATGGAACCTCAGGGAGCCTAAACAAAAATGCACCTTTGGTCAACTTTTGCTTTTTTTTGAGACAGAGTTTCGCTCTTGTCACCCAGGCTGGAGTGCAGTGGCGCGATCTCAGATCACTGCAACCTCTGCCTACTGGGTTCAAGTGATTCTCTTGCCTCAGCCTCCTGAGTAGCTGGGATAACAGGTACATGCCACCATACTTGGCTAATTTTTTGTATTTTTAGTAGAGACGGGGTTTCATCACATTGGCCAGGCTGGTCTCGAACTCCTGACCTCAGGTGATCTGCCCGCCTCAGCCTCCCAAAGTGCTGGGATTACAGGCCTGAGCCACTGTGCCCAGCAACTTTTGCTTTTTTAAATTCCTAGTTTGACTTCACGTCCCAGTGCTCATGGAAATGATAGCTGCTGCGAGAAGTGTGGAGTTGGAGGAGTCTCCAGGAGCATCAATCAGAGGGTTGGGGGGTTGTATTCTGGCAGTTTCTTGATCTTCTCTTTCTCAGTCTAGCATTTGTCTCTTGCTATCACCAAGGTGTGTGAGTAGCCCTTGGCGACCTGCTCTGAGAAAATGCTATCCAGAGTCTTCACCTCTTGGGCTGCAGTGGAAGACTTGGGCTTGTGGTCCCCATAGCCGTGTTCCCCGAAGGTCGGCGACGGGCCCCAGCTGATGGTGCTCTCATTGGTGGCCACAGTGATGCTGCTCTTTCCACAAGCCAGGCTCCGTATTCTCCAGCCACAGAGGTCCTGCACTGCTTTCGGGTACACGGTAGATTCATGGGAGGTGTTGGTGACCCCCAGAAAAACAGACCACCCACTTCACTGATGGCAAAGAAGCAGGTATAACCAGCATAGATCTGGGACACCCCACGTCCAGAAAAGTCAAACAGCTTCACCAGGCGGGGGACCATCTCATCCTTCTGCTCTGCATGGCCCAGCCAGCCATAGCCACTGGAGCCCCAGAGAAGACTTGCTTCTGGGAGTCCAGAACCAGAGTGTGGTTGGTGCCACTGGCCACATCTTGCACAACCACGTTTGGTACAGGCAGCATCTGTCAATTTTTGGTCTTCTCGATGAAGATGGCCACTTGCAGGGGCACCAGTTTGCAGTCGTATTCTATCTGCTGTGGCCAGGCAATGAACTTCCCATCCGAGTTGTGTCCCAGCTGACCATATTCAGGGCACCCAAAGGAACAGAGGTTTCCTCTGCAGTCTATTATCATACTGAATTCAGCCCCCACAGGCCATTTTGGTAATTGGCTGGCCATTGTACATTATCTGCGCGGGGCTGTGGACAGTGTCTGTCTGGTTGCCAAGGCCCAGCTGCCCCATCTTGTTCTCCCCAAATGCAAACACGGAGCCAGTTTCCCTCAAGGCCAAGGTGTGGTTCTGCCCACATGCTGCAGATACGATCACTTTGTGGCTGAGACCCTCGATGAGTCTGGGGGCTTCCACTCTCTTGGTGTCCCCATGTCCCAGCTGCCCCTTCTTTGAGGAATTTTTAAAAGCTGATCTCATAGAAATAGAGTAGAAGAGTGGTTACCAGAGGGTCAGGATGGGGTGGGGTAGGTAGGAAGGATGGGGAAATGAGGAGAGGTTAGTGAACGGGTACAGGATTGCAGCTAGTTTGAAGAAATAAGGTCTAGTGTCCTATATTTGACTATAGTTGACAATATTGAATATTTCAAAATAATGAGAAGGTTTCGAATGTTCTTACTACAAAGAAATGATAAATGTTTGAGATGAAGGTAAGCCAATTACCCTGATTTGATAATTTCACAATGTATACATGTATTTAAAGATCACACTGTGTCCCATAAGTATGCAAAATTATGGGTCAAAAATACAATAAAATGTAAGAAATCCCTGTCTTTGGAAATTACTATTTTTCTCTCTCTCTTTTTTTGTTTTTGAGATGAAGTCTTGCTCTGTCACCCAGGCTGGAGTGCAGTGGCTTGATCTCAGCTCACTGCAACCTCTGCCTCCTGGATTCAAGCGATTCTCCTGTCTCAGCCTCTTGAGTAGCTGGGATTACAGGTGCCTGCCACCATGCCAGCTAATTTTTGTATTTTTAATAGAGACGGGGTTTCGCCATTTTGGCCAGGCTGGTCTCGAACTCCTGACCTCAGGTATTCCACCCGCCTTGGCCTCCCAGAGTGCTGGGATTATAGGCATGAGCTACCGCACCTGGCCTGGAAATTACTATTTAAAGTTAGGAGTTATCTATCTACTTATTTGTTGTCCCTGTTGTTTGACTTGTAGACTTTGGTACAGCCTGAAGTATAAAATTCCTATTGTTAACTACATAAAATCCTGTTATTAATAAACAAACTCAAAAGAATACCAGAACAAAAGTTTCTTTATTATGAAGCCCTCTCTTTTTAAAAAGCATTCAGCAGAAACAAACAATATAGTGTATGCCAGAATATCAGCATCACTTCTAGAAAATGACTCCAAGTTTCACAGCAGTTTACTGGGTTCCATGGTTTTGGGGAATAGAAAAGCAGGGTAGTACCTGTCATACCTGTATTCAGTTTCCTTCTTCTGTTGTATCCTCCCTTTTTTTTTTTTTTTGAGATAGATTCTCCCTCTATTGCCCAGGCTGGAGTGCAGTGGTGCAATCTTGGCCCACTGCAACCTCTGCCTCCTTGGTTCAAGCGATTCTCCTGCCTCAGCCTCCCAAGTAGCTGGGACTACAGGTGTGCATCACCATGCCTGACTAGTTTTTCTTTATTTTTAGTAGAGATGGGGCTTCACCATATTGGCCAGGCTGGTCTTGAACTCATGACCTCGTGATCTGCCCACCTCGGCCTCCCAAAGGGTGAGATGATAGGTGTGAGCCACCACGCTCAGCCTATTGTATCCTCCTTTTATGAGTTGAAAGTGTCCCCTCAAAAGATGTTGAAGTTCTAACCCCTGGTACTTGTGCATATGACTTTATTTGGAAAATAGGATCTTTGCCGATGATCAAGTTAAGATGAGGTCATTTGGGTAGGCCCTAATCTAATATGATTGAGTCCTTACAAAAAGGGGAAATTTTGTCACAGAAACTGACCCTTAGAGAGAGAAGACAATGTGAATACACAGGGATAAGGCCATCTATTTAATACCAGCCAATGAACCCTTGAGGCTCCCAGAAACTAAGAACCCTTTCAAATAATCAAAATGCCAGGTTTTTTGTTTGTTTGTTTTGAGACAGAGTCTCACTCTGTCACCCAGGCTGGAGTGCAGTGGCATGATCTTGGCTCACTGCAACCTCCGCCTCCCAGGTCCAATCGATTCTCGTGCCTCAGCCTCCTGAGTAGCTAGGATTACAGGCGCGTGCCACTACACCCAGGTAATTTTTTTTCTTGTATTTTTAGTAGAGATGGGGTTTTGCCATGTTGGCCAGGCTGTTCTCAAACTCCTGGCCTCAAGTGATCCATCTGCCTCAACTTCCCAAAGTGCTGGGATTACGAGTGTGAGCCACCACACTTGACAAAAATGCCAGTTTTCTGATTGTATGTTTACTTTTTGGTTTCCTGCATATACCCCAACATCCATATCTTTTACCTGCCCACCACGTTCCCATTTCTCTTTAAATCAGGTTTTGATTTTCTGAAAGTCTGAATGTTGAATTCACTGGTGTCCTGGAATACACTGCAAATAATTCCTACTTGCATTTCACTGACATTAGGTTGCCTTTCCCTGGGTAGGTTCTGCTTGCTTAAATTGTACATGTAAAGGTAACCTCAGCACTTTAGAGGACATATACAGTATGAATTCAAAATATAATTACTTTTAGGAGAGTACATAGAAGTACTCTGAACCATGGAGTACCACTAAATGGAAGCTTTTATTATAATTACCAATTTTACATGATACATGCAGTTATATATACTCTGATTCCTATCTCCTCCCTTACTGTGAAAGGGCTGGTTACATTCAGGAGAATGTGAAGGTCATTTCACCACAAAACACTCTAACTCAGAGTATTGAAGTATTAACTAGATTTATTCTGAGTATCAGTTTTTTCTTATGCATCCCTTTTCATTATCTGATTCACATCTCTCATGAGTGATGTTAATGTAAATGGTTGAATATTCTCAGAGTATAGTAAATATAACAACATAGCACCTTAATCTCACAATAAGGTTATTTTTTCTGTCTTAATTTTATCTTGTTTTATCCTTATATATTTTGGAATATGGATCAGCAGCTTTCCTTTTTTTTTTTTTGAGACAGAGTCTTGCTGCTCTGTTGACCAGGCTGGAGTGCAGTGGCATGATCACAGCTTACAGCGGCCTCAACCTCCTGGGCTCAAGTGATCCTCCCACCTCAGCCACCTGAGTAGCTGAGATTACAGGCATGAGCTACCACACCTGGCTAATTTTTACATTATTGGTAGAGATGGAGTCTCACTATGTTGCCCAGTCCGGTCTCAAACTCCTGAGTTCAAGCAATCCTCCTACCTTGGCCTCCCAAGGTCCTGGGATTTCAGGTGTTAGCATTAGTTCCAGCCAGCTACTTCTATACAATAGGATTTATTCTTACCATGTTTTCTAATGTATTTTGTGCCATTTCCTGCTGTTCTAAGACACAAAAGTAAAAAAATATATATTTTCATATAATATTTACATGTATATAATGTTTACATATATATTTGTACTTGATGTCTGGGTCCAGAGTTACATCTGAAGTTTTTATTATGTTAACCATTATAATTGGCGTCCTACTGCTGTCAGACTTACTCTAACAAATAGATTACTGTTTATTATATTGAAGGAAGGGTGTATTGAACGATGGCTAGCTTTTGAAATGAAAATCTCAAGAGACAGTGACCCAATTTATTATGGGATTTGATATGTTTGATGGAGGGGATAGAAAACATTTTTAGCCAGCATCATGATTTCTAATTTTTGTTTGGGTCTTAGAGAAGAGGGAAGACTTCACCTTCCAGATCCCCTATGTACCAATTCCAGATGTTGGAAACAGACGTTTGGGAGATCTTTGGAGTCCTGTGTGGACTTGTGACCTCCTATCCTAAGTCCAGTCACAATTTTTTTTTTAGCATTCTTGAATTGTACAGTGAGAAACGAGTTGCTTTGGTCAAATGTTCCTCCTTTTTGCCATGGTGTACTCTGGGCATATCCCTAACTTTGCATTGGCTGTAAGGTTCTTCCTTTCAGCTTTGTAGATGAGAGTGCAGTGCTTAGTTTCAAATTCTGGCTCTGCTACTTTCTAGCTGTGTGAGCCTGGGTGAATTACTCATCTTTCTGACTTTTAGTTTTCTAATGTGTAAAATGAGAATAATAAAGTGCCCAATTCACAGTGTGGTTGTAAGGATGAAATAAGATATATGATGGCTCAGCATAATAGTATGTGGTAAGCACTAAGTCAATGACATCTATTATTACCTCTATACTTGTGCTGCTCAGGATGCGTGTCTTACTTGCAAAGAGCTTGGCTGCAGCCCTCTGAGACTGTTAAACTGAACTAATTGATCAGAGTTTGGTCACCTAGTGCCCACATTATATAGAGCCAAGGAACCGGTTAGTTTTGGACATGTTGGCGGATCACTTAAATTCATGCTACTGGCCTTGAAGGCCCTCGAACAAGAGCATTTTCTTGGTTCATTGCAAACCTATCACTAGTGTTAGAAAAATAACCTACGCACGTGTGTGTTAGAGGCATCACCTCTGTGGAGGAAGCATCATTATAGTTACTTATTGACTTCTTGCTGTGCAATATTTTAAATAATGCTTTAATAATGTTTTAGTCAAAATGAAAATATCTTTAAGAGAGCTCAAGCACACACTGAATTGCTAAAAAGTTATATGACAAAAGAAAGAGTGCTGTAATGACATTTTTATGAGTCAATCTTTATTGAATGTCAATAAAATTCTGCACTATTCTAGTTGAATAGGAAGAGACTAGTTCATAAGAAGCCCATTACCCTAAGCTAGGTGTTAATAATCTCTTTGTCTGTGTTAATATTACAATATGCTGCATAATGCCAGGCTTGGAATACAAAAGTTCAGGGTTATGTAAGTGTTCTGGCATGCACAACTCTTTGAGCAAGACACTTGGAATTCTAGCTTGTCCAGCAGTTTAACTAGGCTGCGCAAACAATAGGGGCAAGAATGTAGCAAAATGCCCCTATTTCAACTATTCTTAATATAGCTGTCTTTTGATGGCTTTCTCACAAATTGTTCAGTCCTGAGAGTCCCATATTTTTTTCCTATCAATAGTTTACCATCTTTACACTTAGCAAGGAAACTTGCTAACTGTCTTAAGAGGTGGTGACATTCATTATTTTTCAATTTATCTGAAGAAAACTACCCTTTTCTCTCACTAGCTTTTATATCAAATTTAGTCCTTAAGCCGGTATATATAGTGTATAGGTATTTTTGGGACACTAAATAGTCAATAAAATGCAAGAAAAAGCATTTAGCTTTTAAGAGCAAATGTCTCACTTTCTTTTTTTTTTTTTGAGACGGAGTCTGGCTCTGTCGCCCAGGCTGGAGTACAGTGGCGCGAACTCGGCTCCCTGCAAGCTCCACCTCCCGGATTCACGCCATTCTCCTGCCTCAGCCTCCCGAGTAGCTGGGGCTACAGGCACCCACCACCTCGCCCGGCTAATTTTTTGTATTTTAGTAGAGACGGGGTTTCACCCTGTTAGCCAGGATGGTCTCGATCTCCTGACCTCGTGATCCGCCCGCCTCGGCCTCCCAAAGTGTCGGGATTACAGGCGTGAGCCACCGCGCCTGGCCAAATGTCTCACTTTCTTAACATAGAGCAGACCTTCTTAATCACTGCAAACTTTCTACCGATCTGATAGATATACAAGGCTTCTCTTCGGAAGAGAAAAATAGCTAGTGGTTCATTGAGAATTGACTCTGGGCCAGAGTCTGACCTAAGCATGTATGTGTATTAACTCACTAAATATGTGTATTAACTTACCACCTTGAGGTGGGTAATTTTATCTTTTCCATTTCACAAATTAGGAAACCAAGGCCCACAGAGATCAGATAACTTGCTTTAGTAAGTGGTTGAACAGGGATTCAAATATAGGCTAATTGGGCCAGGCATGTGGCTCATGCCTGTAATTCCAGCACTTTGGGAGGCCGAAGCAGGTGGATCACCTGAGGTCAGGAGTTCGAGACCAGCCTGGCCAGTGTGGCAAAACCCAGTCTCTACTAACATTACAAAAATTAGCCGGGCTTGGTGGCACTTGCCTGTAATCCCAGCTACTTGGGAGGCTGAGGCATGAGAATTGCTTGAAACCAAGAGGCAGAGGTTGCAGTGAGCTGAGATCGCACCACTGCCCTCCAGCCTAGGAGACAGAGCGAGTCTCTGTCTCAAAAAAAAAAAAAAAAAAAAAAAAATAGCCTAATTGGCTCCAGTAACTGAGTTCTTCAACACTAAACTATTTGTGTTTTGGATGCCAAAAAAAACTTCGCAAACATCAGTTGAGAAGAGTCTAGAAATAACTTTTTCCTAATTAAAAAAAAGAAAAAGAAGAAAATGACAAAAATTTAGAGTAGATTTTTTTCTTGCCCAAAATCATCTCATGGAAAATACACATTAGAAAGGCTTTTGGAACACTGTTTGCTTTTTTGGGCTTTCATGCTTCATGTCTCAGTGAAAGGACAAAGTTCTAAGAGCTGGGAGGTTCTGGTTCCAGGCTCTGCTGTTAATAGTTGTATCACATTGGCTGAGTCACTCATTCTCTTTGGATTATTTTTTCCAAGTGAAAATATTAATGCTATTAATCTTATATAGTTATTGAGAGAATCAGATAGAACTGATAGGAAATGATTTAAAAATACCAAGCAGTATGGAAATATAAAGTGGTATTTATAGTTGTTTATTGTCACCAGCCATATATGGAATCATGTCATCTCAGAATTGGAAGAAGTGTTAGAGTCACCTAGGAACAAGGCATAGTGGTGGGGTGGAAAGAGCTGTAACATTTGTCCTGCATTCAAATCTTTTCTCAGCCACTTATTTACTTAATCTTGGACTGGTGATCCAACTTCTCTGAGTCTCGGCTCTATTTGTGAAAGATAATTATATTTTCTTTCCAGGGATATGAGGATTAAGTGTAGTGTCCTGTCACATGGTCTCTCAGGAAATCCTCAGCCTAAAAGAAAACAAAACAAAGCCAGAAACAGCCTGCCAACTGAGATTAATACAAGTAGCAAAAATCACACACCATAATATTTTGAAGATAAATGGAAGTCAATAAACATTTGTTAAGTATTACCATAATAAGTATTTTGGCCGGACGCAGTGGATCATGCCTGTAATCTCAACATTTTGGGAGGCTGAGGCGGGTGGATCAACTGAAGTCAGGAGTTCGAGACCAGCCTGACCAACATGGTGAAACCCTGTCTCTACTAAATACAAAAAATTAGCCTGGCATGGTGGCACGTGCCTGTAATCCCAGCTACTCAGGAGGCTGAGGCAGGAGAAACACTTGAACCTGGGAGGCAGAAGTTGCAGTGAGCTGAGATGGTGCCATTGCACTCCAGCCTGAGCAGCAAGAATGAAACTCCGTCTCAAAAAAGAAAAAAAAAAAAAAGAAGTGTTTTAAGTATTCTTACTAGAGGAACATGTGAAAGGTATGAGATGCCAATGGCATCTTTATTTTATTTTTATTTTTTACCTACAGCCCATGTTTCTGCTAAGTATCTGTATTTTATAAAAACATAGCAATGCTATGCTAACTACTTATAATTTTTAGAGGATGACAATACCACAAAATCTGATGGTTTACAGTTTCTTTAGGTTTATCTATATACACAACCTGTGAGCGGTGGCAGTGTGGTAGGCTGAATAGTGACACTGTAAAGATATCCATGTCCTAATCCCCAGAACCTGTGAATATGTTGTGCTGTATGCCAAGGAGATATTAGGGTTGCAGATGGAATTAAGGTTGCTTGCTATCAGCTGACCTTAAAATAGGGAGAGTATTGGGTTATCCAGGTGGGCTCAATGTAATCACAAGGGTTCTAAAAAGTGAAAGAGGTAGAAGAGAGAGACCCAGAATGATTGCAGCATCTGAAGGGCTTGGCCTAATGTTGCTGTCTTTGAGGAATAATGAAGAGGGTTATGAGCCAAGGAATGCAAGAAGCCACTAGAAGCTGTAAAAGGCAAGGATAGTGATTCTTCCCTAGAGCTTCCAGAAAGGTGCAGCCCTGCCAACACCTTAATTTTAGCACTGTGAGATCCGTTTTGGACTTCTGAACTACAGAACTGTAAGATAATGCATTTGTGTTATTTTAAGCCACCGAATTTTGGTAATTTGTTATAGCAGCCATAGAATAAACACAGGCAGTTTTCTTTCTTTTCAACCCTTTTATTTTCTTTTTCTTTTTTTTTCTTTTGAGACGGAATCTCGCTCTGTTGCCCAGGCTGGAGTTCAATGGTGCAATCTCTGCTCATTGCAACCTCCGCCTCCGGGGTTCAAGCAATTATCCTGCCTCAGCCTCCTGAGTAGCTGGGATTACAGGTGCATGCCACCAAGCCCGGCTAATTTTTGTATTTTTAGTGGAGATGGGGTTTCACCATGTTTGTCAGGCTGGTCTTGACTTCCTGACCTCGTGATCCACCTGCTTGAGCCTCCCAAAGGGCTGGGATTACAGGCGTGAGCCACCATGCCTGGCCTATTTTTCTTTTCTACTTGCATTGGCTAATTGCATTATTTGTACCGGCTAATTGCATATTGTAATTGCATTGTTGCTTCTATTAAATATACTATTAATAATTACTAGTATAATTAATTAGACTATTATTGCTTCTCTTAATAGAATAGTATTAAATGTTCTATTCTTGTTTTTCATTTTAAAAGGAATGTTTATAACTTTTTGCTAATAAGAAATATGTTTGCTATAGGTTTTTAATATATTCATTCCTATGTCAGGTTAAGAAAACTCCATTCTATTTCATCTTTTAAAATCAGAGAATACCTATTAAATTTTATCAAATATTATAACTTAATTTCCCCTTTCTTATGTTATACATTTCTTATCCAATTTTTGTACCCAAAATAGCATAATTAGGCTTTCTCCCTCTTTCTTACATTTTTGGAAAAGATGATGAGTCAGGGAGGAGAGTACTCTTTAAAAATTAATGAATAATTTAGCCCTAAAAGTAGAAAAAGTAATTTTATTGTTGGTGAGTTCTCAAAGCAGTACCAAAAATTGCTAGATGAATTAAAGAAGAAAGTGGGAGCTTATTGTGGCAGTAAATTATAGATAGTAAGTTGTGGGCAGTAAATTTAAAACAGCAAATAGTGTAAAATATGTAGCTAAAACTATCTAAGGGTAGGTTCTCTAGTCTGACATCTATTTTCTTTTTTCTTGAGATAGAGTTTTGCTGTTGTTGCCTGCCCAGGCTGGAGTGCAATGGGGTGATCTTGGCTCACTGCAAACTTTGCCTCCCGGGTTCAAGGGATTCTCCTGCCTCAGCCTCCCAAGTAGCTGGGATTACAGGAGCCAGCCACCACACCCAGCTAATTTTTTGTATTTTTTTTAGTAGATACAACATTTCACCATGTTGGCCAGGCTGGTCTCGAACTCCTGACCTCAGGTGATCTACCCGCCTCAGCCTCCCAAAGTGCTGGGATTTCAGGCGTGAGCCACTGCGCCTGGCCAAGTCAAACATTTTTACTCAATTTTTTCATTATCACTTGCTTTTAGGTTTGTTTTCATTTTCTGCAGGTAGACAGAATAGTATAGGAAACTTCATAATTATTCAATGTCAGTATGGCTAAGATATTGATACCTTGTCCATTTACTAAACATCTCAACCATAGATGAAGTCAACAACTATTTCCACCACAGTTTGACCATTTCAGAACTCCTGTCTTCTCAGCCAGTGACTTGATATATTTGCTCATTATAAGTATGACTCATTTTCTTTCTTTCATTGTTTCTGTATTCCAACCTTCCTTTTAATTTGTAAGTATAAACTCATGATTTAGAAAAGCTTATATCTACTTGACTGCCTTTTATGTACTCTACTGAAAAACATTTTCCAAATGGGACTTTATTACTTTTAGAACTTGTCATTGCCCTTGAATGATGGATTTGGCGGATGCTGAAAGCAGGCTTTAATTCAAGCTAAGAAGTGAATCCTGGTGCATTTTTGGGTAGAGATATGAGAGGGGATTGAGGGTGGAGTGCAGTGGAGATGAAAAGAATGGAAAGGAGTGCCAAAGAATGAGGAGTTACCAGTGAAGACAGCTCTGAATAGTCACTCCTTGGAACAACTCCTGTGATAGGAATGCCAATTGAGAAACAAGGCCCTGCGTACCTCGGGTATGGCAAGTTTTGACTGAATTGGAGCAAACACCGCTGCCGGACAGCATTTCCCAAATTGTGTCTATGAAAGATATATCCTTTATCCCTTTAACAGACATTCTGGTTCATATTCTTCTTTTTCTTTTTGAAACCAAGTTTCGCTCTTTTTTGTCCAGGCTGGAGTGCAATAGCATGATCTCAGCTCACTGCAACCTCTGCCTCCTGGGTTCAAGTGACTCTCCTGCCTCAGCCTCCTGAGTAGCTGGGATTACAGGCACACACCACCACACCCGGATAATTTTGTATTTTTACTAGAGATGGGGTTTCACCATTTTGGCCAGGTTGGTCTCGAACTCCTGACCTCAGGTGATCTGCCTGCCTTGGCCTACCAAAGTGCTCAGATTACAGGCGTGAGCCACCGCACCCAGCCCCAGTTCATATTCTTATGTTGAATTATCTTATTTGTGGAATACTTATCACTATTTTATTGGATAATTGTTTTCCGGAGGACACAGCTTGGTTTAGAAGAAGTAAAGAACAGCCCCACCACCAAGTCTTTTCTGCTATCACTATTTGATGTTGATATCACAGAGAATAGAAGGGAAAATGCACATAGACTTATGTCTCTTGTATCGAGGGATTCTTTTGTTTGCTTGTTTTTGAGACAGAGTCTCGCTCTGTCACCCAGGCTGGAGTGCAGTGGTGTGGTCTCGGTTCAGTGTAACCTCTGCCTCCCGGGTTCAAGCGATTCTCCTGCCTCAGCCTCCTGAGTAGCTGGGACTACAGACACCCGCCACCACGGCTGGCTAATTTTTGTATTTTTAGTAGAGATGGGGCTTCACCATATTAGCCAGGCTAGTCTCAAACTCCTGACCTTGTGATCTGCCTGCCTCGGCCTTCCAAAGTGCTGAGATTACAGGTGTGAGCCACTGCGCCCAGCCAAGGGATTCTTTATTATCAATTCTGAATCAGTAGAAAAGTCATGCAGATTTTAATATGAATTACATGCTCACTGTTGCATTGCATATTCACACACCCAATATTATCCCTGGATGACTTGTTCTTTTTTTCATTTGGTTAATTGCTTTCATTAATATATTATTTTAATTAGTACGTATTTGAGTGCCAACTATGTGCTGGACATTAAAGACATAAGGGCAAACAACACAGAGCTCTCTCTCTCTCTTCATGGAGTCATAGCATGTCAAAAGAGGCAAAGGGAGCACAGAGGAGAGCTACGTAACCAACACTGGAAAATCCAGAGAAGCTTCTCCAGAGGTAGTAACGTCTAAGCTGAGATTTTTTTTCTTTTTCTTTCTTTCTTTTTTTTTTTTTTTTTTTTTTTTTGAGACAGAGTCTCACTGATTTTTGAGACCTCTGCCTCCCGGGTTCAAGCGATTCTCCTGCCTCAGCCTCCCGAGTAGCTGGGATTACAGGCATGCGCCACCACGCCCAGCTAATTTTTGAATTTTTGGTAGAGCTGGGGTTTCACCATGTTGGCCAGGCTGGTCTTGAACTCCTGACCTTGGGTCCTCCACCCGCCTCGGCCTCCCAAAGTGCTGGGATTACAGGCATGAGCCACTGCGCCTGGCCTCTTTTTTTTTTTTTTTTTTAAGCCTCTGAGACAAGTTCAACTAAGCTGACACTAAGGATAAGTAGAAGTTAGGGAGGTAAAGTGGGTTTTTAGGTAAAGGAGGGATGAAACAGTGGCAGAGAGAAAGTCTGGAAATGACAGAGAAGAGCCTGGTTGAATAACTGAAAAATAAGTGCAGGTTGTCTACATAAATGACAAGGAAAAGAATGGCGAGAGGTAAGGCTAGAGGAGTAGATATGGACTGAATAAAGAAGGGCCTTGTAAACGGTAAGGAATTTGAGATTTATCCTGAGAGAAACAGAGCTTCAAGTTAAAGAGTTTCGAGCAGGGAAAGATAATTCTGGCTACTGTGTAGGGCAGGACCAACCACTGTAAGACCTGCAGTTACAGTAATTCAGACATGACACATAAGTTACTTGGCCTTAGGTTGTGACCATGCAATGCTGTGAAGATGGCAGTTGTAGTTTATATTGAATCAGTAGAATCTGCTGGTCATGAAGAGTGACTGGGGATGATGAGGAGGGTAGAGTCAGAAGTGACAGGTAAGTTTTGGTTTCATCAATTGTGTGAGTGGTGATACTATTCCCATAGTGATACTATGTGGGGCAGAGGAGGAGGAATGTGGCAGAGGGGCGGTGGGCAAGATCCGTTCTGCATGTGTTGAATTTGAGGTGCCAGTTGCACATCCAGAAGAATGCAGCTGCAATCAAAACTGGAGTTTGGAGAGAGATAGTGGCATATTGATGGTAACTTAATTCCGAAGGCTTTAGGAGCTCCCTAGGGGAGAGAGTAGTTTCGCTGTGTGGTGGGGGAGGGCTTAATAATGGATTGAGGAGTGAATGGAAGGTGAGGAAGCGGGTATGGTGAGTACATAATCAACCTCCTAGAAGTCAGTCTTTAAGGGAAAGCAGCAAAAAGAAAGGCCAGCAGCTAAAGGGGTGCACAGGTTTGAGGAAAGGCCTTTATAAAAATGGAAGATATCTGAATATACTTAAATGTGTTTAGACAAAGGGAAGGATAAGTTGAAACAACAGGACAAGGTCCCTGAGAAGCCTGGGGTGGATGTGAAGCATTTGTGGCAGAGGTTAGCCTTAAGCAGGGAGAGTGACATCATTTTCAATTGTAATAGAAGGGAAGGAAGGAATCAAGGGTGTAGAGGTGGGCACACTTTCAGTCGGCTCGAGGGGTTTGAGAGAGTCTCTCTGTGGATTTCTTTTCTTTTGTGAATGCAAGATTATCCACTGAGAATGAAAAGGAAGAAATTAAAGGAGAGTAGAAAAAGTTTGAATTACCACCATGATTAGGGAAACACAGACAGATTGTCAGTTGTTGGTAGTTGTTGAATGCACAGGTGAATTTGGAGACTTTGAATTTACGATGAACCAATCTGGGCTACTGAGTGATCTTCTCCCATAGCATTGAGTGGACTATACCAGACAAAGATGCAGAGAAGGTGGACAGATGGGCTATTACATATTTGGCTTTTGGCAAGTGAGCACGTGGAGCAATGGGGTAAAGAAGTTGTTGGCGTCAGTGTAGGTGAAAATTTGTTCTGTGTAACCTAAGTTGGAGAGCAGAGGAAGTGGAGCTGTGTGGGGCACGGTAAGGAGGGCCGAGAGATATAGGGAGTGGAGGTGGTTGTTAGGTGCAAGAATGGGTACAGTGGGAGTCACTGGGAAGGAAATCCTGCCAGGATAGTGGAGAGTCCTCAGAGTGGGATGTTTGAATGCATCATTCCAGAGTTGGAGCAGTTTCAGGGACTGACACAAATCAGTGTGTCAGAGGAGTGAGTGGCAGAATTGGAGGGTGGAAAAAGCCATTAGAAATGAGGCCTGAGAAGATAATGGAATAAGGTGTTGGTTACATTGACCATGTTGACACGTAAGTTACCTCAAATGATGGCATATAGGGAGAAAAATAAGACTGTGAACCACGTGCTAAAGGCTTCAATTAATGAAGGGAACGACAGAAGATGGCTGCAAAGAAGAAGGGCAGAGGGTGCTAGTAACCAGTTATCATTAAGACTCAAATAAGTGGGGCTTTCTATACATGGATGAAGAATTGTGTGGAACTGGCAATAAGGAGCAATGTGGATGCCAACTTTCTTTCCATCTAGGTGGGAGAATTGTGGGAAAATTAGCAGCCTCTATTTGAAGGAGTTGCAAAAGAGTGACCTCAGAGTTTTAGTTAAGGCACTGATGAGGAGAGAAAATTCACAGAAGAGGTTCACAATAAAAGGAAGGTCACCACCCCTGAATTAACGTCAGTCACTTATATTTTATTAAAACAGACTAGACGGCCGGGTGCGGTGGCTCACGCCTGTAATCCCAGCACTTTGGGAGGCCGAGGTGGGTGGATCACGAGGTCAGGAAATCGAGACCTTCCTGGCTAACACGGTGAAACCCTGTCTCTACTAAAAATACAAAAAATTAGCTGGGCATGGTGGCAGGTGCCTGTAGTCCCAGCTACTCGGGAGGCTGAGGCAGGAGAATGGCATGAACCTGGGAGGTGGAGGTTGCAGTGAGCTGAGACTGTGCCAGCGCACTCCAGCCTGAGCAACAGAGCGAGACTTTGTCTCAAAATAAAAATAAAAATAAAAATAAATAAATAAATAAAATAGACTAGACTAGCAGTATTTCTCAAAGTGTGGACCTTGGAACAAGTGCACTACCACCACCTAGGAGCTTGTTAGAAATAGAAATTCTCCAGTCCCATACCAGATCTCTTGAATCAGAAATTTAGGGGGTGGGGCCCAGCTATCTGTTTTCACAAGTTCTCCAGGTGATTCTGATAAATGCTGATGTTTGCGAACTTCCAGACTAGATCTAGCTTCCTAACATGAACAGACAATGAAAAGTCAACAAATACAAATTGAGAGAAGATTTAGAAGGCAAACATTTGATATTCAAATAGATAACAACATGTGTACTGTACAAAGGTGCAGAGGGATCGGAAAAAAATCATGGTCCTCAGTTTCACTGGCTTGCTTTAAACCACATATTAATCATCGTAGGCTTCCTGCTCTTACTCCTGTTCTCCATGGACTAATTCAAACCTCTCTACTTTCTTTAAATTCCTCCCTGATCACTTATTAGGTGATATTCCATCTACCACCAAGCAGGTGATATTACACCATACTTTATATAAAACATATCTTTAGTAAAAGGTCACAACACATCTTCCCTTAGTTTGAGAACTAGTTAGCATGCCACAGACAAGCTCTGTGGATTGTTTTGCCCATCATGCACATTAATAAAATTCAGAAGTCCCAGTGAGTTTTGTTGTTCTTGCAGCTTTTGTTATTTCTTTTCTTTTTTTCTTCCAAGAGAAATAACCGTTTATTTACTAAAAAATATTAATTGAGAACTCACTGAGTTGGGTTCCTGCTTAGTTTTACCATGTGGTGGAGGAGACAGACAAACTACAGTTATTAACCATCTGATAAGTGTTTTAGCAGTGCCAAGTACAAGAGATTATTGGAGTAAAGAAAGAGCATCTCAACTTGGCAGGAAGAGGTGTTTAGTAAGTTGATGCATATGTTGAATCTTGGAAGAAGAGGAAGTATTCTTCAAATGAATGGCAGGGATGGGGATGGAGACTATTTCAAGGCTAGAGAGCAACCAAAGTGATCCTCAAATAGTTTAACATAGGAGAACCTTAGGTGAGGGTTGCTGGCCAGCAAGGCATGAGGTTATAAAGCTAGTCATGGTTGGATCACAATGGGCCTCGGATTCTACACTGAGGTATCTGCATGAGGATGGGAGACTACTGGCAGATTTTAAGCAAAGGAATAGCATTATTAAATTTCCCCGTAGAACTGTTTTTAGGGAAGCTGGTTTTGGCACAATGCTATGGTTTGGATATGGCACGTTCATGCCAAGTCTCATGTTGAAATTTGATCCCCGCTGTTGGAGGTGGGGCCTACTGGGAGGTGTTTTGGTCATGGGGATGGATCCCTCATGAATGGCTTGGTGCCATCCTCATGGTAATGAGTGAGCTCTCATTTTATTAGTTTTTGCGAGAGCTTGCCCAAGTGCTGGTGTTAAAAAGAGCCTGGCACCTTCCCCTGTTCTCTTGCTTCTGCTTTCTGCATGTGGTCTCTGTTCACTGGCTCCCCATTCACCATCAGTGGAAGTAGCTTGAAGCTCTCACCAGATGCAGATGCTGGTGCCATGTTTCTTGTACAGCCTGCAGAACCCTGAAACAAATAAACCTCTTTTCTTTATAAATTACCAAGCCTTAAGTACTCCTTTCTGGCAACACAAAAATAGACTAAGACATACTCGTGCTTGGCTTACATTGAGAAACATTATCAAAATCTGCTGATGTAGTTATAGAAGTGTTCTTTATAAGAAATCTCACATAAAAAATATTTTCAGGCCAGGTGTGGTGGCTCAGGCCTGTAATCCCAGAACTTTGGGAGGCCAAGGCGGGCGGATCTTGAGGTCAGAAGATGGAGACCATCTTGGCCAACATGGTGAAACCCCGTCTCTGCTAAAAATTAGCTGGGCATGGTGGCACGTGCCTGTAATCCCAGCTACTTGGGAGGCTGAGGCAGGAGAATCACTTGAACCAGGGAGTCGGAGGTTGCAGTGAGTCGAGATCGCACTACTCAACTCCAGTCTGGGCAACAGAGCAAGACTTCGTCTCAAAAAAAAAAAAAAAAAATTTCAGGCCAGGTGTGGTGGCTGGGGCCTGTAATCCCAGCACTTTGGGAGGCTGAAGTGGGCAGATCACCTGATGTCAGGAGTTTGAGACCAGCCTGACCAACATGGTGAAACCCTGTCTCTACTAAAAATACAAAAAATCAGTCAGGCATGGAGACACACACCTGTAATGCCAGCTATTCGGGAGGCAGAGGAAGGAGAATTGCTTGAACCCACAAGGTAGAGGTTGCAGTGAGCCGAGATCGCGCCACTGCACTCCAGCCTGGGTGATAGAGTGAGACTCCATCTAAAAATATATATATTTATATTTAATATATATTTATATAAACTAAATTAAATATTTAAAGTATATATATTTATATAACATAAATATACAAATTTATAAATAAATATATACTTTAAATAAATAAATATATATATATTTTCAATTAGCTTTGGTTATTTTGAGGAAACTGTGCCTTGTCACTTTATGGATAAGTGTGTTACTGATTTTTCTTTTTGCTATGAACAACAAGGAACTCAGAGCCATGCTGGTTGTTTGATTTAATGATACTATGTACTTTTATATTCTCTATCTTTTCATTATAACTTTCTTTGTGGTCTTGAACTATGTTTACATATGTTTTTCCAGGTTCTTATTTTTAAACTAATTCATATATTTTAGAAGTTTTCTTTTTTCTTTTTTTTTTTTTTTTTGTGAAACAGGGTCTCCCTCCATCACCCAGGCTGGAGTGCAGTGGCACCATCTTGACTCACTACAGCCTTGACCTCCCAGGCTCGTGATCGTCCTGCCTCAGCCTCCCAAGTAGCTGTGACTACAGGTGTGTACAAGAATGACTGAATAATTTCTTCTTGCATTTTTTTAGAGACAGGGTTTTGCCATGTTGCTTGGGCTGGTCTCAAATTTCTGGGCTCAAGCAATCTGCCTGCCTCAGCCTCCCAAAGTGCTGGCATTACAGGAGTGAGCCACCGTGCCTGGCAATAGTGTTCTTTATAAATGTTCTTTTAATTTTTCTTAAATATTATGGGAAGTGAAATAAAAGGATGAATTTATAAATAAAGCCATATTTACTTTCTTTGAATCACCATCCTCAGAGTGATAGAGGGTATGAGATAGTTAATAGTTGCAGAGAGGCCAGTTAGAAGGCTTCTCCAAAAGTTTGAAAAATGAGGAAAGTCTAAACTGAGACCATGGGATGAGGATGGAGAGAAGGGGTAGATCTGATGGAGATTTAGGAGGCAGAATTGAAGGAACTTGGTGAATTAGATGCTGTGTGTATGAGGGGATGGGTGGGTGATGGAGGTGGGTAGTGTCCATAATGATTCTGAGGCCTCCATCTTGTTTGCCTGGATGGCAGGTGGGGAAGGTGGCACCATTTATTATGATATGGAAGTCTGTAAGAGAACCAGGGGTGAAGTGGAAGATGATAAGCACCTGTGAGACATCCAGGTGGACATGCCTTTATCAGTTGGTCTGAAAGTCGGAAGGAAGTCTGATGAAGACAGAAACGTGGTCTTTGTGAGAAAGAATGAGCTCTTTTGGAGAGAGGGAATGCGTGGCTGAGAAGAGCAAAAGCAGAAGAGAGAATGAAAGTGAGAGCCCTGAGAATCATCATTTAACGATCAGGTAGAGAAGGAAGAGCTGGCAGAGGAAAATAAGGAAGAATAGTAGGATTAAATGACAAGAATATAAAGACTTGAGAACTAAAAATAGTGCTGAAGAGGGTGGCAGTGGTCAACTGCATCTAATGCTGCTGGCAAGATCAACAAAGATGAGCGCTAGGTCTAGCCACTCCACAGTGTGTATATACTTCAAAACATCGTATTTTGCACAACAAATACACACAATTTTATCTTTCAATTACAAAAGCAAAAATATAAGAAAGGTGAGCATTGGGAAGTACTCTTTTATTTGGGACTTGTAAATAATTGGTGTCTTTGTGGAGGCATTTATTCATTCATCATTCATTAAATACATATATATATATATGTAATTTTATTTTATTTATTTATTTATTTTTTTTTTTTTTTAGACTGAGTCTCGTTCTGTCCCCTAGGTGCAATCTGGGCTCACTGCAACCTCCGCCTCCCAGGTTCAAGTGATTCTCCTGCCTCAGCCTCCTGAATAGCTGGGATTACAGGTGCCTGCCACCACACCCAGCTAATTTTTTGTATTTTCAGTAGAGATGGGGTTTCACCATGTTGTCCAGGATGGTTTTGATCTCCTAACCTCGTGATCCACCCGCCTCAGCCTCCCAAAGTGCTGGGATTACAGACGTGAGCCACTGCACCCAGCCCATTAAATATTTATTAAGTGATTATTATACGCTACATTCTAATCATATACTGATGACTAATTTGATGGGAGGATGGTAAGAGGCAACTAAACGTAAGGTAACTTAATTCATCAAGATGGGAAATAGTGGAGGAAAATTAGGAGGGGAGGCCGGGCGCAGTGGCTCACGCCTGTAATCCCAGCACTTTGGGAGGCTGAGGCAGGTGGATCACGAGGTCAGGAGTTTGAGACCAGCCTGACCAACATGATGAAACCTTGTCTCTACTAAAAATACAAACATTAGCCTGTGTGGTGGCGGGCACGTGTAGTCCCAGCTACTCAGGAGGCTGAGGCAAGAGAAACGCTTGAACCCAGGAGGTGGAGCTTGAAGTGAGCCGAGATCGGTCCACTGCACTCCAGCCTGGGCAACACAGCGAGACTCCGTCTCAAAAAAAAAAAAAACAACAACAACAAACCAGAAAGTTCTAGTTTTAGAAAATCCCTATAGCTAGGTATGTTTACCAGGTTAAATGGTGGGGTTACAATATTGTAGAAGAGTAGAATAAAATTCTTTATGAATAATGTTTAAATCAAAGAAAAGAGGCCAAGGTTTTCATGAACATCAATAAAGCTTTATAACAATACAATTCATTATCATTGTTTGGATTAATATTGTAATAATTACACACTTTTTACATTATGAAAATAAGTCATAAATAGTGTAAAAATAATTCTGAAGATCAACTTCTCACAAACTAGGAACCCTGAAAACAAATTTAAAAAGCAAATAAAAACAAACTGGAAACTGAACACAATGCAATTATCTCCAAACCGCAAATCAAAAATCTTATGCATCTTTTGATACAGTAATGTCAGCTGGAGAAATTACAAGGAAATTAAAATAAAAATTGAACAGGGAGAATTCAATCTTTCAATTATTTACACTACTGAGATAAACAGGTTTGTGCCATATTTACAGTGATAAGACACAACACATTCTTAGAATAATCAATTGTATGAGACTGGCCCACAAACATTTAAAAAAATATGCAGTGTAATGCTTGCCAAAATATTTTTTTTTGCATATTTCACTTATTTTGTATTTATGTGAGTTTTTGGCAATATAAAAATAGCTGCACATAGAGATGAACTTTAAAATGTAAAAAATACAAATAAAAATATAATATTTTCTAAAGAAAAATCAGATACATACATCTTTTAAAATGTTATTAAGTTGAATGAAACATTTACAACAGTATAAAGAATATTCACATAAATGTCAACAGTATGTAAGACATTCTTTTGTGAATCCAATTCGTTAATATTTCTGAGATAGGTAAGAATATCAACTACATTTTGAGAGATGTTGGTACTTTCTTTGTTAAGTTGTTAATAAATCACACATAACGGTTTAGGTTGAAAAAGTCTTCTTATGCCCAAAAGGACGGTTCTTTCAATAAGCAGCATAGGCAATTTTATACATTTAAATATTTTGAAATGAAAAAAGTCATTAAAGTGTTTATTAGTACGGGGTTAGCAAAAACCAAACTCCACTAAAAATTTAAGTTAGAGGAGTGTCTCTGCTGTGTCAATTTTATATTGGCAACAAATCTAGCCAATATAAAGATATCCCAAGAAAAATGGGAAGAAGTAGGGACTGACAGTCCTCCTAGCCTAAAACAATTTAGCATAATCATAATTGGTCAAGCTTGTTAATTCCACTAGGGATGTATGATTTTAATAGCCAGAATCACATGTGATTGTTCTTACTTATTATTTTTAGAAAGATAAGATAGGGTTCCTAAGGACTTAACTTCCAAGAGATAGCAGGAGCTCTTGTTTTTACAAATTAGAAAATCCTATTTTTTTGTAGTGTGAAATATTAATATAATTTGATTATTAGGAAGTAAGAAAAAACAAGATTTCAAATATTAGCATCTGTATGTTGCTTATGATCACTTATTAGAAGATGTTAAAACACCACCAAAGTATAGCCCTACTCTGGGTAAGACAATATATAGTGGGGAAAGAAAGGATAACAAATGATGTTAACTTTTCATGCTTCAATAGTAACATTAAAAAAAAAAACCCTTGGAAATTAAGCACATTTCCTAAGTGAGAAAAATATAACATATCAAAGACAATTTTTCCATTGGTACTGACATGCTGATTTGACAATTTTCTAAACTAGCACATATGTCTATATAGATAGATAGTTAGACAAAGGACATGTAGTATAAACTAGTTGATGTGTAAGTTCTTGCTGTCCCATCAGAACATCGTATGCACAGAATGTAAATTCAAAAACAAGACCTTTCTTCTGGTAGGAATTAAAGATATTCTAATGTCCTCTATAAAATCACATGAGAAAAAAAAATCCTCCAAGACTGCTTTTGCTAATGAAAAACAAAAACTGAAAGAAAAAATTAGGTATATTTGTGCACTAGGTACTCTATACGGTGTGTGCAGACTTCTCTGATGCTAGTTTTGTCATGTTTCATCAAATCATATAAACTAAAAGACGAGTGAATGAAAAAGATGAGACACATGAAAGTAGATAAAGGCATATGATGTATGAAATGAATATGAAATAGGAGGATCCATGATCCGAGTAAACACACATCATCTATTGGTACACTGTTTTGTTTTACATTAAGAAAGCCTGGTCATTGGACCATAATTATAGCAAATTCATGAACTTTAAAAATAAAATAACACACTAATGATTTAGGAATGCTATTAAACAGGGAAATAAAATTATCCATAGTAGTTGTATTGTCCATAGAGAAAAAGGAAAAGAGATACATTAGCACCAACCAACATAAATGAAAAACAATTTTAAATCTAAAACACATATCAATTTGCTATCCTTCAATGTTTTATTAGAAATAGAAACTGACCTTGCCTTATTTCCAATGTGTCTTTCATGTATATTTTCTCAACCCTCTATCCAATAACACACATTAAAGAAATCTTTAAGGAAAGTATATTATCTATCAACACATATCAACAAACACAATTCTTTCATTCACTTAGAAATTATTTAAGAATTCTCTATATGACAAAATGGATGCTTGAAAACATTGTAGTAACCAAAAGTTAAAGATTATCCATCATGGTTAAGACCTAGCAATTCCACTGAACAAGGAGGAGTATTTCCATCCCTTTGTTTTTCCCAAGGAAATAAATGTAATGAAAGTTTACAACCTCATTTAATCATGAAATAAGTTGATGTTGTCAAATCAGTTATAGAGCAAAAACTCAATATACACACAGGACAGAATAGTATTCTTTGAAGGGCTGTATTTCAAAAAATTTTTTTATACATAAAGTGTTTTTCTTTTGATGTTGAGGTATCGTCTCCTGAAGCTGTGCAAGTTTTAAATAGTGATCCATTTCAATCCACCTCTTTCTACTAGAGGAGCAGAAAAAAAGATAGAAGGGAAAAAAATATAGCCACTGGACACTGTAGTTTGTTTTCCTGAAGAGAATGTAGTTCCACCCACTTCAGTTCATTTTTCCAAACCATTTAAGACAAATTGTGTCAGACATTGAGCAATACGTTATCCTAACACCATGCCATACAAGAAATTGTTAGAAAATGTCCTCCATTATTTTCAAAATGCTAAACTGGCTTAGGGGTGTGGAATGTTACCAGAAATGTTACCAATTAGACTGATCTAATAGTTTAAACATCTTTCAACCTTAAAAATTTAATAGAAAAAAAAGAAGATGCCATTTTGTATGACTGTCATTTGGTTACATAACATAAATGAGATCATGAGGATTTTAGGTTCCTTGTCTTATGGTTATATCTTAACTATAAGCCAAGGATGAGTTAATTTCCCTTCTGGTGGTGACACCTATGCATGAAACTAGAAATCTTCCCAGAAGATGGCATTGAGTCAGGAGAGAAATTAAATTCTCTAATGGGCTGAAAGGGTGCCTACTCCTCATTGATAATGTTTCTTTCAATGTAACACTTCCACTTAGAATAAGCCATTTCAAAACACGCTACCAACTCTTTACTGTGCAAAGAAATGTTCCATCTAATATGGTTAGGTAAAGTTTGAGCAAGTAGATGAAAAATATTTTCTTTATGGCAACTATATTTCACAGCTTTCTGAGATCTTAGATTTGGTCTGTGGATATGAGGATGAGACAAACATTTAGAAATGTTAAAAAGAGAAAGAAATCTAAATATAGACAAAACTTAAAACCATAAAAATAGAAATTAGTTAATATTACCAAATGTGACAAAATCTTGGCTTTATATTAACTGATAATCTCCATGTACGTTACATTCATCATGTAAAAAAAGTCAAAACTACTTAAAAATGCATAACTTTCATGCTTTACAATGATTAGACTGAAAGTGGAGCTTCTTTTATATTCTATCCAATTATCCAAAACAAGAGAGAAGTTAGTAAAAGGTCATTTTGACTACTGGAGCCAAATTATTATGATTTGAAGACTTCTTAAAAAAATTGTTCAAAACATATGTGACAAAAACTGAAACTAATATTTTTTCAATATTCTTGGGACTAAAGAAAGAAAAAGAAAAAAGCATTAAAAAGAATGAAAAATACCTGTTTCTCAAACTTTGTAGGAAATGTTTGACATGGTTGGATCGTAGGAGGAAGGAAAGCTCTCACAACAACTTTGGCACAGATTGTCCCAGTAAGCTCTCCTATATCATCGGGAGAGGCGATTTTGGCTGATCCCTTCTCAGAACATGTTATTTCTTCAGCAACCCAAGTTTTGGTGGGATGGACATCCCTTTTCCCTCAGGGACAGGATCTCCCATTCCAAGAATCTCCTATTCCAAAAGAAGTGCTGTGCCTCTGTCATTTTTAAAAGCACCTATATTAACACTTGCTGAAATTCAGTTTATTTATACATATTTTTAAAGTCTGTGGTTCTGCATGTTTGCATTTGTAAACCTCTTTCCTACTTGGTCACATGAGAGGCAGTGCTGGAGGCTGAATCGGTCCTCTTCCCATGTCTTCACTGCCAAGGGCAGCCCAAGGAAAACTGGTGGCAGCAACAGGCTCAACCCCTTCGTATTTCAACCAAAGTGGCCACATGAGCCCACAATACTGGAAGCTGTAGATCTGCAGTCAGGACTGCAACTCCCTCAAAATACAAGACAAATTGTGTGTGTGCTCTCCGCCACCTTATCTCTTTTTGGCAATAAGCCATGGTGTAACCCCCTTGAGATGACAAAAGGAATAAAGGTTCAGATGTAATCAAAGGACTCCTGATCAACATGCTAGCATCTGAAGTTGCACAGCAAGCAGGTTTGGCACACAGTCATGCTTTTTTAGTTAGTTTCAATGGGTGGTGTAGGTATGAGTCAACGCCGACATGAAAGGTGAATGGGAATGTGATAATCAGCTCTAAAATCAGTCAGTATAGTACATTTTCATAGCTTTGAGTCCATATTTGGTCACCATTTCATGTAAACTATTTCATGGCACTTTTTGTCCATGCAATTAGCAAGCCAAAAGAAGGAAAATAGCTAGTACAATCAATCATTCTCTACCACTGATTTGTCCATATAAATACGTATCTTCACATAAGATAAGGAGATACTGATCTATATTTTTTGCAGGATTCTCACTGGTTTCACAAATTGCCCAATTTCAGATGTAAGTGGAGTAAAAATGGACATGTATACTACTGCCAGCAGGAAGAAGCAGCCCTATGTAAACATATCTCAGACTTGTAAAATCTGCAATTCAGTTTTCAACTATAAATATTAAAAATGGACCCTTATATACACAACTTCATGCTTGAAAGGTTAGATTCATCACTGCAGAAAAAGACAACAAAAAGACAAATACATGGAATTAGTAGTCTTGAATTAAAATTTTAAATCAATATTTATTTTCAGAAAACTGGTAGAACCTTGAATAGAGTCTATAAGCCAACTGACTGGCTATCAATGAGCCAATTGATTATCTGATATGTGTGCTATATATTACTTTCTAAACTCCAAGATGTCATGGCAATTTCCATCTGAGGTTCATTCCACATTTTTCCTTTGCCACTGAGAATTATCTTTCCTTTGCCACTGAGAATTTTAGGGTAAGTCTTTTGCTCAGTGACTGTTCTGGGAAAGCAGAAAATTAGGATGTTTATCACATATGTACCATAATTAAATTTAATTTTGTATTTGTAACCTACATAATCTTCTGCACGCATTACAATACAACTGTGGAAAGGGCTGAGGATTGACCTCGATAATGTTGTTTACGTCACCAACACCTGACTCTAATCCTCTATCTTCAGTTCTTGGCTCCTCCTTCCTTTTGCAAGCCTTGCCCTCTGTGAATGTTGTGCAAGGTAGACCTGCCTGCTGTCAGGCCTTCAATCTGTATTACAGGTTCCATTGTGACCTAAGGCACCGCAGATTTCTGGTTTCTCACCAGATTTCTGGTTTCTCACCACAGATTTCTGCTTTCTCATCTCTCTCTCATAGCAGTCATAATAACTAAGGTTTTCTTAGAACTGCATTAAGTCAGAGGTCTGAGGAACAGAGGTCTTTGAGATATACACTTACAAAGCAGATCTTAGAGACGTCCTTGACATTGGGTGTATCACCCTTTTGAACGCTGCTGTGTTTATTAGGTTGTAGGGCACAGTGGCAAATGTTTGCTTGACTTAAAATTCAAATTGTGGCAGTCGTATAAATCACTGATTATCAGTAAGCAGAATGTATAGGGAAGGAGAATAACGGAGGTCTCTTCATTCACCCTCCACAATGCATGGAGTCATCTTTAAGTTTATTTATTAACATTTGTTTTTCTCTATTCAAGGAATATAGATGCTCTACTAGGTGTGCTTTGGAGGCTGCTTTCTAATCTTCAGAGAAGGAGTTCACTCAATATTCTTGCCTGTCATGCCAATGCCAAAAAATGTGTCTATAGGAAGCACTCCTTTTTCCAAACCCTCACTTATCTCTCTTAACTCTTCTTGTGTTGGTAAATTTAGAAAATGGAACTATATCTAGAAAGAAAACTAATTTAAAAAAAGATCAAATAGTTTTGCATATATAAATCATTGAGAGGAGCATGACCAAGAGGAGTTGGTAATTAATCAGTGATTTATACGACTGCCACAATTTGAATTTTAAGTCAAGCAAACATTTGCCACTGTGCCCTACAGCCTAATAAACACAGCAGTGTTCAAAAGGGTGATACACCCAAAAATAGGACTCACTAAAAGCAATCCGCTGACTTTATTTTAAAAATATAATTTAAAAAATAGTTTTATTTGACTATTCAATGTAACAGCTAAGTTGACCACATAAGAAATTTGAGAACGTTTTCATTTTCTAAATTGTTTCTTTCCTTTCTGGGGATGGGTGGGAGAGGTTGATCAGAATGATTTGCATTTGTGTGTGTTGGGTGGGTGTGGTAAACAATACTAAACTTTCATAATTCTTATTCTTTATATAAGAAGATGCTGGATTCATAAGATCTTTAATCTTATGTAGTGTATAGTGTCTATTCTGTGGAAAAAGGAGTATTTAAAAGGAAAATTTCTGATTTTCTAATCGTATTCATATTACTACCAGTAATATGAATTTCATGAACCATTTCATGAACCAAAAAGATGATGCCCATTTCATGAACCAAAAAGATGATGAGTTCTTTGTTGCCATTTAAGGGTATAAACCCCTTTTAAAAAGGCAGCGATTCAGATTATAAACCCCTTTAAAAAGGCAGCAATTCAGAGGTGGCTAAGAACGATTGCGAACCCAAGTTCTGAGTGGTGTCAGAAGGCTGGCTAAAGCAAGCCTATTGCATCTCCTCTATGTGAAGTGTGCTAATGGCTGGTTTAAAAAATCATTATACTATTAGATTACAGGGCAAAGGTTAGAGATTAAGTGGTAATTCCAGCTCAAGATGGTATTAAAAATTCTGTGAACGGGGGTTATGATAGTGGAGGGATAGTTTTCTCAGGTGAAGAAGAATTTGATGATAGGTCCATTTTCATGAGACCCATTTGACCCTGTGTGTGATCAAGCTAATTATCTGACAGGCTGAAAGCGGAGTATGGGAAGCTACTAAATAAATGACGCTACTTAGAGAGGTTTTACTTTCTCTGGTCAAGTAGGTGAAACTGATTAAGAAAGAGAGTGAGTTATTCAGGATTTTCTCACCAATGGAGTTGCTAAGGTAAGAGGCAACTAGGAGTCAGGTTTCCCATCTTTCTGCATTGCTACATAGTTTTGCTATAATTTTGCTAATGAAGCATGCCTGTCCAAAATTACTGAAGAAGCCACAAGGTGCTGGAGAAAAAATTTCAAAATGATTGAAGCATCTTGTGCATTTCCTCAGCTCATTTTTACATGCTTGGAATGCTTTTATCCTTCAGTAGCATGTGCACAGCCTTTATAATTAGATCTTCACCATTATTGCATAAAGGTTTGATATTCTCTGAATAGCACAGCACATATGGATGATCTCTTCCCTGCTTACAGTTTTACTGTTGCTTTCCATTGTCTCTCTCTCTCCCTCTCCTAGTTGTGATACATACTAGTTCTGTGCTCTTGGAAGGTCCTTGACCTCTCGAATTTGTTTCCTCATCTGCATCACTGAGGGTAATAAGACTTTATGGAGTCATTGTGTGGATTAAATGAAATGATATTCTCTATATGAAAAGGCTTGTCATACAGCCTTTGCACATAGAAGGTTCTCTATAAAGAATAAACTTCTTTCATCACTGAATACACACACAGTGACTATGGGCAGTCATATGAAGAGGCTAGAATAAACTGATGTCATAAAGGACACCACTTAAATTTAATTCAGTTTTTCCTACATAAGTCAAGACATCATTAAACAAATGATGCTTATATTTTTCTGCTTTCTCAGCTCTGTGACTAATATTGACAGGGTTCTACCATGTATTATCATGTTTGTCAGTGTAAGTAAGGATAAATAGAAAAAGAATCACAATTAAGAATAGTTTTAAACATTAGGAAGACAAAGATTTTGAGAGACAAGCAAAACATTATCAGGATGCACTGCCCCTTTCCATTCCAAAGAAAAGATTAGATAGGGAAGGTTCCAAATTGCAGTGTTTGCTAAGAATTGCATTAGCTGATCAGTTTAGGAAGAAATCAGCAGTAAATATACTGATCAAAAGATATTCTGGAGATGAAATCTTTTGCTTTTTAATATCCGAAGGTCTTTTCTGAATGGAAAAGGCTAGTCCAGGTTAAGAGAAAGGGAGAGTGCTTCTTTTGAGAAATTATTCAGTAAAGCCTACCTTTTGCCAACAGCCAGGCATGGGTAAGCCATCTGGCCCCTGTTTTAAAGAGAAGAAAAAGAATTCCTCAGGTTCCATAAGAGTGATTAAACTTCATAATTCACATGCTCAGAGGCTTAAAAATAAATTTCTACCCATTAGTGACTTTGGTCATGGGCATCTTTTACTAATTAGCAACTCCCGATATATTTCCCAGTGTTAGGTAAAATAAAGAAAATTCAAATGTTTTCCAGAGTGAGTACACATTTTGAAAACACATGAAGTATAGAAAATGTTATGCCTAATTTTGAAAAAGCAATTTACAAAGCATAGTGCTCTATTCATATCTATATTTTTAGATAATAAATCTATACTCTTAATTCCATTAAAACACATCTCACTGGTATCTCTATTACGTAAACCAAAATAACTTCTCTTCCCGGTCACTATTAGACTATGGCTGAATTCATGATAATGATGAATAATCAATGATAAACCATTTCTATCTGAAGTTTATAGCTCTTCACATGCCAGTATTTTTCACTTTTCTATATTGAAAGTAAATACAGTAGAACATACTCAATTGAATTAGAGGACAGGCAGCCTATCTATATTTTTATGATAAAATATTATCTACAGCATTTATCGATTTCTCTATTTAAATTATTCAAAAGTTAACAAATTCTGAATAAAATAAGAGGTTCCTAAGTGTTGCAAAATTTATTTTAAAGTGTATGCATTCTTCAGATACAAATGACACAAATAACGCAGGAAGAGTTGGTACATCAAGAAGGCATGCTTCTACTTTTCCACCAACAAAATGATCATAAAATATGATTTATCATCAATACCAAGCAAACAAAGAACTGGGAACTTCATATTGAGATTTTCTAACTATAATCACTGACTGCTTAATTTTTAAAAATATAAATACAATCTCTTAAAGAGAAATATAAATTTATCTTTAAAGAATCATGCTTATACCTGAAGAATAATATAAGAACATGCAGACCAATATAACCATCAACGCAAACATAAAAATTTTTATTTATACCTCAGAAAATATGAATATACTTTCATTTTAAATGTAAAAAAAGAACACTTTTAAAAAGCTTCATAAATATTTGGGAAAAACTGGTAATGCCAGATTGGTACAAGGAGAAGGTTCAACCAGCAGAATTTTAGATTTTAGTATCAGGAGGATTTTGAGTTCATGCCAATGGAGATAAGGGAGTTTGGTCTACTTTAGGAAAGTGAGTTTCAAAAGGAGAGACCATTAAACTGAAAAGGTTATGTGGCAAAGAAGAAGGTTGGGGCTGCAGACTTTTATCATCTTTAGAAGCTCAGAGAAGTTTGGTCTTCTTCTTTGTGGTCTCTTAAAGCATTCTCTTGAATTGGTTAACACTTGACGACAGAAGCTGAATTCCGTAGGTTGGGCCTTATTTATAGCCTGATTGAAATATAGCGAAAAAGGCAGAAATACCTTTTTTTTTTTTTAGAGAAAAAGAAAAAAAGTCAAACTTAGGTGGAAAACCAAAAGTTATGGTCTAGCAGTGTCTTTGCATCAAATATTTTCACATAATTTTAATGTAATCTTTAAATATTTATTGAAAAAATTAATATCCCAAAGAACACAGAAAAGGTGGTCATGTCAGTTGTGAGAACAACATCAGGAGATTAATTTGCATTCATTGATAGAAACGCGTGCTTGCTCTCTGACTCTGCACAGTGGCAGAAGGAGCCTGTTCATGCACATGCATGTAGTGTGTTTATCATGTAAAGCTTGCCCAGAAAGCACCACTTTACACTGATAGAGATGAACATGTGATAAACAAAGGAACTGCATGCAGGGTGGTAGGAAAGAGAAATACTGTACCAATTGGCAAGGGGCATCCAGCCCATCCAGGCCAGGCTGGCCTGGCTCCCCTTTTTCCCCCTTAACGCCACGGAATCCCTGTTTGTAAAGATTAACTCATAATGTTACTAACACAAGAAATCACTTAAGCACAAATTCTGCGAAAGAAGTAACTACAACAACAAAGGCTGGGAGAGGAGCAACTCTGAAGGGAAAAGTAACATCCAGTGAAGTTGGGCAAAGTAAAATGGAGGGAGACATATTCCTACAACAGGGGCTTGTCTGAAAACAGTGGCCTCCTCTTTTGAAGGGTATGGAATCGTGCCAGTTCCTTTCGGATCTTACATTCAGGTTCCAATTGTGCCGTGATATTTGGGGGTTAAGAAACCAGGCAGAGCTAGTGGCCCAAGACGAGATGTGGAACGTATCAGGATAACTGATAAATGTTTCTGGGTATCTTGAAGTCCATGTTAAATGAGCCCAATCAGAAACCCTCCTGTTACGGATCCCTCCGGCTTGCTCTTCTCCCATCTGATCCCCTCACACAAACATCTGGAGACAGTTCCACAAGTCAGACATACCAACGGGCAGGGTGCATCTAATCCAGGAGCACCCTGTTCTCCTTTCTCCCCTTTAGGCCCCTTTTTGCCTTTCTTTCCCTTTTCCCCCTGTGGATACAAGGGTTTAAATAAAAGACAAATTTTATTTGGGGGAAAATAACGGTAATTCAAAAGATGGTTTAGGTAAGAAAATTCTGGAAGGGCATTTACCACTGTTTTCTGATTTAGGTAAGGCATGATATTATAACAGCTAACATATTTTCAGAGTGACAATGGATTCTGGGCAGGGGCATGTGGGATTTTATTTAAGATACTCAACAAGACAGAAGAAGGAGGCTTAAAAGCTGATACATCAGAAGTGCTAACTTAGACCACAATGTCACGATCATGAATTAGGTGTCTGAGTCACAGATCCTGTGAGGATGACAGGTACCAAAACCATTGAAGCCAGCCAGTGGCAGATGAAGTTCAGGGAAATAATGGATACTTCACTCAATTTTCAATACCTGTCACCTTGCTTTTTTCTAATCCTGTAACAGATGAAAGCTGCATTGAACCAGAGGAAAAGGAAAGAATATGAACAGTGTCTATTTCTTTGAAATGTATCCAACTTTATGATTGATATTACTTGTGTAACTCTCATTCAAAAATATTCAATATCTTAAAATATGCTTCTATATCTTTTAATATTTTTTACATCCTTTTGTTACAGCAAAACTTTTTTTAAAAGAAACTAAAAGCAAATACTTTCCTTATTAAGTCAGGTAAACAAATGTTAAAAGTGCTAATACTTTGCAGCAATGCCAACTGGAGAAACAGACTTATTTATAAACCTAGGGATCTTCTTTAATTCACTCTCTTACTGATCTCATGCCATGTATTTACAATGGTAAATGAGTTTCCAGCTTACTCACAATGTAACAAAAGCCAAAAAAAAAAAAAATCTGTTCAGGAGAGGAAAAGCAGCTTGGACTCAGTAAAAATGAGGTAGGCAGGATAATTACATAGTGGGAATGTAGCTATGGAAATTAGTATTTAGGAATCAAGGTAAAGGTTGTGGGAAATCTGCATGGATCATAAGGCCAGAGGAATTAAGGAAAGGAGGCAAAAGGAGGAGTAGGAAGGAATGCACCTCAGCTGTTTTATATTAACATCAGTATCTCTGCATATTTATAGACAGGGAGTTAGTGCCGTGCAGAACTCAAAATACTATACAATACATACTTAAATAAATGTATTCATTCTGCAATCAGGATGGGAGTTACAATAAAACTGAATAATGTCTGAAGCAAAGCAACATGAATATTGAAAGGTTAAAAGAGATATACATAACAGAAATATATGAGATGTGCATTCAAATCAATACATTCATTCTGACAGCATGAGCAAAAGCTCTTCATTTATCTCCTGTGTGCCAAAAAGATTGCATCAGAAGGCTCAGAATCAAAAACACTTGGATTTCTTGAATATGGGGCAAAGAGACATTCTCTGTGGCTTAGTTGATCATGATCAAAGACAATGATGACCCCAGAAGTCAGGGTGAAATGAGAGCAGTTGTGATAGGAAGTAAGATGGGAAGAACATTCAGGAGTAAGTTGGTCACTCACTCAAGATGGATCAACATTCTTCCTTAACAAATCACTTCAGTACCATGACATAAAACTGATGTAAACTCATTTGGGTGAGCTCTTCCCTCCCAAAGGGCAGTGGACTCTTCTTCACATAGGTGTGTCTGAGACCAGGTGTCTTGGGTATTATCACTTTGGAATTCAATTCATTATTTGATTGGTAAATCAACTCAGATTAACCACTCAACAGAAAAATGTCATATGAATGTTACTGTGCCAGGCTATAGGAATCATTTTTCAGTAATATTTTAGTGAGCCTCAAGCTTTATGGGAAAGAAACACTACAGTATGAAGAATAACGTGCCAATGTTATTATTAGTCAGCATTGTTTTGTAATATGCACTGATTCCCCATGCAATACAAAACCATGTCATTGTGGGTATGAGTACATGAGAGCTCTTGATAACTTTTATTTCCCATGTCAAAGAATTATATACATGAATTATTCGCATTTAGAACCAATTTTTGTAAATTTAAAACTTCTAATCATGGAAGCTGAACATGGAAATATTTTGTATGGGTGATTAACATTATTCTGAGGATCAAGTTTCTAGCTTTTATGCTTTCCTATGCTGTAATGCTGGTAATTTCTTTCTCATAAACGTGAGTATCCTCCTAATGGTAATTTTTTTTTTTTTTTTTGGGACAGGGTCTCACTCTTGTTGCCCAGGCTGGAGTGCAATGGCGTGATCTCGGCTCACTGCAACCTCTGCCTCCTGGGTTCAAGCGATTCTCCTGCCTCAGCCTCCTGAGTAGCTGGGATTACAGGTACCCACCACCACCCCCAGCTAATTTTTGTATTTTTAGTAGAGATGGGGTTTCGTCATGTTGGCCAGGCTGGTCTCAAACTCCTGACCTCAAGTGATCCACCCGCCTCGGCCTCCCAAAGTGTTGGGATTACAGGCGTGAGCCACCACGCCCGGCGGTAATATGTTTTTGAGTGATTAAGATTTTAGACTCATACAACCAACTAGGTAAATATAAAATGCATATATATATGTTTTTGAGTTTTTTTAGAGATAGAGTCTTGTTCTGTCACCCAGGCTAAAGTACAGTGGTATGAGCATAGCTCACTGCAGCCTCAAACTCTTGAGTTCAAGTGATCTTCCCACCTCAGCCTCTGGAGTAGCTGGGACTACAGGTACATGCCACCATGCCCCACCATATTTTTTTATTTTTTAGTAGAGATGGGGGTCTCACTAGAGATGGGTTGCCCAGACTAGTGTTGAACTCTGGGCCTTAAGCAGTCCTCCCACCTTGGACTCTCAAAGCACTGGGATTATAGGCATGAACCACTGCACCCAGCTACATATCATCTTTAAAACACACTCATCTTGGGCTAAAAGCTTATATGCACAATTTATCTCAAAACGTATGTATTTTATAGTCAGAATTTATAATTCAGAATAAAAGAATTTTTTATACTTCAGTTTCCTTGTTTGTGAAGTGGGGAAAATAATGCCAACTTCGGGGGTTGTTATGAGGATTAAAAGACTTATCATATGTATAGCTCTTGGGAAAGCACATAATGCTCAGTAAATGTGATGATACTGGTGATGATGATGGGGCTTTCAGATAACCACTTACACGGGCTCTCTTACCAATGGGTGGGAGGAGAGTCTAAGCAATGCTTAAGGCCTAAAACTTACACCACAAGCTTAATAATCTTCTTTCTTTCACAACTCTCATTTAGCCTTGCTTGTCAACAGCTATGAATGTCACTGTTCAAGAGAATTCATAAGGTTAAATAGAGCAGGGACATAAATTAACCTGAGAAATATAAGGTTTAAATTTGTACTGTGAAATGTAGTTTCAGCCACTTTAAGATTTCCACTGTTCTATTGAGGGATTGAGTTTTTGATGGCTTCTTTTGTTGTGTCCAGTGTAAACAATTCTCCTTAGATTTACTACCAGGTAAAAGACCCAAGCAAAATACTGAGAAAGGGGTGGTAGGGGAAGACAGAGATAGAGAAGGATGGAGGGAGGGAGGGAAGGAGAGAAAAGAAACAGAGGAGAGTAAAGAAGGGAAAGGAGGAGAAAAGAACAAAGGAGAGGAAAGGAAAAATTGACTTTTAAAATCCATAATCCAAACTTTTCTTTCAAGTCATAAAACCATATTGCCTGACATGGGCTCCTAAAGACCATGGAGCTGATGGTTCTGAGATAGAACTTCAACATCAACCTCATAAAATACACCAATATCTCTGTTTTAAAAATCTCTGTTGCTCTGAATCTGAAAGTGGCAAGTCCTAGTCCTGTGTAGTGAACTTACTGTAGTTTATCAGTCACACTGCTTCTCCTCCATTTTCATATAAAAAATATCAACGTACAAAACATATCTCCATTTCTCTACTGGGAAGTAGTGAAGACAAGTGAGATGCTGCCTTTGCAGGGTTCAATGAGCTCTGCCAAATACTACTGCAGATTTGTGTCATTTAATTTTACTTTTTAAAATGATTTTTTTTTCAAAAATCCTTTATTTTTCCATAAATTGGTGTCAGGTGGTTGAAAAACTGTAGCTAGAATATCTGGTGATAATAATTTTTTCTTCTATGCCAGGCAGTGCCCTTATATCTGGCAGTACAGCCTTCTTCATTCCTCTCTGAAGACCTGATTCCTTAAATCAGGCATCAGTATGTTTTTGGAGCACAGGATGGAGAAAGATTAAGTGTCAAATGGAATCACACAAGCTGAACAGCAAAGCAGACAGCAGGAGAAGAATCAAACAAGGTACATGCTGGGATGGAGAGGTCACCTTTTCTCCCTTTTCTCCTAGATCACCCTTCTCACCCCGTGGACCAGGGAAGCCCTGTAAGATAAAAAGCAAACCAAAAAGATCTATTGGTGTAATAGTGGCAAAATCATATAGAAACAAATATTTTAGGATTTTACATTTCTGAGCTTAAATATAACAAGAAATGGCTCACCAGTGTTAAGACTTAGATAATAAAGCAGTGCTTAGAAACATAAGTTTTCTAATGTCTCAATTATCTATACACAACAGGTTTCTTGCTTTTTCTTTTAAGAAATACAGAGTAGAAAGAATACCAGAATACTAGTTTGAATTCTGGCAAGTTCACTGATTTGTGCAGATTTGGGCAAATCACTTACCTCTCTGCACTTTAGTCCGTTGACTGTAAAATGGGGTTAATGATATCTACCAGACAGCTGTTGTGAATGTTAAATGTGATGATGTACTACAAAGTACCAGAATGATGCCTGCCCATAACAGGTGCTCATAAACAGTAACTAGTATTACTTTTGGTATTCTCATTATTCAGGTAATACAGGATGAGCAGTGATTGTGTCTAGAGGCATTTACTTTTGACATTCTCTATTTTCACAGAATCATATTAGCATAAGATATATAGGGACTAAATGTTAAAAGGAAAAAAATATTGCATAACTGCTTTGAGAAAAAAACATAATATATCATTCTGTAAGGATAGCATGTGAGAAGTATATTGATTTTATGCATATTTTTCATAAATAGGTCATGCTGATGTTAAGAGTACCCTCAATTTGGGAAAGTATTTTGAAGTGCCACTATCCACTACCAGTTATTAATTTTATACAAGATAATTGTGTTTTTTTGCTTTTCTGTTTTATCTCATGCAAACACTAGTGTATTTTATATTGCTGTTTACATGCACAGCAATATATGTTCTATGCATACCTATATGCACAGAAAAAAAAGAAGTATTCTTTTTGTTATCGATGATGGAGACCATCAACATCTATTATAATAGGATGATGTTTATTGTACTTATTACTTACATCAAGACCAGGCTCTCCATCTTTCCCCTGCCAAAGAACCATAGTAGCTACATTAGTGTTTCTAAGTTTTGTGAATAGATTATTGCTTTATTTAAGGCTGTCTGAACATGCAACACTAGTACTAGAACAACTACTTCAGAAATGTGAAAAAGATTCTCATTTGGATTAGTGACTGTTAGTGTTGCAGTTAAGGGTCATGAAAATTTTATATTATATATAGGGTTAAATAGATTAATATTTTGCTGATGTTTAAGCCTTGGTAGCTAAGTTATCAGTCCAGGAGTTAAATTAAAAGTAAAAAATACTGTTTAGTTGATTAGTGACTGTTAGTGTTGAAGTTAAGGGTCATGAAAATTTTATATGATATATTGGGTTAAATAGACTAATATTCTACTGATGTTTAAAGCTTGGTATCTAAGTTACCAGTCCAGGAGTTAAGTTAAAAGCAAAAATACTGTTTAGCTGATTTAAAAACATACCAGCACTAATAGAGGATGTGAATCAATGCTACTTTAATTTGATAACTTAGTAGTTAGCTCACAAATGAGTAAAGAATGTAGAAATACAGTTTTAATTTGGCTAGGATGTGCACACTGTGTACGAAGGATGTGAAGGCTGCAACTTAAAAGCTGTTTTTAAGTAAGCTTTGTAAATGAATAATCCCCAAATTTTTTTTAAAAGTTGTAAGACTGTTAGGCAAGAATGATAAATTCACTCCCATGGTGCAGATTATCATGGTGATGACCCTATTGTGTCATATTATGGATCCATCCAAAGTTCACGAGAGGTTACTTTGATTTCATCAATTAGATTTTGAAACCTATTTCAAAATCAGCATCTTTTTTTTGATTTAGCACTGAGGTAATCATGGTTTATGTTTATTATTTCAATTCATAAAGAGCATGTGTGAGATATGGAAAGGTTAAAACCCTTAATGCAACGTACGCTTCTACTGTCGTCCTACCCTATCTTAATGAATCAATTATAATTATTCCCAAGATGATATTTTTAAAGCAAACCAGAGGTCTCAATTTGAATTCTGTGTAATTAAGAATTTTCAGGCCGGGCGCAGTGTCTCACGCCTATAAATCGAGCACTTTGAGAGGCCGAGAAGGGCGGATCACTTGAGGTCAGGAGTTTGAGACCAGCGTGGCCAACATAGTGAAACCCCATCTCTACTAAAAATACAAAAATTAGCTGGGCATGGTGGCACACATCTGTAATCCCAGCTACTTGGGAGGCTGAGGCAGGAGAATCACTTGAACCCAGGAGGTGGAGGTTGCAGTGAGCCAAGATCATGCCACTGCACTCCAGCCTAGGCAAAAGAGCAAGACTCCATCTCAAATGATAATAATAATAAGAAGAGAAGAATTTTCAGAAGACAGAGCACTATCAGTGTTCTATGTTCTGCAGATCATTTGTCATCACGGTAATTTAGAAAGTCAGAAACATCAAGTCGTCATAAATATCAATGTAATTGGGGGAATAATTTTTACTAGCAAGAGTCATTTTAGTAAATAGTCTATAGGAACAGATAAAGTCTGAAGAAGGCTGTTTTCAGTGAAGCTTCCACAGCCATTTTTGGATCCAGTGATTTTCCAAGGAAGTGCCAGTTATGAGTGTCCAGTCAGATGATGTAGGGAGGGCATCTTCTGACAGTTAGGATCCTGTTCTCGAGTTAATACTTTATTCTAGAGACAGTCTCTGATCCTGTCAATCTCGTGAAGTGCCTGGATATGTGTCTGTACATGATGAGAGGGCAAGAGACTGAATATGACCTATTTGTGAAGGACATGGAAGTACTGAATTTATAGATAATGAGTGGATTGTTGTTTCTTCTCTAACATTAGTCTGCCCCACAAGCGAAGGGTTAACCGTGTCAGTGACTGGTCATCTATGCATGCGGAAGGTGGGGAGGTGCATGTGACCAGGAACTCACAGGCAGCCCATAGGGCCCTCTTGGTCCAGGCTCTCCCATAGCTCCTTTTTCACCCTAAAATGAAAAGTAGAAAGTTCAAATCATACACACCCACCTACATTCACACACTTTCTCTCATGCCCTATGTCTAAAGCCTCTATTTCAAGGACCATTCTATGAAAATCTCAAAGATTTAGCCTCTTGCAGAGTCACTGCCAGTGATATTTGGAAAGTAATCCACAGTAGCATCTTTTACTAAATCACCTTTGAAAGAGGGGCAGCACAAGATTGCTGCTGGCCAGCTGTGCAAAAGCATTTGCATATCTCAGATGTCATACTTAGGTTTCTTTGGCATTAGTGTGAAACATTTATTTGTTACTAATTATTTTGTTAGCACCTTTAAATGTAAGAATAAAGTGTCTTTCTTTTTTGAGACAGGGTCTCCCTCTTTCATCCAGGCTGGAGTGCAGTGGCATGATCATGGCTCACTGAAACCTTAAACTACTGGGCCTAAGTGATCCTCCCACCTCGACCTCCTGAGTAGCTGGGACTACAGGCAAGCACCACTATGCCCAGGTAGTTTTTAAATTATTTGTAGAGATTACTATGTTGTCCAGGCTGGTCTTGAACTCTGGGGCCTCAAGCAATCCTCCCACCTTGGACTCCCAAAGTGTTGGGATTACAGGCTTGAACTACAGTGTGTGGCCTGAAATACCTTTCCTTCTATCAAAAAACAATTATTCAGGGAAACCCTTTCTCGATTGCCCACTTCCTACCCCCAGCTATATTTTATTTCACAGCCCTTAGACACCAGAAGACCCATAAAGCTTATGACCTGCTTATTCTCTGCTACCCTCACTAGAATATACACAGGAGGGTTCTGGGGCCTCTAGCTTTGTTGTTCCCTATAGCATCCTTACAGCTTAGAATAGTGTATGGCACATCAGTAAATGTTTGTTGAATGAATGAATCAAAGCAAATCTATATAATCATGTACACAGTTTGCTTCCTTTCTGAAAAAGAGGATTTATTTATTTTTTATTTTGAGACAGAGTCTTGCTCTGTTGCCCGGGCTAGAGTGCAGTGGCACAATCTCGGCTCACTGCAACCTCCACCTCCCAGGTTCAAGCAATTCTGCCTCAGCCTCCCGAGTAGCTGGGAGTACAGGTGCCCGCCACGCCTGGCCAATTTTTGTATTTTTAGTAGAGATGGGGTTTCACCATGTTGGCCGGGCTGGTCTCGAAGTCCTGATTTCAGGTGATCCACCCACCTGAGCCTCCCAAAGTGCTGGGATTACAGGCGTGAGCCACCGTGCCTGGCCTGAAAAAGAGGGTTTAAAAACTTTCAACCCCTCTGAATGCCAGATAAGGTAGGTATATGTTATCTTCCTCACTTTCTCTCTAAGTGCCTATTTAAATAGAACAGCTTTCCCCATCTTACACGATATTCTTGAACACTTATAAAGAATAAGTGTTATTGGAGGTAATCTTGTGAATAGAATAATTGTGATGATAAAGAAAGAGATGTTCTGTATTTCAAATGGTGTTTTCTGCTGCTGCCATCTCCAAATTGAAGTGTTTGTCAGTATTTAGTAGGAAAACTTCAGGAGTAATGGTGATTTTATATGAGTAGCCAAACAGAAAATCTTATCTCCTTTTATCATACCCCTGAAGGAGTTTAAAGGTTAGCAAATCTTTTTTCTTGGCAAAACGCCAGGTTCAGCTGATAACAGTGCCTGCAGAGCCACCTGATATGCCTGTGTTTCTCCAGATTCCCGTGTGAGCAAATTTCAGGTCCCTGATAGCATTTTCTTTATCTAAATTTGAGGGGTCAGTGGAACTAATTAACACTGTCACCTAGAGGCAATATGGTATGGGTGAGATTACTGAAAATAAATACGATAAAAGTTTGAACTTTTATTCATTATTACTTTACGGTTATTACCAAAGCAGAAGCAATTGCACTCAGCACAGTGGCCAGATTTTAAATGAAACATTAAACATTTTTTTAAGAAGGGAATTTCCTTAATTTGTTAAGAGACATCTATAAAAAATATCTACAGCATATTTCTTAATAGTGAAATATCAAAAACAGTCCCTTTAAGAATGGAGCAAAGGACGGGCGCAGTGGCTTATGCCTTGCACTTTAGGAGTTCAAGGCAGGAGGATCATTTGAGGCCAGGAGTTTGAGACCAGCCTGGGGAACAAGGTGAGACCCTATCTCTAAAAAAACAACCAAACAAAATAACTAGTAAGGTGTGTATGTGTAAGTGTGTATCTATCTATCTATCTATCTATCTATCTATCTATCTATCTATCTATCATCTATCTATCTGTGTGTGTGTGTGTGCGCCCACACACGCACGTGTAGTGGGAGGTGAGAGTTTTAAGGGAGGAGCCACATAAACTGGACTATGTCTAGTTTGAAATAACTGAAATAACTCCACAGATTAGGGTGGGTCTAATTGGAAAAATCTCCATAGATTATTTTGATATAACCATTCCCTTCTCACTTGAGAATCTTGGCTTTGTCTTATTCTTAAAACAAATATACTATGGCTTATTTGAATAAAGCTGTCACTAAAACAGCTGTCTGTGAAACTACTCTTCTAGAACAGCCCACCCCCAAAAATTACTTAAGCTATTAACGACAATTCCATTTCTCTTGCCAGTGACTGCCTCAGAAATGGACAGCTGACCCAGTTCTGGCAAATGAGGTGTCAGGGGCATCAGCCGGGAAGCTCTGGGGAAGGTTCCTCTCTGCTCAGGAAGAGACATGAGGTAGTCTCTCTGTTCTCTGCCAGTGTCTCACCAGAGAGGATGCTTGGACCACTGTGCCCAGCTTGTCCGTGGTCAGAAGACAATGCCAACATGTGGAAAAGGGCTCCCAAGCAAAACCTAGAGTCCTCCTTTGAATATTTTCTTATATAAAATAATGTATTTCTTTATTGTGTAAGCCATTTTGAATTTGTCACTTAGAGCCAAAAAGCATTCTAATGATTCGAGCTTGAAAACTTTTAGGAATGAAATATTAACACGGGGATTTGAATGTACAACTCCTTTTCCTGGATTAAGCAATTCCAAAAGTATTTTTCAACCTCTCAAGCTTAACACATTTATAGAGTTCCAAAGCCAAATGAAGAAATCAGCTAAGGTAGGGAGGATCAGATGCTTGCAGAGTGGAATATTGATGCTGTCAATCATACACTTGAAAATGTTTGAATAACATTGGCTGTCAAATGTGTGGTTTCTTTTAGGTTGTTCTAATTTCATTCGGGTTCTTTAATTTGCACATCAACACTGAGGCATTATCCTAGAACACCTCCCTTTGCCGATTCTGACTTCTTTAAAATTTGAAACTTTTTCAGGAGAGTCCAGATGGCGCCTCTATCAATTAACTCTGAGAATCACACTCCAGTTTAGCACTTCCAGTGAGGGGCACTTGGAGAGTACTGATATATGATCCAGTTAAGATAGTTAACATGCTGAGTAAATACAAGAGTAACACTTTACGCTGCACACCATTTGACTGAAACTATGCCTTCAAAATTCTTAGCAATTTCATTTGCTCTTCTGGTTAATTCTGCTCCAGCACTGAGACCTGATACTCTTGTGACATTGTGGAGCTATCGGAAGTAGCAGCTGATTTACCACACGGTAAACCCTCTTGAGCCCCAGGGCATTCTGCCAAAACACTGCCTGAGATTTGCTGCTCCATTTTTAGTACATGGGCTGGGTTTCTTCATACAATGCTTGAAAGCCAATCTGCATCAGCAGCGTTGAGGCTTTTAGCTTTTAAATATTTTTAATTAAGATGATCTTCAGAAGTCATTGGTTTGATCTTAGAAATATGACAATTGCACATTCAGATTACATGTTCCCTTAGAACTCATCTCTTTCTACAAGCATTCTTGGATAAAGCCAATCTTCATCACTGTACAGCTTGTACTATTTGTATTATTTTGGCCTCATTCTCTGGTTATTTCCTTCATGCATTTTTTTTTCTCTGCAATTAGATTGTAAACTCTTCTAGGTCAGGAAGAATAGCTGTTTTTTTTGCAGCATTCAGTATATATTAATAAATATTAATAAAAATATTAATAAAAGACCAAGAGATAATTAATCAATTATAATGGTATTATTCAATGTACTGAAGCAAATTAGCAAAATAGGCTTTACCTAAGTGGGAGGAGAGTTTCCATTTCACACTAGTAATACCATGCTTTGCACATAGTAGCATTTGGTAAATATTTCCTGAATGAATGAGATCACTCTACAGAACACAGAATTATGGAATTGGAAGGTATGTTAAAGAAATGACTACTGGCCCTCTTTTTTTAAAGCAAATTATCTCAGACTGATGAAAATCTATCTAGTTTTTAAAAGACCACAAACTTGCACAGTGAATCATTCCGACATTTTGAAGACTTCACTATTAAAATACTTTCTTTATATCCTCTCCTGGATGGTAGGGAAATTGATGACATAATTCCACTCAGACACACAAAAATAATTCTAAGATTTCCAAGGTGAGGAAAAGAAATAGTGGGAGAAAAACAGAAAGAGAGAGAGGGGGAGAGAGAGAGAGAGAGAGAGAGAGAGAGCGCATGCATGAGAGGGAGAAGAGAGAAGAAAGTTCCAGACAGATGACCATTTATCTTCCATTCTGAATGTCTTTTTTCCCCCAAAAGATATGGAAACATGGCCTAGCAATAGAGAGGTTAGTGAAAGGTTTTCATTTTATAATGCACTGAAATTATTTCCTTATGGTTAAAGAAAAACAGCCTATCCTTTAGCTTTAAAAAAGGGGGAGCATTTGTAACTGTGCAGAAAAGAATACTTAGGTTTCATTATTTCCTTTGGAAAAAAGTTATAACCTGCTCTGAATGAGTACAGTAGCTTTATATAAAAGATTATCAACCAGAATACATACTCCGGAAATTTTAGCTCCATTGACTTCGACTTTCTGGATAAAGGCCAAATGAAAATATCTTCCTTATGGGTGAAGGAAGAATCATCTGAGCTATTTATTTTAGCTATGTAAATGTATGTATTGTTTTTATTAAGGCAGCCGTGTTCTATTTTATGCTCTGTGGTTTTCTTCTCTCAATATTAGGACTCTGAATAGAACTTAGGATGGTATCTCTTTTTATTTAATATTAGATAGCCCTTTATTTCTTCTGAAAAATGAACAGTTAAATTAATATGGAAAAGCCATGCTCTGTGTTTTCTTTAGTACAAGCTTAATAACCTCAGCAACAACTTACTCTTTCTCCTTTGGGACCTGCAGGGCCATGGGGTCCCATAGGACCATCTGTACCCTAAAAAAAAGATAATATGAGATATATCACAAGGGCTGCAAGAATAGCAGTTATAATTTATCCTGGATTTTTCCTAGGTGAATGGTGCCTAAGAATATCAGTAAGACAACTCATCTCCTTTCAAAGTGCTTTATGCTTGATTATTTCAGGCCAGCGGTTTTCAAGAAACTCATGCAAAAAGGATGAAGTATATAACTGCATGTTTCAATGAAAGGCACACACGAAAAGCTGCATATCATATTTAATTATATCTTTTTCCTCTGACTAAATAAAGCATCACTGGCTGGGTGCGGTGGCTCAAGCCTGTAATCCCAGCACTTTGGGAGGCTGAGGTGGGTGGATCACCTGAGGTCAGGAGATTGAAGCCAGCCAGCCTGGCCAACATGGTGAAACCCCGTCTCTATTAAAAACACAAAAATTAGCTGGGCATGGTGACGGGTGCCTGCATTCCCCTACTCGGGAGGCTGAGACTGTAGTGAGCCAAGATCGTGCCACTGCACTCCAGCCTGGGCAACAGAGCGAGACTCCGTCTCAAAAAATAATAAATAAATAAATAAATAAATAAATAAAGCATCTTCACTTTGCCCCATAATCTTAAGAAGAAAAATGTAATTGTTTTTCCTTCCTGTCACCTCTTCCTCAAGCCCTTTCTCTACACCCACTGCCACCCTTAACCGGGCGTGCTCTGAACTCTTGTTTTCAGCTGTTTAAGAGGCTTGAACTGTTACACAAGTAGAAGAAAATTATTAAGTAAATGAAAACAGTGTGTAACTGTTCAATCCAAAAACTTCCTGCAGCTCTGTTGGGGGCAGCAGGGGCTTACAGGAAAGGAATCATTCTTACAGATTCTGCGGCAGTGGCCAGTCACTAGGCTTACAACTCACAAACCAGGCAGCCAAGATGACTTAAAGGTATAATTCCCCTTTGTCCCCCTGGTTAGTTCAGGATTAGGATTTCTGCAGTAGAAGAGGTGATATTTGAATGAATGTAAGAACGCTGAGGTCCAGTGAAAATAATGATTGCCTGAAACAAGTTTTTAGAATTGAAAAGATGGGAATTTCTTTTAGATTCTTAAAACTGTAGCCAGGACTTCAAGTATACTTGCTCATTTCCAGTATGACTATGCTTAGATTCATAAAAAATTGATTATAATATTTGCAAATGTAGGAACTATTCCAGCATGATTTTTCTTTAGTATTCCCATTTCTGTTCTACTATTCTGGTTTATTCTGTGAGAGCTTTGTGATAAGAAAGAATTCAGAGTTTTAAATTCATTCTAATGTTGCTGAATTCTCATCAGCTTAACTGATATTTTTCTTACTGCCTGAATTCAAAGTTCACCTTCAGAAGACTTCTAAATACTGAGTATCTGTAGCTGAAATTTAAGAGCTGGAGCTGTTAAGAACCAAAGAAAAAAAGACAAAATGACAGAAGACAGACAAGTCATTTCTATGAACAGAAATTGAAAGTTAGTGCCAAGGAAGAAGTTACATTTGATGGACATCAGTCTAAAAGGAAAAGCAAGTTACAATAATTTCACATTATTTTAATCTCTTCAGAGGGCCGCTCTCATGGAATTGTAGGGGATGTCTGTCTATTGGTTCTGGAAAAATTCATGTGGAATTCTAAGACAATGAAGCCCATTAGTCTGGTCATTCTTCCCACCTAGCAAATTATCCAGACTTGAACACGAGCTTCACAAAGACATTCTGGCAGTTTAGCTGTTCTCCGGACAGAGTTGCAACCGTCCTCTGTCCACCTTTCCCCCTTTTGCCGCCATCTTTGTCCACCTTCCCCTTTTACTCCAGCTCTAAGTACACCCTCATCATTTGATGAGAGGACATGGAGCAAAGGGGTCTGTGCTGAAGCACATGATTCACAGCCACAAAACATGTCAGAGCAAGACAAGGGACTGACTCACCCGGGATCCTGGCTTTCCGTCTAAGCCAGATGCTCCCTGTGTGATTTGGTTGGTAGCAGGGTTGGTGGGTGTAACACGAATGACAAGAACAGAGATTAGTATGAGGTACCGATGAACAAATGTAACACTTCAAACAACATAATACGCAGTTACAGGGTTCTGGGATGAATATCACATTGCTACAAATTGTTAGTTAAAAAAAAAAAACACATGACAAACACCCCACAGATGATGGCATTTTAATGACATTTCTATTTGACAAGTTCTTATTTAGAAATCAAGCTAATGAAGTGTATAAACTGGGCTACAAAGTAGTTACTCATAACAGTTGCAGGCTTCTATCTAATTTCCATATGAAATTCATTTTCTAAAGACTGTGCTATTCACCATATATTTCTTTAGGTTCTGAAGAGAAAAGAACGGTAATTTCCTAAAAAAGCGCTCATTATAATAATCAATCAAATTTAGCATTTCAGAGGAGAAGAAAGAGCTCTGGTTATACTTGTTAAAACAGTATTTATGAATAACAAATACAGGGTTTTCACATGTTAGGATGACTCTTAGTGGATTTTACATGAACAATAATTACTCATTGTTTTCTGGGTTGTTCCTACTGTTCACACTACTTTCCACTAGAGGGACTTCTAGGAAAGGGAAAAAGCCAGAAAACAATGTGTGCGACCAAGCAAAAAATAACTTCCAAACTAAATTGTTTCTCAATTCCTTCAAATAATCTTTGCATCAAAGCCTGATGGGGGAAATAACTTTAAAAATCGAATGTTCTCAGACAATGCATGCTTTTCTTCACTTTGAACTCTAGGCTACAAATAAATAGCGTATGATTAAACAATGGCATTTTCAATGCTTGTTTCAAGAATAAGTACAATTATTTCTTTAATATGGTTTTTGTGTCTCAAAGCCCAAATATTTATTTATAGTCCTTTAAAAATATTGGTTAGACCAAGGAGTATTTAAGAAAGAAAATGCACTGGCCCTAAAAATTCTATTGTCAAGATTGCAGAACTATTTCCCAATTTTATGCTTCAGATGCAGTTAATAATACAGAATGGAAAAAAAAATCTATTCCAGATGAAAACTCTACCAATGATGTTATTCTACATACATTTTGAGTATTTTGAGTTTTTATTTTAAAATTTCTTCTGTATAATCCATGAGCCATACTATAACTGCAAAATACATACATTCTTTTTTTTTTTGAGATGGAGTTTCACCCTTGTTGCCCAGGCTGAAGTGCAATGGCACAATCTTGGCTCACTGCAACCTCCACCTCCCAGGTTCAAGCAATTCTCCTGCCTCAGCCTCCCGAGTAGCTGGGATTACAGGCATGCGCCATCGCACCCGGCTAATTTTTGTTTTTAGTAGAGACAGGGTTTCATCATGTTGGCCAGGCTGTTCTCGAACTCCTGATCTCCACTGATCACTTGCCTCCATCTCCCAAAGTACTGGGATTACAGGTGTGAGCCACAGTGCCCGGCTTACATACGTCTTTTTTTTTTTTTTTTTTTTTTTTTTTTGAGACGGACTCTCGCTCTGTTGCCCGGGCTGGAGTGCAGTGGCGCGATCTCAGTTCACTGCAACCTCTGCCTCTCGGGTTTATGCCATTCTCCTGCCTCAGCCTCCCGAGTAGCTGGGACTACAGGCACCCACCACCAAGCCTGGCTAATTTTTTGTATTTTTAATCGAGACAGGTTTCACCATGTTAGCCAGGATGGTCTTGATCTCCTAACCTGGTGATCCGCCCACCTCGGCCTCCCAAAGTGCTGGGATTACAGGCATGAGCCACCGTGCCCGGCCTTACATACGTCTTTTGTTAGCAATAATTACAATAAAAATATATATTGTTGTTCATTTGTTTAAGGCTAGCATAGGTACAGCTGTTAGCTAAATGTTGCATAAAAATTATCAATAGCCCTAAATTTTAAAAAAGGGCAGACTTTAAATAAATCAGATTGAAAGTTTAAATAAAATAGAAAATCCAAACTTTCTTTTGCCTTTTGATACCTTCTTCAGTTACATTATAACATTTGAAAACAAATGTAGGCCAGGCATAGTGGCTCACAGCTATAATCCCAGAGCTTTTAGAGGCCGAGGCGGGAAGATTGTTTGAGGCCATGAGTTAGAGATCAGCGTGGGAAACATGGCGAGACCCAATCTCTATAAAATATTTTTAAAAATAAAGCGCTTGAGCCCAGGACTTTGAAGCTGCAGTGAGCTGTGAGTGTATCATTAGACTCTAGCCTGGGTGACAGAGTGAGACACTGTCTCAAACAAAGAAAAAAGAAAATAAATGGGGAAACTGTAATAATTTTACACTGATAATATTATATCTACCTAGAATGCTGAAATAATGACTCACATATATTATAGAGGTTTTATGCCTATGGTCCATTGATCTAACTGGTGTGATTAAACCTATATTCTAGGCTGGGCTGGTGGCTCATGCCTTTAATCCTAGCACTTTGTGAAGCCGAGGCGGGTGGATCACCTGAGGTCAGGAGTTTGAGACCAGCCTGGCCAACGTGGCGAAACCCTGTCTCTACTAAAAATAGAAAACTTAGCTGGGCATGGTGGCATGCACCTGTAGTCCCAGCTACTCAGGAGGCTGAGGCACGAGAATTGCTTGAACCTGGGAGATGGAGGTTGTGGTGAGCCAAGTTGGCACCACTGCACTCCAGCCTGGGTGACAGAGAGAGACTCTGTCTCAAAAATAAATAAATAAAATAAACCTATATTTTAATACAAGGTTTATATCAGTCATTCAATAAATAAATAACTATTGACCATCATATGGTGGATGTATGTAAGGCACTTGCTATCAACTAGCGTGAAGTATAATAACCATGGCAAAAATGAAAAAGTGGTCATCAGCTTTTTTTTCCTCCCACATTTCAAATTGTGTATAAACTATATTCTGTTACTGATTTTATGTCATATTTTACTAATGTAATCTATATTGTTCTTTGTTGATTTGTATCTGTATTCACCAAATAGATAGCATATTAAAGGCTTGAAATTAAAGCCTCGTATTTAATAACAATTTAAAAAAATCTCCATTTAGTTGTTGTGGAAAGAAGGCTGACATAAAGAAAATGAAGAGCCTGGGGGAGATTCCTTCTTCATTAAAAATAAAAATCTCTAAACAACTGCAAAATACTTCTTTTATACGACTCACTATTGCCACAAGAACCTCATAACAGGGAATTTTCAAAACAAACAACATAAAACACGTAGAACATGATATGATTGATTAATGTAAGGAGCCACAGCATTGACCTCACTCCATCAACAATGGCCAATTCCATACCTGCCACCAACAGAGGGCTACAGTTTTTGGTATCCAAGGAGAAAAAACAGTTGAGGAAGCATTTTAAACTGCACTAGATTATAAAAAGTGTTTGGGAGAAACTATGAAATAATGAGCACAACACTTTTAAAAGAAGGGGACAATGGAAGAGGAATTGTCAGCCCTAAAAGAGGAAGGTTGGCATGTATGTAATTGAAGAATGACAGGACATTTATAGCATTGTTTGTTGTGGGTCTTCCTCTGACACAAGAGAAGACATCAGAGAAAACAAAACTGGGCTGAGCTCTGCTCTAATATAATATGTTTTCTAATTACAGAAACCTCAACAGTACGAGCTGCTGAGTAAACCAGAGTTATCATGTAGGGTAGAAAGAAAAATCTGAGATTTGCACTAAAATGGAAAGTTTTCTTTACTTACTGGAAGACCAAGGGGTCCTCTGTCACCCTTTTGACCTGGTTCACCCTTCAATCCTTTAACACCATTTAACCCTGGTTCACCCTAAATGCAAAAGCAAATGCCAATTTTGGTTGCTATTATGGGTGTTTAAACTGTGAGAGAAGAGAGCCAGTCTCTGAAATAGTTGCAGATTCCAGTTTTAGGAAACAGCAGAGTCAGGCTAGATTTGTCTTGCACGAAACATTAATTTTTAAAGTTAAAATAGTTACTAAACTGACATCAACAATTAATATTCTAGAAACCAAAACTCCCAAGAAAGTATGCTCCTTACAATAAAAATATGTATGGTTGAATTCCTAAATTTTTCAGTTCCATCTCAAGGAAATTCATGTTATACCACATTTTTATGATCAAATAATTCAAAGACAATCGAGTGGAGGATGCTGAAGAAGATTCGGTAGAAAAAAAAACCCACTCTGCTGGAATGGAAAACTGGAATATGCAGGACAGGGTTATAGACAGATATTTTAAGCCTTTAAGCATGTTGCCCAAGGGAATGAACTAAAAACGTAGCAGCTGATGTTTGAAGTAATGCCATTTAGCAAGTCCTCATTCACTGCCCTTGCCAAGTCAGATCCCTACATGGACTAATCAACAAATCACCAATCCCAGGAGAAAATATGAAGATCAAAGAACTTAGATGTAGTTTTACTAACTATCCATCTGCCCAGTGTTAGAATAAAGAAAGTATGAATTTAACTCAGCGTGACATTATAAAAGCCACGGTAAATGATAAATTCTTGACTCCATTTTTAAAAACCAAGGAATACAGTATACCTATTTTCCATCAGTAACGGCATGTTAGATATCAAGTTCTGACCTGTATACTTTTCAACTTTTAAGCGTAGACATTAATTTGCCAAGAAAATCTTGAAGGGCTTGTGAAAGAAAGATGATTTCAGACACAAATACCCTATAGAGTCTTGCTGGGTGGGGGCGGGAAAGGGGAGAGGCTATACTGACATGGCAGAAGGGGTTTTTAACCTAGGCAGTATTTACTCAACTTGCTTGATGATATAAGTCAGTGTAGCGCTTGTTAAACATAAAGAGTTCAGGGCCCCACCCAGTCCATGGTAACACAGAAATGGGTATCTTTAATAAGTCTCCCAGGTGATTCTTATCAGGAAATTCTGGGAAACACTGAGCTAGATTCATGCATGGAATCATGCTATATATTTGAACTTTCAAAGGGGGTTGCAAAATGATGAACACACTGGCATGGCATAAAAAGTTTTCAGGATTTTGAAGATAGGATGTTTGCAGTACAGCCACTATAGCAAGTCCAAATGTGTTGGTGTTGGTAAGACAGTATCCCGGGAATGCTATTGATTGAGGACACCATATTAAGGCCAAGGCTCAGTAGTCAGTGACTAATTTGAGATCCGTGGCTTTGCATGTGTGTGCACTTTCAGCACGTGGTCTTGAGGTACTTGAGGTTAAATCCAGTGACAGAAAGACCAAATTTCAAGTCTGGACCTAAGTTCTAGTCCCAGATCTGTCATGAACTAGCTGTGTAATTAGGGGCAAATAACCTAAACTGTTTGGGCCTGAAGTTTATCATCTATGAAATCAGGGAACTTGCATAGATATCTATGAGGTCTTTTCAACTTTATAATTATCTGAAACTTATGATTTAAGTAAGAATTAAGTTGTATGGACAAAATAAATTGTTGCATTTTAGAAATCAAAAGCATCTTGGGCATCTCCTAATCCAATGGTGATGGCATATCTGAATCACTTATGAAATTAAATATCTTGGTGGCATTATCCTTAGTCATTATGACCAGGCTGGTTTTTGGTGGCATCTTAAAATCCAAGAGTAGGGCCGGGCGCAGTGGCTCATGCTTGTAATCCCAGCACTTTGGGAGGCCGAGGCGGGCGGATCACTTGGGGTCAGGAGTTCAAGACCAGCCTGGCCAACATGGTGAAACCTTGTCTCTACTAAAAATACAAAAATTAGCCGGGCATGGTGGTGGGTGCCTGTAATCCCAGCTACTTGGGAGGCTGAGGCGGAAGAATCACTTGAACCCAGGAGGCGGAGGTTGCAGCGAGCCAAGACTGCACCATTGCACTCCAGCCTGGGAAACAAGAGCGAAACGCCATCTCAAAAAAAAAAAAAAAAAAAATCCATGAGTAGGAAGCATTGATTTAGTCTAGATGGGGAAAAAGGCCCAGAGAGATTAAACGACTACTAAGATCACAAAGCTGATAGATGGGGCTCTCTCTTCTGACCCCCCCTCCCAGATAGTACTCTTACCCCAAAGTCTAATTCATGCTTCTGAGATAGTTACTCACTGGCCTTACTGGAAGGTAAGGTAGTCTAAGAAGAATAAAGAGGCATGAACACATTCTTGGGTGTCACCTGCCTGACTGGGAAAAGGAAACCCAGATTTCCTGAGTCAGACCAATACCTGCCACCACTCCTAGAGCTGGGTGGGCCAAAGAGAGCCAGCCTCCCCAGAGGAGACAGTGGCCTGCTTCTGGGCTTTGTGACACCTAGTGCCAACACTGCCTTTATGTGTCTCCCCAGCCCCTCCCTTCCTGTTAGTTGCACCAACTCACTACTGAAGCACTCTCAGGAGTTCATGAACCTTCTTTCAAGCAGGGTTGAGGATGAGTTATAGAATTTTTCTGTTCAGAACCAAGTATCACATAGCAACAATAACAGCTGTCTTCTGACATTTATCAACAGCTGCACCAGATATTTTGCTAAGTGTTTTATAAGCATACCTCATTAAGTTATCACAGCACTGTAAGGTGAGTTACCCAGTTGAGTAAATAAAGGATCAGAGAGGGTCCATAATCTGCTCAAGGTGATACAGCCTGGCAAGATTGAGATTAGAACATAAGTCTTCATCACGTATGCTCCCTGAAAGGGGGACCTTGTCTTTCAGGGCTTATTTTAATCTGCCAGGATGTCCTCGCGGTCTAGACAAAGGCAAAGGACAGGTGGAGACCATCTTCATCATGCAAGCTACACTAATTCTGACAAAGAGGAGCTTTTATCCCTTGTTCTCTTCTTAACCCAAAAGTATAGAATGCATGTAAGTGATGTGATCTTCTTCCCAGTATAGCACACCTGAAATACCCCACCCACTTCTAGACCAATGACCTCTGGGCGAGTACAAAATTAAGATGCTGGAGAGGCAAAGCATTTAGATGAGATATGACTACATGGCAAGCAAGAAATATCAATTAATAACATCCAAATATACAGTTAGAGACACCATTAAAAAAAAGCATCTAGACTAGTCTGAGAATCTCATCAGATTCACTTCTAAATGGTTGACTTGAGTACATTATGATTTGTAATTTGAGAGGTTACATAGTGACCAGGAAAAAGGCAAAATGAAGAATAATTTTTCTCCAGGTGATATCATTTAAATTTGTTATAAGTCATTTTGTGTTATGAGATTTAAACATATGGATGCTTAAAGGCTCAAAGATTATCAACATTACTTGACAAATAAATAAGATAGGACAGACATGCTTCTGTCATGCTTCTCCATGATTATCAAGGAAGCAGAAATCAAATAATCAAGGGATTTGTTGGATTACCTTTGGTCCAGGAAGTCCATGAGGTCCCTGAAAATGGAAAACAGAGCTTTTAATTAAGAATTGATTCCCTGTTTCCCAGCAAGAGTGAATATTATATCACATAACAAAAGAGATGTGAGACAAGCATCTTCTTGTTTGAGCTATAGGTAGAGGCAGGCTAGTGGATGTTATTTATTACCCACCAAAAGTTCCTTCCAGCTCTTGGATTGCTCTGTAATAGGAAATTCATTAATAGCAATTCTGTCTGCTAATACCTTTGAGGAGGGAGAAATCTGCCAGGGTTACATGGAAGAAAGAAGTAGGAAAAAGAGGTATTCTGAACTCAAATTACCATTACAAAGTCTGAGTGGAATATGTGAGATGCTTCATGAGTTTAAATGAAATAAAAATATGACTTCAAAGAGAAATTTGCCAAAGAGAAGCCCCAGACTTTAAGTGCCAGGGAAGAGGAGAAGTTTTCCATTAACTCCTCCAGACCCAAGGTGTTGAAGAATCTAAAGGAGACATGAAGTGAGGAGATGACACCCAAATTTTGGATTTTGTAGCATCATTTATTTAAGATTAAATAAAAGATTATTATGTAGGAAAGCTAAGCATTATTATTTAGATTGCATTTATTTTTACAAAAACAAATTCCTCAAAGCTCTTGTAATAATTGTTTATCAGTGGAAGAAAGTCATAATGCATGCATGAATCAGGATTACAAAACACATACTTTGTAGAAAATCTAAATATACAGACTAGTCAACTTAAATTAACTAAGGTTACTGTGGATTGCTGTAAACCTTTCAAGTGATTTAAACAAACTATTTGGAGAAAGGAGTATTTAAATATCCATCAGTAAAATTATAAAACTGCAGGAAAAAGTTTTTATTAAGCAATGCCTATATATTTGTTACATATGTCCACATTAGAATAATATTTTCCTTTTCAATAAGTTTCAGATAAGGATTTTCAGGAAATGGCTGTTACTTTATCAGGTATTCTTACCTCATTTTAATAATGGCTTAAAATTCCTCTAAACTAATTAATTTTATGATATGAACAGGCTGTAGCATTTTCTAATTTAACCTTCTATCTTATAGTAGAGGGAGTATTTTTAAAAAGCCAAAAGTATGCCATTTGCTTAATTCTTAATGAACCATCCAGTTTTAAGAAAATAAGGTCACACTGGGCGAGGTGGCTCACATCTGTAATCCTAGCACTTTGGGAGGCCAAAGCGGGTGCATCACTTGGGCCCAGCAGTTTGAGAACAGCTTGGGCAATGTGGTGAAACTTCATCTATTCAAAAAATACAAAAATTAACTGGGCGTGGTTGGTGGCATGTGCCTGTTGTCCCAGCTACTCAGGAGGCTGATGTGGGAAGATCACCTGAGCCTAGGAGGTAGAGGTTGCAGTGAGCCATGATCGTGCCACTGTACTCCAGCCTGGGTGACAGAGTGAGACCCTGTCTCAAAAAAAAAAAAAAAAAAAAAAGAGGAAGAAGAAGAAAGAAGAAAGAAGAAGGAAGAAGGAAGAAAGAAGAAGAAAAAGAAAATAAGGTCAATAATAATTGTTTATGTTATAAAATAGAAATGGAGCTAATCACTGGCTATGCTCTTGGCTTAGATCATTCCAATAATGCTCTTTCTTGTGCAATGGGAGGAAAGAGTGACCATAATTTACTTATTCTGTAATACTGAAGTCCTTTGATTTATTGACACCTGAGAGACACATGTGACCTTCTAGACTGCCTGACTTGCTCTTATTCTGCCCCAGTCAAAAGCATTTGAAGCATTCTGCCTTCAACATTCTAACCTTAACAACTGTCTTTGGTTTGACATTTAGAGAATTATACTTGCTTAATGGCTGCCTTCCTCACTGGACATCAGTTTCTTGAGGGCAGGGCCACTGTCACCATTGGCCACTGCAAGACACCTGCAGTTAACACTGGCCCTGGCTCAATGAATCAATCAAAGTATCATAAAAGTAAGAAGGAAGATCTAACAATATATGTTATCTGAGGAAGTAAGCTGCAATTTTTATCATACTATTTTACAAATATTCTTTTTTAAAATTGACACATAATAACTATATATTTATGGATATAGTGTGATATTTTGATACCTTATACATAAATGTTCCTATTGAACATTTCATTAAAGAGTTCAAACCTCAAACTTTGTCAGAAAACATTCTTTAATGGCTATTATTACTATTATTATTATTATTATTATTATTTTTGAGATAGAGTCTCACTGTCTCCCAGGCTAAAGGGCAAGGGCATGATCACAACTCACTGCAACCTCAGCCTCCCTGGGCTCAGGCAATCCTCCCACCTCAGCCTCCTGAGTAGCTGGGACTACAGGCATGTGCCACCATGGCCAGTTAATTTTTGTAGTAGAGATGGAGTTTTGCCATGTTGCCCAGGCTGGTAACTCCTGACCTCAAGTGATCTGCCCACCTCGGCCTCCCAAAGTGTTGGCATGAGCCATTGTGTCCAGCCAATTCTAAATCTTATTCTGCTGGTATCAGGTTAGAGGAGTGGCCGGATAAAATGATTTGCCAGTGTTCACACTGTAAAGTTGTAGTAGAGCTTGCTATATGTGTCTGTCTTTCCTCACCTCTGTCGCAAAACTACTCTATCTCTTCCCAACATATGTGTTTGGGAGAGTGAATGACAACACTGTAAAGTTAATATATCTCAAAGCACCTGGTATTTTCCATCCATTCCACAGAGAGTAGTACAAAATACAAGCTGGCTGTTTAGAGGGATGTGTTCATGTTCTCTCTAGCAGCATGCTCATAAATAAGCAATTACATTTCAGAAAGAAGGGAAACTTACCATGGGGCCAGGTGGGCCATGGGGACCTGGTGGGCCTGGTGGGCCTATGATCTGTATGTCCAAAAAATAAAAATGTATTTGGTTACTTCATTTAGATAAGGCAGTTCAACTTGAATCTTGTGCTGGGGTTCTGCTAAGGCCATTAGTAGTTGGAGAGGAAGAAAGATACTAGAATAAGTGATGTGTTTGATTCTCTAGATGTAGAAATTCCCTTATGAGAATTAAAAAAAAAAATTCCAAAAAAAGTTCTCCAAAAGCCAGAATAAATGAAAACTATGTTAAAAGAAAAGGAAGCAACTAATTACCAAGAAATGCTATAATGTCACTACTATCAAACTCAAATATTTCACTAAGCATAAGCAGGGCTCTGGAGAAACAAACAAGTATGTTCTATATTCACAAAGATCTACCCATTGTTAGGAGAAAACCATTGATTTTTTTCCTCAGGATTAGACAGTCCTCTGAAAACCTGCTTCTACCTCAGACCTCTGATATACTTTGTGTATCACTGTGCAGGGCTGACGGATGTTTCTTCTACAGTTTGACAAACCAAGAGGTTTGAGGTCTGTCTACTGTTGTGCAGCCATCTGGCAGAGGTGGAATAGGTAAGTAACATGTCAGTGTGTGAGGAGGTTCAGGAACAATGGAAGTTCAGCCACCATGGACTTACAGAAGGACCCTGTGGACCCGGCATTCCAGAATCTCCTTTTTCTCCTTTCATTCCATTGGCTCCCTATAAATAACCATTAAGCAGAGTTAAGCAGGTAAAGTTATTTCCAGTGTAAGAGACAACTGAATTTTCTCCCCAAACCCATTGTTCTCTTGACATTTTATAATATTATGCACTTGCTACATAAAAGAAGGATTTATCTCCTTGAATTCTAGCTTAAAATAGCAAGCTTATTAAAATCCTTAGGATTATGGGTGATATGTAGAATAAAATATAAAGTAAATGAAAACTAGTTTGAGCTTGATTGGTTAAAGACCTACAGTGTTAAATACATTGAGTTATAAATGTTATATCTTTTATGGTGGTGCGCAATTTAAACAGCAAAGGTAAGGCTTTTAACTTAGTTTTTACTGACATTTATATACTTCCTTGTTTTACAGAAAAGTCTAAGGCAGTGGAGTTTACTGCATTTTTTAAAACAATTTTTACATTTTCTCCTCCAAATTCTCAGTTAGAATTACGGGGAAAACCATAAAACACCATCCCATAGTATCATACACACAGAGGACACTTTCCAGAGTAATTTGTTTTTTAATTCTCCTATATTTTTTGGCTCATTTCTTTATTATGGTTTATTTTACAATAACCAGTTACCACCATCTTATGCATACTAAATTAAAGTGGCCAACTATGTTTATTTTATTATCTTCTAGGGAAAACAATTCAGGAAAACATGAAGGCTTCCTTTATAATTCATTTGGTTACATGCCTTACAATTTGAGTTCCCTAGAGTAATTAACCAATAATACCTCAAATATTTCAAAATAAAAATATGAGATGAACCACTAGATGAGATTGCAGCTAATAATATAACTCTTTTCTGATTGTTTAATTTATCTTAATAAGAACATAATATAAAAAGTATAAACAAACAGAAAGTATAAACATACCGGTAATCCAGGAAGTCCAATTCCTCCTTTTTCACCTGTCATACCTGGGTCCCCCATGTCTCCCTTTGAGCCTTTGAGTCCCTAAAAATGATAGACAAGGTTGGCATGTAAGCAGCATAATGACCCCCGATAATTACATCCTAGGGAAAACAGAATTCCGATCAATTTCGTTAATAGGTGGGTTCAATGTTGAGATGATTCTGATTTTTGTTTTTAGGTAGAGTTATTTCTTACAGCAACCTTCTACATGCAATCAGTACTATTTCTCCTTGTAATGAAATAGATTAAGTTCTATTAGGCCATGTAAGCATAAAAAACATGAACTTAGGTTTTGACATAATTTCTCCTGATTTTGTATTTTTACCTGGCAGCTAATTCTATCTCACCAGACCTGAAAACAACTTAATAGACTTAATTCTCAACAATACAGGATGTATTTTGAACTGGGACCTAGTGTTATATAATAACAAATGTCCAAATTTCTCTCATCTCTACCCACTATACTCCCCTCCCTCCTAACTGCAGGCAGAAGTTCCAGTCACAATGAGTTTTCAATGGTCCAGTCTACAGACTGATAAATCACTGGATCATTTACCACACACTAACGCTCAATCAATGCTTAAAAGTATGACAACCTCTTCACAGTGTTCTTATTTTGTTCTCATGATGTCTCTATGAGATGAGTCAGAATGGTATTTTTATTCTCCTTTACAGTGAGGAAATAGATAAATATGCATTTTGAATGTTAACAAATCTGAATTTTGTAATTTTTTTTTTTTTTTTTTGAGTTGGAGTCTCACTCTGTCACCCAGGCTGGACCGCAATGGTGCGATCTTGGCTCACTGCAACCTCCGGCTCCTGGGTTCAAGCCATTCTCCTGCTTCAGCCTCCCAAGTAGCTGGGGCTACAAGCATGCGCCACCATGCCCAGGTAATTTTTGTATTTTTAGTAGAGACGAGGTTTCACCATGTTGGCCCGGCTGGTCTCAAACTCCTGACCTCAGGTGATCTGCTCACCTTGGCCTCCCAAAGTGCTGGGATTACAGGCGTGAGCCACCATGCCTGGCCTGAATTTTATAATATTAATATTGACATTAATTTATATTTTTAAGCATTTTCATCCTAGGAAACTCACTTCAATATACTAATGGCTCATTCTTCAGTAGAGATGATCATAGTTATTATGGTAAGGGGCTTCTAGGCTGCACAAACCTGTTTATCTTTTTTTTATTAAAACCGATGGAGAAAAATTATTTATGGAAAGGAACTTTTCTTGTTAACTGTTCCTATTTAATAGCATTCAGAATTACCCAATGGGTAAGTAGGTGCCTGAATGAATAGATGGATCTTACTGATTAATAAGACCTGGATTATTTTTAGGGATCTAGTGATGGCAGCAGGACGGCAACCCAATGTACTTAGTGATAGAAGAAGACCTTGCAAAGCCTACAGAAGAAAAAAAAAAGCTAGCTACTATATCTGTAGGAGCCATAATGTATATCATTATGCATGTCAAATTAATTGCTTATAATGACCAATGGTCAGAGAAGTAACATAGACAGACTTTAAAATTCTAAGTGATCTATGATATAGCAAATCATCTAAGGTATCTATGTTTCTGTTTACCACATGTTCATTTAATATGGCATTATTATTATTTCAGCATATAACTCTGATAGTAAAAATAATCCTAAACCTAATTTTCCTATCTAATACTTTCTTCTGAGGAGTATATGTGCACTAACTGTATTAAGAATCCTTTTGATTTCTTATGATTTTCCTGATTTTAGCCATTTCTTGGGTAAATAATGGAAATCAAGAAAACACTAAAGATCTTGAAATTAACCCTTTTGATTCCATTCCAAATTCTGAATACTGTCCACGTTCTCCAACTCAGATTCTTTTAGAGCAGGGGTCGCCAAACCATGGCTCACAGGCCAAATTCATCCCAGGGATTGTTTTTGTACAGAGTGAATTTAAAAAAAAATTGTTGAGGTGTTAACCAAAAATAAATAAATAAAAAGGAAACTTCAACACAGATTGTATGTGGCCTGTAAAGCCTAAAGCATTTACTATCTGGACCTTTATTAACAAAGCTTGCCGACTTCTGTTTTAGAGGGAACCCTCAGAGATACACTACCATACTCTGTCAAGCTACAAGTTCCCTGCTTGTTTCTGTATTTTCTAAGGATCTAGGGATTAGGTGTCATCTTTATTTGGGAAAAGAAAACATTGTCTAAAAAAGGCATATAGGCAAGATTTAGTTTTGTGGAAACTATGGTCACTGATTTTAATCTTGACATATTTGTATTCACTGACAAAAATTAGGCTAGTTTTACTAACTTGGTAATGATTTTACAAGTCTATTAAAAATTTGCAGGGGAGTCACTGGTAGGTTGATATAAAGTATTAAGAACAAAACTGAAGTATCATATGGCTTAGATGTTTTTGCGAAGAAAACTAATGTCTGCTTTTTAGAGTCAATGAAGTCTCTAGAACAAATGGTTAAAAGAAAGAGGGTATCAAATATCAATGCTCATGACATTTTGGCTTCAAACCTACAATAAAAGTAGTAATCAAGAATGATGCTTTAAATAATAGTATACATCTTTGAAAATTACCTGCTCTCCATCCATTCCTGGGATTCCTGGAGATCCCTGCTCTCCCTATTAAGATAAAAATAGATGACTTGCCTCCATTCTCATTGGTAACATACTGCACTACATAAAAAAACGATGCTAGTTTGTTAACACCACAATTTGACTTTCAGCAAATGCATCATAACCCGAGAATATTCTATTATAGCACATATCTAAACTAAGGGAAGTAATAATCTTTCTTCAAGATTATGTATAGTATTTATATGTAGCTAAGATCCAATGCTTTTAGTGTTTTTATTTTTTCTCCATGTGAGATGCAGGCTAAAAAAGAGTGGTCAAGGAAAACTGATAGACACAATTTGATAGCTGACCATATCCTATAGCAACAACCTATCTGCCTCAGTTAGTTAATTTTTTTCTCCATACAACCTCTGTATGATTTCTCTCACTTTCCAATTTCAGTAAAAAGGAAAACATAACAGTTAACCTAAAAAAGTAAAATGCAAAGCCCCATGAATTTTCAACAATATTTTAATTGGCACAGTTCAAACAGTTAGTTACAAATTCATGATTGTGAGTGTGCAATTTCCAGAAAAGCCTCACTGAAGGATATCATAAATCAGATATCTTAATGCATATGAAATAACTTTTAGATCAATTCAATTTCTTATACTGTGCTATGAATGAACTAAAATTTACTATTCATGTTATGATTTATAAGGATTTTTGACAAACTCAAAATATAGAGATTTTTGTTTGCTTTTTTAAACTGAAGATGTTCATTAAAAGCAAATTTATACAATACGCCAGAAAGTTAATCGAACAGCAAATGTTTAGTCACTTCTCAGTTTTGAAAGGTGACTAAATAAATTCCTTGAAAAGTAAGCATTATTTTGTATCAATGAGTCATTTATGTGGATCCCATTACAAATATCCCTGAATCCCACACTGTGGAAACTTTGTAAAAACAGCTCTTCTGAGTGTGAGAGGCCTGCCTCACAGACAGATTTCCAACGGAGCTGACCTGAGGCTGTATTTTCTAGAAAGGCCTGTTTGGTGATACTATAAACCACAATATTGAAATGGTTAGAGCTCCTTTCCCTGGTAAAAACTTTAAGAGCTATGAGGTACAGCATGAAATTTGAGCTTTCCAGTGTTTAAGGAAGGCATGATCTTGTGGTTATAAACAAATGAAGCAAGAAAAGCGGCGGGGGAAGGGCCTTTTCTTATTTCAGGTTTCCTGCTCTTTGTGGTAGCAGCAAATTTTATTTTGCCACAAACAAGTCTGCTGAGGTTGGATGCACCTGGCTAAGCCCTAGTTTCATTCAGAGTCTGAATACTTGTCAGCACTGTGGGTCCAATAATGATGGCTTTGCTAGGCTTTTCCCTTTAAAATATGATTCACAAGTGTTTAAAAGGAAAACATAATTCATGAGTTATTCATTTATCCTTCACCCCTCAAATGGGGTTTGTAAGAGTTATTTGATGTGTAGGGAATCAAACAATTCTTGTGTGATAAATGAAGGAGAAATGCTAATTGAGTAAGTTCCCATTCAGTCTGAATTCCAAGATCAGAAGGGGTTCTGTACTTGACTCAGGCTACATTTTGCTGTCTCTTGGTCATAGCTACATTCCACCCCAATTATCCCAACCTTCTCAAGGACAGACCATGAAAAACATAAAGGACTACATCAGCTAACACAAGATCTCAATTATAAGACCATTGTGGGGTGGGTGGGGTAGGGATGATAGCATACTGGGAAGGATGGCAAGGGTAGGAGGTAAGCGAGAATGACTCAACCCTCCTCCATATTGCTTGTCTAGATATTCATCTGGGCAACTTCTTCCTGTCTTTCAGTTTCAACTCAAAGCCACCCTTGGCTCTTAAGACTTAGAGGGACCTTCTATGCACTTACTCTATTAATAATTGTACCTTTACTTGCCTATCTCCCTCCCTAGGCCATAAGCCCTTTATTGGAATTTCTTTCTAGTATCCTTACTAGATATTAGTCCTTACCATAGAGTAGAGGCTCAAAAATTACTTACTGAATAACTGAATTAATACACGAATAGCAATTGGATTATAAAACCAGGGGAATATAGGTTTTAGTGATACAGATTTTTTACCTAGGAGGTCCTTTTTGCCTCTTTGGGTCAAAGAATGGGTGCCTTTGGGGCTTCTCTAGGCCTTTGGACTGTAGAGAAGAGAAAAGTCCTGGAAACTTTTGAGGTTTGTGGGAAATGAGATATGTATTTAGCTTTGGGGACAATTTTGGTTCTGGAGTCTTAGTCAAGCGAGGAGGTGAAATAATGAACTTAGACACTTGGTTGGTTCTACACAAAGGAAAAAAAGAAATTGCAGATTTCCTTCTAGGATATCTAGTCCAGCTCACCAAGATATTATTGAATGGGGATCCAGGCAGTGTTGCTCACCAAGAATAAAGATTATATATAGTTTTTTTGTGTTATGTCTCTTAGGGACCAGAATGTGCTGGAGAAATAGAAAGTTAAAAATCCCACACCTTATATTAATGTTATACAAGAAATCTATTTGAAATTAGGATCTATGTTCTAAATATATAGGCAAGGAGCTCAGTAATATTGTAATTTATATTCCTTTATATGATAGAAAAATAAAGTTTCTATATACTAGATTTCTGTTTTTAAGTATCTTGAGAGAGTATGAAAGCTGATACGTGTGAGTGTGTGTTATGACAGACTTAGCAAATAAACTGCCTTAAGAAGCATTAACAAAAGATGAATTCTGAAATAACTTGAATCTCCTACAAGAATCCAATGACGAAAGTCATATTTCAACACATGTAGCTCAGTTCTGAAAAGCCAGAATCACTGGCCATGTGTTAATTGATCAAACATGGTTGAATGACTAAGCTTCAGTTTGGAGGGATAAAGCCATCAACAAAGTTTAGATATAAAGCAATTCTAGCCTTCTACTATTTTTAGTTGGTATGTTTCATTAGATAAGATTTAAATGGCAAAATGTCTGAAAGTATATAATAAAGAATGCATTATGAAAAATGATTCCTAAAATTTTGATTTGTGAATGCACCATACTAAAACTTTTCTTACTCTTTTTACTATAAAAGCATTAGAAGCAAGGATCTTTCTTGGTGTCAAGTTAAATTTTCTCTAATCCTCCTTTAATCAAACATTTTCTTTTGTTTTCATACACCACATTTAGTGTTTTTTACATTTATAATTTCTGTGGAACTTGTTTTTCCCTTGTTTAATATCTTTTTTCAATGTCTTCCCTAAATTAAATTTCTCTCTCTTCTTTTCCTATTTTCCCTTCTTCTTTTCTAATTTTCTATCTTCCTTCAGTCCAGACCTCAATTTCTTTTCTTCGCTCTCTAAAACAATACTGTTGATCTCAGCTTCTTCAGCATTTTGTAAGACTGATTTTCAAAGATGCATATACTTAATACGGTATTCCCTGCACTGTATGTGATAAATGGAAACAAGTAAATAAAGAATAACCTTTGGCCCTTGTAGTCCTTGAGGTCCAGGAGGTCCAGGGGGACCCTAAATCAAGAAAAAGCACAGTTTTTAAAAGTAGTAATTATATGTATTAAAATTCATACCTTAAATAGGCACACTATACACCTTCCTTATTTCTATCGTAATCAGATCTCCCCAAATATAAATTTGCAATGAGGAAAAATTTTACTAGTTACATAATTAGAAAAAAACACCTATTTATATGCTAAAATATTAACACATTTGAGGTCAAAATAATGTGGAAGGTGCTTCTGGGTAGATTCGGTAAGGCAATGTAAAATTGCTGCCATGCTCCACACTCATCGTATTGGGATGAATTAGCATACGAATATTAGCTTTGTTTCTACATACACTCCTTACCCCTCCACCCCAAAGGCGTTGATTTCCCAAACCCTAAAGAATAAAGCTATATTGTTCAGATAAGGCCAGAGACTTTTAAGAAAATTAGCAATCACTTTTTTCTTGACCTTTTCACTAAGCAGACAAAGTGATTCAACTGGAGCAAATGTAAAAGATTATTAATACAAGAAAACATAAAATTAAGTATCAGATAAAAACAATAGCTACATTAGTACCATTTTGGCTGGCATGCATCAACACCAAATACAAAACCACAAACCACAGAAAGCATGCAATAGGAGTTACCGTGACAGTTAAGGTGGTAATCCTCTGTTGGGAAAATGTGTTGACAAAGACAGAGTTATCTATTTTGTGTGCCAAAGTACAGTAATACATTTGTGAAATAATCAACTTTTTGAATATGTTTGGCTAGTCTGATATCTTAAAAGGATTTGACAAGATACTGAGAACATATTACCCTATCTTCAATACAGTATAGTTGTAGAGATTTTTTAAAAATTATTTTTAGAATCCTATTTAAAAAATCTATGGCTGAAGAAAAAGAAATGTCAAAATTTTAATTCACCTGATTGAAAAAAATAATGCAGTAAAGTCATATATGCTAGAGGCTTGTCAGTATAATTGTGAACTGAGAAATTTTGCTATTGATAAAAGCACTATTCTAGAGAGTACTTCATTAGAGAAAACTGAAATACCCAATTGCATATTTTTTCTCTTTTAGTCTGCAGCTCATTTGTTGCATTAAAACTAACTTTGTGTTTGTGCGTGTGTGTGTGTGCGTGTGTGTGTGCCATAACTAAAGATATTAGTCGACATAGAATTAATCTAATTTCCTTTTTTTTGGCATTCCAATTTTTTTGTGAACTTAATCAGAAAAACAAATGAGTTTTTAAAATTTATTGATTGATTGATTTATTATACTTAAGTTCTGGGATACATGTGCAGAATGTGCACATTTGTTACATAGGTATACATGTGCCATCGTGGTTTGCTGCACCCATCAACTCGTCATCTACATTAGGTATTTCTCCAAATGCTATCCCTCCCCTTGCCCCCCACCCCCTGACAGGCCCTGGTGTGTGATGTTCCCCTCCCTGTGCCCATATGTTCTCATTGTTCAACTCCCACTTATGAGTGAGAATATGTGGTGTTTGGTTTTCTGTTCCTGGGTTAGTTTGCTGAGAATGATGGTTTCCAGCTTCATCCATGTCCCTACAAATGACATGAACTCATTCTTTTTTATGGCTGCATAGTATTCCGTGGTGTATATGTACCACATTTTCTTTATCCAGTCTATCATTGATGGGCATTTGGGTTGGTTCCAAGTCTTTGCTATTGTGAATAGTGCTGCAATAAACACACATGTGCATGTATCTTTATAGTAGACTGGTACCAAAACAAATATATAGACCAATGGAACAGAACAGAGGCCTCAGAAATAACACCACACACCTACAACCATCTGATCTTTGACAAACCTGACAAAAACAAGCAACGTGGAAAGGATTTCCTATTTAATAAATGGTGTTGGGAAAACTGGCTAGCCATATGCAGAAAACTGAAACTGGACCCCTTCCTTAAACCTTATACAAAAATTAACTCAAAACGGATTAAAGATTTAAATGTAAAACCTAAAACCATAAAAACCCTAGAAGAAAACCTAGGCAATACCATTCAGGTCATAGGTATAGGCAAAGACTTCATGACTAAAACACCAAAAGCAGTGGCAACAAGAGCCAAAATTGACAAACAGAATCTAATTAAACTCAAGAGCTTCTGAATAGCAAAAAAACTACCATCAGAGTGAACAGGCAACCTACAGAAAGGGAGAAAATTTTTGCAATCTATCCATCTGACAAAGGGCTAATATCCAGAATCTACAAAGAACTTAAATTTACAAGAAAAAAAACCAATCCCATTGAAAAGTGGGCAAAGGATATGAACAGACATTTTTCAAAAGAACACATTTATGCAGCCAACAAACATATGAAAAAAAGCTCATCATCACTGGTCTTTAGAGAAATGCAAATCAAAACCACAATGAGATACCATCTCATGCCAGTTAGAATGGCGATCATTAAAAAGTCAGGAAACAACAGATGCTGAAAAGGATGTGGAGAAATAGGAACACTTTTACACTGTTTGTGGGAGTGTAAACTAGTTCAACCATTGTGGAAGACAGTGTGGCAATTCCTCAAGGATCTAGAACTAGCAATACCATTTGACCCAGCAATCCTATTACTGGGTATATACTGAAAGAATTAATCTAATTTCTTAAAGTGTTAGAGAACTGTAACAAAATATACCGTGTCTAAGTCTGAATCTCTAAAACATAATTCCTGATCCATGAATCATATTTTTGAATTAACATTTTTCTGGTCTAGGTTCTGTGCTGAAAGTTCTATGGGGTTGATAACCACTTTATGAAATCACAGAGGGGAGAACATTTCCTTTAGGGACTCTGGTCATAGAGAAACATTATTCAATTACATTCAAACTTGTAGGTATCAGTTGAACACCATCCTTCTGTTTTCCACTGTTCCACTCCAATTTCTGATTTGAGCTGTTGTTACTGTTTTTTTTTTTTATTTTTTAAATTGTTGTAAAAGGTAAAATGTCCACAAACTGGGGGCAAGGTTATAAGAAAAAAATAAGGTCCCAGAATTTTACACCACCAGATCTGTGTAACATAATTCCATTCAGTTTATGCTTCAGGAATTCACCTAGAACAAGAATTGGATTTGTAGTTATGGTAAAGCTACTTTTTTTTTGTTGTTCCTACAGTGTAGAGAAGTCATTTAAACAAGGCTATCAGAAAATTAAGGAGTAGAAATAATTTCTTTATCATTGTCTTCCAATTACATGTTACTTTTTAACTAGAAAACAGGATCATAAAGCCCTAAAAAGGAAAGGGATTTTCAAATTTGAGCTCTCTGAGGTTTTCCAACATGTGCCATATACTAATTCATTTTTCACCTGAACATAATGCTAGTTTGTATTTTTTTAAATTTAAAGATAACATGTTTAATAATGAGCTGCAAAATAAAAGAATATTATTAATAGTAACTGACCTAACAGATGGAGTTTAAATGATTTTGTTAAATAACTATGTTTGTGAAACTTTAAAATTGTATAATGTTCCATCCAGCTAATAGGTTTCAATGACAACAAACTGAGCTAACTTCACAAATACATAGTCTTGACCACCAACTGGAAGCACCAGTATGCAGACACACAGAGAAGTCCTAACGATGTGGCTCACTGTGCATTTCTTATATGTGGCAAATCCAAGTTAAAGCTATATAAACTCAACAGGATTCTCTTTTGAACTCAAATAATGATTTGAAAGTCAGAATTTTTGGTGGTGATGGAGAAAGACATGGCATTCTCTAGTGAGACGCGACGTGAAATGGGAGGCATGAACTACAGAAACTGCAAATTGGGTAAAGCCCAGCAGCCTGCTTTGTGATTTATTCCCTGAAATGTTTATCTGAATCTCTTTAGAATTAAAGGTTACTTTCTTTCATTTCTCATAATGATGAAAGCTTAAACTCGCCCACGATTCATACTAGAGAACAGGTTTAGTTTAGATGGCGATGAGAATTTTTTAAAGAGTCAGTTAGGAAACAGAGGTTTTACTGCTAATTTGTAGAAATTTAGCCACCTTAAATAAAAATAAATAGCTTATGGCAATGTTTATGTAAATCACAATCTTCAATAGAGGCAACAGTAAAATTTTATATTTCTAATATGGTATGATTATAACTGTAATATATTTCTATTTATCTGATTATCCTAGAGTATTTTTGGCAGATTGTTTTAAAAGGGATAACAATGACATACCTGCAAAACTGTAAATATCCATCACTGGTTAGAGAATTAGAAGAATAAATGTCTACCATCTCTTCTCAATCTAATGTATTAATTTTATGAGGGACTCAATTCACTAGAGCACTATGTTAGGGAAACCAATAGTTTTGATGTGAAAAGATAACTATAAGCTATTTATAAGCATGGCAAATAGTTGCCTCACAACCAACCCAATAAGAATAATAAACATTTAGGTTGAGACATAAGCATGAACTAGTTGACTATGATGGATATTGGCTGTTTAGTAGTCATATACAATTAAAGATGAGAAAAAGAAACAGAAGTATATCGTTTCATATTGAAATATAGGTGTCACATTTTTTAAAAAGTACAATGCTTTTAGGCATATCAGTAAAAAGTGTTCAGAAGCTCTGAAAAATCACCCTAAGAATAGTATTAGGTTTCGTGGACTCATAGAAAAAAATTTATTCCAATAACATCCTTATTTTGCAGATAAGATCAATGAAGTATAGATACATTAAGCAATTTTCCCCAAATGACTGAGCTAATAGAGGGGAGATCAAAATAGAGATTTCCATTTTAGACTAAGGATAGCTTGCCTCATGCCAGGCCCAGTTCATGCAAAGAATGCTTTGAGAACTTGATCACAGTGTTGCAGAAAATGCCCAATTATATTGGAACAGTTCTTGGAGGATAAGAAAGTAGATACCTCTTAAAGGTAGCTGGAATTATGGGGCCACTGGAAGTAGTTCAAGGGCAATTTACAACATTGCTAATAAACTAAGTTTTTAAAAAGTCCCTATATTTTATAAGAACTTTGAAAACAGTAGGCACACCAAAACTTTGTGTTCCCTGTCTCTGTCTCCCTTTCTTTCCTTACATAGTTATCAACTTGTGGGGAAAAGGGAATAATTTAGAAAACTAGTTCTAGAATTTGACAGTAACCCAGAGGCCACTACTTACATCGAATCCAATTACACAGAGGAACACTAATTCAAGCTCCTAACTAAAGATACTGTCCAAGCAACATTTCTCCAAGCAGTAAACATGCTTCTGTTTGTATTTTACCAGAAGAAAAATAATGAAAAGGCCAAAAAATAGGCTGAGCTGAAAATAGATTTAAAAAAAAAAAACGACTTAGTGCTCTACTAGTTAAAAATGATAGTTGGAGCAAAGAACCTATACAGGTACAGATCTGTCATAATTAGATTGTGTTAGTAAAATCATAAAGATGGAAAAATAATTCAAACAGGTACAAAGTAGCAGAGATATATTTAAAACAACTAATTCGGCTTACAAGCAAAGAAATGGCTTGTACATACGAATGAAGTATACTTATTCAACCAATAACCATTTACTTAATATTTACATATCTGGTTAATATAAGCATAAAATGTTTTTCTGTCACCAAGCTTACAATCTCATAAGAGGTAAGACTAAAATCAACTATGGAGTTTGATTTTAAATAGTAAACCACTAGAACCCCACCACTAATGTTTAAAAGGATTAAGAGGAAGAACTCATCTGAGTGGCAGCAGTGGATTGTTGTGTAGAATTTATATGGGAAAGAAAGGAAGGAAGAATGGGATGAACACATGCAAAAAGGAGGAGACTTGTATGGATATGATAACAATGATTATATCAGGGGGAATTCTGCTGTGGAGAAATGAAAAGTTCTCCACAGGAAGGGCATGACTATAGAGGATTAAGATGGAGAAGCTTGGGCTTGATAGAACAGACAGTAGGGGGGTCATTAAGGTTTCTGAGCAAATTAGAACCATCGAAGCCATGATCATTTATAAAAATTAATCTTGGAGTGATACACAAGATGAATTAGAAGGACCAGGAGGCACTAGGGAAAGAGTCATTGGTCAAGGAGCTGTTGCTGTATTAGGCATGAAGTAAACAGGATGTGGACTCAGTTAGGAATGGAAAGAACAGGCAATCTCAAGAGATACTTTGAAAAAGGAAATAGCAGCCCCTTGGTGAGACAGAATAAGTAAAGGACTAAGAATAGTTTAAAAATGACTCTAAACTTTCTATTCCCTCAAAATTCAGATTCATGGTATCACTAACAGAAACCGGTCACTTAAAAAAGGGACTCATTTCGTAGGTGGGAAAGGTAACCAGTATAATTGTATTGGTGGAAGCTGATAAGGCATTCATACATCCATAATGGAAATATTCTTGGACAGCTGGGGGCATACACAGATTATATCTAGAGATGAAAGAATTGAGAGCCATAATGTGGAAGAACACAGAGGGAGTGACTGTACCAAGAAAAGATCAGAGACTTGAGGATACCAAAAACTAGGGAATAGACAGACAAATTAGAAACACCAAAATAAAGGTGATACGCCAGAGAAAAAAAATGGAAAAAATGAAAGTAGAAGGTCAGAGAGACAAAAAAAAAGTTTCAAAGGAAGGTGGTTTGATATCAATATCACAAAAATGTCAGGGGCGATGAGTCCAGTGGACTTGACATAGAAGTTATTGTTGACCTTTGTAAGAGAAGATGCAACAGAATGATGATAGAGGCTAGAATGCAGGAGTCTAAACATGAAAAGAATGAATAGGAAGCAAAGGTGATAGAAACAAGCCACATAGTCTATTGCTTACTTAATAAGAAGAAAAGAATTATATGGTAGCAGTAATAAGAAATACAGAGGGCTTACTATGTACCAGGAACTGTTCTAAGAGTATAATATATATTGTGCCATTTGCTCTTCTCAACAAGGCTATGAGGCAGATACTGCTACCATCCTCATTCTGTAGATGGGAAAACTGAGGCACAGAGAAGTGAAATAACTTGCCCTAGGTCACACATTTAGTAAACAAGAGAGCTGAGATTTGAATGCAAGCAGCTCCAGCCCCAGAGGCACAGAGCTCTTGATTGCCTTGCCACATTCCCTCTGCAAGGAAGGAGGCAAAAATTGGCCAAACTAACACAAGGTTTATCCCTCATAAGGCTTAACTATATCTGAAGGTGGAAGGGAAAGGAAAGAAATGATTGAAAAATGCTACAAAATAAAGAAGATAAACTGGGGCACAGAGAAGGGGATGAGTTCTTGAGAACAGGGAGAAGGGGTGCCTTGAGCAGTGGAGTCCTCTGAGGATAGAGGGTGTGGAAGCTCATATTTGCACACATTACATGGGTGCTCCTCAGCATCCTTCTCAGTGTGTGTCAGGGCAGGGACCAGTCACTTGCCTGTAAGGCTTCGTGGAGGTTGCCGTTGTAGTCTATGATCTCAGTGGCTCCTTGATCCCCTTTTTGACCAGGTGGACCCTATGACAAAACCAATCAAGGGAAAATCATGGGTATTAGCTTAGCATGTAGGGTGGACTGTGGCAGAAACAGAAATACAACTCACAGCTCTCTCTGAATATCATTTCCCTACTAAGGCCCAACTGTACTTTAGAATATATAAATAATTATGTTCAAAATGTATCCTTATCTCAAAGGAGGCAAACCACTTCTTATATCCTGTCTTTGGTAGGTTCAATATATGAAATCTGATAAAAAATACGATTTAATTTTTGAAACTATTTTCTGAAAATTACAATATAGGCTACTCTGATGTGACATGTAAAATTTTATTTGCTTTATTCATATTTATTAAAGCATCCTCTAACCTTTTGTTCCTCATCCATACCTCATACATTGCTTCCTCATTCTTTTTTTGAGACGGAGTCTCACTCTGTTGCCCAGGCTGGAATGCAGTAGCGTGATCTCGGCTCACTGCAACCTCTGCCTCCTGTGTTCAAGCAATTCTCCTGCCTCAGCCTCCCATGCACCACCATGACCAGCTAGTTTTTGTATTTTTAGTGGAGACAGAGTTTCACCATGTTGGGCAGGCTGGCTTTGAACTCCTGACCTCAGGTGATCCACCAGCCTTGGCTCCCAAAGTGCTAGAATTACAGGTGTGAGCCACTGCACCTGGCCGTCATTCTTTAAAAAGATAGAACATTGTTCTGTAGAAAAATACTTGGCTTTCCCATCAGGAATGAATGCCACAAAAATTAAACAAAATAGGGAACAAACAATAGAATACATGTATATTTTTAAGACTTCTACCCTGCTTATTAGATCTGCTACTTAATTTCCATTAGTCATGTCATAATTCCCTTTTTTTTTAAAAAAAGACACTGAACATATGGGTTATTGCTTTCTTTATAATTGAGTTAATTGAAAAGTGGAAAATTCCATTAGCTGGATGGGAACAGAGGGAAAGTAGACAGGGGGAGTTCTTTAGGCCTTCTCAAAGAAGCTTAGTTTATGTGTTGGAATCCCTACATGCACTGCTCCTGGTGAGGAAAATAAAGGAGGTAGGGGTGTTTCAGGAATAATTACAGTAGTCTACCTCCAATACTATTATTAAGTATTATTAATACAGATGTCATATGAATAGCCATGCAGACATGAATTCAAATCTGGGATTGTAGGGAGCAAAAGTTTAGATGGATGAGAGGAACACTCACCCTTGGTCCCTGAGCTCCAGAGTCCCCTTTTTCTCCACGATCCCCCTTTTCCCGTTGGAAAGAGAAAAAACTTAATCAGAAGTGGGGGAATCTAGAAATCTCGTGTAAGAACATGTTTATGCCATACAGAAGCACCTTTAATATGAACTTCTGAAGTGAAAAACAACAGCAACCACCACCAAAATAGCAAATGCTTTTTTAAGATGCAGCTTGAAAAGAACTAAAATTCCTTTTTTTAAAAAACTCCCTTTTCAGGTAATAGAGTATCTTGAAACAACAATATATATGGTAACTGTCTCACTAGGTAGGATCTGCAAAGGCAAAGCAAGTGGTTTCTATGGCACCCAAAGTAAGCTTTTACCTTGCAAATTGAGCCATTTTCTTCCTTTTTATGAAGAGATTTGGGGCAAAGGGAAAAAGAGCCAACAATTGTTTTTCCTCTGAGAAGAAAAGTGTAGATAGTTGGGACAGGAAAGGAGTAGAGAGCTCATTCTAGGGAGAATTAGGAAAGGAAGGTCACAGGCTAGGCCTCCCTCTGATGATGGGGATCTAAGGAAAAGTTCATCTGTAGGTATAGGCATTTTAACACTCAGTGCTGAAGTGGACAGCAGCCAGCTGGAACAGGTTGGCAGCGCTGAAGGTCAGGGGCAGGGCAAACCCAGCTCTCTCTCTTTTTTCAATGCAATAGGAAATTTATCTGAAGTTTCATTGATGGTGGCATTACCTCAACTGTAGAGCAGCAGGAATAGTCCAAGCCCTCAAAATTCTTAGAAATGTAAACTGAAACTTTGGAGAAGAGATTCGAACCTGTGTAGATTTAAAGGTTCTTTAAAACAGCCTTAAATTGATAGGGTTCTTTTTCTGTATGGACTTCAAAGCATTTTTATATGTCTTTCTACAGATTCCTATAAACTGGGTAAGGATGAATAAAGATAAGCAGGAAAAAGGATTATAATTCTTCCCATCCACAGTATGCCAATAACATTGATCATAATAAATTTGCTATGAATGAAGCATTAATAATCTTTGCTCTCTGTTTTCTTCATCTTGCACACATTTTTTTCCACATTAGTAGCTAACAGCATTTTAAATAATATGATTCTGCTGACAGTATATATGTTATTGCAGATAGTATAAAGAGTATGATATAGAGGAGAATTTCAATTGGCAGTAGAATTTTAATGCAACGAAGGGAGTCAACTAAAAAGCAGAGTATAATTCGAGCATTTATCACAAAGACAGCGAGGAAATGAAAAATTAGATTATACAATACACAATTTAAGGAAAGTTCTTAATTTTTTTCAAAGAAGCTATTCCTATGAAATAGGAAATACAACTTCTCTTAAAGAATTTTCTGAAGCACTAGACTATTCAAAAACAAGCAAGATGAAACAAACGTATTGTTTTGAGATATCATCATAGGGATACTGCAATCCCTTTTGCAATAAGTATTGCAGTTCCACTGTGTGAAAGAGTTTAATCTAAAACATGAAAAACATGCCTCTGTGGCAAAGGCAAAAAGCACAGATCTTGAAGGCCTCATGTTATATTTAAATGGTTATCTGGTTACTGACCTTTGACCCCTTTGGGCCTCTAGTTCCTGATTCACCTTGTTTCCCCTATTACAGCAGAATAAGAGGATGAAAAAGATAAAATTATAGAAGAGATAAGAACAGAAAAATAGAAATTAGCAGTGACTCAGAATAATGAAGAAAAATGGAAACACTTTATTTTAACTGCCTCAATATATGGCTCTACAGAATGTCGGTTATTATAATACTAAACATAAGTATCATCACCATATCATCAATTCATTCCATTATTATTTTGAAGGCTGCCCTCCCATCAGTGGATGAGAAGAGTTCTGTGAATAATTCTCATTAGTCTCAACAGTGTTTGGCTGCATCAATTTCCTTTTCATCAGTGAGTAAATAGTTTCCTGTGTCTCTAGGATGGGCTATTAAAATAAAGTGTGACCACATTAGTTTGCAGAAAGTTTAAATGAATAAGGTCAAACAGACAAATAAGTCCTTAGCTCTAATATTTTCAAGGTGTTACACTCCATTAAGTTACCATAGAAACTAACACAGCACTTATCAACAGGGATTTTTTTTCAGTAAGTTTTAATACACATTGAGTGATAATGTGTTAATATGACAGCACTTCTTTTACATTTGGATATGCTATCAATTTGCTCACTGAACAGAACAGAGTTAACAGGGTGAGGTGAATTGTAAAATCTCTTTTGAAAAGAACCAGTTGGTGTGCATTTCAACAAACTATTTGTGATTTGGGCTGTTTTAATACCTGTTAAGAATGTTGTTTTAGTTTTTTGTGTTCTAAATCAAATCAAGCCAGAGAATGGTTATTTTCCAGTTTAAGAATAACTCACCTTTGGTCCGGGGGCTCCAGGTTCCCCTCGCTCACCTCTTCCAGGAGGCCCTGCTTCCCCCCGTTCACCCTGTCACAAATTGCAAAACAGGTAAATGGTCATTCCCCCCACCCAGGCTGGTCCCTGTAGATTAATAAATGAGTTGAAGGAAACCAAAGAAAGCAGAGAGTTTTCATTGATTTACCCTGTACCCAGCACTTTATTAATCTCTTAACATGAATTATCTCATTTTATAATCAAAACAATTTGTGATGGTTAATTTTAGGTGTCAACTTGACTGGATTAAGGGACACATAGAAAGATAATAAAGCACTGCTTCTGGGTTGTCTGTGAAGGTGTTAATGGAGGAGATTGGCAGGTGAGTCTGTTGACTGAGTACGGAAGATCTACTTTCAACGTGAGGGGGCACCATCAAATCTGCTGGGGGCCCAGATAGAAGAGGAAAGGCAAACTCTCTCTTCCGCAGCTGAGAGCCCTTCCTCTCAGTCCTTGGACATCAGAACTCCAGGTTCTCTGGCCTTTGGATTTTGGGACTTGTACCAGTGCCCCTCAGGCTCTTATGCCTTCAGCCTCAGACTGAAAGTTACACCATCTGCCTCCCTGGACCTGAGGCCTTCAGACTTGGACCGAGCCATGCTACCGTCAACCCAGGGTCTCCTCCAGCTTGCAGATAGCCTGTTGTGGGACTTCTCAGCCTCTATAATTGTATGAGCCAATTCCCCTCATAAATCCCCACTCATCTATCTATCTCCCTATATATATCCTATTGGTTCTGTCTCTCTGGAGAAACTTGACTAATATGCAATTATCCAATGTTTGTATTATCATCTCCATTTTACAGATAAGGAAATGGTTTGGTAAATGCCTGTCAAATAGCTATGTTGGTAAATAGAAAGACCTTTAAAGGGAATTGATAAAGGCCATCATTATACCTCAAGATAGGAATGAATATCCATTTTCATTCTGCAGTCACTTTTTAAGCACTGCTGGCAAGAAGCATGGCAAAGTGGTTAAGTTCCTGGCTCTGTAATCTAGCATCTTAGGTTTTACTCCTGGCTCTGCTATTTACCAATTCTGTGTTCTAGGGTAAGTTAGTTAGGTTTTGTACATCTCAGTTTCCTCAGTAAAATGGACAAAGTTATAGTACTCATCTCATAGTTTATGAATGTAAAAGTGTTCGGGTTTTACAGTTTTTTAATATATTCATATCTCTATGAAGTATAAATATGGCTACTGTCCTCAAGGAGCTAGTGATCTAGTTAGGCAGACAAGAGCTGCAGAACCAAAATAGTTAAGGATTAAGGAGTAATGTAAGGCCCTATGTGACAGAAGGGGAATCCCTGTTGGTATCTATTATTGTGGATTGGATCCCTGGAGGTGAGACTTGAGTCGTGTCCTGAAGGATGAGTAGGGTTTATTTCATAATTATTGCTGTTAATGACTGTAGCATGGATGAGTGCAGAAACTGCACAAAACACTTTACATGTATTATCCTATTTAATCCTCAGGACAAATGAGAAAAGTTTTATTATCCATATTCTACAGATGAGGAAGCCAAAGTTTGGAGAGGTTAAGTAACTTGCTCAAAGTGACAAAGCTTTTAAAGTGGGTAAAACTGATGGTACTCGATCTTCAACTTTTGCATAAATGTTTCAAATGTAAATCTTTTGCACATCGTTGATCATTTTCTCAGGATAAATTCCTAGTTGGAAAATTGCTAGGTCAAAAAAGTATGAATATTTTTAAAAACTTGCTAAATTGCCCTCCAGGAAGATGGTACCTTTTAATACTCCCTAAACACAGAGTAAAGAGTGTCTGGCTTCTTGCATAAGGGGTAGAATTTCAATCATCAAACATTTAGAATTCAGACTGTTGATGACATATTTATGGATGAAAGAGGTGCTCTCCTCACTGAAGGAAATACTTCATCTTGGAAAAGATAAGAAAATAGAATTAGATCTATGGTGGGTCATGTAGGGCTTGAAATTCCAAGATTCTTATCTGTATCATGCCCACTTTGGGAAGCCTTTGTGGTTTTATAGGGGAGGTGGGATAGGTTAGTCAAGGGTTAAGAAAGACAGGAGGCAAGTGTTAAAGACTCAGGTTTCTTAACAGCACTGAAGAGGTTGTGAAAATGGAGAGGTTGGGAGAAAGACAAGGGACTTCTCTAGATACAGGAGATAGACACAATGGCCCAGAAATGAAAAGAGTTTTTGCTTTTTGTCATCCCCCACCCCATTACCCTGTTGAGTGAGACTAAGGAGCTTCTATTGGTATATAAAAATTATTAAAAAACTGTAAAGTATTTGGTGTTTCTTTTAATGTTTTACTTTAAGAATTACAGAATTCTAAAACAGTCCACTATGAAAAACAAAAACCCTTAAAAATAATTTATCTGTAGTTCACCACAAGAGTGAAGTCAATACATCTTTACTTTTTAACATTTATATATTTTTAGAGAGGGGACCTTGCTATGTTGCCTAGGCTGGTGTACAGTGGCTATTCACAGGCACTATCATAGCACACTATAGCCTCAAACTCCTGGACTCAAGTAGTCCTCTGGCCTCAGCCTCCTGAGTAGGTAGGATGACAGGTGTGCACCACCACACTCAGCTAGAATCACTTTTTATTATGTCTCTTATTAGTTCCCTATCACTCTCTGAAATTATATTATTTGTCTACTTCTTTCCCTCCTTCCATCTCTTCCTTGTCCACACTACAATGTAAGCTTCAGGAGAATAGAAACTGTTGCTGTTGCATTTACTTCCCATGCTTAAATGCAGAAAAATATTTGATCAAAACATTGGTGAATTAATGAATAAACAGTATTAGTAAAAGTATTCTAAAATATTCTGACTATAGTCCCATTTCTTTTCTTTCTTTTTTTTTTTTTTTTTGAGGTCTCACTCTGTCACCCAGGCTGGAGAGCAGTGTTGTGATCTCGGCTCACTGCAACCTCTGCCTCCTGGGCTCAGGTGATCCTTCCACCTCAGCCTCCTAAGTAGCTGGGACTACAGGCATGCGCCGCCATGCCCAGATGATTTTTGTATTTTTAGTGGAGATGGGGTCTCATCATGTTGCCCAGGCTGATCTCAAACTCCTGGGCTCAAGCAATCTGCCTGCCTCAGCCTCCCAAAGTGCTGGGATTACAGGCGTAAGCCACCATGCCCAGGCCCCTCCCCCTATTTCCTTAGCCTGATAGAGGTCCCTCTCAGGCACTAATGTAGGTATAAAAGATGCAGCATGTTTTGATGCCATTGTACATCTTCCTTCATTATGATCTCTCCTCACTGTGTTGGGAATAAGAAATATAGTCTTAGTTACTTTTTAAATCTGAATTTAGTGGTACAAATCCAGACTGTCTACACAAGTGGAAGAATGGTGTTCAGCTGAAAGAGATTTTTAAAATAACCATGACTTTCCCATGATGACACTGAACCAACCATAACATTGATACTTAACATATGTGGATTCAACACAAATTAGATATTTCAAATAATACCGATGATGTGTGTATATGTGTGCACATGCATGTTGCTGTTTTAACAGCTGAGTTAAGGTAGGTAATTCAGCTGACAATTAACCTCAAAGTAATGTTAGTAAAATGAATTTCCTATCCATATCCCTTCTGTGGAAATACAAAATAGGTAGAATACATTCTTTAGTTTTACTCAGGGTTCAGAGTAGTATCTGTTATATGAGTACCTGGTCTATAAAATCATGCTGGGTTCTTCATAACAGTAATTAATGTGGATTTTATGCCTCTACATCTGGAAATTTTTCTGAAACTGCAGAATAGTTTAAAATCAGGAAACTAAAGAAAAGATATTTAGGAATGAACTTCACTCTCTACTGCTTGTGTTTTTTCTATTTTCCCTTGCACAGCACACAAAATGCCACACACACTTTTAGATCCAGTTCACGCCTGGCTTTCTCCTTCATTGACCAGGCCGCCCTTTCTTTGTGTATCATGCCCATCTGCGAGGCTGACTTCTTTCCTGCCCTGGGTCCGAGGCTGCAAGCCTGAATAAATGCAACCGTTCTTGTATTAACAGGGAATGCTCATTATTTTCTTGCTCTCACTCTCTCTTTTTATTCCAGAAAGACATTTCTTGTGTGAATCTGCTCAGGCTAAAACAGGCATTCCTCATATTTTGTTAATAAGCCTGACAGCTCATTATGTGAAGAAATTTCTTGAGAAAACAATTTTGCATAATCTGATGGAGTTTCAGTCCCCCCTAGGACACACATAGTTTCCATTTACTAGGTTTAGAGTTATTTTCACTTGACCAGCAGAAATGAGGGCCCTTCTGTCAGAACAGACCATGAACATATTTCTGTAACTCTTGGAAATCATCCCTGGCTTATTTCTGTTGAATGCAGTACACATTGAGGCAAAGCCTGCTATGGTTTAAAAATAAAAGAATGTAGTTTGATGTAATTTTGCCCCTTCTTTGATTCATGAGTCTGTCATGAGTAAAGTTCCATCATCAGAGCTGTACTTTTTATGTCTTTCAGGGTAGATAAAAAGAGAACTCTGGGTCTGACTGTATTCATAGCAGCATATATATATATTTTTTTGCATGGCAGTATATATAGATTTTGCTTTTAGAGCCCTCCCTAGGTTTGCCAAGTAGAAGATCATGAGATGGTTTTCATTATAGAATATTTTTGCAGACGTTATTCAGAGTAGATCCTTTTGGGATGAGGCACTTAGGAATCTATATGACATCAGTACTTGCCTTTGAAATCTGGGGAGTAATGGGAATAGTAATAACCTTTGATTTACAAGTATATCCTGAAATTGGTGATGAGGAGCAGGAGTTAATGAGTTCTATCTCTCCTCCTCAGAATTTCTCTACTTTTCCATATGGCCAGGAAGCTAATAGCATCCCATCAATTTAGGAGCAATTTGGGGTACAAGTGGAACAACTGAAATATTTCACCATCCTGTTGTCTTGCCTAAGGCTTTCTAGATTAACTTTCCACTACTCAATATTGAACACAGTGGTGCCATTAGAAGTGTTAGTAATGGGTAGATTAAGCTGCTTTCATTCTCTATTAGGCAAAAATATATGGTCACCTAAATTACCAAGTTGTCCCACATTTCTTTCAACATAGTGGACTAAAAATATATGACAAAGATTTCAGAAAGAAGAAATCAAGCAAGAAGGAAGGAAGGAGGGAGGGAGGGAGAGAGAGAGGAAGAAAAGAAAGAAAGAAAAGAAAAAAGAAAGAAAGAAAGAGAAAGAGAGAGAGAAAGAAGGAAGGAAGGAAGAAAGAAAGAAAAAGAAAGAAAGAAAGAAAGAAGGGAAAAGGGAAGGAAGGGAAGGGAAAGAAGGAAAGGAAGGGGAAGGAAAGGGAAGGGAAGCGAAGGGAAGGAAGAAAGGAAGGAGGGAAGGAAGAAAGGAAGGGAGGAAGGAAGGAAGGAGGAAGAAAGTAAAAGGAAGGGAAGGGAAGGAAGAAAGGAAGGAAAGGAAGGAAGGAAAGAAGGAAGGAAAGGAAGGAAGGAATGAAGGAAGGAAGATAGGAAGGAAAGAAGGAAGGAAGAGAGAGAGAGAAAGAAGAAAGATGGAAGGAAAGAGAAAAAGAAAGAAAGAGAAAGAAAAGAAGGAAGGAAAGAAAGAAAAGAAAGAAAGAAAAAGGAAAGAAAGGAAAGGAAGAAAGACAATAAAAGAAAGAGAAAGGAAAGAAAAGGAAAGGAAAGAAGGAAGGAAGAAAAGAAAGAAAGAAAAAGAAAGAAAGAAGGAAAGAAAGAGGCCCACTTACTTTTGTTCCTGGTAAACCTGGTAAGCCTGGTTCTCCTTGAGGACCAATGAAACCTGGTTCTCCCTTTAAAAACATGGGCATATGAGATCATTAATCATTTGACAATAAATAAATAAATAAATAAATAAATAAATAAAAACTAAACTCATTTTCTTCTACTGAGATTTTACTTCCCTGGTTGTATACAGCTTTCTTGCCGAGATCCAGCTACTTGCCCTATGTACTTCTTCATTTGGCTGTTCATTTTTATTAACTGTAATAGTATATAGCACCTTCCTGATTTCTGTGAGTTGCTGTAGCAAATATCAATCCTGAGTCGGGGGGAGGGGATGTGCAAACCCCTGAATTTGTAGCTGAGTCAGACAGAAGTACAGGTAACCTGCGGGCTCAATACCTGTGCCTGGTGACCAAAATCAGGTCACTCTTATAAGACTGAGCCCTTAAATCTGTTTGATACCAACCAGGGGAGTTAGTGCCAGAATAGGATCGAATTGTAGGACACCCAGTTGGTGTCAGAGAATCAGAGAGGTAGAGAACTGGTGTTGGAAAATACACTACATATTTGGTGTTGGAAAATACTTGAGATGAGCGTTCACATTAGCTTGACTATCCATAAAGTTTTATTTTCTTTTTTTAACTATTTGAGGTCAAATATAAGAGTTTACCCAAAATCTATAAGAAAATTTTAAAGCAAAAGCCATAATGGCTTTGTTCTCAGTTCCTGTTTTTTCCCCTCTTGGATGATTTCTGGAGCAGTTGTTAATATTTTAAAATATATTTGATTTCTTTCTAAGGCAGTAGTATTTCAACCTTTGTTTCATGATACTTGCAACTGAGCAGCAATGTATAGAGAAAACGTTTTATAAGACATGATAAAATGTCAGGCTGGGTGCTGTGGCTCACACCTGTAATCCCAGTACTTTGGAAGGCTGAGGTGGGTGGATCACTTGAGTCCAGGAGTTTGAGACCAGCCTGGGCAACATAGGGAGACCCCCGTTCTGTACAAAAAATATGAAAAATTAGCCGGGTGTGATGGTGCGAGCCTGTCGTCCCAGCTACTTAGGAGACTGAGGCGGGAGGATCGTTTGAGCCCGGGAGGTTGAGGCTGCAGTGAGCCGTGATGGCGCCACTGCACTCCAACATGGTTGACAGAGCAAGACCCTGTCTCAAAGAAACAAAACAAAAAGACATACTAAAATGTCATCAAATATTTTTCACAGAAGTCAATTTTTTTAATATGCTATAAAAAACCTTGGGTATTGGGTGGGGAACAAAAGGATATCACCACCACCAGACATATATTGATATATAACTCAAATGTATTTATCTCTAGCCCTGGTGCTCATGAGACTGATCTAAGAAAAAAAAAAAAAAGGCAGGAGTGAGTAACTAATGCTTTAGGTTTACTGCTTGCACATTTTCTGTAACTCCCTAGTCTACCTGTCCCATACCCTTACGACTATTAGAAAGGAGAATCTGAAAATATAATTTTGGGTGGATCTCTTAATGGCCTAAAACGAAAATCTGAACTATATTCAGAGAAATCAATGGCGATTATTCTACTTCTAGTAAAAGAGTTTAACTTAAGTCAAACAAAAACATTATAAGGAATACATCTGTTTACATGTAAAATATTTCACCTAACAAAATGATATATACAAATAAATATTTCCTCTCCCTTCCCAAGAGAAATGCTGTGTTAAAGTCAATGTGTATCATTGGTAACAACTTACTGTCAGGGAAATGTAATGCAAGTTAATATGTTGAAAGTTTACACGGAAACCAGAATTCTTGTATATATTCAAGTGAAAATAAAATGATTTCATTCTTTAGAAAAACAAATAGATGCACCATTAAAGCATACTAATAAAAGAGAAGAAAAAAAGAGTAAATGTTGCAAAAACATATTTCTTATACATATTTCTTATACAGGTTAGTGTTTAGTTTATAAAAAGATGAACCATGCAGGTGCATAATTCACAAACAAATAAATAGGGCTTTGCGATCTCAGCTGCCAGGTAAAACTGTTTTTTTCTTCCTTTTTAAAAAATAGAAGATATGTTGTTTCCTTTAGTAAGTGTATGGAAAGTTCTTTTTTTTATGTGCTAGCTGAAAGCATCGATAGTTCTTTGAAACAGAAAATTCAGGGGAAAATTTATTTCTAGATACAAAATTAGCACTGCATTTGACAATCTCAATGATTTTAGCACAATTAATATTGATTGGCTAATTTTATTTATTTATTTTTTTGAGACGGAGTCTCAGTCGCCCAGGCTGGAGTGCAGTGGCACAATCTCGGCTCACTGCAAGCTCCGCCTCCCGGGTTCACGCCATTTTCCTGCCTCAGCCTCCCGAGTAGCTGGGACTACAGGCGCCCGCCACTACGCCCGGCTAATTTTTTTGCATTTTTAGTAGAGACAGGGTTTCACCGTGTTAGCCAGGATGGTCTCGATCTCCTGACCTCGTGATCCGCCCGTCTCGGCCTCCCAAAGTGCTGGGATTACAGGCGTGAGCCACCGCACCGGGCCTGATTGGCTAATTTTAAAGGCTTTGAGCATGATACATTATACCTGATTATGCCACTTTAAGAAAGTATCTACCGTATCTATACATTCTGATACACTTCTTATTTCGATTTATTCAAGGAGAAAAACCACATACTTAATTTTAGGATCACAGTTTTCGTCTATTTACTTCCAGAGGTCTGAATCACTTTAGAAACATTATCTCCATTCTCTCTATATCTTGGCAGGATGGGCAGGAGTTAATTATTGTTCCCTTTTTTCTCTCTCAGACTTCAAAAACAATTGTTGAAGTAAATAAGGCATGGATATGTTGACTCATGGTGTTCAGCTAGTTGGGCTATTTCTTACTTCCCTAAGCTTATACCAGAGGTTCTCAAAGTGTGCTCTGGGGACCTCTGGAGATTTCTGGACTTTTTCAGGAAGTCTTTAAGGTCAAACTATTTTTACAATAACACGAAGACATTATTTGCCTTTTTACTTTCATCCCTTCATGAATACACGGAGTATGAAAAGTTCAATAGGCCAGGCGTGGTGGCTCATGTTTTGTAATCCCAGCACTTTGGGAGGCCAAGGAGGATGGATTACTTGAGGTCAGGAGTTTGAGACCAGCCTGGCCAACATGGTGAAAACCCATCTCTATTAAAAATACAAAAACTAGCCGGGAATGGTGGCATGCACCTGTAACTCCAGCTACTTGGGAGGCTGAGGCAGGAGAACCACTTGAACCTGGGAGGCAGAGGTTACAGTGAGCTAAGATTGCGCCACTGCACTCCAGCTCAGGCAACAGAGGGAGACTCTGTTTCAAACAAACAAACCAAAAAGAAAGGTTTATTATATGGTTCCAGATTCCACGTTGCACCTAACCTTTAAGAAACTACCACTTGTGGGGTTTAGGATAGTAGCTAAGAAAAATATCAACAATTATCTGAATAGGCTAACCTTCCCCTGTCCAATTACATATCTGCATGAGGCCAGTTTTTCTTCATATACTTCAACGAAAACAACAAACTGAATGCAGAAGCAGATATGAGAATCCAGTTGCCTTCTATTAAGTCAGGCATTAGATTTGATATATATATACACACACACACACACATATACATATATACACACACACATACATATACATATATACACACACATATATCTCTCAAAATGTCATTCTTCCTGCTCTTTTTAAAAAATCTTGTCTTAAAAACCAGTTATATTTCATAAAACATACTATTTGATTAACATGTAATTGATTTTTAGAAATTTTTCAGTTTTAACTTCTTTTTTTTTTCTTTTGTTTTTGTTTTTGAGACAGGGTCTCACTCTGTGCCCAGGCTGAAGTTCAGTGGTATGATCATGGCTCACTGCAGGCTTGATCCCCTGGGCTCAAAGGATCGTCCCACCTCAGCTTCCTGAGTAGCTTGGACTATAGTTGTGCATCACCACGCCTGGCTAATTTTTAAATATTTTGTAGAGACTAGGTCTTGCTATGTTGCCCAGGCTGGTCTCGAACTCCTGGCCTCAAGCAATCCTCCTGCCTTTGCCTCCCAAAGCACTGGGATTACAGGTGTGAGCCACTCCCCCCAGGCAGCTTTAATTTCCAATGCAGAAATAACACAAGACATATTCTACATAAACAAAAGCTCTTTCAATTCTAATTTTTAAGAATGTAAAGGGATTCTGAGACCAAAAAGTTCAAGAACTGCTAGAACAAAAATGCAGAATTTTATTAAAGGCTGACTTTTCAAGCTGGAGTCTTAATAGAGGATTCTGGCTTTGTTAAGGTGTGGCTTAGTTAAGACTTACCATACAAAACTGCAAGCAAAGCACTTAACCTCTCCCTAGAACTAAGTCAGTGTGCAATAAATGCTTGTTATTATTGTTTCCCTTATCTTACAGGCTTACAAATGTTAGCTGTCTAGTAGTAGTAGTAGTAGTAGTAGTAGTAGTAGTAGTAGCAGCAGTAGCAGCAGTAGCAGTAGTAGTAGTAGTAGTGTTACAACATCTCTGCAACCTAATTGGTAATATACAAAGTGTCTTCTTGTCACCTTTTAACCTGCCTAGGGTTATACTCAATACTACTTCAACTTCTTTCAAGAAGTAACCCTAAATTTTCTCAGTTGAATATGTCATTAATTTATGAGACAATATCCATCTGCCAGAGCAGTTGAGATTGCAAAACCAAAAGAGGTTTAAAACACATCAGAACGGTGTAAGATAGAAAAGTGATGAGTTTACTAAGAATGAGTTTTCTTCCTTCAAAGACGGAAAGAAGAAAATGTTCCTACTTATAAATTTCCCTAAATGAATGTAATCTTAAAAAAAAAACCCATCTTTTTGAAAAGAATTGATGTACGGTTTAAAGGTTCTAGAATCTCCTAAAATGTCTAGGCAAAAGGCAATGACAGCCTAAGTTTATAGAAATATTTTCTTGTAATAAAAACATAAGCAAATGACTACTATACTATAGTCCCAATTAGTCACAATTTCTGTTAACCAGGGTAGAGGAAAGAGACCAGGTCGGGGAAGAAGGCGGGAGGAAGCAGCTGAAGTACGATTCAAAGGCAAAGGACTTTTGGGAAATCATCTTTGGAGTCAATCAGACTTCATAAAAATGAGCTTACATAAGTTTTCATGGCAACAAACAGGAGAAATAACTGTTTATATTGGAATGTATAATGATTATCACAGCTGTTTTACATATTTAATCTCCCTTAATGAATGGGACATAGGAGAGTAGTAAATTGAAAATTATCCACACGTATTTGTCTGAGTAGACAAAGTGACGGAGGAAACTGGAACTATAATGGAGTTAAGTACTTAACATTACTTTTAATGAAGGAAAAAAATAAATCCAGAGGGTTTTTTTTATTTTTCTTTTTTACTGGGCAATTACCTAAATTACAAAATCTAAATCATAATTTCAAAATGAGCCATTTTAGAAATAACATGGGAACATAAAGCAGAGATCCTTTGAAAAGGGCATGTCCTGCTCCCATTATCAGGGAAATGTGGTTTTAAACAGGCAGACTGCAAGTAAAATAGCTCTACCATTGAAGTAAAAACAATAAAGTAGGACATTTTCTGAAAGTGTTTATCTTTAAAGTTAATGTTCTGTTAGTGCATTTTAAAGAAAATAACAAAAATGTCTAAGAAAAATGAGGGAAAGACAAAGACTTAAACCTCTGGCTTGTTGCATATATCAGGACACCAATGAATAGCATAAGAATAAGTTGGGTAGAGCACCAATTATTTCAGAGTTACTTTAATCCGTTTTTTTTCCCCTCAGGTATTATACATATTTCTTCTCTCATTTCACAGATATTCCACATTCTCCATCTCTCCATCTGTTCACTCACTATCTCAAGTTAGATAGCATGTTAGGTTTTTACTTTTGTTATCAGTGAGAACAACAAGATGACAAAGTCAATTGGGATTCCTCACATTGGTGCTGAGGATAGATAGTGTGTGGAAGGGAATGAATGAAGGCAACCAAGAGACAGATCTGAGATCACTGCTGCTTGCAAAGTTAGTGCCTAACTCATGGGCAAGGACTTCATGACTAAAACACCAAAAGCAATGGCAACAAAAGCCAAAATGGACAAATGGGATCTAATTAAACTAAAGAGCTTCTGCACGGCAAAAGAAACTACCACCAGAGTGAACAGGCAACCTACAGAATGGGAGAAAATTTTTGCAATCCACTCATCTGACAAAGGGCTAATATGCAGAATCTACAAAGAACTCAAACAAATTTACAAGAAAAAAACAAATAACCCCATCAAAAAGTGGGCAAAGGACATGAACAGACACTTCTCAAAAGAAGACATTTATGCAGCCAACAGACACATGAAAAAATGTTCATCATCACTGGTCATTAGAGAAATGAAAATCAAAACCACAATGAGATACCATCTCATGCTAGTTAGAATGGCAATCATTAAAAAGTCAGGAAACAGCACATGCTGGAGAGGATGTGGAGAAATAGGAATGCTTTTACACTGTTGGTGGGACTGTAAATTGGTTCAACCATTGTGGAAGACAGTGTGGCGACTCCTCAAGGATCTAGAACTAGAATTACCATTTGACACAGCAATCTCATTACTGGGTATATACCCAAAAGATTATAAATCATGCTACTATAAAGGCACATGCACACATATGTTTATTGTGGCACTATTCACAATAGCAAAGACTTGGAACCAACCCAAATGTCCATCAATGAGAGACTGGATTAAGAAAATGTGGCACATATACACCATGGAATACTATGCCGCCATAAAAAAGGATGAGTTCATGTCCTTTGCAAGGACATAGATAAAGCTGGAAACCATCATTCTCAGCAAACTATCATAAGGACAGAAAACCAAACACCGCACATTCTCACTCATAGGTGGGAAATGAACAATGAGATCACTTGGACACAGGGCGGGGAACACCACACACCGGGGCCTGTCAGCGGGTGGAGGGCTGGGGGAGGGATAGCGTTAGGAGAAATACCTAATGTAAATGATAAGTTGATGGGTGCAGCAAACCAACATGGACATGTATACCTATGTATCAAACCTGCAGGGTATGCACATGTACCCTAGAACTTAAAGTATAAAAAAAAAAAAAGTTAGTGCCTAACTAAGGTGAGAGAGAATAGTAAAAAGAAGGAAGAAAAGGATGAGGAGAAGGAGTAGTGAGGAATTCAGGGAGGGAGGGAAGGAGAGGGAGAGAGGAAGACAAGAGGAGAGAGAAATAATAGAGAGGAACAGGCATTTAAAAATGTTCTCCTCCTTTCCACATTACCGTAAAAATTAAATCCAGATTTAATCTGTTCTCTTTGTTTTTGTTGTTTTCTGTTGTTCTGTTTTGTTTTTATGTGTCCTGGAAATCTCCAACTAGATCTACTCTTGGGACAAACAGAATAATCTAAACAATGTATTATCTAACCCTTAAAATCAGTACAGAACTATGATTTAATCAAAACCTGGGGATAAAATATATATAACATTATTTATCAGAACCCTTAAGACAATCCAAAATTTTAATTACTAATACATAGTAGCTGGCATCCTGTTCTGTTCCCCAAGCCACATGCTAACCAGTGACTGAATAGGTTGTCCACAATACAGATATCTCAGCCCTGTTGGTGTTATTATAGCATAGGACTAATGCAGCTTCAAATTCCAAAATGAAGACAAATTTGGTCTAATTTTCTGGTCTTCTCCTGGATATTGCATCTGATTTCTTCCTGAATTGTTTCATGAGTTTTATCCTTTGGTTATTCTTAACATTAATTAATAGCTCACCATCAATGAGTTAAAAAACCAGGTCTCAAAACTAAGACTACAGCACATTTCCCTTTGTTGACCTGGTAGAAAAGATGAATAATAGAATAGCTGTGATTTTGGCAACTAACCTGGGGTTCAGTTAGGAAAGAAGAAATGCTATTAATTCAGGATAAAGCACAGTGTAGGCCTGACAGTAAACTGCTGGGAGCAGCCGCAAGCTGAAAATCTGACACAGGCTGCTAATTTGAACAAAAGATTTAAACAGCCAGGGCGCATTCAGATACAGAAGCAAGTCTGTGGAGAATAACTATAGCTGAAATCAGAGGTGTATCTTCACATGACCAACTACGGAGGGCCTCATCATCTCACACTGATCTTTCCATTTAGGCAGTCATAACTTCAATCTTGTAGTATAAGCTCAGTGACTATCAGCTACAGTACCTAATGTGCACTATATTTGAAACAGGATCCTGTTTCTGCATGAAACAAAAAGTTCCATTGTCAATTAGTGTATGAGCATTAAACCTCTCTCTCTCTCCTTTCCTCTTGTGTCCATAAACTGGCTATATGTACACACAGAAATGATGTAAACTACAGAAGATTTAGCTATAGGAAAGTGGGTCCTATTCATTCTATATAAGATAGATACCTTTAAGGTAAGATTTTTGACTGAAGCCACTTCTCCTCAACTCCTTTGCTATTACTTTTAAAAAATTCAAATAGTCTACTGAGATAGCAGCTTAAATACTGTCTTCTGGCCAAAAAACAAAAAACTAACAAATAAAAAAAAAAACAACACATGAACAACTACCATCTCTAGAAGCCACAAGGGAAACAAACAAAAACTGGTCTTCTATTTTACAGAAAGGCAAGGCAAAGCTGGAAAATTCCTTAGGAACATGACATTTCTGAAATCTAACAATGACCATCAAAGGTCTCATTAAGTCTTAGAATTCAATAATAAAATCTTGACTGACTTTTCTTCAAACACATATGTAATACATAGCAAGAAAGTATTTCAGGTGACCTTATTTTATCTTCTAAAATGGTTATTGGGACAGTTCACCTAACACTCTTTTGCCAATTTACATAATGATGAGAAGAATCAACAAATACTTAGATGGGATTACTAGTCAATGTAAGAAAGGAGGAGACAGCTTCATTCATACAGAAATGACTCATCAGGTGTTTCTCTATAAACTTGCAGAATTTACCGTCTGCTAAATGGAATGGTGGCCGGAATGTCCTGACTGATTAGCTGTTGCCCATAGAAAAATCTCTGGTTTTTTCATTTTACCATTTGTTTTATTTTTATAAGTCATTATCAATTAAAGGAGTAAAAAAATTACTTTTTAACCCCTCTAAAAAAACCTCTAGTATACCAGGTTAAAGCAGGTAATATTTTCCATGATATTTATTACCCCCGAGAAGATCCAGTTTTCATTGCCCAATAAATAGTACAGCAGGGCTTAAAAAATATGTGCTGATCTGCCTGGGTGCCAAAAGCATCACCAATAATCTTGATTAACGTGTCTTGACACTGAATGCATTAGCCACATAATATTCCTCTTGCTTAAAGGCTAATTAGAATTCAAGGCAGCATGATACCTGCTTTTGAGGATTACAGTAAGAACATTTGTTGTAATAAGAACCACCAGGCAGCCAGTTTTGGTAATGATTGATACGTAAAATTATTGAGGGGAAAAAAGAATGAGAAAGTAGAGTCTGCCCCCAAAACATTTATTTCCCGTAAGGATCAAATTTTAGTGTAAATTAAAACATCTTGGTGGCACTGATGAAAATGAACTATAATAGCAGGTTTATTTAAAATCCAGAAAACATACCTTTCTGACTTTTTTTTTCTTAACTGGCTTACATCATGAAAGCATATTCCTTGTATTTATTGGAGGTTTCATTCTTGCAGCTAAAAATCTCTGATTTCTGGTTATGTGAGTTTCCTAATTTGACTCTCCAATTATTCAACTTCTCAGATGAACTTTGTGCAGACAGGAAATAATTATAAGTAACGATAACACAATGTTATTCGTTTAACCGGTACTCCATTTCCTTTTTCTCTTTTAGGAATTCATTTCACATCCTATGTTGCTTCAGAAGTTTTTCTCTGCTATTTTTAAAATGTGATCTGATGTTTGTGAGGAAGGAACCTCATCTCTGGTGGATTTAGAAGATAAGCTTCTATTAGATTACTGAGCACTGTACTTAATCCTAGGAATGCCAGAGTAAATGCTTCTGCCACCTGTAAAAGCTAGTCTTTATATAATTTAGTGGCAAGAATGATTTCATATGCTGGGATATAAAGAGTTAGTTACTGTCTCATACCCTCCTAGTCCCCAAGTTCTTGATCTTAATGTCAAATTTTCACTAATGTGGAAGCCAGAACAAAAATATCAAGCTTTGAAGCATGATACTACTGTGAAAATGTATTTGCCACTAAAATGATTTCATATGTTTTTTACTGTATTACACCTCCCTTGCTCCATGTTTTTTTTTCCCCCAATTTGCTTTCTGAATATGGTGAAATAAACTGATGGTATATGGGTTTTTTTTGTTGTTGTTCTTCTTGAGATGGAGTCTCACTCTGTTGCCCAGGCAGGAATGCAGTGGCATGATCCCGGCTCACTGCAGCCTCCACCTCCCAGGTTCAAGTGATTCTCCTGCCTCAGCCTCCTAAGTAACTGGGACTACAGGCATGCGCCACCACACTCGGGTATTTTTGTATTTTTAGTAGAGATGTGGTTTCACCATGTTGGCCAGGCTGGTCTCGAACTCCTGACCTCAAGTGATCCACCCGCCTCGGCCTCCCAAAGTGCTGGGATTACAGGCGTGAGCCACCGTGCCCGGCCTGGTGGTACATGTTGAAAGAAGGAAAAGCAAGTGCTGAAAATCTATATTTATTTATTTATTTTTATTTATTTATTTTTTTGAGATGGAGTCTTGCTCCATCGCCCAGGCTGGAGCGCAGTGGCATGATCTTGGCTCACTGCAACCTGTGCCTCCCAGGTTCAAGCAATTCTCTTGTCTCAGCCTCCCCACTAGCTGGGACTACAACTGCCTGCCACCACGCCCAGCTAATTTTTGTATTTTTAGTAGAGATGGGGTTTCACCTTGTTGGTCAGGCTGGTCTCAAACTCCTGACCTCAGGTGATCCACCCGCCTTGGCCTCCCAAAGTGCTGGGATTACAGGTTTGAGCCATTGCACCTGGCCTAAAAATCTATATTTATGAAAAATGTCTTGGGTTAGGTAACATTGACTGGAGCCTGGAGAATTTCCATCATTACATGTCAAGGTTTGCTTTTACTTTTCCTGTGAACAGAACCAGGAAGAAGAACATTGACAGTGCCATGTCCTATCCCCATAACACTGTGGTTCTTCATCCTTTGTTCCTGGGATACATTTGGGTAATAGGAAAAGGGTATAGTGTGATGTCATGTTTGGAGAAAAAGCAGGTGATCCTGACTGCTCTTAAAGTAACATCCACTCATCGCTGCAAAGGAGTTTTCAGAATTTATATTTACTAACCTACAGAGTATACATGGCTTTACATCCTATAGGTTAAAATTACATGAGGAAAAATTGTATAGAACATGTGTGTAACCAATGTTTCCAATATTTTGAGCTGCCCCAAAAGAAAGAGATAACAATAATCAAAACCGACACAGCATTTACTACATGCTTGGCAATATTTTAGGAACTTTACATGTATTAGTGCATTTAATTTTCACAACAGCTCTCTGAGTTATGGTCAATGAGTCCCATCTTATGAGGAAACTGAAGTACAGACAGATGATAGAAGTTGCCCCACATTATGTTATTGATAAGGGGCGGACAAGGATCTGCACATTGGTGGTCTGTTATGAAGTCTGCTCTATCCTGCTTACTGCTAGGGCAACATAACCATAGAAAGGGGGTAAGTAATGTATTTACATTTTTCAAAATAAGTGTAGAGAGCAAAGCCTAAGAAAATAGGAACTTAGAATCTTACTCTTTTATGTGATATCAGAAAAGCTGGTTACAATAATTTTACCCATTAAAAATATGTGAAAGCTTGTTTCAGAAACTAATTTTCTGGGCTCAAATCTTATTCCAGAAGATCAATGTCTACATGGTACATTGTACATAATTTAATTTTCCCAGTTGAACATCGTGACACTATATGAACCATGAATGCACGAAATAGGAATTCCAAATGTCTTCCATATGGTAAGAGGACTTTTGGATACTTCTGCAGGAAGCTTAAGAGTAGCTCGAAATTAAGTTATGCCTGTTCTCAGTGACTTTTATTATGTATGCCTAAGGTATTAGCACTTTTCTCTGAGTGGGACCTTGAGGTGATAGATAGATGAGTCTGCTGTCTGTATTTAGGCACTTGGCTCATTTCCTGAGAGCTGTGGAAGGCATGTGGATGCTCATTAAGTTTCCAACCATTCCCCGAGAGCAACAGCTGGTGAATCAAAGCTTCCCTGGTATGTCATGACTGGTTTCCTCAAAGTCTTGGAAATAATGGATGGCATTCACATGCTCTCTGTAGCACCAACAGATAAGAAGGAGATGAATAGCAACAGGAAGCATTTCCAAAGCATAAAGAAACACACAGGTCTAGGAAGATTATGAGTAATGCGCTTGCTACCACACATTCTATATCCATATATGGTGGTTTCATCTTTTAAATACTGCTACTCGTTCAAACTATGAAATCATAGTTAACTGTCCTGTGGTGGCTACCTAATAGAAGAAATGTAAATTAAAGGAAAAAAGAACATTCTAAGTTAAGAAAACTATGTCATAAAATTTAAGCCTTTAGCTCTACATTTATAAATATCCAATGACCACTAATAGTTGTGACGTATCTTTAAATTGTCTCCTTTTCAAAATTACTAATTTATAGTGAGCACTGACTACATTATAAGGAAAGTGTATCTCCCACATCCTGATTAGAGAAGACAAAGCTTATTAAACCAAAAATAGAGCCTAAGATTTAAATCAAATACCAGATAGTTACCCAACAGTACTTGATAATTATGTAGAAGAGTATGTCTACATACTCTTGATGAAAAGAGTTTTTGTCAATTAATAGCTTCTTTTCACTATAGTCAGCAGTCAAGGAGAGAAAAACAAAAGAAAATATCAGAGCTACCTGACCTCGACAAACTCCATCTGGCCATTTCCTAAGACCTGAGGAATAAAAGCATTTGCTAGAGGTGGCAAATCGTTTAACATCCCTCCCAACTTCAAAAAGCTCAAAACATTCTGACTAGTCCACAGATGACTAGGCAAATTCCGAGGGTCCAGTGGGATATTTTTGTGATGGAGGATATAAGACTAAAGTAAGATGATAAATAGTATAATCAAAATTGCTTTTTTTTTTTTTGCCTTTGGAGGGAGATAATCAATTCCACATTCTCAAGTACTCTCTCTCTCCAAGAAAGTGCTTCAAGTTCAGGAGAAGGGACAACTAGATTTCAAAGCACGGAGGTTCCTGCAAGAGAAGCTGGTACCCCGATAACCTACAAGCACTTACTGCAGCAACCTGCTTCAGCCCTTCCTTTTAAATGCCTTCCCCTTTATTTATAATGCTACAAGGTTATTTTTGATTAATGCTGAGTATCACTTTCTTATCACTTTAAATAAATAGTTTTTAAATTTTTATGATCTTCCCATTATTTGTAAAAAGCCATCTTTGTGTGTGTGTGTGTTACTAAGAAATGCCATAATTTAACTCTATAATATGAAACCACCTATTAATTTGTGAAGTTATTTTTGCTAAATATCAAATGATAAGGAAGTGACTTCAACTGTTTAGTAAACTGTTGTCATAGAGTGTTACTTTTTCACCAAAGAAGCCAAAGACTAAAAATCTATTAAAAGGACATATCTGAACTTTTATGATACTAATCTAGAAACATCAAACAAAAAGATAGAACTAAAATTGCTGAATGCCAACCAAGAAGACATAGCTTTCATGTCTATCAATTGTACCAAATATACTCATAAAATATTATACATATTATATGACCTCTGAGAACTCAATAATATATCTATCCTAAAAATCATATTATTTCACATAACTCACACTCCAAGCAGAACCTTCATAAAACAGTATACACAACTCTCAAACTAGAAGTAGGAATGTTAACTTTATTTATTTTTCTTTTTTAGAGACGGAATAGCACTCTGTTGCCCAGCCTGGAGTATAGTGGCGTGATCTCGGCTCACTGCAAGCTCCACCTCCCGGGTTCAAGAGAGCCTCCTGCCTCAGCCTCCTGAGCAGCTGAGATCACACTCAGATAATTTTTTTTGTATTTTTCATAGATACAGGGTTTTACCATGTTGGCCAGGCTGGTTTCGAACTCCTGACCCAAATAATCCGCCCGCTTCAGCCTCCCAAAGTGTTAGGATTACATGAGCCACCGTGCCCGGCCTAGAAATACTAAGTTTAGAATGGACTAATGTACAACAGAGATTGATTCAAAACTTTGTAAGATGAGAACAACAAAAGAAAATGTATTTGCATTATGTTAACCCCTATTAAGTAGTTCTAGAATATATAAAAAAACTTTTAAAATAAGAAGCTGATTTTAAAGGAGCAACTACAGCTAAGGCAGTAGAACTTTAAGTCTTGTCAGTTGCCATGCAAAAAATTTCAAAACATTTTTTAAAATGTTTTTAACATTTTTAAGTGGTTTACATCCATTTAAAACAAATGTTTTCAAACTAAGCTTTAAGCAATTATTTCAAAAGATATTTAGAAAGTTTATGGGGACAGTGTATGTGTTGGGTCAAAATATTTTAGTAATATGATTTGTACTTTGCAGTGATAATTACTGAGAGGAAGTAGAAGATAAATGTTTTAGAGAGATTATTATAATGAGTGAATCACAAAAACAGCTGCCTAAATGTTAGCTTTATGGGGATGTTAAGACTCTAATTCTGATCAAAATCTGATAGGGTCTTAAGAATAAAACTAAAATATGAAGGTAAAGAGACATTTTAGACTTTAAAGAATTCCTGTGACTTCAAATGAAGGGACATTTACATTTATTTAAGGGGCAGTAGTAAGTTAAATGGAGAAATAAACAATCCATATTGCCATGGCAAACTTTAGAGGTATCTGTGCTTAATTTTTAATTTAAAAATTTAGTTAGTTGAGATGGCTGGAGAGTACTTAGAGAACAGCATTCTATTTTTAGTTTCCATTTTTCCCTATTTTCCTCCAATTTGGGTGAATCTCATAATTACAGTTCTGTGAAGCCGAGACTGTCCGTGCAGTATTTACCTTTATCCCCGGAAGTCCAGGAAGCCCAGGAAGCCCTGGTTCACCCTACACAGGAAAATCATATAGCATTATAGAATGATATTCACTCAGTCACAATATGTGGAGAAAAACATGGCAAATGTTCCTGGCTCAATACTTTCTGCAAAGATAAATAAAAAAACCGTCTACTTTCAAAAACTTTGATGAGATTATGCAATTCAGTCAACTCTTGATTTAGAAATGGGTTGACCTCTTCACAGATTTTTTGGGATTTTCTCTCTTCCTTTCAGTTCACTGCACATTGGTATCTCCGTCAGATGGCGAGAAAGAGGAGTCAAAAGAGAAGAAACTCCCATATTTCATTATTTCTTCCTTAAATGATTCGGTGGGGAGGCTGAATCTATTTGCCCAAATGAAGATAATGTGTGCATTTCAACAATGCATCCTATCCCAGTATTCCCTCACCTTAGATAATCAAGAGTTGGCTGTATGAACAGATGGTCACATCAAAACAATATTCATTAAAAGTCTTGCTCACTTAAAAAGTATAGTAAGCTTTCCTTTTCATTCCTGAATGATGAGAAGATAAATGAATACTTAAGATTAAACCTAACTCCAGTCTGTACTTCTGACAATTGTTGAGTCTGAGCAACCCTGCTTAGCAGCTTAGGGCTAATGGTACTATGCAGCTGTTGCTGAATACAGGTTTGAGATTAAGTAGTACATTTTGGGTGAGCATATTGGAGTCAAGCTTAACCTTCTCATTTTCACAGAGTTGTCTACATTATTTTAAGCCCAAAGAATGATAATAAGAGGTTCCATTGCTTAGAAAATCTCCTGAATTCTACTAAAGAAGTATAAAGGAATCTCAGGAGAAAATGAAAGTCCTCTCTGTTGGATTGAAGTGATTATTTTTTGTGGAAATAACATTTGAAGGCAAAAGGGTGATACTACTTCGTGATGGCCAGTTAGTGGGATGACAACTATACTAAAAGACACAGGAGCATTAAACTAACAGTGAAGTGACAAAAGAAAGCATTTCCTTTCATCTAAATGCTTTAACAATCCTGGTTTCAAGGAACATCCACTAAGTTCAACCAGAAGTTTCATCTTTAGTAATATTACTTTCAAATTATGAAGCACCATAGTTTGTTCTGGTGTTATCACAAAGTGATGTCTGAGACTGCTTGTTAAGCTGTGTGATTAGACCAAAAAAGGACAATGGTTTTCTTGATGATTTAGGTCAAAGTTACTTCAGGAATGCAAAAGAAAAACGATTCTGTCTGAAACTATATAAATGAAGGTTTGCATTGTGAACAATAAGACTAAAATGAGACTAAGCCAGAGGAGAAAGGCTGATTATCAAGAACTTGTTATTCCATTCAAAGAATGTCCAAGTAGATTAAATTTCACACAGATATAACATTATATATTTGATCTTCTTTTACTTTCTCTTTTACCTTTCAATCAATGAGTTTAAGAGGATCCAGTAAAAAGAGCTTGTACATATTTTTTGCTGAAAATTCTCTTTTATGTTAAAAAAGTATAAGGCCCTTGAAAACAGTAAATTGCAATAGAATATACAATTAATAAAAGTAAACGTATTGATGGCAAATCTATAGCTTTGTATTCTTTCAGAAAAGTCCCCCCAAACTCATTTTTGCAGACATTCTATCTGAAACATTTGTGGAAGTATGTAGGTTGTAACATTATTGTCCAACGGGTGTTCTCGTCACCTCTTTTCCTCCCACCAAATGAAAGGATTGAATGATTACTTTAAAGAAAGATATTTATTTAAACACGCATGCATACATAGACACACACCCATGTTTTTAATCAAGAAAAAGATGTGTAAGACATTATGGAATATTTTATAATGTAGATTGACTACTTACAGAGATTGAGCATTTAACTTTTCTCTACATCATATGTGTACTATGTATGTGTGTTAAGTAATAAATGTATTTTTTAGTGAACAGATACTTAGAAATTCATATTTCTCATAGTTTTCATATTTCATAATTTGACCTTTCAAGTTTATGTTTATTAGTTGATATGATGAAAGATTATAATACATGTAATGTTACCCTTTGTGGAACATCGCCTAACATTTTTAGAAAGACTTTTTTTTCCTATATAAATCCTCTGTCTTTATACCATAAAAGGTTATTTTCTAACTAGGACAACTGTGTCCAACCCACAGCCCACGGGCCACATGCAGCCCAGGATGGCTTTGAATATGGCCCAACACAAATTTATAAACTTTCTTAAAGTGCTATGAGATTTTGTGTGTGTGTGTGTGTGTGTGTGTGTGTGTGTGTGTGTGTGTGTGTGTGTTTAGCTCATCAGCTATTTTATGTGTGGCCCAAGACAGTTTTTCTTCCAATGTGCCCCAGGGAAGACAAAAGATTGGACATTCCTGAACTAAGTGATAGCTTTTCAGTTAACTTCTCCATTCTTCCCTATTCCTTGACTCAGGGGCTTCTCTCAAGAACTCAATTTGGGGATGCACAACCCAAAATCTGGGATCAGATCTTGGTCATAATTAGGATTTGATTCGTTATCCCATTCAAAGGGGGTATCAAAATAAATCAAAAGTGTAACATATCTGTATAAAGCTTAACCTTCAGGTTTAGACTTTTGCTTTTTTCCCCTTCTTTTCACCTTTCACCCTCCATTACAGGAGAACCTCAAAATCAGGACTCTGCCTTCACCTCATGTCCCTGCTAGAGTGCCCTAAATATTTCTAGAGAGTTTAACTGTGAGGGGCCCTTCTGATAGGAGATCAATTTTACTCCTCTAAAATTAAAATATTTATTTTTAAAAGATGTGGGAAAGTTAGGAAGGAAAGAATTAGGTGATGAAACACAATACTTATTTTATAAATCTACACACTCACTCTACAAGCACATATATACACTCCAACTCACACATCAATCACATACTAAACTCTCGAGGCTATAAAAGAAAGAAAATCCAATGGAATTATTCCTACATTATGAATATAACTCTAGATCTCAAACTCTCATGCTGAAAAAGACCACACGGTGGAAAGCTAACTGATGAGCTTTTTGCTGTGTCACAATATTCTGTACTTTTCTGGGAGTGTCTCTGACACAGGAGCCTAAGCGCCAATGAACCCCCAGCATGGTTCTGCAATGGAGAGGAAAATGCCGTGGAAGATCTCTTGAAGCGATTCTGTACTCAGTTCAGTTTATTTTTCTAATCTACATCAGCAGCAAGCATGGACATAATTTACTTTTAAATCAGTGTTGGGCTAAGTATTGCCAAGTCCCGATATTAGACAAAGGAAGTCATAATATTGTGGGAAAGTGGGATTGTATCAAAGGGTAGAATCTGGCCTAAATATTAATGAAAAAGATGATGCTCACTTTAGGGCACATACTCATTCAGGAGGACTGTAAGACTTTAAGGATTCTACCCCTTCTCTCAATATAGTTTAAAACTGGTTTTTAGTGCAATGCAAAGGAAATCCAGTGTTCCCATGAGTAAATCTATAAACTTCCAGAATGAATCTAAACTGTATTTATAAGTAATCATTATGATAAGGCAATGTTTTATTAAGTAATTGAAAATCTATTTGAATATTCCACTCTGAAAACAGTGTAAACTATACGAGATTATAGCAGGTTTGTTTTGGTTTATTTTTTAGAGACACAACTGTCTTACAGACTTTTTAGCAAAACACAGACTTGGAGAGCAGTAAAAACTTAGCCTTTAAATTTGAAAGACTAAGGGACCTAAAATTAGATTGTCTGAGAAGATCAGTTGCTTTTTCAAACCAAAGCAGACCATGGATCTCTGTATCACTAATTCCAAATTTCTTAAATAGAGAATTGATAGGAAATATTATAAAATAAATAGTAAATTTTGCAAAGTTCTGCTAGGCTCTTTGAAAGAGTCTCAACTTTACCTAAAACTGGGCCTAATGAGTCATTGCTTAGACTCTTAGTTTTGAGAGAAAAATCTGTTTTTAAATTAGAGAAATGTTAAAAGAATGTGAAAGACCTCCTCAAAAATTATGTCCATCCTAAGTGTTTAAAATGAAGCAATTATCCTCTCAATGACTTCAAGAAGTTGGAAACCTTATTTTACTACATCTTCAGGTTCCAAAATACAAGAAGGGATTTATTCTCTCTTCCCTTTTCTGCTAATAGGTAAATTTTATTTTTCTATTCATATGTTTATCTACAGCATCAGCTACTGCTAGACAAAGGCAGAGTCATGATCTTTAAGAGATTTAACCTAATATAGAATCCACATTTACTTGCTAGCTACATCTGTGGTCTAAAATCTGACTGTATGGGCATTGATATCCAAATGCTCAGACGATAAACTGCTAGCATGTGTTTCCTGTTTCAGACTCAAATGAGAGTATGAATCTAAACATATTCACTGCATGTCTTCTAACTTATTGCTAAAGTGACATACAAATAAAAAAACAAAAACTAATGTATCCATAAAATGGTATGGCTATAGTGCCTCTAATTAAAATTTAGTTCATTAACAAATTTAGTGTGTATAACAACAGTCATGGCACAAGTAGATATAAATCACATAAAAAATTATCAGTATGGAAGCATTTGCAATGATAGGAAAAGGAATATAATTCATAAAGAATTGTCCATCACTATTGAGACAGTTTAATGACAGTTAGAAACAGCAAAGCAACACAGCCAATTATAGACATTTTTTTCTATTAAAAAGTTATTTAAAAAAAGATAGAAACATGCAGATTACCATGAAGCATGCAGGATACATTGTTGGCATTCCAACCCACCTAATCTTTGTGAGTTTCAAACAGCTAAGTATATGCAGACTTTTATTTCACAAAGCATCTTTTACATATATAAAGTTTGTTTGCACATTGTGCTATGGTCATCATCAAGACCTTTTAAAATGCAAAACAACAATAACACTCTGTAATGCAAAACATGAAAACCGCATCATTTTGTAATAATTGTTTTCATATTACACAGTGGATGGTAGATATAAAATGGTGAATATGAGACAGTAGGAACACACTAGAGATAGAGATATTACCTTTTGCCCTGGACGACCAGATTCCCCAGGTTCTCCCTGGCCAAAGAAAACCAAAGATGAAAAACACAGTCTTAAAAGAATTTTCTAAAACACTTAGACCTCTGGGCACCATCACAGGGATGGCCTAGCCCCCTTCTTCAACCACATGTCTTTTATTTCCTTTATCCTGTGACTCTACATCTCACTAGACATACGGATTTTTTTTTTTTTTTTTTTTGCTGTAAATATAGCTATAGATCACATATAAATCACATTTCCATAAAAACCAATCAGAAAGGGAAGAGAATGCAAGACTTCTTATTTAAACCTTCATCACATTTCCCACAGATATTCCCTATTGTTTTTGGAAGCCCAGTTATTGTAGGAGAATAAGAACAGAGTTATAACCATCAAAGTTGCTAAAAAGGGAGAGAAAGTAGAGGCCTATAAAAATCAGAACTGTAACTCCTGGAGTACAAATACTTGCAAGGTTATAGTTACCTTAATTCCTGCAGCAGATGATCCAGGGTCACCCTAAAACGAAACCCAGGAGAGATTATCTCACAAGTTATGGGAATAGGAAACATCACAAGCACTCAGAGAGCCATCACCAACACAGGTACTCAAAGGGTATCTCATGACTAATGTGCCTAACTACGTTCCAGAAGACTTTGTACCAACATCTCAGCTGTTAAGATCTACGTTCCATAAGACTTTGTACCAATATCTCAGCTGTTAAGATGTCAACAATTTCCAAGATAAACAATGTACTTCCTAAAAACTGGGTTTACTTCACATGCAGATACATAAGGACTACATTCCGTGAAATAAACATGAATTTCTTCCCTTGATACAGTGCTAAAAATACATCGTGAAGCAATAAATTACAATTTAGGGGTATGGAACTTTTGGCTTTCTCTATTCCTGGAATTCATTAATGCCATCAGCTATCATTTACTGGGAGTTCCCTGACCCTTTTGCTCTTCAGCAAGTCAAGGTTCAACAGATGAAGTCAGAGGTTAATGATGTCGAGTTAGAAAAAGCCACGCAGCAGATCAGTTTGTTTTCCTCATGAAGCACTGTCACAGATACAATGGGCACGTTTTTTCCAGCTTTACACTTATTTCATTGTAACTCAGGCACCAGGAAGTTACAGGATGATGGATGACTTGTGGGTGAGGGGGACACATGTGAGCTCTGAGAGAAAGTCTTGAGAATCTGTTTTTTTATAAGGCACTGTGTTCCAGCCAGATTTCACAGAGGGTGAATACTTCTCTAAAGCAAATGTGTTATAAATAAGCAGATAGGAACTAATGGGGAAAATAATATGGAGGGTAGCTGGGAATGTTGCTTATTTCTGAAATGAAGTCAGCAAAGGGCCTAGAATTTCAAGTTCCTTCTAGCCCTCTCTGTCTCATGAATATGCTAGAAGGAAAAAGAAAAGGTCATTTGAGACTGTCAAGAAAATAGAAACAGCCACAGGAGGGAGGCACATATTGGGATTTCCTCAGCTGTCTCATCTGTACAAATGCTCAAGGAGCTCCGGGGGCCCATTTCCTTGTTCTAGATTCCAGAAGCTGCTCATCAATCTCTTTTAGAGACAGACATAAGGCCTCAGGCCTCTGTACACGGGCCACTTGCCCAGCTCCCTCAATTTCTCTCCCCTCTGCCCATGGCTGGCTTTGCCTCAAAGACCCCTTCACCAACCAGCCTAGACACATCAGACGCATGCCCCTCATGCACACATCTTACTCCGTAGCATCATGCTCTGTTCATGTCCACCGCAGCTCACTTTCTAATTGGCTATTTATGTTCCCTGCCTATTCATTGTCTATCTCTCTGTTAGACAGTTAGCTACATGTGAGCAGATTCTGGATCTATTTTTATTCAGTTCCCGGGCCCATAGTATATGCTCAATACATGTAAGGTGAACGAATGAACAGATCTCAAAAAGAATTTTTAAACAGGTTAATTGTCAAGGATCAAAATGTAAATTCTTCAGGAAGGGGGAAAAAAACGCTTATGAAAGAGAAGGAAATAGCAAATTAGCTTGTTAAGTAAACCGATAGTTATGTGAGTTTCTTTGACATCTATAATTGCTATTCCTCCTGTTGAAAATTAAAATGTAACTAAACATAAAAAACAAGAAGACCCTAATACTGTCTTACTGTAGAATGAGACTGATTTCTCTTGCCAATCATTAATATCCAACTGAGTTCCAAATGGGAAGCAACATGTCCAATAAAAAGAATATTTATTTCTAGTAAATTAAGTCTGAAAGCCATCAGTACCAATGAATCAGGTTTGCAATATTTTATACAATAATATCTTTGAATTCATAAAAGCAATTTTGACTCTACAAAGTTCCTACTTTATCTCATTTAAACCTCACAAAACTCTCATGAAATAAAGGGGGCAGATATTACTATTTCCATTTAATAAACAAGGATATCAAAGCAGCTAGAGGTTAAATGAATTTGGGGCTTCCTAAATTCTACTGCCGTGTTTTAGGTTTTTTTTTTTTAATACAAAAAAATTGTTGGCTTATTTCATTTTGACAACAGGACATAAAGGTTGTAGTAAACTTGTAAATACAAAGAAGCTGCTTGTATTAATTGTAGTTGAATTCAATATCTTAATGAAAAGCATCCAGATAATCCCTAATGTGAATAAAGACTAGATTTAGTTCTCATAAAAAGTGGATGGAAAGAAAAAGACAGTTTCTTGAAAGGCCAATATATTTGTGGAAATCTGAGCAGTTCCATTTGATGGACAACTAAGGGTGATTTTTTTTTTCTTTTTTAAAGACTTAGAACTGTGAAATCTCATGGAATTTTTATAACTTTTAAGTGGTAACATGACTGCTGGAAGACAGTCATAAGTTAAACATTTTAAAGGATAATGCTGAAATAAAACAGTGTGTGTTTATAATCCTCCTTCCCCACAAAGTAAAAATGAATACTGGATTAAAGTAGGGGGAAAAACCCCAACTGCGTCTTAAGTATACTCTTAGCTTCATAAGTCAGTTGGCTTGGAAATAAAAATTTCTACAGGGTAAGTTATAGATGAGGAAATACTATGAGAAGATACTTGAGATAAATGAATTTGACTTTACTATGTTTCATTCAAGCACAGTTTCCATTTTTGTTTGTGATTATTTTCAAAACAACACTCAGATAATTATATGTGTGTGTTAATAAGGCACATGTGGATATATGAAGTGAATGTAGTGACTTATTTTTATCAGTCATTAATTCATTCAACAAATACTTAGCAAGCACTAATTGTGTGCCAGACATATCTATTAATAGATGCTGAGAGCTGGGAGATAACAGTGAACAATGAAGTTATAATCCTTGTCCTTGTCCTGCATTACAATGATCATTTTCTAATATATGTAGTGCAAAAATATTATTGATGGAAAGCATGAAAGGTAATTCATTTTTTTCTTTCTTTCCTTTTCTTTTTTTGAAATCTGGTGTAGAAAGAGACTGTCATGTTTGGAAAAGTCTGTGTCACTATGCATGCACAGAAGACACGATAAGCAAATGCATGGCTATCAAAGGAATTATAAAGAGTGCTGTGGAGAATATAGCAGGTGACCTACCTAATCCAGAGGAGACTGAAGGCTGCTCCAGGGAAATGACTTATAAATTAAGTTTACAGCGGACTGAAGAATGAGTAATATTAGAAAGTAGAGAAGTGGTGATGAGGAGTCAGGGGGCGGAGGACAGACAGCAACAGTATTCTAAATTATGGGAATGATGTGTGCTAATTAGGGAAGGCCCGGCACCAATTAGGGTGGGATAGGCCTTCAGGTGTGATTTTATGAAAAGAAGACAGTTTGGTTGGCTCCAAATATGATGTGGCTTCTGAAAAGGCTCAGAGGATGCAAGTCAAAGACGCATTTTCATACTTCATACTTCATACATGCATCTTTGCTATGTAGATGTGAAGTATGAAGATGAAGACAGTGTGAATACACATAGGAATGGAAATGGGGGAGAGGGGAGCAAAGAAAAAAAAACAGGTAATGCTAAGAAAGTGAAGGCAGAGCTTTTGAACCAACAGACAGAATTGTGAAGAGTAGAGTGATGTGGCCAAACCATTTAGTGTGCAGCACAAATACCCCATTTCGCACAGGGGAAAATAGATAAGAAATCAATTTCTACATTTATTGGTGGGGTTAACACTCCAAAGAGTGGGACATAATCCTTCAATAGTAACTCTACGCATGACTGAACTCCGTCTTTGGCAGGTTTACGCTCTTAAATCTAGGGTGTACCATGGTTGTAGGCCAGACTGTGCTGAAGCTGCTGGCCACAGAGAAAACCCAGCCTAGTGGTTTTTACAGTTCCACAGTATTTCCAGATGACCAGTCTGGAAAGGTTTAGATTACTTTACCATCCAAAGGCGCTGAGTTGAATCAAAAGGAAAAAAAAATCCTATTAAAGTCAATCAATGACGTAATTTACTACATCAATGGCAGAAAAGAAGGATTTTTTAAAATTTTTACATCTCAAACTTGGTAAACGATGAATGAGTTTCACATACTGAACACAAAGGCCATAAGAAGAGTGTTTCCAACATGCTGGAAACAAATTATATGACAGAAGCAGGAAATGTTTAAAAAACACATCAAAAATTATATTCCAATTACAGCATTCTTGGGATAAATGCTACAGGTCGGATTACATATTATACACATTACAGATTCCTATTTACAATCCCCTGTTTAGACCCATTGAAGGTTTATAGAAATAATTTCCGTTTTACCTGAAGTATTTCTTATACTTAATTTCAGCTGACTGATAAAACTTTTTGATAAAAAAAAGAATAACAATCTAGTTGATTTCAATTTCCATGTGGGAAGAAAAGCTAATATTTATTGAGAGTTTATTATGTGTGAGTCAGTATGGTAAATGATTTGCATTAATATATAAAATAAGAACAGTATTCCTTTGAGATGAACTTGGTCTTTTCAAAGAAAAAAGCTGTTTTACCATTGTAAAATTAAATTTCAAAAATTTTAATTTTACAATATGATTGAAGAAACAATTATTGGCCTACATTCCAAAAATGAAACTTTAAAAAGACATCTTTTAAGCATAAAATTCTCTACATAAATCCACATAGGCATTGTTCAGACGTAGTATAAATTTTTTTCACTTGAAAAAAACTGCCCTCGGTGTAGAATATTTCCTTTCTTTTAAGCAGAGGTTGGTAACTATGGCCAAATTCAGTTGGCCACCTGCAAGACCCAGGAGCTAAAAATGGTTTTTAAAAATCAAAATAACAATAATAATTCATGACACATGAAAATTACATGAAATTAAAATTTCAGTGTCCAGAAATAAAGTTTTATTGGAACACAGCCTACTCACTTGTTTATGTATTGTCTATGGTTGCTTTCATGCCATAACAACAGAGTTGAGTAGCTGTGACAGAGACCACATGGCCCACAAAATCTAAAATATTTATGTTCTGGTACTTTACTGACTTCTGCTTTTAAGCAAAAACAAGCAAGTTAGATGTAACACCAGGTTTATATATTTAGGATTTCAAATTTTGACTTTGAGAGTAATCAGGGTATATCATTGGTCTCATTTGTATTAAACAGATTCATGCCATATTTGATTGCAGCATGATACTTAAATTTGGCAGATAAATAAAATGGGCCTACAGCAGTGATACTCAACTGTGGGTGGCTTTGTCCCCCAGGTAACGTTTGACAATACCTGGAGACATGTTTGATTGTCACAACTTGGAGGTGCCATAGGCATCTTGTGAGTAGAGGCCAAAAATGATGCTAAACATCTGAGGGCCCCGTAACAGAGAATTATCTGGCCCCAAATGTCAATAATGCTGAGGTTGAGAAACACAGATCTATAAGAAACTGAGCCCACTCTAATTTCTAGACTCCTCGAATATGAATATAATTGCTACTTGGTGACATTAATTCATTCCTACCACACATGCCATATTTATATTAATATTTGTGGGAAGAAAAAAGATAAATTTCTTTTTATTTTGCAGCTATGTTTTTATGACTAACCATTATCCATCTGTACTGTAGTAATTTTCAAAGTGGAATAGTCTTAGTCTCAACTGTAAGGCTAAATAAATAAATCTTCATCACTCAACTACTTAGCTTGATTTAAATTAAAACCCATCTGACTTTATTCTATTTTCAATTTCTTAAAAGATCTTCTTAATCTTTAACACATAGCACAAGTGAAGTATAACATCCTTCCTCTGTCAGAGGTATCTATAAAGTATGAATCCAAGCAAAAGCTATCACGATAGACTGAGGAAAAATAAGAAGAGAGGAGGCAGAAGACAAGCCACAAGACTACTGCAGTATAAATGCTAATAATGGTTTAAAAGACCCTTTGCCCCAGGACTGAATATGAAGCCTGACAAAATACCCAGATTTAGTGGAATTTGAATTGAGGTAAATTTTCAAGACTGCATTAGAGTGTCTAATCAAGTGACATTAACTTATAATCAAACTTTTCTTTTTAAAATTATGATTTCAATGGGTTTTTGGGGGAACAGGTGGTGTTTGGTTAATGGATAAGTTCTTTAGTGGCGAGTTCCGAGATTTTGGTGCACCCATCACCCAAGCAATGTACACTATTATACCCAATGTGTAGTCTTTTATCCTCACCCCCTTTCCCATACTTTCCCCAAGTCCCCAAAGTCCATTATATATCATTCTTAAGCCTTATAATCAAACTTTTTTTTTTTTTTTTTTTTTTTTTGAGACAGAGTCTCGCTCTGTCACCCAGGCTGGAGTGCAGTGGTGCGATCTCCGCTCACTGCAAGCTCCACCTCCCAGGTTCACGCCATTCTCCTGCCTCAGCCTCCTGAGTAGCTGGGACTACAGGCACCAACCACCATGCCCAGCTAGTTTTTTTGTATTTTTTTAGTAGGGACGGGGTTTCACTGTGTTAGCCAGGATGGTCTCGATCTGCTGACCTCATGATCCACCCGCCTCAGCCTCCCAAAGTGCTGGGATTACAGGCCTGAGTCACTGTGCCCGGCCTCAAACTTGTAAATCTCATTCCAATCCTCTGACATGTTCTCTCCTGAAACTGGCACAAACTGAATCACTTTAGGGTCCCTATTTTCATATACCTGCGCATAAAGGGAGCGTCCCATTTACACATGAATAAGTGTTTTAATTCCTTGAAAGCCATATTACTGAAAACTTAGCTACACATTTTCTATAATTTTTGATATATCATTTTACTTTGAAAATATTTTAATTTGTGGATAGGAGCTTGTGGAATAATCACCTTTTATAAATCAAGTATTTAAATGTTTTCTAATCTTGGAGAATGATCTCTGACCTTTTCATATTAAGCAACTCTCACTCATCTCTCTAAAAATCCCCCATCTTCATAAACTTGAAGTATATTTCTTGCTCACATATGTACCCTTTCATGTCTTACAAAACTGTACCTTTTCGCCTGTGTCACCCTTGGGGCCGTTCTCTCCAGCGTCTCCCTGAGGAGGTGAGAAAGTGACACATGTAAAATACATTGGTGACGTCAAGCAGATAATATTTTTCATTATTTTAAGCTTTCTTTCATGAACACTACATATTAAAATCTGTTGCAAATGCTCTATAGAGCTAATGTATTTATACTTGACCAGTTGTCTGATATCAATAAAAGAAATTTTACTACAACTAACATGGCTGAACAGTTTTAAACTATTCCACAGTATTAACAGAAAACACTTATCTGTCTTCCAATGCCTTATTTGGGCACTTAAAGCCTTCTTAATTCTGTCTCTGCTCAAAGCTCCACGCAAACAAAGGCTTTCTCCTGACAGTTCCCTGAATATGCCATGGGCCTTACCAATTCTGAGGCCTTCTTCATATCATTCCTGTCACCTGGATCCCTCCCCTCTCTTTCCCTTTCCATCTGTATAAATCCTGTCCTGTCTTCAAGCATATCTCAAAATCTCCAGGGCCTCAAAGTACAGGACAGGGCCCTCAAAACCTGTGGACTGAATATTGATTTATCTGGGCCTACATGGTTTGCATTTGTGAAATGAATGTTTTATGCTTTACTAGAAAAATTTTTTAAATCATAGTTTATGCTTTTTTTGTTGTTATTTTTGAGACTTCCTATGCCTGTTCCCTCACTGACATCTCTTTTCTGCCTACAAAGCAATGCATTAGGGAAATAAGCATTCGTTTATTATCTTCCTTAAATTCTGAATTCTTCAATATAAGTCTTACAATATGTTATGTGGAAATGTTATGGACTTTGGAGCCAGGGAGACAGACCAGTTCCAGCACCTACTGGGCAAATGAGATTCTCTTTGCATCAGGTTTCTCCTGTGCAATGTAATAGAAAGGATAATTTACACAGTTATAAGAAATAAGTACTACACTGTGTGTAAAGCAACTAGGGCAGTATCTGGCACATCATAAGCTATTAATGATAACAATGCATTACTATTCACATATTCCATAGGCTGGAATGCAGTCACTTTTCTATTACTCAAAAAGTTTCTTAAAATAGGACAGAAACTATTGATCATAACTTTCTTGGGAGGGGGGAGAAAGGAAGTTGGGAAGGCAGACTTTCACTTTTTTCCTCTGTATTTTGTTTTATTCTTTCAAATAAGCATGAAGTTAGTCTGCCTGGGCATTTGTTTATGGTGACAAATACACTGCGGCAGGCCACAAGAGCCTGGGACACTTTCTCTGATGAACGCCTGGTATGGTGCTGATACTGCTCCTTTTCCCTCCTAATTTCTACACAAAAGAGTCACCCAGTGACTAATTAATTTCAGGTTAATTACCATGAACTGATTGGATGCTAAATAAATGTCCTAGTAATGTGTTATGAGGGATCTTTGATAGGCAGTTGATTTGCATGCTTTTTATAAAATTGCACAAAAATCCCTCTATTACAGAACAAAACAAACAAACCAACCTTCTTAGTAGGGAAACTGGCTCAGAGTAATTGCAAAGTGAAGGGTTTAACTGAGCTGTCCCCTCAGGAAACTGCCCTTTCCACCCACGTATTTTGCTCCCCCTCCATTAAATAAATGGTTTTTTTTCTTTACAATGTTGAAAAATACAGTTATAATTAAGAATTTTTCTTGATCTTTACATAAACTTCTTTTGGGATGAGAGGTTATAATACTGATTTGTCAGAAAGACCATATCACTTACAAAGAGCATGATGTAGTAACTTGGTAGTTTCCTACTCAGCATATTTTTCAAACACTATTAAAATAAGTAGCATGAGAACCAGGAAAATAAGTATCGTAATATGCAATCAGAGCCTAAAAATAATCAGGACAGGCCCAAGTAAGAAAAAGAGTCTAGGAGTAACTTAACACTCTGCTCTTCCTGTTTCTCTTTTTGGTTTTTATGGGAATTCTTTGTGGGCAACCTTCAGATAATTGCTGCAGGTAAACATCTGTATCCCTTTAACCTAGTGACATTAGAAGCAGTAGAGAGAGATGTGGGTGCTTGGAGAAGCATTAGAATGGCATTAGCAAGTAGGCAGACCAGATTTTGCAGGCCTAAGGATTTTTGAAACCCGTTTAAAAGCTTAAAAGCCTGACACAGAATGTTTAAATTTGCTCCCTTTCTCTTCATTATTAAATATTTGTTCTGAAGGTACATCGGCACCTTTCTCTTTATTTTTTAAAACTTTTTTTAACCCAAATTTTTGTCTATACATAAGAATCACACTATTTCCTCCTTCCACTAATTAACAGTTTGAAAAAACACAGGAGTCATATCTATATCTATATATCTATATATCTATATATCTATATACCTACCTACCTACCTATTAATCTACCCACCCACCCATCCATCCACCCATCCATTCATGCATATAGTTTAGTTTGAGTACTTCTTTGGTATGCTGGTGGTGGGGAGTAGGGAGAGAGAAATACAGGCAGAATCATTCTTACCTTTTCACCTTGTTCTCCAGGTTCTCCCTGAGCAAAAAGACAGAGATTGGGTGACATCAAATCATAAAACACCTAATTTTATTATCATTATTAAACAAAACAGATATTGAACTTACTAGGTAAATTATGCATGACATTTTCTATTTTGGCTACATGCAGTTGCTATATGAAAACAAATGATAAAATGAGTTTCCTGGAGAATTTGAGTATGAATATCAATTATCAAATGTAATCTTAATTTTTTGCTTTTATAGCACTAAATAAATGTTTTTGAAGATTATCATCCAGAAACTGGCTTTTGGAGCACTAAGGAGAATGATGGTGTGGCAATTCAATATCTTGAGAGGCTTCTTAGCCTACAATTTTTCATTCTGCTTAAACTCAGAGTTAATCAGGTGGACTAGCATGTTTTTCTGAAAATCCTTTTATTCAAAGTGTTCCCCGGTTCATAGATCATTTCCAGGGTCTAGGGTGCCAGGGTAGTTACCCAATCTGTCTTGCCCTAACATGATCATAAATAGTCCTAATCTTGAACCCCTTACAATGTCATAAACTCTCTTTAGCTTCTGGTAAAGAGCATGTTCCAGATCAGGTCTATTTTAGGAGGCACCTTAAGGAAAGACACTAGAATGGGGCAGAATTGAAGTGAGTTTAGGAATGATGTCCTTATTCAAAATGATGACCTGGATAGCATGAGGACTAAAATGCAAAATGGTGCCCTGAAGAGAATCTCATTTTCACTTTACCCAGGAAAGGACAGAGGTTGGAGCAGGAGAGTAGGAGTCCTAAAGTAAATCATATACATTATGAAAATAGTTTCCTATGAAAAGCTTGAGTGAATGTTGCCATAAGATCAGACTGCTTTGGAAAAAAAATGAAATAAGGCAATTATTGTATTTTTTTAAATTTATAACCCACTGCAGAAGTCAGTTTGGAAGCAAGACTCTTTTCTCTGGAACTCAACCTGACCCTTTGGCTTTCTGCATTTCTGGTCACCTTCACTGCTCAACACCCATCCTGATGGTCGCTAGGCAACACCAGAATAGCACTGTGAACATGCATTAAGCATTAACTCCCATTGTTTGGCTTTTTAGCATGGAGAAAGAGAGAGAAGAAGACAGGAAAACAGCTAGAGTCCCAGAAGGAATATTTTCTTTCCTCTCCTGCAGGACAAAGAACAGGTCTATAAATTTCAGGTCTGTCCTAGGCGCCTGTCAATAGCAAATGATCTGTAAAATCAGCTGACAGGCATCTGTGGGTACGAATACACACCAGCACAGCTGATGGGATTAAACATTAGTTTTGTACTTCAAGGGATGTTCACTCATCAAAGGATTTGGGATTTGGCTGCCTGCTTGATTTAAACTAAATTGTCCCCAATCTTTTTATATTTAACTGATTCAATTTTTTTAAGAAACAAAGAAGACTTGGAATAAAAAAATCTTCATTACATTTTTTCCCTATTTGGTAATTCAGACTACATCCATTTTTAAATTTTAAACATCTTTATTCTGCCTTCATCTGATTAACTGGTTATGTTGTGTAAGAGCTGGAGGTGGCCAAATCTTGGGGAAAAGCCATAGTGAATGTCATCTTTAGTAAGGCATGTAAATATAAAAATTTTAGGCAATATGGACATGACCTATGTTTTTATATACCCACTAAGTGGTAAAATGACAACAGCCATATTGGAAACATAGGCCTATTCATGTTATTTAAGTATCTCAGAATAAAGATGTTAGATGATCACATCCCATTTATTTTTCTGCATTTAATACTAATGAGAATCACAAATATAATTAATTCATTAGTAACAAAGTTCTATACTATAGCATATTATACTATTCACAAAATACCCATGTAAGTGCAACTGGTGAGATTGTTAAAAATTGTATTAAATAATAGCTTACAATTTCCTGACAATTCGTGTGTCAAATGATTCTGCTTGGCTTTATTTGTACTAACCTTAGGTCCTGGTATTCCATTCTGTCCTACTGCTCCAGGCAACCCGGGCTCACCCTCAAAATAGAAAAATAGATACTACTAAGTAAAATAGACAAAATCAATACATTACATGGATCATTAGAGGAGACAGCCATCTAATAATTCTCTAGAAATAGATAAAGAATAAGTGACTATTAGTTTAAATTCAAGTTAGCTTCCATGGTCCAAAACGCTGCATGTAATGGAGCAAGGATACAATGGGGTTAATTTCCTTTGTTCAGTCTTCTCATCATTAAGAAAACTGAGGCAACTTACCAGTGGAAATTAACATCTAGCATGTTGCTGGGTACATTGTGAACATCAAATAAATATTTTCTGAATGAGTAAAAGACAACTGAAAATATAAGACTCTCCTGGCAAAAAACTTTTAAGTGATTCATCAGCTCAGAAAAAGAAAGAATAAATCATTCTGTTCTCACATTAGACTTAAATGAACATTTACAAACCTAAATCTTGAAGAACATATACATCTTTGAACACCTACTTAATTCATTTAGACACATTTGACACAAAAGTAAACACTAAAAACAGATTTGGTTTTTCTTTCCAATTTCATTGTAAAAATAAGTAGAATAAAACATTCAGACTTATGGATCTCATTGCCATATTGAATGATAGGCTTTTGGGCAAAAGATGATGGCTATTAGGCTAGAAAAATTTCCTATTTCAGAAAGATGATGATGTATACCAGTCTTTCAAGACTCTGAACCAGCAATTGTTTTCCAAAGAGACAAAGCTCCCTGAAGTGCCCAGAAACAAGGAAAAGATACTTTGGGCCTTTATGCTTCCATGTGGCTCAAACTTACAGCAATTAGAATTCTGTTCTCATTTTAAAACATTCTGAAAGCCCTTCACTGTGTGCCCCAATTACTGGACAACTTTCTTCTTTCCATTGAGGCTAGTAAAGTTGCTCTTTGGTTGATTTTTAAAAAATAGACTTTATTGTTAGAGCAGTTTTAGGTTCACTGCAAACTTAATTGATTTTTGAGAATGTTTTCTAAGTCACCTGGAGGGCAAGAATTCTGTCACTTTTATATTTGTGTTCTCAGCTTCAAAAACATATATATTAATAATAATAGTAACATTTCTTAAGTGCCAGGATCTTTATATTCATTGACTCAATTCTCATAAATTCCTATGAGGTAGGTACTATTTTTATCTCTATTTTACAGGCAAAGAAACTAAGGCACAGAGAAGTTAAGTAATTTGTCCAGATTTACACAACTACAGTCAGGACTTGAACCTTCATGGTTTAAGAAGGTATGCTCTTAACACCATGTTACACTGATAAGTGAACGAATGTATCTAGGAATTGGGAGAGAGTAGATGATGAATATTTCTATCTTAATTATTATTTGGTTTATAGTCCCACTTATAAATGACTGTCAGAATGTGTAGAAACCTGAATTAAATATAACCTACATAGAGATGATTTTTAAATATCTACCAGATAAACTAAGCAATGTGAAGCTTGTAGTGTCTAGAATAGCGAAAAGTATTTTACTATTATAGTGGATTATTAAAATTGCTAAAGTCTTAACCTCCTGGAAAAAAATTCTGCTTCCTATATAAAGTCACACTGTAATTGTAACTCTTGCACTTTCCTTGGTAAAATGGGAAAAAATGTTGACTTAGAATAATGATGGTCATTATGGGAAGATTTTGATATGCCATTTGTACATAACAAAGGATAAGAACTTGGAAACAGAATACACCCTGAAAAAGGAGTATCATTTACTGTGCAACGAGAAAAAGACCTATGGAGTCTGCTTGCTTCAAAGAATCCACAACAGGAAGCACTAATATCATAACTCATGGTTTCATGCAAATAAGAGATGCCGCCAGGAAACAATACAAACATTGTTTAGACTTTCAAAGAATAACCATGGTAGCCAGAGTTTTTTAAAAAATAAATGGTTAAGCCCCTGGAACCGGACAAAATTCATGCTGAGATTTTGAAGCAAGGAAGAGAAATGTTGCTTAGGTATCTGCATAACATTCTCCTTAATATATGAACATTGAGGGATGAAAGTTTGATCTCCTTTTTTTCTTTGATTTTTTATGTTGCCAATCTTTAACATAAAAGGCAGCAAAAAATTGTACCTGTAATCCCCATCACTCTATAATAATTGTTTTCATTTTGTCCTGTCTCCTTCTGGTCTTTGATATTTATGGTTACATAGTTTCAAGCAATTGTAAACATATTGCATAGCTTGATGTTCTGATTTTTTAAATCTTTATACGCACATTTGTTTTCACACAGTATTTGTGAACACTGTCTTGTGAATAGTTTAATCATCTATCAAAGTCAGGTGTGACCACTTGTTTAATCAGTCCCACATTGTTGAATACTCATGTTCTTCCAATTTTTACTATTAAAGATAAACTAAAATAAATACCTCTGTAAATATACTCATTTTTCTGTCAAATAATTTAATTATGATTAATTATCTAAACTTGTTTTATTAGTCAATGGAAACATTTTATGGCACTAACTGCATATTTCTAAATTGCTTTCTAAAAGAGTTCTGAGTTTTATTTGCTTTTATAGGCACTTCAAAAAAATTTTATAGGCATTGCTTTTATAGGCATCCACTCTGTGTTACTTTTTCACAACTTCTTACAACAATGGTTTTTCACAACAGCATTGAATATCACAATTTTAATTATTTTTGTAGCCATTTTAATAAGCACAACTGAGAGCTTACTGTTGTTCAGTTTTAAATTTTTCACTTGTAAGCTTAAATATTTTCTGATGGGTTCATAATTTAAGTAGGTATTCACAAAATTTTACAGCTGAAAAGTGAATAAAGCTAGAGGAAAAAATGACTGAGAGCATTTTACCCTTATAATAGTTACGTCACGAAACACATACTCCAAGTTAGATTAAAGGACTACAGAGCATTCTGTTACTGTCCACACTTAGTTTCCCAGGTTCTGTGAAAAGAATATAAACGATAAACCACTGTACAAGTCTGAGTTTCATAGCCAAGCTATAGGAATCTGTAGGTGCTGATTATTCAACTGACAGTGAAAATTTACTATACGTTCTACTCTGGACTGAATGTTTCCTGAGACATAAAGATAAAATAGACATGACAGGTGCCTGTGCCCAAAGAGCTTATTTTTGAGTGGGGAAAATATATACATACATGTATACATATACACATATACATATACACATTAGGTGGCATCTAATTGAGTTCATGAAACATTTTTAGGGGCAAAGTTTTCTTACACTTCATGAAGTAAGAAGCATAATAAATAGAAAACAACAAGAAGTCTTGCTGAGGAATAAAGCATACATCTTATATTGTATTAATGTATTTTAATATATCAGGACAAAAATTATCATGAGTCCTCTAAATAAAGTTGTAATGATGTTACACTATTACATAATAGTGAACATGTACATATACAGAAAAATATATCAGAAAGGTACAAACAAAAAAAATGGGAACCAGGTTGTGTGTGTGTATGTGGGTGGGGGGAGCTGGTCTCATGTTTGTGGCATAATCTATCCATCTATTTCTGAACACATTTCATACTTAAAACACTGAGGGCATTCCATAGATGGTAATGAAGAAAAACAGCAGCTAACATCTTAACCACAGGTAGATTAATGGGGTTTTGTCTACTATACTTTAAATTTAAAGGCTATTCCCAGTATGACCATTCCAAAATGGCCATTTCCATTGTAAGCTGAAAACAAGTTGGACTGACTTTTAAGAAGGATGGCTTGCTGCTTTCATTTTTTTTTTAAAAAAACAACTCTTTTAGAACTCTAATGTAAAACATCACTCAAGGCCATACAATTATTTCAGGTACTGTCATTCAAGGGCAACTTGAATGAGTAGTTAAGGATAAAAAGAAATGCGGTTTTCTTACAAATATTGAGTGCTCAAAGGAAGTAGGTCATCTAGCAGTAATATTGTTCATCATCACTTCAATCACGATAGTCTTCCTTTCTGGAAATTGGAATGAGAATGGAATGGACCTATACGTTATACCTGGAAAATGAGCAGATTCTAAACCTGTGTTGTCCAATTGGTACCACTAGCCACAGGCAACTATGGAGCAGTGGAAATGTGGCTAGTCCTAATGGAGATGGACGTAAGTGCAAAATACAATTTTAAAGATTTAGTAGGAAAAAAATGAAAAAATATCTCACTAAAAATGTGAATATTATTATTCTTGAAATATTAATTCATATCATGTTAAAATGATAATTTTGAATAGATAGAGTTTAAAAACTATATTATTAAAAATAGTGGGTGCAGCACACCAGCACGGCACATGTATACATACGTAACTAACCTGCACAATGTGCACATGTACCCTAAAACTTAAAGTATAATAATAAAAAAATAAAAATAAAAATAATAATAATAATAATATTACTTGTTTCTTTTTACCTTTTTTCAATGTGGTTAACAGAAAATTAAAAATTACATATGCAGTTTGTATTTGAGGTTTGCATTATATTTCTGTTTCTATTGAGCATTGGTTTAAACTATAAAATTATTTAATTATTAGAAGACATCATGAACCAAAAGCCTTTAAAACCAAGGAAGGAGTACTATCAGTATTAAAGCAAGTCAACATACAGCAAGACTTCAGAATGGAGACTCCACTCCATTGCATATGCAGTTAAAATGCACCAGAGAACTCTGCCAAGCTGGAGCAGTATGTCGGGGGGGGGTGCGGGGGGAGGCGTGGAGAGACTAGAAGCAAGCTCTGGCTCGGGACAGAGTGGCTTTTGGAGGGTCCAGGAGATCAAGTTCTTGTGTGTAACATGGCACAGCCACAGCTGGTCTCTGTACTGTCTGTACGGTAAGCCAGTGGTTAGAGGCTGACTCTAGGGACCAACTAACGGAGTTCTTTGCCACCCACCAGCTTCCAACATTCTCTTAAAAGCAAGTCAGGCATAGAGCTCCTTCACTCAGTTCTCTGCAAGCCTGTCCCATCTCATTCAGAATAAGAGCCGACATCCTTACAATGGCCCCAGCCCCACATGATCTGACCCCTGCTGCTCCTCTGACCTCCCTTCTGCTGCCCCCTCACATACTCCAGCCACACTGAACCCCGCCCCCACCTTGCTCCAGTGTGGAAAGCAGCCACCTGCCCAGGGCCTTTGCACCTAGGCGTTCTCTAACGGACCTCCTATGTTTTTTCCTCGGATAGCTATAGGATTGCTCTCTCACCTCCTTTAACTTTGGATCAAATATCTCCTTACTACAGGGGTTACCCCTGAGTTCCCCCCACTCCCCTAACCACACCACCACTCCCTATAAAGGCATATGCCTGTGCCTTTCTCTATTATACCAACTGCCGCCTAAGATACAACCTTGTGTTTCTTTTCTGTCTTCTGCCATTAGGACTTTCAGGTTTAGCAAACAAAAATATAGGAGACTGAGTTAAATTTAAATTTCAGATAAATAATGAATCATATTTTAGTTAAATATATTCCAAATATTAAATGGTACGTACTCACATTAGAAATTCTCAGTTGGTATGTGAAATTCAAATTTAATAGGGCATCTTATATTTTATCTGACAACCCTATTTTCCACTCCCACATCCCCATCACCACTAGTCTATGAGCTCCTTGGGCAGAGAACTTGGTCTATTTTGCTCATTACTCTTTCACAGTGCCTATTAAAACCACTCATACATAATAGCTGTTCAGTACATCAGTGTTAGAGGAATGAATGAATATAGGAGAATCAAATGCATTAAGCCTACATGAAGATGTGAAGCACTGAACAGGCCAGGTAGAAAACGAGACAGCAAGGCTGCCCAACTGGGAGCTTGGAAAATAATATAACTGTCATGGCAAGGGATGGCTCTGTCTCAGGAACCGCAAGGCAGCTGTCACGGGAAAAGAGAAGGGAGCAAGGAAAAGATGGGAGAAATGTTAACCCTGCAGTGGCACACCTCCAAGTCATGCCCAGTTCAGTCCGAATCACTAGGATTGATGGACACAGGCACAGCATGGGGTGGAGTGAAGCGAGGCGAGTGCGAGTTAGAAGAGGAGTCTGTGAAGGGCAGGGTGACAGGAATGAGAACTTTAATGGCTTCCAAGAAAAACCCTCCAGGACTCTGTTGGGGGAAGAGTGTTTACCTAGAGGACTAAAGGCTCCAACAATTCATCCTGTGGGTCCAGAGCCTGGGGCATTGCCGACATTTCCATGTACTGCTCATCTCTTCTGTCTGCTTCTTCTTCCTTCACCCCCAGTGCCTCAGGTGAGGGGCGAGAAGTAGCTGGGACGATGCTGGTTCTATAAATTTTCATGTCATCTAAAGTTCCCCAAAGACCCTCTCAGAATTTACACAAGTGTCATCATTTACTCCATGAACTCACTAACATCTGCTTTTCCCTAAGCAGGAGCACTCACAAAACAGTGAAATATTTTAGTGAAAGGAGCCAAGCCAGTCATTCTTAACAGAGGAAGAAACACATTCAGAGAGAGGAAGTAACTTTTCCAGAGACAAAAAGCCACAAAGAGGTAGATGTGAGATTAAAACCCAGGTCTTCTGATTCCTCATCTTGTGTTTCTTCTATTGAAGCAGCTTGTGTCTAAAAATCTCATTCAATTTTATCGTTTCTTTTCTGTTTAATTTTCACATAAAATAGTAAAGTGGCTTTAGGACACTAATACCAGCCTAATATCATAATACCAGCTGTTCCACATAATAGCTGTTCAGTACACTGGTGTTAGATGTACTGAACTTCCAGTTCTGACAAAGAACAATTTGCTTATGCTTCCATGGGGCTGTTTTTCTCTTGTAAAGTGTGTGGGGCTGAATCAAATATTTGCTTTCTTCCAACTCTAAAGGAGTAAGATTTATTATTATTGCTAGTTGTTGTTGCTGCTCTTGTTGTTGTTGGACTAAAGACGTTACCTGTTCATTCTTTATTTCTTAGAGATCTGACTAAATTTGGCTCAAGTCTAAGACTTGCTTTTTCCAGCCCCCTGCTCAAGCCTTGCATCTATACATGTCTCTGCTTTGCCCCATACCAATTCAGGTGGTTCAGTCAATTCTTCACCAGTTTCCTCAAGAATTCCTCTCTGCAGGCATTTTGTGAATTCAAGATTCACTATTTGGTACTCTCAGGAAGGCGTCATCACTGAGCTGAGTCTGTCTTCATCTTACTGGCTTCTCCTCTCTCCCTCTTCCACCTCACTGTCCTCTTTCTTCCCTCCCTCCTAGAACATCCTAGGAAATCGGCTTCTCTCTGTGTGTAGCAGTTCAGTAGTCTTTAGCTCCTACTTGCATCCCCAATCCCTGATTCTTTTTCTTTATCATTCCGGGAAGCAGAGGAAGCTGTGTAACACGCAAAAGTAAAAAGAGAAAACCCCTAGCCTGGACTATTAGGTTTGCTTATGCATCAGAGAACTGGCATCCCTACTGCGTTATCTAAACAGCAAACTCCCTCCCTAAAATTAGAACCGCATAACCACCCAATGGGCTCATCTTGCCCGCTGCCCAGACAGAGCCAATTTATCAAGACAAGGGAATTGCAATGGAGAAAGAGTAATTCACACAGAGGCGGCTGTGCAGGAGACCAGAGTTTTATTATTACTCAAATCAGTCTCCCCAAAAACTTGGAGATCAGAGTTTTTAAGGATAATTTGGTGGGTAGGGGGCCAGTGAATTGGAAGTACTGATTGGTTGGTTCAGAGATGATATCATAGGGAGTGGAAGATGTTCTCTTATGCTAAGTCAGTTCCTGGGTGAGGGCCACAGAACTGGTTGGCAGGTCGAGGTGGGGCCATCCGGTTAGACATGCAAAAACCTGAAAAGACATCTCAAAAGGCCAATCTTAGGTTCACAATAGTGATGTAAGTTGCAAATCTTATGACCTCCGGAATAACGGCTGGTAACATTTAGTATTCCAGCCCCTCTCATCCGTACTTGGTGGCTGGTGGCCTTTCATTCATTTTACAAGAACAGTTTAGCTTTTGGGAAGGGTTATTATTTAAACTATAACTAAAATCCAAGACTAGTTCAACCTACGCCCAGGAATGGACAAGGACAGTTTAGAGGTTAAAAGCAAGATGGAGTTGGTTGAGTCTGGTATCTTTCACTGTCATAATTTCCTTAGTTATAATTTTGCAAAGGCAGTTTCAATCTCTTTGTCCACATTGGTAATGTGAATACTAAATAGTAGAAAAGTAGACAAGTATATCAGCCAGGAACTTAATACAAATACCCTCTTTTAGGTAATTTGCTGAAATGGGTCTTAAACTGTTTAATAACTAAATTTAACCTGGTGACCAAACCTTCCTTATGCTTTTTAAAAAATTACACATGTCTAAAAATGATAAATAAGAAAACATGTTAGTTGTATCAATAATATAATAGTATGAGGTGTTTCAGAAATAAGTCTGCTAGTTAACACTTTTAATCTTAGATTTTCATATTGTTCATGTAGACAGAAATATCTACAACACAATTTGAACAAAGGAAATGTAATGCAGAGAGATAGTTAGAAGTTTGTGGGGAGATCACGAAAGATAGCTAAATTGACTTTATTCGGGTGAAATTTACATAAATGAGAGGAATTATTTGCCTTGAGGAAACTCACAAAATCTGAAGGTCTAAGCAGGAGTATGCACGGTCACACAGATACTCCCCCATTCCACTCCCTGCCTGATAATTTCCTCCTTTCTCTTCCCATCCTCTTTGTCTCTCCAGCCCTAGTTCTCTCTAGGAGGTGCCTTGGGGATTACATGTGAACACCACAGCCTCCAAGCCCTGCTCATAGCTCCTCGTCAACAGTGCTGCACGGCCACCCAGGGGCTTAGCGGTGCACGTGCCAGCAGTATGGTCCACTCTTTCTGAATACATATCTGGGGAGGGCCCATTACTAACCCTGGAAGCTGACTTAAGGAAATACCTTTATTTTTTCACCTGGTTCCCTTAAGTTTCCATGACTTGTAACATAATGTGTCCTTGAAAATATATCCATTTTTAAAGTCTTAAAACCCAGCTAATTCCATATTTCCTAAAGTATAGTTCTTAAAGAAACTGTGTATAGTTTGAATGATAAATTATTCTTTCTCTTGGAAAGAGAATGTGTTTAATTATTAATAGAAATTTTAAATGTTTATGTCCACGTGGAAAAATTCTAAAGGTCAATGAAGAGAATGAGATAATACTTCTTACTGATACTCACTTGGACACCTAAGAGGTTTCTGAATCATTGAGGTATTAATGCCTCCAATTCAAAGAGGAAAACAATCTACCCTTATTTAACAGTCTTTTAACAGACAGTTATATGTATTACTTTCTTTATCTTTTCTGATTAAACTTAGAGGTAAACATTATAATCCCTATTTGAAAAATGAGGAAACTAAGGCTCAGAGAAGGTAAGCAATTTGTCCAAGGTCATACAAACACTGAGCGGCAAAGCTAGGGTTTTCTGAATTTAAAAATCCACACTCTCGACCACTACTATGCAGTGGAAGCATACTGCCTGGCTTTTAAGCTCTACTCTGTCACTAACACCTGGGTGACCTTGGGCTTCTTTTACTCTTTCTGCACCTCAGTTTCCTCATTAAGAAAATGGAGATAATCATAGTGCCTATTTCATAGAATTGCTATAAGGACTGAATGAGCTAAGATGCCTATAACATTTAGGATGCTGCCCAGCAGTTAATAAACACTGGATACATTTTAGTAATTATGATATACTGCTTCTATTCTCTGCACTAGGCAGAGAAGACAGAGAAGAGAAACCTGAAAGGAATTCAGTTTCTCATAAACTAATCCCACTGATGCTGTCTCACAGTTGGATCATGGCTACCCCTTGGCAATGTGGCCTGGTGTCAAATAAATGGAACGGGGTAGATTTCACCCGTTATGGTTTTGACAATAAATTATTACATTGCAGCCTTATTTTTAATACAAATCTCAAAATCAAGAGACCTAATGATACAAAAACAGGGTGTGTGGTTTATATTGATTTAATATCTTACTGGTCAGAAATTTTAAGGAAAAGCTGTCCATGATGAATACAAAACCCTATAGTGATCAATGATATCAATAATATAGTGTTTTAGGAACAGAATTCTAAGACCAAGGCTATCTGTAGTATAAATTGTAAGCATTGCAACATGGTGATAGCTTCTCTTCTTTTGCCAACTCCTGTTTACACTGGGAACCTCACTGAAAGTCTCCGATTCAGGGAAGTGCTCTTACTCAGCCCTTTGTACCAGGCCAGGGAGCCCTGTGCTTTTCTGTTATAATACTTCGCAATACTCTATAGATTTTTCATATAATTGTTCATTTAATCTTCATATAATTGTTCATTTAATCCCCCTACTACCCATTAGCCTAGAAATTCCATGAGGCAGAGACAGCTGTAAACTCAGTGTTCAGTTGGTGCCTCACACTTAGTGAGGGCTAAATAAATATTTGTTCAATGAATGACTGAGGAAATTAATACGTTAATCAATGAGTACATTTAAGGGAAATTTCTTTAAAAAGCTTTTCCCAATTATGGATACAATTTAATCAGATGTAATATGTCAGTATTTTTGTGATTTCTTCTATAAAATGCAGTGTGTTTTACATTAAAATAGAAAATAGTGGATTTCATGATGCCATAATTCATTAATAAACATTTGCTTCGCTGTTTTTTTTTTTTTTTTTTGCAACAGCAAGTGAGGAGCTTTACTTCCTCAGCTACCCCTATTCTCTCAGCAATCCCAATCGTTCAACTGTTTATTCTTCCTTCTCCCAATATTTTCATTCGCTACAATAATAACTGGTATCAAACTTTATAGTAACATGCCTAAATAAAGTCGGGAGAAAGTGGTTTTAAAGAAAATCTTACTTATTTTATTTCAAGCCAGCAGGAAAAAACTTCCTTCAACTAACTTTTTGTTTCCCCCTAAAGAAACCCAAAAATAATTACATGAAGAAAAGAAATATCTTGTGTTCTGCTTAACAAGTAAAATTGAGTGAAAAATGTCTTTAAGAGTAGAGTAGCCTTGTGTATAAAAATGGCTGAGAATGTATAAATCATTCCCAGGAATGGATGAAGTTATTTGACTTTATGAAATATCTGTAATAGGAAATGATGGTGCTTCTTTTAGAAGAAAAGCATTCATCCTCTTATTATAGTTACTAGAGGAAAATGGTCACGTACTCTTGGAATTCTAATCTATACAATTATTAATGTTAAAAAACTGAAAAATTAAAAAATATAATTCTCACTTTTAACACAAAAAAGATTGAATGGTTGTAAGATACTTTCCTTGAACTACTAACTAATCTGGAATCATCAATCAATCACTTAATTTAGTCTCAATATCTTTTCTTAAAGTTTAGCATTAGAAAGTCATAAACATACTGCATAATAAATTACTGGGTAAATTCTGCTAAAGGAAAATTTTAAGCTAATTAACTAGAAAACAAAAACAGCCCTACAACATGTTGAAAACTTTCAGGAATGTAGGTGGCAGTAAATATATAAATAAATAACAAAAAAACTGTGTTTAGTGTTTATAGTAAGTGAATGGGGGATAAAAAATATTGGATTTATTGTATCATTCACTGCATAGACTTGACTCAATGGCTTAAGCTTTGAAAGTCTGAGAGCTTCAATTTATCTATTCTCTAAATATACTTACAATAAAAATGCCATTAAAAATATGCTGTGAAGATTAATGTCAGTGAAGAACTGTGTTATCCATGTATAAGAGATAAAAAGGAATTTCAAATGTCATAACTATAAACTAATTAAAATTTAATGTTACTTAAAAATCACTTAGCTATTTGTGATGGATTCATAGTTGACACACTAATATCAATTTTTAAATTTATGTTATATTTGAAGTTTTAAAAATAACAATAAACTCTAGAAAGCACTTAAAATTGCACGAATCAAGATCATCTGATATTTATCTTTTTTTTTGGAAACAATCCCTATGACTCTGCAGGCCTCAGAAAAATTCTAGCTTGCATAGACAAAAAAAATTTCATTTTAATCCTGAAAATATTCAACATTATTTTTATAGTAATCAAGAGACAAGGATGTGAATTAAGAGGAGCAAAAAATGGGACTTTGTGTGGTCTCTGTCTCTAGCTCCTTTTTTTTTTTTTTTTTTTTTTAAGACGGAGTTTTGCTCTTGTTGCCCAGGCTGGAGTGAAATGGCATGATCTTGGCTCACTTGCAACCTCCGCCTCCAGGGTTCTCCTACCTCAGCATCCCAAGTAGCTGGGATTACAGGCATGCACCACCATGCCCCGCTGATTTTGTATTTTTAGTACAGACGGGGTTTCCCCATGTTGGTCAGGCTGGTCTCGAACTCCCGACCTCAGGTGATCCACCCACCTCGGCCTCCCAAACTGTTGGGATTATAGGCGTGAGACACCGCACCCGACCTCCAGCTCCTCTTTCATGGCATTTGCACAGTGTTGGGCACTAACTGCTATTCAAATAAATTGTCATAGTGATTATTTGTTCTTATGGATGCTAAGAAAGATGAAAATCAGGAAAAAGTAGAAAAATGCAGAGTTTTAATAACACCTTTTAACAGTTCAGATTTTTAAAAACCAACATCTAAGTATATAAACAAAAATTGTAGACAGCAATCTATTTTGCCAAAAAATTATTCACTATAAACATGGTTCTACTATAAAATTATTTTAAATAGCTCACATTTCTCCAGAGTATTTGAAGTAGGAACTAATTGACCAATATTCAAATATACATCACTTCATGTATGTGTGAGTGTGCGTTTGCGTGCATGCACTCATGCACACGCGCATGGTGGGGGAAAGAATAAATTATGGAGGGCAAATAAAATGTTAATTATATGTTTAAACCAACAAGATCTTCAGGAGAATTACATTATTTTTGTGTTCAATATAATTAGCCAAAGAAGAAATAGATAACATTTTATATTTTTAGGTAGGATTTGCTTTAGATCTGCCCTAACTGCTTGGTTGGTGGAAACAAGTCCAAATTATGAAAACATCAGCTTTCAGAATTGGGAACAGAGGATGCTAAAAGCTGGTTGCATGGAAACAAGACATGGGGGATGGGGGACTTTTTGTGTACTCATAGTATCTCTGAGAAACTTAGAGATAAATTGGTACAGCTTCTGCTCTCATTTTACAAATGAAGTCCCTTTGAATGCAGAGAAAAAAGGGATCCTTCAAAGGCTACACAAGAGGTGAAAGAGCACAGAGTGTTCTGATGCCAGGACAGGGCTCCTACATCAGCCCACTGGTGACTGTGCTTTCATAATAATGTGAAACATGTGTTTCTCTTTCTTGTATCTATAGCAGTGACATTCCAACTACCCAGTCTTTAAGAGCTGGGGACCTTAGTCCTTAGGGTCAGGGAGACAGCCAGGGGATAGAGAACACATTCTACCTCTATGTGTATTTCTGCATATTCATTTTCTTTCTATGAGGAATTCACCTGGCTTTTCCTCCCTGCTTGAATGTAAGTCTAAGGTTCATTTGCTGAAACTTTTTTTTTTTTTTTTTTTTTTGAGACAGGGTCTCACTATGTTGCCCACGCTGGAGTGCAGTGGCATGATCACGGCTCACTGTAACCTTGAACTGGGCTTAAGTGATCCTCCCACCTTGGCCTCCCAAAGCGTTGGGATTACAAGCATGAGCCACTGCGCCCAGCCTGCTGAAATTCTTAAGGCATGAGAATACTACTAGAGACACTTGACAGCATTTATTGGGCATCTATTACATAATATTCACTTTAGATATATTGTCTAATTAATACTACAAGGTCTGTCTCTATATTGTACACTGGAACCTTAGAAAGTTAAGTGATTGGCCCAAATGAGGACACATAGCATTCTCTCTCAGATGCAGAGACCACGCCCTTTTCTCTGTACCACACTACCTCCTACTTTTCACAAAGGGATGTTCTGTAGCCCTTCATAGGTTGTGATGCCAGAAGGGGCAAGATTGGAGTCTAATGCCATGCCACTGCATAAGCAGTCCTTTCTCCTAATACAGTCAGAAGAACTGAAAGACCATTACAAAAATAAGTATTCAGATTAGCAATCAAGGTGATCAAAATGTAAAAGATAATGTGTAGGAAAAACGTCACACCAAGTTTATGTGCTAAGGCCATCACCTATTTTGCCAACCTGAATGGATGGACAATGTTCTATGGGAAACAAAGCATTTTTGTCTTCTTTTTCTCTTTCTCTCTCTCTCCCTTTCTTTTTTATAAATAGAGACAGGGTTTCACCATGTTGCCCAGGTTGGTCTCAAGCTCCTGAGCTTAGGCAATCCTCCTGCCTTAGCCTCTAAAAATGCTGGGATTATTGGCATGGGCCACCTTTCCTGGCCAGTGTTTTCTTAAAATAGTATACTTTTCTTTCTTTTTTTCAAACATAAGAAAATAATTTTTTATTCCCTAGTTTTTATTTGCCATATTTCTTACTTTTTTCTTTTTAAGAGATAGGATAGGATCTCACTATGGTGCCCAAGCTGGACTCAAGCAATCCTTCTGCCTGAGCGCCCCCACCCCAAGTAGCTGGATATTATTTGCCATATTTCTGATGGCTTAGAAATTATATCCTCCCCTAACCACTGTCTGAAAACTTTTCTAAGCATCAAAAGTAATCTTTTGGAAAAAGCAAAATTGTAATGGAGAAGAAAATGTTTTCTCAAGACAGTTTAAGGATATTGAGGTGCTCTTACTAAAACAAAATTATTATGTCATTGTAAGCTCCTTTCTTAGAAAAACAAATTCTAGAGTTCAAGATTCCAGAAAAACAAAGTCTAGAGTTCAAGAAATTTGTTTAAAAACAAATTCTAGAGTTCATTTCATGTGCTCTAAGTATGTAAAATTATTACTCTATTGCCAACTTTGTTTTTACTCTCTAAGTGACCTGCTGTTTCAGTGAAGGAGACTCGTGTTTTTTACACTTTCTTTTCCTAAAAATGATATAGCAAATATTACAAATGTTAAGTAATTACTAGACCTAACAGAAGTTCCATACACAAAGCTTTAGGTTCAATTCTCTGAAGGAGGGAAAACAAATTTAAATTACATTTTGCTGATACCTTCATAAAAGTGTGAAATCATTTCGTTTCCCTGGGTTTTACAGAAAACACTTCTAAAATGCCACAAAGATGTATAACGAGACATAAAACTGCAAATATTAACTATTTCCTTGAAATATAATTTAAACTTGGTGACTAGGACAAGAAAATGTCACATTCCTTTCTCTTGCTAAGGAAATTGCATATTTCCTTTGCAAAAATAAAGAATATGCAGTCTTTGAAAGAGTGTATGTGACAGTTTTAAAGTTGTTTTGTTTCATGTTAAAAGTTTCTATAAATTTTCATGATTGTGTCAAAGCTGAAAAATGAAAAGAAACAAAGACGAAAAAGGAAAACATTATTAATCTTAGGCATACAAGTTTTGTTTCTCACCAATGTCAAAAACAACATTTATGCCATATCTGTATTTTGTTCTTTCTAAATGTTATCTTGAGTTATATAATTTTCAAATCCATCTGAGAATGAATACACTTTTAAATTTTTGCTTAGGTTTCCCTCCATGATCTGCAATATTCTAAACAGAATATTCTAAATATTCTGTCTTTGCCAGGATTTGTGAAGCAAATGGATATGCATTTTACTAAGTGGAAAATGTAGCTGCGACATGGGCGGTTAACTGCTGGCGAGTGTGCGGTGTTTGGTTTATGGACTAAAGGACACCATAAGCTTTGGCTGAGAACATTAATTTCATGGGGTAATTGAGTACTTCTGGGAACACAGAGCCTCTTAAAAACATAGATTAACTGAATTTTTGGAATTTCACTTAACTGAAGTGAAGGAAAAGTTTAATGGTAATATCAAATACTGTCTAAGGGCTTTACATCTATTTACTCCCTTAACTCTCATTGACTCTATTAGGTAGGCACTGCCATTGTCTCCCTTTACAGATGAGAAACTGAGGCCAGAGAATTCCAAGGACTTTGCCAAAATTCACACAGCCTCTGAGTGGAAGACTCATGCTCTTAGCAACTTACTAGGTTTAAAATTGTGGTTGTTTATGTCTTATTGATAGAAAGAAAAGATGGACTCAATGGAAAAGGACACAAGGAGTATTTATTGCACCTGAAAGGGTTGAGTTACGTATGATTTCAGAATTTGGTCCAGGGTGCATGGATTTAAAATACTCTGGGAAGGCAAGATAATGGGTCGCAGAGTATAAAAGGGCCAGGCCAAGAACTCTGGGGAAGACAGGAAAGTCCCTCGCTCAGCTTCCTGGCTCCTGACAAACCGGCTCAGCAATGGGCTTTGTCAGCTGCCACAGTGGCTTTCCTGGTTTCTGTGAAGGTTCCAGACTAAAGGGCCGGTCAGGGATGTTGAGGAGCTATGCTTTGTTCAACTAGTAAGTATGTTGCAGGAGTAAATGTACACAACACATAGATATGTGTATGTAGACTGTGTTGTTTCTTTCACTTTACTTTTTCCTCTCATTATTAACAGTACAATAAAAGTGTATGTAATACCAAAGCGGGACAAATCTATTTAACTTCTACTTTTGATTAACAGTGAAAAGAGCTACCTTCTGGATTCAGAAAGTTTGACTAGTTCCTTCTATGAGAATAACTTTTGTTAGCCAATTATTAATACATATTAGTTTTACCATGACCAGAATAAACTAAAGTGCATTTTGTTTATCACTATCAATGTTAAACATAAATTTTCCCAATTCCATATCTATTTATGGGAAGGATATAGTTGTATCACATACATAATTTATTGAAAAGCAACACATCCAAAATACTTGAAATGGAAAATCTTCAAAGAATTCCTGACTATTTAATGCATCTTTAAAAATTAAACTAATTTGGTAATTTGTAGCACAATTTTCCTGTATTTCAAAACATAGTGTTTTTATAAGCATATAAGCTTATTACTAACATTATGGACTAGAATAATTTTGTGATTTCAATGCTCACCAAATTATTTTTAAAATACAATATTCTATAGAACTCACCTTTTGCCCATTCATCCCTGGAATTCCAGGTGCTCCAATAGAACCCTAAAGAGACACATGATTAAATTCAGTTGATATCATACACAAAATATTTCAATTCTAAATTTATATTGTATTAGTTATGTAAGCCTTGCTAAAACATTTCTAGGAAGTCTTATTTTTCAGACCTTATCCACTGTGTTCAAATATATAATGTAAGCAGATTCCTCAAGCTTCCCCAGAAACTACAGAGTTAAAATTAAACCTTGCTTCTAAGTATCCACTTAACTTTAATATGTTTTAAAGAAATTTACATGATAAATTGGTCATACCTATCAGAGGGCCACATGGCTCTAAATTTTCATGTTTTTAAGAATAAATAGGCTTAGTTCCATCTGGAAAAAGCCTACCAGTAGCAGTAACACTTGCATTTCATGAGTTAAAATACAATGAAACAAAAGGTAATTAAAATAACAACCATTTGTTCCGCAGTTAAATAAGGGGCCCATGTCGCAAACTCAAATTTGTTTTATTTTAAGCATTTTCCTCCAAGACTTTCAAGGAGTAAGTTTAAGCCACATGAATGTGAATATGTCTTCCAGAGTGACTCAAAAAGTTGCAAAAAATGTTATACACTGACCAGGAACAACACAACTTCTGTGCAAAAAAAGTTAAGGTGTGTGTGTAAGCACGTGTGGGCGTGTGTGTGCACATGCATAGTGGCATGAGTATGAATGATTGGACATAGATGGGTGAGCTGGAGAATAAGAAAGCTAATTATTACCTGAGAAAATCTATGACATTTAACGGGATATAGAAACATTAGCAAATATTTTCAAACAGTGATGTCATTTCCCTCCATTACACCTTCCATTTAGGCTCTGGAGAAACCATTTTAAATACAATGTGCTTATTCTTTGTCTAAAACTAGAAAACAGATTTTTCTGATATTACATTTCTTTAATAATAATGGGGAAAAGATTTTTTAAAATCTGTAATTATAGACCAAAACTCCCCTAAAAAAATGGTCTGTAATTATAGACCAAAAACTCCCCTAAAAAATAGTCTACTAAAAAAACAGTAATTATAATCAAAACAAATTGAGATGGCAAGTTCCTTAGTGCATTCAGTGATTATATTGAATGGGTCATTAAAGGACTTCCCGAAGCCTGAAGCAGTAATTTTATCCTGGTCGTATGTGGATTAGAGTAGCTTTACAATTTCACACCATGCTTAATAGAGACATTATTGCAAAGGACAAAATGTTCCTATGCACAAGTTGTCCTGCAACCCATGGGCTTTTACTTGGTTTGTAGGATTATGTTTCAACAGATGCCACATGCCCAGTGCTTGGGGGATAAAAAGTCTCTATCTTTGATGGATTCCAAAGATAAAGAATAATCACTTTTCCACCTGTTATAATACAATTGTTTTCTTTAGTTTTCCGTGGGTTAAATATCCCCCTCCCGGCTTGAGGGGTGTAAGGATGGGGGAATGAGGACTTAGTGATATTTTGTTGGCAAAATGCCATCTATTTGCTATTAATATATTTACTGCTATAGGATAGGTGTAATTTTGGAAACCCTAGATCTTCTCCATCAGAATTTGAAAAAAAAAATTTTTTTTTTGAGACCAAGTTTTGCTCTGTCTCACCCAGGCTGGAGTGCAGTGGCACAGTCTTGGCTCACTGCAGCCTCTGCCTCCCAGGTTCAAGCGATTCTCCTGTCTCAGCCTCTTGAGTAGCTGGGACTACAGGCGTGTGCCACCACACCCAGCTATTTTTGTATTTTTAGTAGAGATGGGGTTTCACCATGTTGGTCAGGCTGGTCTCTAACTCTTGACCTCAGGTGATCCAACAGCCTCAGCCTCTCAAAGTGCTGGGATTACAGGCATGAGCCACTGTGCCTGGCCTCTCCAGCAGAATTTAATCGTCAATTCTGATGATTGCGGATAACAATGAAATGACAATCAGGAAGTCACTGTTCAGGTTACCTCAGCAAAGAAGGACACCAGTAGGCTACTTGAATATAGTGAACCCAGCAATATCCTTTTTTTGGGCTCAGTTCTCTGGCCGTTTGGCAATCATATAATTGAGGAAGGCCATGCATTCATTTTGCAATATCAAATTATCTTTCACATTTTAAATTTTGTCATGTTTTACCAGTATTTGAATTAAAATTCAATAATGTACAAGTTCAGCAGACAACTTAAAAAGAGTCTGCTCTTGGATTTATTGAATTTTTTATAATGGAGTAAATTAGAAATCTAATGCTCACATTATGTGACTATATTTTTAGAAAGCAGAATACACAAACCAGACTAACTGCTTCAGCATGGCTTACAGTAGCTAATTTCATTCACCTCTCCTGCTTGCCATTAGGTCATGAGAGCATAATTACTTTCACAATATTGTTGTTTATACTCTACCTTTTGTCCCGGAGGCCCTAGAGGACCCTAAAAAAGAAAAACGATTCAATTAACATACTATTGTAGCCATTTAAGCTTAGATGACCAATTTAAACTGTCCTATTCTCTAAGATTCTCTTTGCTGTACTGAAATATGTTGACATTTCATATATCAGGAAAAAAAAAGAAAAATTTCAGTTTGAAGTTCCAAGTGGATCTTTTCTTCTAATTTTCTTTTGAAAAACATTAAGCATATGCAGCAGGATTCTGATTTCTCCTCTCTATTAAAAAATAATCTTTGCTGTTCCAGCACATATTGTTTTTTTAAAAAATACCTATAAATGTGTCACATCAATCTCATTTAGAAGGCTGAAGATATAGTCCCTAGAAGCAGTTAAAATGCAATGTAGTTTCTCAGCAAATGGACACATTAGATGACTTCTGCACCTGCAAATCTTCAGTAAGCAGATTTGCAAAGGAAATAATTGAATAGCATTACAAAGAAACATGACTTTTTTTTTCTGTTCTTCCTCTTAGGAAATATGGTCAACTAACCTGCACAAAAACTTGTTTACAAACTAGGGGAGGCCAGTGTCAACTGTGATACCGAGTATATACTAGAAAAGGGAACAAAAGATGCTGTCAATTGTTTCTTAGACTAAGATACTGGGTGGAGGAGATTTAGTGAGATGAATGAGAATATTTATACAGCATGGAAATGCAGCAATTTTGAGATTTAGCAGTTTTTCAACCACAAAGTCAGTGTTGGGATTCTCTTGGCTTTATTTAGAGCAAGGCATGGCTTTGAGACAGTGGAAAATAACT